>NC_000016.10:16028918-17232702 GCF_000001405.40 Homo sapiens
ATGCACCGGCTGCATCTGATGATCTTATTAAAGATCTGTGGCTGTCAGGGTCCTCCCCCTGGAGGTGCTGATTTAGTTGGTCTGGGTTGGGGCCCTAGGCACTTGGCACTTAACAAACTCCTTAGGTGATTCCAGTGGACAGGCAGGGCTGGGAACTTCATCACCCCTCCGAGCCCCAGAGCGGAGCCTGATCCTTAGCCCTGGCTGTGTATTTGAATCACTGGAGGAGCTTTTTATTTAGCCTTTTATGATGGAAACATAAAGTAGACAGCCTAGGATAATGAACTACCATGAGCTCTTTTTCTTTTCTTTTTATTTATTTTTGAGACAGGGTCTCACTATTACCCAGGCTGGAGTGCGATGGCACAATCTCAGCTTGCTGCAACCTCTGCCTCCCGGGTTCAAGCCATTCTCGTGCCTCAGCCTCTTGAGTAGCTGGGACTACAGGCACGTGCCACCATGTCCGGCCAATTTTTATATTTTTTGTAGAGACAGGGTCTTGCCATGTTGCCCAGACTGGTCTCGAACTCCTGAACTCAAAGCAGTTCTCCCGCCTCAGCCTCCCAAAGTGTTGGGGTTACAAGTGTGAGCCACTGCGCCCAGCTGCCATGAGCTCTTTACCATGCATTGCATAGGTGAACGTTTTAATATGTATCTCTGAAGGACATGGATTTGTTTATTTTAAATGACTTTTTATTTCGCAATAGTTTGGCTCACAAAAAGTTGCAAAAATAACAGAGTTCCTGTTGTTCATTGCTCAACTTTCTCTAATGATAACATCTGAAAGATAAGAATTTTAAAAACTGTAACTGTTGGGCTGCATGTGATGGCTCATGCCTGTAATTCCAGCACTTTGGGAAGCTGAGGCAGGAGGATCACTTAAGCCCAGGAGTTTGAGACCAGCCTGATCAATATAGGTAGACCTTGTCTTGACAAAAAACATGTATATGTGACTGTAATACTAACTTTAATAATAATTCATTATTATCAAATATTCCAGTAATCCATTGTGTTTGTACAATGGCTCATTCTTCTATGATATCATTCTTTATGTTTTAGCTGGGATTTTTTTATGGAAAAGAGTTTCCCCTTCATTTCTTTGATCACTGATCACTCTGTGGTGATCGAATAAATGACTGTTTTCCTCAGGGAAGCCTTCTCCAACCCTGGTGAACCAAATGAGTACATTTGGGAAAGGTGGAGAAAATACTTGTTTCTTTCCGCTTTTTCTGCGTTCAAACAATGACCTGGTTCACTGACAACATCAGATGTTTCTCTTTATTTCCAGCGTCAATATGAAATTTGTGTACATAAACATGTAAGGCTGGGCGCAGTGGCTCAAGCCTGTAATCCCACCACTTTGGGAAGCCACGGTGGGCAGATCACTTGAGTCAGGAGTTCGAGACCAGCCTGTTCACCAACATGGTGAAACCCCATCTCTACTAAAGATACAAACATTAGCCCAGTGTGGTGGCTGATGCTTGTAATCCCAGCTACTTAGGAGGCCGAGGCGGGAGGATCACTTGAACCCAGGAGGCGGAGTTTGCAGTGAGCCAAGATCACGCCACTGGACTCCAGCCTGGGCGACAGAGCAAGACTCCATCTCAAAAAACAAAACAAAACAAAAACCTTGCTTGGTATGTTTCAGCCTGTTGTACTTATTCTCCTTGTCAAAGCTCAAATTGTCCCTCTTTTAGCCTGCAGCGGCCACTTCTGCTTGGCTCTTGAGCCTTTTAACAATCCTGTTCATGCTTAGTTTCCTTGTTGTCCGGTGTGACAAGATGTTCTTGGCTTACCTTGCATATTTCCTGCCCAGCCACTTTTCCAAGAAAAATCTGGAAGTTTAAAACAAAAACAAAGCTTCAGTGCCCCAGTCGCACCCAGAACCAGCTTAATCAGATTGCCTGGTGCGGGTAGGGCCCGGATACAGTATTTTTTTAAATTTTATTTTTATTTTGTTTGAGACAGGGTCCCTAGGCTGGAGTGTAGTGGCACGATCTCAGCTTACTGCAACCTCCGCCTCATGGATTCAAGCAATTCTGCCTCAGCCTCCCGAGTAGCTGAGCTTGCAGGCACCCACCACCACATCCAGCTAATTTTTTGTATTTTTGGTAGAGACGAGGTTTCATCATGTTGCCTAGGCTGGTCTCGAACTCCTGACCACAAGTGATCTGCCCGCCTTGGCCTCCCAAAGTACTGGGATTACAGGCATGAGCCACCACACCCAGCCAGGATACAGTATTTTTTAAAAAGCACGCCCAGCCTTGAATGGAAAACCACTGGACGAGAGTATGCCACCTTATCGGGCTCTGTAAATGCCTTATATCTGCACAAGGCTGGAACTTTGAGTGGAGTCCTTGGCTAAAGCTTTCATTACTGCCTGGTGACCTCTCTTCCCTCTGCTGCTAAAGCTTGTGTTTCAGAATTTAGACCCGGATGCATCCATGTTGAAAGCCAGGCTTTGTCTGTCATCCCAGGAGCTCTGTATCGGTCCCTTTCCTTGCCTGCATGTTGTTGACTTGGGGCTCATCTTCATTTCTCTGGGAAATGAGTTCTTTGATAGCTTGCTTAGAATCTCTCAGTACTTCCCATTGCCCTTAGAATGAAGACCAAAATATGTGGCCTGCAGTGTAGACTGTGCACAGCCTCCAGTGTAGACTACTCAGGCCCCTTCTTGGTTCCTGGAGTCTACCATGCTTTCTTCTACCACCGGGCCTTTGCACACACTGCTGTCTGTTGGGAATGCGTTGCCTTTCCTTGTTACTTAGTTCTCATCTACTCACCCTTCAGGTGCCAGCTTGACTGTCTGCCTCGGGGGCGCCTTCTCTGACCTTCGTACACCAGATCAGCCCCCATGCACTTACTTTGTCTCATTGGTAATATTTCTCTCCCTTCAGGACACACATCAAGGCCCAGAAGTTGTAGTTTTGCATTTGTTCATGTGATCATTTGATGCATGTCTCTCTCTGGAGCCTGACTCTTTGGGGCTCACATCCTCACTCCACCGCTTTTAGCTGTGGGACCTTGAACAAATCTTTTCATCTCTGGTCCCCAGTTTTTAAGTTAAATTAAATTTTATTTTATTTTTATTTTGAGACACTCTTGCTCTGTTGCCAGGCTGTAGTGCAGTCGTTCGATCATGGCTCACTGCAACCTCCGCCTCCTGGGTTCAAGCGATTCTCTTGCCTCAGCCTCCCAAGTAGCTGGAACTACAGGCGCCTGCCACCACATCCAGCTAATTTTTGTATTTTTAGGAGAGACAGGGTTTCACCATGTTGGCTAGGATGGTCTCGATCTCTTGACCTCATGATCTGCCTGCCTCGGTCTCCGAAAGTGCTGGGATTACAGGCCCAGTTTCTTTTAACTGCAAAACAGGGATGATATAATACTTTTATTTATCTTGTGAGGTGAGGATGAAGATTAAATAAGGTAGTTTGTGTAAAGCACTTAGAAAAGAGCTAGCTACTAATAGTAGAGAATCTTGGCAGGTATTACTGATGATTACTGCAGTAGACCACAAGCTCCATACAGGCAGGGGTCATTTCTGTTTGTTTAGATTTGTATGCAGGGTGCTTGGCACAAGGGTTGTGCTCAGGAAATACTTGTTGGATGAACGAATGAATGAAGTGGAGATAATAGTAATACCATGTTTATAGAATTCCATGAGGATATAAAATAATGCAAGTATATAAGCTCTTGGTAGAGTGTCTAGCACATAGTAGATGGTCAATAAATATTCAGTGACTGAATGAGTAAAGTGGGGACAATAGTAATACCCGCTCATGAGGTTGTCGTGGGGATATAAGGCAACCCTGTAGTACCTTGTAGAATGCCTAGCACATAGTAGGTGCTCAGAAAATATTTGTTGAATGAATGAGTGAAGTAGGGATGACGTTAACACCAACTCCTAGGGTTGTTGTGGGGATAGAAGACAAGGCAGGTCTATAGCATGTTGTATTGTGGTTGCACATGGTAGACACTCCGTTGATTGAAACTGGAAGAGCTGCCATGAATTTCTTTCTCCTGGCTATTAGGAGAGGGTCCTTTTGGGGTGCAGAATGGTGTGGAGCTGACGCTAGTCCTCTGGAAGGAAGAGTGAGCAGCTGACTACTTGCTAAGCTCTGACCTGGATGAAAAGTCAAATCATTCCTTTCCCTCTTCCTCCCAAACCTGTGCTTTCTTTCCACTAGAATCCCTGCCCAGAGTCCAGCGCTTCCTTCCTGTCGAGGATCACCTTCTGGTGGATCACAGGGTAAGGCCAGGCCCCCCAGACCTCAGGGAGGTGGTGGGGAGTGAATGAATGAATGAATGAACGAATGAACATGCTCAGCTCCCCCTCCCCAACTTCTCCCTCCTTTGCTCTTCTGCAGAGTTGTCTTGAATCTGCCTGTGCTGGCCATGTGGTCTCAGAGACACCAACTCTGTCCGGCAGTTCCGTGAACTTGAATGTGATAAACACGTGAGCCGTGAGCAGCTGACACCTCTGCAGAAGGCTTTGCCTGGGACAGCCATATGCTGGACTGCTTTTGCTTTAGCTTCAGATTTGGGTTTTTAAAATATTAGGTATAGTTATTATTGACATTGTCCCCCTCCTGTCCCCCACGCCTTAGAAAAATAATACTGTCTCACCACAGGAAGTGTGGGTTAAAAAACCACATGTGCAGATCAGCAGTGCAGGAGACATCTAGAGGTAACCAGTGTCACCATTTTAGTATGCCTTCTTCTGGTCGTCTTTCTTTTTTTTTTGAGACGGAGTCTTACTCTGTCAGTCTCAGCTCACTACAAGTCTCCGCCTCCCAGGTTCAAGCGATTCTCCTGCCTCAGCCTCCCAGGTAGCTGGGATTACAGGCTTGCGCCACCATGCCCGGCTACTTTTTGTATTTTTAGTAGAGACAGAGTTTTGCCATGTTGGCCAGGCTTGTCTTGAAACTCCTGACCTCAGGTGATCCACCCGCATCGACTTCCCAAAGTGCTGGGATTACAGGTGTGAGCCACCATGCCCAGCTACCTTCTGGTCCTCTTTTTGTATATCTTTTTCTGCCCGTTGTTAACATCTTAGTGGGGATTGTTTGAAGAATCTTTTTTTGCCCCTAATAAGCATCATCTTTTTTTTTTTTTTTTTTTTTTGAGACAGGCTTTCGCTCTGTCGCTGAGGCTGGAGTGCAGCGGCACACTTGTAGCTCACTGCAGTCCCAATCTACTGGGCTTAGGTGATGCTCCTGCCTCAGCCTCCTGAGTAGCTGGGGCTACAGGCACACTCCCCCATGCCCAGCAGATTTTTGTACTTTCTGTAGAGATGGGGTTTCATCATGTTGCCCAGGCTGGTCTCCAGCTTCTGAGCTCAAGTGATTCTCCCGCCTCAGCCTCCAGAGTGCTGGGATTACAGGCGTGAACCACCATGCCCGGTCTCATCCTTGTCTTAATGACAAACATCGTTTTAAAAAATTAGATGTTTTAAATAATTTCTTCAAGTTACTATTAAAAAGCATCACTGGGACAGTTGATGTAATTTGTTCATGACTACAGGACCCCGGATGCATGCTAATAACATTCATTCTTGTTTTGGAAAATTGTGCTCTAGTTACATAAGAGCATGTCCTGGATTGGAAGAGAATACCTCCAGTTTTTCTTGGGTAAAGGCATGTAGAGGCTGTATGTTAACTTTTTTTTTTTTTTTTTTTTTTTTTGAGATGGAGTCTTGCTCTGTCATCCAGGGTGCAGTGCAGTGGCAGGACCTCAGCTCTCTGCAACCTCTGCTTCCTGGGTTCAAGAGATTCTCCTGTCTCAGCCTCCTGAGTAGCTGGGATTACAGGGACCTGCCACCACATCCAGCTAATTTTTGTATTTTTAGTAGAGATGGAGTTTCACTGTGTTGTCCAGGCTGGTCTCAAACTCCTGACTTCAGGTGATCCACCCACGTCAGCCTCCCAAGGTGCTGAGATTACAGGTGTGAGCCACCATGCCAGCCCTTTAACTGTTTAAGTGGTTCAGAAAAAGATGATGTGTTTGCATGTGTGTGTGTGTTTGTGTGTGCATGTCAATGGATACAGACAGAGAATGATACTGCAAACGTGGCAACGTGTTAACAATGGTGAGTTGAGTGAATTCTTAGTATGATTTGAGTAATTTTTCTATAAGTTTGAAATTATTTTAGAACAAAACATGAAAGTATTTTACCTTTTATTATAAAAGTGTTTAGTCTGCTGGGCACGGTGGCTCATGCCTGTAATGTTAGCACTTTCAGAGGCCAAGGTGGGTGGATCACCTGAGGTCAGGAGTTCGAGACCAGCCTGGCCTACATGGTGAAACCCTGTCTCCACTAACAATACAAAAATTAGCCGGGCAGCACACGCCTGTAATCCCAGCTACTTGGGAGGGTGAGGCAGGAGAATTGCTAGAATACAGGAGGCAGAGGTTGCAGTGCACTGAGATGGCGCCATTACACTCCAGCCTGGATGGAGTGACATAGAAAGATTAATATAATAAAACTCAATAATCTCATCACCCAGATTTCATGCTTACTAATGCTTTGTCATGTCAGCCTTTTTATTTTTTAATTTTTTCCTTCAGCCTATTTTTTTTTTTTTCTTTTTATAGGGTCTGACTCTGTTGCCCAGGCTGGAGTGCAGTGACACAATGACGGCTCTTTGCAGCCTCCACCTCCTGGCCTTGAGCAATCCTGCCACCTCAGCCTCCCGAGTAGCTGGGACTACAGGTGCGAGCCATCATGACTGGCTAATTTTTTTATTTTTACTTTTCGTAGAGATAGTCTCCCTATGTTGTCCAGGCTGGTCTTGAACTCCAGGGCTCACAAAATCCTCCCACCTCGGCCTCCCAGAGCGCTAGGATTATAGACATGAGCTACCGTGCCTGGCCCATATCAGCCTTTTTTAATTTAAAATTTTAAAAAGTTGGCGGGGCACGGTGGCTTATGCCTATAATTCCAAGACTTCGGGAGGCCAAGGTGGGAGGGTTGCTTGAGCCCGGGGGTTCAAGACCAGCTTGGGCAACATAGGGAGACTCTTGTCTCTACAAAAATAAAAAATAAAAAAAAAATTAGCCAGTCATAATGGCTTACACCCAAAGTCCCAGCTACTCGGGAGGTTGAGATGGGAGAACCACTCTAGACCGGGAGCTGGAGGCTGCAGGGAGCTGCGATCGCACCACTGTACTCCATCCTGGGTGACACAGCGAGACCCTCTCTCCAAGTAAATAAATGAATGAACGAATAATAAAAAATAAAAAAGAGCTATCCTGATACTTCGCTCCTAAATCATCTTTTTTTCCCTAAGTCTTTTGTATGCACCACTAAAAAAAAAAAAAGCCATTTTTCCTGCATGACCCAACAGAATGAGCTGTAATTAGCTTGTAATATATGCAAATGTCCATCTGCATTCTGACTTCCCAAGCTGCATGGCTGCCTTCATTTGCAGCGGGCAGCTGTGCTGCAGAGGGGAGCAGCATCAGCAGGCGTGTGGAGTGAGTGAGCCCCGTCCTCCCCCTCCTCCTGTCATTGACTCTCATTGCCTAACCCCCTTGTGTCTTGGCCCCAGGTTGATTGTCCGGGGCTACCGCCAGCCCCTGGAGGGCAGTGACCTCTGGTCCTTAAACAAGGAGGACACGTCGGAACAAGTCGTGCCTGTTTTGGTAAAGAACTGGAAGAAGGAATGCGCCAAGACTAGGAAGTAAGTGTGAGTTTCCTTGTCCTCCAGGATGCCCTGGTCACCTCCTTTCCACTCCTGTGGCCTCAATCCAGGATGGGGCCCTGGCAGTGCTGCCTGTTACTAGCTTTGTGGTTCTGGGCAAGATGCCTCACTTCTCCTCCTGGCCTCAGTTTGCTTTTCTGCCAAATGGGGTAGGATCTCACATGTCATTAAAGCAACTGGGCAGAGAAAAGAAGAAAGAAGCTGGGTGCGGTGGCTCTCGTGTCTAATCCCAGCACTTTGGGAGGCCAAGGCAGGCGGATCACTTGGTCGGGAGTTTGAGACCAGCCTGGCCAACATGGTGAAACCCTGTCTCTACTAAAAATACAAAAATTAGCTAGGCATGGTGGCAGGCGCCTGTAATCATAGCTACTCAGGAGGCTGACAGGAGAATCACTTGAACCCAGGAGGCGGAGGTTGCAGTGAGCTGAGATTGTGCCACTGCATACTAGCCTGGGAGACAGAGTGAGACTCCGTCTCAAAAAAAAAAAAAGAAGAAAAATGTTGTCCAAACAGGCAGTTGATGCTGTCTGCCATGGCGCGTGACTATCCCTCCTTGAGTCAGTCTCACTTTTTTCTGTCTCTTTCTGAGCATCTGGCATCCTGCATGTTCTTGCTGTTTGAATGTTCTGTCCAACATGCCCAGCTGACCACGTAAGTCTGTTTAGCCAAAGAAGCCCCATTTGAGGGTGATTTTGGCTGTACTGGATTTTAGGCTCTACCCCCTATGTAAGGCGTGCCCCACTGCACCACCTCTGTCACTCTTCGGGAATCAGGCCAGTGCCTCCCCTGCACATACCTTAACTCATCAAATCTGAGACACCATTAGTTGCGTGATGCGTTATTATTCTATGTAACAGTAAGAAAGAAAAGCAGCTGCCAATTAAACAAGGACATAAGACTTGTCTCGAGCCCGGACGAACTGGAACATGAAATTGTGGGTGACATGGGGGCAGTGGATTGCGGCCATGGGGGTAGTAGAATGGCTGTTTTTGTTCCTGTTGCCTGTTCTGGGGTAAGTTTACTACGATAAACTGTGGTGGGGCCAGTGTGGTGCATTGGATTCCCCACAGACCCATTGGCCTTACAGGGAAAAACCCCAGACCGGGGTTCTGTTCCTCATTCTATTCCGGGGATGCCCAGGATACAGGCCTTCAGTCAGACCCAGATGGTGGGTGGGAATCTGGACATCCATGTGCCAGCCACTAGGACATCAGCAGAGGACCTCGTGACTCCGGTCGGAGGCTGTTTGGGTGGTCCAGGTGATGGGAGAAATTGTCTCGTGGGAGGCAGATAGAGCTTGGGCCTCTGTGACTGAGCATTGTAAGGAAATGGCCCATGTCCATGACCCAGTTGAAGGTTTTTGGCAGGCAAAGGTGGGGTCCCTGTTTATTACAGTTCTTCATGGAGACAGAACTAGTAGGATGGATGGATGGATGGATAGATGATAGATAGATGGATGATAGATTGATAGATGATAGGTAGATGATAGACGGATAGTTGGTGGATGTATACATGGTAGGTAGATGGATAGATGATAGATAGATGGATGATTGATAGATGATGGATGGATGGATGGATGGAGGATGAGAGGGGATCTACTAGGGAAACTGGATCATGTGATTATGGAGGCTGAGAAGTCCCACCCTAGGTCATCTGCAACCTGGAGAACCCAGGAAGCTGGTAGCATGGCTCAGGCCTAGTCCAAAAGTCTCAGACCCAGGGAAGCTGATGGTGGAATTCTCAGTCCATAGTCAAAGGCCTGAGAACCTGGAGTCATTGGGTAAGTCCCAGAGGCCAGAAATCCTGGAGTTCTGATGTTCAAGGGTGGGAGAGGATGACATCCTGGCTGCAGAAGAGAGAGTGCCTGCATTTGCCATTACTCTGACTTTTTGTTGTGTCCGGACCCTCTGCTGATTGGGCGGTGCCACCCACATGGGGCGAGGATGGATCTTCCTTAGTCAGTCCACTCATTCAAATGCCAGTCTCGTCTGGAAACATCCTCACAGACACACCCAGAAATAACACTTTAACAGCAATCTGGGTATCCCTTAACCCAGTCAACTTGACCCCTAACATCACCCATCTCATCTGGATTCCTTCAGCCTCACCTGCAGCATCCCCCCCGCTAAGCAGGCCACATTTGTAGTGTGGGCTTCAGCATTCCTCATCATCCACGCCTCTGCTGATCACCTGGCTCGGCTTCCTCTCATGGAAGACGGATGCCCACCTTTGTGTCCCCTGGAGCTTGTCAGGAGAGCAGGTTGCTGGAGACACCATGGGAGAGGCCAATATCACAGCCTTGGGAGGAGGACAGAGTTTGAATCCAGAAGCTCCTCCACTGGCCTGGCTCTTAATCCACTGAGCAGATGAAACTGACTGCTGCTTTTGTGCTTAGCGACGTTTAGTCCCTGAGGGTTCAGAGAGTGGAACAAAAGAGACACACTCTAGTTGGGTGCCATCGACATTCTATATGGGAGACAGGACGTTGGTTGTGAAACATGCATTGACAAGAAGCTTTGGAGAATGATGGTGTTGGGGTGAGATAAAAATGAGGAAATGAGGGTGAGAGTAACCGAGGAAGCTTTTGTGTGTGTGTGTGTGTGTGTGTGTATGTATGTGTGTGTGTGTGTGTGTGTGTTTTCTTTTTTTTTTTTTTTTTTTGAGATGGAGTCTCATTCTGTTACCCAGGGTGGAATACAGTAGTGTGATCTCGGCTCACTGCAACCTCTGCCTCTCGGGTTCAAGCAATTCTTCTGCCCCGGTCTCCCAAAGTGCTGGGATTACAGGTGCATGCCACCACGCCTGACTAATTTTTTGTATTTTTAGTAGAGACGGGGTTTCACCATGTTGGCCAGGCTGGTCTTAAACTTCTAATCTCAAGTGATCCTCCTGCCTTGGCCTCCCAAAGTGCTGGGATTACAGGCATGAGCTACTGTGTCCGGCTGAGAGAGGTGTTTTAGATACAGTGGTCAAAGGTTCTACCCAGTGTGGCCATGACCCTTGGTGAGCATGTGCCTGTCCCTCCCTAAGTCTATCTCTGGCTGTTTTCGAGCCTCTGGCATCCTGAGTGTTACTGCTTTTTGAAGTGTTTTTGTTCAACATGCCCAGCTGACCATGTATGATTGTTTTGAGAAGGTCACATTTGAGCAGAGACTTGCATTGGAGGGAGTGAGCCTTGTGTGTATCTGGGGAAGGAAGGGCTTTCCAGGTAGAGGGAGCAGCCAGTGCAAAGGCTCTGAGGACACTCGTGGTGCATCAGGGGGCTTGTGTGGCTTGAGGAAAGTGAGTGAGGGGGAGAAAGGGAGGAGATGAAGCAGGAGAAGGATTTGCAGGGGTCTCCTCTGAGAGTTAAGGTGGGATTCCAGGTGCAGTGAGAACACAGGCGCAGGTTTTCTGCAGGGCAGTGGTGTGACGTGAGTTCTGTTGTTTGTTTGTTTGTTTGTATGTATGTATGTATGTATGTATGTATGTATGTATGTATGTATTTTAGAGACAGGGTCTTGCTCTGTTGCTCAGGCTGGATGGCAGTGGCATGATAACAGCTCATTGCAGCCTGGAAATTCCGGGCTCAAGCAGTCCTCCCACCTCATCCTCCCAGAGTAGCTGGGATTACAGGTGCACACCACCATGCCTGGCTGATGAATTAATTAATTAATTTTATATTTTATATTTGTTTTTTTGAGATGGAATTTTGCTCTTGTTGCTTAGGCTGGAGTGCAGTGGTGCTGTCTTGGCTCACTGCAACCTCCACCCCCCGGGTTCAAGCGATTTTCCTGCCTCAGCCTCCGGAGTAGCTGGGATTACAGGAATGTACCACCATGCCCGGCTAATTGTGTATTTTTAGTAGAGATGGGGTTTCTCCATGTTGGTCAGTCTAGTGTCAAACTCCTGACATCAGGTGATCTGCCTGCCTCGGCCTCCCAAAGTGCTGGGATTACAGGTGTGAGCCACTGCGCCTGGCCTTTTTAAATTTATTTTATTTTATTATTATTATACTTTAAGTTTTAGGGTACATGTGCACAATGTGCAGGTTAGTTACATATGTATAGAGACAGGTCTCACTGTGTTGCCCAGGCTGGTCTCCAAGTCTTGGCTTCAAGCAGTCCTCCTGCCTCAGCCTCCCAAATAGCTGGGATTACAGGTGTGAGCCACCACACCCAGCTGAGTTCTGGTTCATAACAACCCAGGCTGTCCTGGGGAAGGTGGATATTTAGGGACAAGAGTGAAGGCAGGGAGACCAGGGTGGGAACCTCAAGGGCTGTCCATGAAGTCCCTTCATGCCTCACCGGGAGCCGCCATTGTATTTATTTATTTATTTTTTGAGACAGGGTGTCACTCTTTTGTCCAGGCTGGAGTGCAGTGGCACGATCTCGGCTCACTGCAACCTCCATCTCCTAGGCTGGAGTGATCCTCCCACCTCAGCTTCCCTAGTAGCTGGGACTACAGGCACGTGCCACCACACCTGGCTAATTTTTTTTTTTTTTTTTTGTAGAGATGATATCTCGCCATGTTGCCCAGGCTGTTCTCAAGCTCCTGAGCTCAAGCAGTCCACCTACCTTGGTCTCCCAAAGTGCTGGTATTACAGGCGTGAGCCACTGTGCCTGACTGGAGCCTCCATTTTTCACCCAGAGCATTTTCTGAGAATTCAGTGAGATATATGATATGATAAGCTGTGCCCTAGCCCTGAGTACATGCTGGGCAGGTTTTAATTGTACAAGTTTTATTTATTCATCTGTACACTTTGATCTTGCCAGGGAGGATGTGGTGAGAACTGGGTCTTGGGGCTTGAAAGCGGGCCACCTGAGAAGGGTCTGGCTCTGTGAGTACCTTGGTGTTTAGAGATCCTCAGCGTGGAGCCAGGGGATCATTTACTTGGGACATTGGTAGACGGATCGCTTGCTTTATTCCCAGAGGCATAAGCCAGATCTGGCACCTGTAACCCCTGTGAACCTGGAGAGAGTGAGAAGGAAAACCCTGTCCTAGGCTGGAATTTCCTGGTGTGGCCCCTTACACTCAGATCCCTTTTGTTAACCAGAGAAAGGAATGCAGCTCGTGCAGCTCTGGGCTGCTGGGTATCCTAGGCTCGGGGATCAGGTGATGGACGCCAGGGCTGGGGGCTCTGCATGGCTTCCTGGATCCTTTTACCACCTCTCTTCACCCATGAGTGACTCCTTCTCAAAAGTCAGGTGTGGCTGGGCATGGTGGCTCATGCCTGTAATTGCAGTACGTTGGGAGGCTGAGGCGGGAGGCTCACCTGAGTTCATGAGTTCGAGACCAGCCTGGCCAACATGGTGAATCCCTGTCTCTGCTAAAAATACAAAAATTAGCCGGGTGTGGTGGCGCTCACCTGTAATCCAGCTACAGGGGGGCTGAAGCATGAGAATTGCTTGAATTGTTTGGATTTAAAAACCCAGTGCTTCATTGGTTTGTGTGTAGTGGTTTTATGTTCTCTTTTGTGTATGGCCACTCAGAGCTTAGGGCCATTTTGGACTGTGGTTTCTGCTGGCATGAATGTGAAATGCTTCTGTGACTCTGGAAGAGTTTGGCAGTTTTTTTTTTTTTTTTTTTTAAGTTAGACACAGTGAACATACCACCAGTCACCCCCTTCCCAGGCATCCAGCCAACAGAGCTGAGAACATATGTTCATAAAAGGCTGGTACAGGAATGTTCTTAGCTACTTTGTGATAACCCAAACTGGAGGTAAGCCAGACATCTATTAGCAAGTGAACAGACAGATGCACCAGTTATGTACATCTGCACAACTGAATACTAAGTGATGTACAAGAACGAACTATTGGCCGGGCACAGTGGCTCATGCCCATAATCTCAGCACTTTGGGGGCCCAAGGCAGGCAGATCACTTGAGGTCAGGAGTTCAAGACCAGCTTGGCTAACATGGTGAAACCCTGTCTCTACTAAAAACATAAAAATTAGCTGGGTGTGGTAGCGCACACCTGTAATCCCAGCTACTCGGGAGGCTGAGGCAGGAGAATCGCTTGAACGCAGGAGGCGGAGGTTGCAGGGAGTCAGGATCGCACCATTGCACTCCAGCCTGTGTGATAGAGCAAGACTCCATCTCAAAAAAAAAAAAAAAAATCCCTATAAGATAAAGACTACTTTTTTGGTGACAGCTTTATTGAGATATTCATACACCGCACAATTCATGTATGCAGAACATACAATTCACTGATTTTTAGTGTGTTCACAGAGTTGTGCAGTCATCATCACAGTCAATTTTATTTATTTGCTTTTTAAGACAGAGTCTTGCTGTGGCGCTGAGGCTGGAGTGCAGTGGCACAACCTCGGCTCATTGCAACCCCCTCCTCCTCCTGAGTTCAAGCGATTCTCCTTTCTCACCCTCCCAAGTAGCTGGGATTACAGGCAACCGCCACCATGCCTGGCTAATTTTTTATATTTTTAGTAGAGACAAGGTTTTGCCATGTTGGTCAGGGTGTTCTCAAACTCCTGACCTCAAGTGATCCACCCGCCTCGACCTCCCGAAGTGCTGGCATTACAGGCATGAACCACTGCACCCAGTCAAAAAAAAAATTTTTTTTTAGAAATAGGGTCTTGCTGTGTTGCTCTGGCTGGCTGGACTGTTTTTTTTTTTTTTTTTTTTTCCACTGATGTATATATGCCTATCCCTTTACCTGTCTTGATGATTGTTGTTCTTTTTTTTGTTTTGTTTTTTTCTTTTTGAGACTGAGTCTTTTTGCCCAGGCTGGAGTGCAATGGTGTGGTCTCAGCTCACCACAACCTCCGCCTCCTGGGTTTAAGCGATTCTCCTGCCTCAGCCTCCCAAGTAGCTGGGATTATAGGTATGTGCCACCATGCCGGGCTGATTTTGTATTTTTAGTAGAGATGAGGTTTCTCCATGTTTGGTCAGGCTGGTCTTGAACCTGCCGACCTCAGGTGATCTGCCCACCTCGGCCTCCCATAGTGCTGGGATTACAGGCGTGAGCCACTGCGCCCAGCCTATTGTTGTTCTTTCTTTTTGAGATGGAGTTTTGCTCTGTCACCCAGGCTGGAGTGCAATGGCCTGATCTCCACTCACAGCAACCTCCACCTCCCAGGTTCAAGTAATTCTCCTGCCTCAGCCTCCCAAGTAGCTGGGATTACAGGCACCTGCCATCATGCCCGGCTAATTTTTGTATTTTTAGTAGAGATGGGGTTTCACTATGTTGGTCAGGCTGGTCTCAAACTCCTGACCCCAAGTGATCCAGCCACCTTGGCCTCCCAAAGTGCTGGGATTACAGGTGTGAACCACCACTCCTGGCCATGATTGTTATTTTGTATTGTTTTGAAATCAGGAAGTGTGAATCCTCCAACTTGATTCTTATTTTTCATGATTGTTTTGACTGTTCTGGATCCTTGAGTTTCCATGTGAATTTTAAAGTTAGCTCATAATTTCTACCTGGCAGCCAGCTGGGCTTTTGATGGGGATTGCCTTGACTCTAGATCAGTTTGGAGCCATCAGTTTTCTAAGTCTTTAACTTATTCAACTCGTTTAATCTTACCTACCTTGGAGGTAGGTCCTACTTTTATCCTCATTTCACAGAGGAGGAAACTGAGGCCCAGAGAGCTTAAGGACCTTGTCTGAAGTCACGCAGCTGGCCAGTGGCCAAGCCAGACCTTGAGCCGGTGGCTCTGGAGCCCGTGGCTCTGGAGCCCGTGTTTGTAACCACTGTGCTGAGCTGCCTCTTTCCCTGGGCTTGTTGTCTTTGACTCTGCCTTCCCTGAAGGGTGACATTCCCTGGCCATGTCCCTGTGGTAGGGGGCTGCATCTCTGGCAGACCCCACAACGGCTTCACCTCCTTGTGTTCCAGGCAGCCGGTGAAGGTTGTGTACTCCTCCAAGGATCCTGCCCAGCCGAAAGAGAGTTCCAAGGTGGATGCGAATGAGGAGGTGGAGGCTTTGATCGTCAAGTCCCCACAGAAGGAGTGGAACCCCTCTCTGTTTAAGGTGTTATACAAGACCTTTGGGCCCTACTTCCTCATGAGCTTCTTCTTCAAGGCCATCCACGACCTGATGATGTTTTCCGGGCCGCAGATCTTAAAGTAAGACCCCTTCCCTCCCAGGTGGGCTCCATTTTCCCTCCTTGGCTTTGATCTTTCAGTTGCATCAGTCATAACCCTGGGGTCATGCTGTGTCCTGAAGTGGGCTCATAGCCAGATGTCTCCATTTTTACTTTAGCTTTTTTGAAAAAAATAGAGACAGGGTCTTGCTTTGTTGGTCAGGCTGGTCTCGAGCTCCTGACTTCAAGCGATCCTCCTGCCTCGGCCTCCCAAAGTGCTGGGATTGCAGATGTGAGCCATGGTCACTGCCTAGCTTTACTTTATGCTTTACTTAATTACCATATTAGTGAAGACCACATCGTTTGCAAGTAACAGAAACCCACTAGGCTCCCCTAAAACCCAAATGGGGAGGATATGGCATTGTCTTGGGAAACCAAGAGCAAGGAAATGCCAGCAGATCTCATGAAAAAACTGCAACCAGGGTTGGGCGCAGTGGCTCATGCCTATAATCCCAGCACTTTGAGAGGCTGAGGTGGGAAGATCACCTGAGGTCAGGAGGTCAAGACCAGCCTGGCCAGCATGGTAAAACCATCTGCTAAAAATACAAAAATTAGCCGGGCGTGGTGGTGCACGCCTGTAATCCCAGCTACTCAGGAGGCTGAGGCATAAAAATTGCTTGAACCCAGGAGGCAGAGGTTACAGCAAGCTGATTGCATCACTGAACTCAAACCTTGGCGACAGAGCAAGACTTTGTCTCAAAAAAAAAAAAAAAAAAAAAAAGAATAAAAACAACAACAAAAAACTGCAACCAGGAACTGGGGAGTCAGAAAGGAAGTTGCCTCTCTCCTACCTGGCTCTCTGCTGCTCTGTGACTCAGGGGCTACACATCCCTTCTCTTTTCCTCCCTACCTCTTTACCTCGTGTTCCCTATGCAATTCCTTTGGGTGACTTGCTGGTGATGAGATATAGCTAGAGCAATTAGTGCACAACCCCAAGGCAGAGGCCTCTTTTATGAGCAGTTTGGGTCACCTGCACAGCCAGATCACCACTGTGGACTTGTTTTTCCATCTATGAAATTGAAGTGATAGTGTCTAGCTCATCTGGCTCAGGAGAAAGTTGCAGTGCCAACACTGAAGCTCTCTTCCCTGCCCCCACGTGTCACAAGTCATTCCAGGCCCTCTCTTTGCTCCTTTGCAGGTTGCTCATCAAGTTCGTGAATGACACGAAGGCCCCAGACTGGCAGGGCTACTTCTACACCGTGCTGCTGTTTGTCACTGCCTGCCTGCAGACCCTCGTGCTGCACCAGTACTTCCACATCTGCTTCGTCAGTGGCATGAGGATCAAGACCGCTGTCATTGGGGCTGTCTATCGGAAGGTAGGGGACGCTGTGCCATTGGCATGTGGCCCGACTTCCACATCCCCTCCTGCAGCCCTGGGTTACTCTGGGGCCAGCGTGGGGATTTCCAGCCCAGCTTCTGGAGCAGTAGGATGAGGGTAGCTTCCGTGACCTTAGGTGGCAGGGACAGCACGCATCAGGCATTGTACGTTAGGAAAGCTGATTTCAAGGGTGGGCGTGTAGATGTCTTTGTGTATCAGCTGTGAGTAATTGAGTTTCTTAGATGGATCAGTGGCCCTTGTTGTGGGGAAATCCAAGTTTGGATCCTCATTCTGCTGTTAACATTCTGTGTTTCAGCTTGTTGTCACTCTTTTTTTTTCGTTTTTTTGAGACCAGGTCTCACTCTCTCCCCCAGACTGGAGTGCAGTGGCATGATATTGGCTCACTGCAACTTCTGCCTCCTGAGTTCAAGCGATTCTTCTGCCTCAGCCTCCTGAGTAGCGGGGACTACAGGCGCCTGCCACCACGACCGGCTAATTTTTGTATTTTTAGTAGAGACAGGGTTTCGCCATGTTGGCCAGGCTGATCTTGAACTGCTGACCTCAGGTGATCCGCCTGCCTCAGCCTCCCAAAGTGCTGGGATTACAGGCATGAGCCACCGCGCCCAGCCTGTTGTCACTCTTAATTTGAACTGAGCAGGTGGCACATTCCTTGCATGGTAAGAGTATGTAGCAGGCATTTGTGTACATCCAATTTCAAAGGACCTAAATTACCTTCTTGATCCCTATAAATTTTTTTTTTTTTTTGTCTCGAGGTCAAGGAAACTGCTTGGCTCCTAGGTTAGGAAGAGACAGTCTTGCAGGTACTTGATGAACTAGAGGAGTGATTCTCAGGCCTGTCTGTGAATTAGACTCACCTGGGGAGCTTAAACTGATGCAGGCCAGGCACTGTAGCTCATGCCTGTAATCCCAGCAGCTTGGGAGACCAAGGTGGGGGAATCACTGGAGGCTTGGAAGTTCAATACCAGCCTGGTCAATATAGCAAGACCCTGGCTCTGCAGAAAATTTAAAAAAATTAGCCAGGTATGGTGGTGCGTACCTGTAGTCCCGTCTACTCAGGAGATTGAGTTAAAAGAATCACTTCAGCCCCGGAGTTGGAGGCTGCAGTGAGTCCTGATAGCATCCCTGCATTCCGGCCTGTGTGACAGAATGAGACCCTGTCTGAAAAAACAAAAAAACTTCCTGACACCTAGGTTGCACCAGACCAGTGAAATTGCGATTGCTGTGGTGGCACCCAGGTGTCATTGTTTTTGTTTTTTATTTATTTTTATGTTTTGAGACAGGGTCTCGCTCTGTCACCCAGGCTAGAGTGCAGTGGCATGATCTTGGCTCACTGCAGCCTCCACCTCCTGGGCTCAAACGATCCTGCCACCTCAGCCCACCACGTAGCTGGGCCCAGAGGCATGCATCACCACGCCTGCTAATGTCTTAGTGTTTTTAAAACTCACGAGGTGATAGTGTGCAATCATGTTTGAGGGCTAGGGACATTTTCCCCCACCAGGGCACGTTTGGCAATATCTGGGGGCATTTTCGGTTGTCCCAACTGGGGGCGAGGGCATGTAGTGGGTCGAGGCCAGGTATTGCTGCTAAAACTCCTACAGTGCGCAGGACAGCCCCCCAAAGAATTATCTGGCTCCAGATGTCAAGAATGCCAAGGATTAGAGACCCTGGCCCACACCCTCAGTCCTTCAGTGGGATCTGGGACCAGTAGCACTGACACAGCCTGGAAGCGTAGAAATGCAGAATCCCAGGCCACACCCCAGACTTGCAGAATCCAAAACAACTCCCCCCACCCCCCACCACTCCCCCCAGAAAAACCCGGCCGCATGTGTGCACATTAAAGCATGCGAAGCCCTGGTTTCGAGGACACCTAGGGTCCCTTGCCAACTGATGAGTTCAAGGTTGGGAGGCACTGAGCACCGCGGATAAGAATGTGGGCTTTGAGATGACACAGGCGTCCTGGGCAGACAGATAGGTCGGGAGGGGAGGAGGAGAGATCTGCGGCATTTCTGCCCCTGAGAGTCTCCTTCCTCTCCGTGGGTCTGGAGGGAGAGTCAGGCCTCTTCAGCTGCCACACTCACCCACCTTCCCTCTCCTTTGTCCCACAGGCCCTGGTGATCACCAATTCAGCCAGAAAATCCTCCACGGTCGGGGAGATTGTCAACCTCATGTCTGTGGACGCTCAGAGGTTCATGGACTTGGCCACGTACATTAACATGATCTGGTCAGCCCCCCTGCAAGTCATCCTTGCTCTCTACCTCCTGTGGCTGGTGTGTGTTTAACGCCGTTTCCCTTTGCATGCAGGGAGGGACTTCTACGTGTGGGCAGTGGGCCGAGGGAGTGGGTGTTGATGGTAATGGCATGTAGAGCTCCCTGGCAGTTCCGGCTGTGGTTCATATTTTATTTTCCAGCCTGTTAACCAATTCCTCAGTATTTTGTTCCTTTCCTGAATTGTCAGGTTGATGTTCTCCTTGGTGGCATGGCGTTTTCATTTTCTCTTTTCCTTGACAGTGTCAGTAATTAACTACCCTACAATGGACGACACATCATATTTCTCCCCTTGAATCCTCCCAAACGCTAACCAGACTCACTTATTCATTAGTCCCTAATTATGGTGGTCAAAATTCTCTCAATTGCAAGGGATATAAATCTGTCTTAAAGTAGCCTAAGTGGCCGGTTGCAGAGGCTCACGCCTGTAATCCCAGCACTTTGGGAGGCCGAGGCGGGCAGATCACCTGAGATCAGGAGTTCGAGACCAGCCTCAACGTGGAGAAACCCCGTCTCTACTAAAAATACAAAATGAGCTGGGCGTGGTGGTGTATGCCTGTAATGCCAGCTACCTGGGAGGCTGAGACAGGAGAATTGCTTGAACCTGGAAGGCGGAGGTTGCGGTGAGCCGAGATTGGGCCATTGCACTCCAGCCTGGGCAACAAGAGTGAAACTCCAATTCCAAAAAAAAAAAAAAGTAGCCTAAGTAAATAGAGGGAACTTTGGGGCTGCATGTATCTCAGAAATCTGGGGACTAGCTTCAGGTGTGGATTGATCCAGGAGATCAAGCAATGTTGTCAGTACTCAGTTTCACCCACTGCCCTGTTGTCCTCTGAGTTAACATCATTCTCAGTGGTACTTCCCTACATGGCTCCGTAGCTTTGGGCTGATAACATCCTGATAGATAAAGGTGCCAGAGAAAAGACAAGGCAGCATTTCTCTGCACAGCCAGAGTCAGTCTCAGAGAGCACTCTGATTAGCCTGGCTTGGTCCTATTCACACCCGTGAACCAATCACTGTGGCCCAGGAGGCAGAGTTCTCTCATTGGCCAGCCTGGGTCACATGTCCTCTCCCATGGCAGAAGAGATGTGATTGACAGCCCTTCCATGTGGAGAGGGAGAGTTCCCAAAATAAAATGATAAGCAAAGAGGCTCATAGCACAACACATGCCTTGTGCTTTGCTACCTCTGGATCTTTGCCACGTACCTTTCCTTCCTTCTTCCTAATTGATGAAAGCCTGCTCATCCCCCAAGGCTGTAACAAACACTACTTCCATTGATTTACCCTCCCTTCTCAATTAGATGGACTTCTTCTTTTGAATTTTGAGTCCCAATAACTTTAGTATAGGAACTCATCTAATAATACTTTCTGAAATAGTTTTTTTTGTTTTGTTTTTGTTTTGACATGGAGTCGCGCTCTGTTGCCCAGGCTGGAGTGTGGTGTGCCATCTTGGCTCGCTGCAACCTCTGCCTCCCAGCTTCAAGCAATTCTCCTACCTCAGTCTCCCGAGTAGCTGGGACTACAGGCTTACACCACCACGCCCATTAAATTTTCTTTTTTTTTTGTATTTTTAGTAGAGACAGTGTTTGATCATGTTGGCTAGGCTGATCTTGAACTCCTGGCCTCAGGTGATCTACCCTCTGTGGTCTCCCAAAGTGTTGGAATTACAGGCGTGAGCCACCGTGCCCAGCCCACTCCCTGAAATAGTTTTGTTTTGTTTTTTTTGCATGCTCAGTGTACTGCCTCCTCTTTGAAGGGTAACATGTTAGCTACTTGCAGACATATAGCAGCTGACTTTTGTGTCTTCTGTGGGTACAACCCCAGCAGGGCCTGATGCATAATGGGCACAGCTCAAATTATTATCTGTTATTGAAAGAGAAGGGCTGGACGAAATGGCTCATGCTTGTGATCTGAACACTTTGGGAGGCCAAGGCGGGTGGATCATCTGAGGCCAGGAGAGCAGCCTGGCCAACATGGCAAAACCCCGTCTCTACTAAAAATATAAACATTAGTCAGGCATGGTGGTGTATGCCTATAATCTCAACTACTTGGGTGGCTGAGGCAGGAGAATGGCCTGAATCCGGGAGGCGGAGGTTGTATTGAGCTGAGTTTGTACCACTGCATACCAGCTTGGGCAACAGAGCGAGACTCTGTCTCAAAAAAAAGAAAAAGGAAGAAGAAAAAATTACTGGTTTATTTGGCTGTAGTTTGGTTTTTTTTTGTACATTTGTAGAGCAGAAGGTGAGTAAAGTGTTTCTAATAATAAAACTCAGAAAAAACACCAGAATTTAATTGTCTAATAGGCTGGGTACAGATATAGGTGGCATGCGCCTGTAATCCCTGCACTTTGGGAGGCTGAGGTGGAAGGATTGCTTGAAGCCAGGAGTTTGAGACCAGCCTGGGCAACATAGTGAGACCCTGTCTCTACAAAAAAAAAAAAAAAAAAAAAAAATTAGCTGGGCATGGTGGTGCCTACCTGTGGTCCCAGCTACCGTGGAGGCTGAGGCAGGAGGATTGCTTGAGCCTAGGAGTGCAGAGGCTGCAGTAAGCTAGGATCACACCACTGCACTCCTACCTGGGTGACAAGGCAAGACCCTGTCTCTAGAAGAAAAAAAAAATCTAAATAAAGTGTCTTTTCAAGCAGGTGTCTTGGGGAGTCCACTTTTGTAAAAGTGCTACTATGGGAAAAATATTTTTGGAACATTTGTTCTAGAACTGCCTTCAGGATTGGTTTATGAACCGTTAAGAAAATTGTCTAACATCACGTTTTGTTTTAGATGGTAGTTGCTTGAGCTCAGCACTGTTGACACTTGGGGCCAGACAGTTCTTTGTTGTGGGGGCTGTCTTTTTTTTTTGTTCTTGTTATTGTTTTTTTTGTTTTTTTAAGGGACAGAGTCTTGCTCTGTTGCCCAGGCTGGAGTGCAGTGGTGCGATCATAGCTCACTGCAGCCTTGAATTCTTGGCCTCAAGCAGTCTTCCCACTTTGTCATCTCATCTAGCTGGGGACTACAGGTGCACGCCACCATGCCTGGCTAAGTTATTTATTTTTTTGTAGAAATGGGGGTCTTGCTGTGTTGCCCAGGCTGGTCTCGAACTTCTACCCTCAAGCTATCTTACCACTTTGGCCTCCCAAAGTGATGGGATTACAGGTGTCAGTCACTGCACCTGGCCACAAGGCTATAAGTTAATACAGCAAAATTAGCAAGGAATTAAGGCACACATGGGGCGGTGTTCAAGAGAAGCCAGGTGCAGGCTTCCAGGAGTCCCCAGCAGAGTCACAGGTTCACTAATTCTCTGGCAACCATGATGATTATGTGTGTGAAATGTTGCCAACCAGGGAAGCTTGGTAGGAGCTCAGTTCCTGGGTTTGTATTAGGGGCAGGTCACATAAGCAGCCTTTGCTTGGCACATACCAAAAGTCTAGACTCCCAGAGGGAAAGCGGTGTTCAGCATAAACCATATTGTTTGTACAAACAGTTGAGGCACACTGAGCTACTCTACCCAATTCTGTTAATGGTGGAAACCCTGTAAGTATGCAGACACTAGCCAAGGGCTAAACTTGTAAGCAGCCTTCAAGCAGGAAAAGCAATCAGGTGGTCGTGTTCACACTTTTCTGCTTACTACCTTATTACCTTTCTAAAAATCTAAGCTGGGTGTGATGGCTCGCGCCTGTAATCCCAGCTACTTGGGAGGCAGAGGTGGGAAAGTCGCTTGAGCCCATGAGTTTGAGACCAGCTTAGGCAACATAGTGAGACCTTGTCTCTACAAAAAATCAAAAAAATAGCTGGGCATGGTGGTGTGAGTGTAGTCACAGCTACTTGGGAGGCTGAGTTGGGAGGATCACTTGAGCCCAGGAGATCGAGAGCAGTTTGAGTAACATAGTGAGACCTTGTCCTTACAAAAAACCAAAAAAATTAGCTGGGCATGGTGATGTGACTAGTCACAGCTACTTGGGAGGCTGAATTGGGAGGATCGCTGGAGCCCAGGAGTTGGAGACCAGCCTGGGCAATGTAGCAAGACCTAATGCTTACCTGTAGTCCCAGCTACTTTGGAGGCTGAAGTAGGAGGATCACTGATGCAAATAGCCACTGTACTGCAGCCTGGGCAACATAGCGAGACCTCATCTCCTAAAAAAAAAAAAATTAGAATCCTGCAGTTGTAATTTGCAAAACTCATGTGGCCCCAAGGGCTTGGGAGAAAGGAGCGTGGACCTGCTTATTCTTCAAGGGATTGGGAGGACCTGGAGAGATGCTCAGGAATGAAACCACAGGCTCTTAACACCCTATTGTGGGGTAAAAGTAACACACCTTGCCCTGAACTTGGTCAGCAGCATCCACGTGGGATGGATCAACCGGGGAAGCTGTTACGGGCCCTGTTTTCTTCTGTCTGGTGAGTGATGAAGAGTCTCCTTTCCTTCCTTAGAATCTGGGCCCTTCCGTCCTGGCTGGAGTGGCGGTGATGGTCCTCATGGTGCCCGTCAATGCTGTGATGGCGATGAAGACCAAGACGTATCAGGTAAGGCATGTGTCTCTGCGGGCCCCCAAGCCGGGCCCTAGGCAGAGGCCTCTCCATGAGGATTTTAGTCCAGTTCCTTCTGCTCTGTCCCTGGGGTTCTCAGCCTTGCCTGCCAGTTGGACTCACTTGGGGAGCCTTAACAAATGCTGATGCCCCGGCTGCATATCTGGGATTCTGATTCACTTATTGTGGGTGGGGTCTGGACATCAAGATGTTTTAAAGCTTCCCAGGTCATTATATTGGGCAGCCAAGATTGAGAGCTCCTGACACATGGTTAGACCTTGTAGGCCGGTGACTGGAATCAGAAGGTCTGTGAGCCTCTGAGAAAGTCCTTGTTTCCCACGGTCTTGTTTATTATGTGTATGTGTGACTCAGCTTTCAAGAGTTGAGTACAAATTACCCCCTACTTTTTTCCCCCTTATTAGCTCTTACCTTATAGGATACATGCTGTTAATCTCTTTATTTAAATTAAAATAATTAATTTCTAAAATGGGGCCTTGCTGTGTTGCCCAGGCTGGTCTCAAACTCCTGGGCTTAAGTGATCCTGTTGCCTCAGCCTCTCAAAGTGTTGGGATTACAGGTGTGAGCCATCATGCCCGGCTTTCAGCTTTTTATTTTTGGAGATATTTTGTATTTTAAAAAGTTTGAATACCCAAGTAATAGAGTGATGTTTCTTATTATAAAAAAGTCCAAATCAAGCCGGGCTCACCCCTGTAATTTCAGCATTTTGGGAGGCCAAGGTGGGTGGATCGCCTGAGCTTAGGAGTTCAAGACCAGCCTGGGAAACATGGTGAAACCTGTCTCTACCAAAAATGGAAAAGTTAGCTGCATGTGGTGATGCGTGCCTGTAGTCCCAGCTACTTGGGAGGCTGAAGCATGAGGATCACCTGAACCCAGGAGGTCGAAGCTGTAGTGAGCCATGATTGTGCCACTGCACAACAGAGTGAGACCCTGTCTCAAAAAAAAAAAAAAAAAAAAAAAAAAAAAAAAAAAAAAAAGTTTAAATCGTACAAAAGTACATAAATTAAAAGGGGATACCCCCTTCCCTACTCTCTCAACCACTGCAAATATATAGAAGCAAATCCTTCTACAACTTTCTACGTATGTATATACAGACCTGATTAATGGTATAGTTTGGTTTGTTTTTATATATGTGGGTTTTTTTTTTTGTTTGTGGAGATGGAGTCTCACTTTGTTGCCCAGGCTAGAGTGCAGTCGTACGATCTTGGCTCACTGCAACCTCTGCCTCCCGGGTTCAAGTAGTTCTCCTGCCTCAGCCTCCCGAGCAGCTGGGATTACAGGTGCCCACCACCACACCCAGCTAATCTTTGTATTTTTAGTAGAGATGAGGCTTTACCACATTGGCCAGGCTGGTCTTGAACTCCTGACCTCAGATGATCCACCCGCCTCGGCCTCCCAAATTGCTGGGATTACAGGCATGAGCCACCATGCCTGGCCATTATATATGTTTTGTGTGTGTGATATTATTACCATATCTGTTTTTACCTAAATGGGCCCACGTGGCAGCATGATTTTTGTCCTTTAGCGCCCTGCTTTGGGGACCTCTCTGTGCTGTGCCGTATAGCTTCAATTCATTCTTCCAACCCGGTGCCTTTTGGTCTATAATGGAGATGGTGCAGTTTATTTCTTTGCTCTTCTGTTGATGGATATTTATGGTGTGCTGTGGAATTTCAAATGGGAGCACTAGGCTGCACTGACGATACCACAGGGAGATGAGTTTCAGGACATGGGCCTGTTGGAAGGAGAGGCCTCACGTGGTAGGGTTGGGTGGGATGGGTGAGGCAGGGGCTTTAGGATTGAGTCACCCTTCAGTCTCTTGATGTGTAGGATGCCCTGAGTGGCCCGACTCAACCCATTTCAGTCCCTGGCCTCCAGATCATGTAGCTTATATTCTTCCCATCTGTGACCCGGGGATGACTGTAGCACTAAATGATAAGAGTTCTTGTGATTGTTAAGTGTCTGAATACATGTAAAATGCTTAGAAAAGTTGCTGGGATACACAAAATCCTGGGTGGTAGTAAAAGTATTTAACAACTGCACTGCACAAGTATCCACTATTTGGAACCAGTGCTAGCCAGTACAGAAACATTTCACTATTTTAACAACCATGGGCCAGGCACAGGGGCTCATGTCTGTAATCCCAGCTCTTTGGGAGCCTGAGGCAGGAGGTTGGCTTGTGGCCAGGAGTGCAAGACCAGCCTGAGCAACATAGCAAGGTGCCATCTCTACAAGAAATACAAAAATGAACTGGGTGTGGTGGCATATGCCTGTGGTCCCAGATACTAAGGAGGCTGAGGTGGGAGGATCGCTTGAGCCCAGGAATTCAAGGCTGCAGTGAGCTATGATCATGCCACTGCACTCCAGCCTGGATGCCAGAGTGAGATGATGTTTCCAAAAAAAAAGAAAACTGGGCTGACAAGAAATAAGAAAACAGGCTGGGTGCGGTGGCTCACACCTGTAATCCCAGCACTCTGGTAGGCCGAGGTTGGATCACTTGAAGTCAGGAGTTCGAAACCAGCCTGGCCAACATGGTGAAGCCCCGTCTCTACTAAAAATAGAAAAATTAGCCAGGCGTGGTGGCAGGCGTTTATAGTCCCAGCTACTCAGGAGGCTGAGGTAGGAGAATCTCTTTAACCCGGGAGGCAGAGGTTGCAGTGAGCCAAGATCGTGCTACTGCACTCCAGCCTGGGCAAGAGAGCGAGACTCCGTCACAAAAAAAAAAAGAAAAAATACGAAAACAGAGAAGAAAAACACCACCACCATGTCTCCTGTGTTTGGGTCAGCAGAGTAGGGACTGAATCCCTTCTTTTCTGTACACCTGAAGGGTTTTTCTTGCCTCTGTTCCTGGATTCTAAATTGAGTATGTTTCTCCAATGTCTAACCTAACGTGATTTGAAGGGGTTTTTTTTTTCTTGATAGCGGGGTCCTTTGGTGTGGTCTTGGGGCTCAAGAGTAGGGCTAGTAGGGATTACAGGGTCAGCTCTCCCACCCTCAGGAGGCCCATTTTTAATAGACGGTGAAGTTGAGGCCCAGTGCGGTGGCTCACACCTGTAATCCCAGCACAGGAGTTTGAGACCAGCCTGGGCAGCATGGTGAAACCCCATCTCTATTGAAAAGAAAAAAAAAAATCAATATAAAAAACATTTACATGTCAAAGTATATAATAAAGTTTATGAGAAAAATAGCTGGTGATGTTGAGTGATGGGCTGATCCCAGGGTCGCCCCAGATGTGTTGACTGCCCGTCTCTTCCAAGGTGGCCCACATGAAGAGCAAAGACAATCGGATCAAGCTGATGAACGAAATTCTCAATGGGATCAAAGTGCTAAAGCTTTATGCCTGGGAGCTGGCATTCAAGGACAAGGTGCTGGCCATCAGGCAGGAGGAGCTGAAGGTGCTGAAGAAGTCTGCCTACCTGTCAGCCGTGGGCACCTTCACCTGGGTCTGCACGCCCTTTCTGGTGAGTGAAGCCACATTTTTCCTGGCCCTCATTGTTTGATGTTTTATTTTCTCTGCGTACCTGAATATTTTTAAAAGGTCACTATGTTGCCCAGGTGCAGTGGCTCATGCTTGGTAATCCCAGCACTCTGGGAGGCCAAAGCAGGTGGATCACCTGAGGTCAGGAGTTCAAGACCAGCCTGGCCAACATGGTGAAACCCAGTCTCTACTAAAAATACAAAAAAATAAGCCGGGTGTGGTGGCGCATGCCTGTAGTCCCAGCTACTAGGGAGGCTGAGGCAAGAGAATTACTTCAACCTGGGAGGCGACGGTTGGAGTGGGCCAAGATCACGCCAGTGCACTCCAGCCTGGGCGACAGAGCAAGACCTTGTCTCAAAAACAAACAAAAAAGTCACTATGTCAGCAAGGCCTTCCCTGAACACTTGGTTTAAACATTTGCCATCTTCTCCATTCTCCTTTGTTTTATTCACACTTAGCAGCTTCTAGCCAACCTGTGTAGGAACCGTTCGTTATCTATTTACTGTGATATAAGGAGCTTGTGCCAGAATGTAAACCAGTGCCCCCTGCTTCCTGCATTAAGATAGCCTTGCAAGACAAAAAGTGCGAGCTGAGTCGAACGGCACGCTTGGTGCCATAGTTGATCTACATTGTGGTGCTGCGTCCTTATTTTGTCACCAACTGGTCACAAAGTGTGGATTGTCAGTGTCTCATAGGCCACATGTCAAGTGGCATGGTCTAAACACACTCTAAAATTTACTTATTTTGGGCTGGGTGCGGTGGCTTGTGCCTGTAATCCCAGCCCTTTGGGAGTCCAAGGTGGGTAGATCACTTGAGGCCAGGAGCTCGAGACCAGCCTGGCCAACCTGGTGAAACCCTGTTACTGCTTAAAAAAAAAAAAAAAAAAGAAAGAAAAAAAAAGCTGGGCATGGTGGTGCATGCCTATATTCCCAGCTACTCAGGAGGCCGAGACATGAGAATCCCTTGAACCTGGGAGGCTGAGGTTGCAGTGAGCCGAGATCGAGCCACGGCACTCCAGCCTGGGCAACACAGCAAGACCCTGTCTCAAAAAAGTAAAAAAAAAAAAAAATAAGTAAAATAAAATGTACTTATTTTATTGTCTGCTTTTCCCCCACTAGGATGTCAGCTCCAGATGGGCATTTTTGTCGTTTCTCTTGACTGCTGTATCCTCAGTATATAAAACAGTGCATAGCAGGTGCTGAACAAATATTGTCATCCATTGTAAAAAAAAAAAAATACAGAAAGATATAAAATGAAAAGTATATTGTCCTCTCTTCCATCAGTTCCTCCCTTCTAAAGTGACAGTTTCGTGTACGCTTTTAGAGAAAAATGGACAAGCATATAGGTATTTAAAAATACTTTGACAGATATAAATGGAATCATACTGTACATAGTGTTCTCTTTTCTTTGGTTAACAATATATAGTCTTGGTTCGTTCATTCTGGTCTACTTCATTTTAGTTTTTTGGGGGGTTTTGTTTTGAAATGGGGTCTCGCTCTGTCCCCCAGGCTGGAGTACTGTGGTGCGATCATAGCTCACTGCAGCCTTGAACTCCTGGGCCCAAGCAATCCTCCTGCTTTAGTTTCCTAAGTAGCTGGGACTCCAGGTGCACTGCTACCACTCCCAGCTTGTTTCATTTGTGTTCATGATGGATGCTTGTCTGACGTGCAGATGCGCCCTGCTGGAATTACCCTTTCTCCCATTCCTTGCAAAAACAGGTTGTTCCCTGTTTTTTTTGCTGTTATGATCCATGCTACACTGAAAGTTCTGGTACCTGTCCTGGGGTATGGTAATGGGTCTATCCCTGCCTAGCTGGCTTTGAAAAGTTTAAAGACAACAGTGCAACTTACAATTTGCAAAGTTGGCCGCAAATCAGGAGACCATACAGAGATGGACTTTGGAAATTCCCTTTTTAAGCACAGTTAAAAACAGTTAATGGTGAAGGATGACTTCAGATCATGCCCCATGTTTGTTTTTTCTTTCTGTCTTTTTATTAACTGTGTCATTCTTTTTGTAATGTTGTGCTCATTACAACTATTCCTTCTTGGTCAGGTTGGCAAATTATATGTTTTTCTGGCAAGTTTCTGTGAAGCAGAGTTAAACATGTTTATGAATATGAACTTTTCTGTTAAACTACCATCTGCTTCATCTTTGTTGAGTTTCAGGTGGAATGTCTAAGGAAGCTCCAGCTGTTTCAGCATTTGCGAAAGCGTGTTCATGCTCCCACTGAATTTTCTTAGTCTTGCCTTACTTCTCTCAGGGTCTGGAACTGCAGGAGAGATGGTGTTCAAATTCAAGCCTGCATCAGAATCACCTGGAGAGCTTGTTATTATATTTTATTATTTATTCATTTATTGAGATGAAGTCCCAGTCTGTCACCCAGGTTGGATTGCTATGGCACTATCTTGGCTCACTGCAATCTCTGCCTCCCGGGTTCAAGCGATTCTTCCACCTCAGCCTCTGAGTAGCTGGGATTACAGGCATGCAGCAACCATGCTCAGCTAATTTTTAAAATATCTTTAGTGTAGAGATGGTGTTTCACCATGTTGGCCAGGCTGGTCTCGAACTCCTGACCTCAGGAGATCTACCCGCCTTGGCCTCCGAAAGTGCTGGGATTACAGGCATGAGCCACAGTGCTGGCTGTTAGCTTGTTACTATAAAACTCAGCTTTCTGGGCCCCACCCAAATTTTCAGTTTTAGTAGGTCTGGTTGGGGCCTGAGTATTTGCTTTCCTAACATATCCCTAGGTGCTGCTGCTTCTGGTTCAGGTTGACATGTAGAGACACCGGAGTGGATCCTCACTGCCTAAAGTCTGGTCCGTGGACCAGCAGCCATGGCATCACCTGGTGCTTGTTAACGGTGCAGAATTTCAGGCCTCAGCCCAGATCCACTGAAACGGAATCTGAGTTGTAACTAGTTCTCTAGGTGGTGTGTATGCACATTAAATTTCGAGAGAGACTGGCAGAAAGTAGGAGTAAAGAAACTTTTTCTGTAAATACTTTCGGAATTCCGGGCCATACAGTCTCTGTCACAAATACCAGTCTCTTCCAGCGTAGTGCAAAAACAGCCTTAGATAATATGGAAATCGATGGGTGTGGCTGTGTTCCTGTAAAAAAGTATTTAGAGACACCAAAATTTGAATTTTATAGAATTTGCATGTGTCATGTAATATTGTTTTGATTTTTTTAACTTTTAAAAAATATGAAATCTGGCTGGGCGCAGGGGCTCATGCCTGTAATCTCAGCACTTTGGGAGGCCGAGGCGGGCGGGTTGCTTGAGGCTAGCAGATTGAGACCAGCCTAGCCAACGTGGTGAAACCCCGTCTATACTAAAAATACAAAAATTAGCTGGAAGTGGTGGTGCGCACCTGTGGTCATAGCTACTCGGGAGGCTGAGGCAGGAGGATCGCTTCAACCCAGGAGGCAGAAGTTGCAGTGAGCCAAGATCATGCCACACACTCCTGGCTGGGCAACAGAGTGAGACCCTTTCCTGCTGCTGCCCCCCCACCCCCTCCCAGCCCCCCACAAAAAAAAATTAGCCAGGTGTGGTGGAGCATGCTGGTCATCCAAGCTTTTTGGGAGGCTGAGGTACGGGAATCGTTTGAACCCGGGAGGCGGAGATCGCAGCGAGCTGAGGTCACGCCACTGCACTCTAAGCCTGGGCAACAGAACAAGACTCTGTCTCAAAAAAAATAAAAAAAATGAAATCAATGCTGAGCTCATGGGCCGTATGTAAACAGGTGTGGGCCAAATGTGGACCTGAGCCATCCTTGTTGGCCAGCCCCTGGCTTAGAGGACTGGAATGTTCTTCTGAGAATCAGGACACCTGCCACATTCTACTGCCAGCTCACAGTGTGACCCCAAAGCTGGTCATCTCACCTCGCTGGCTCTAGATTTTGTCACATGGAAAATGAAGGGGTTAGATTCCAAGCATGTCAAATACTGGGCCCTGTCCTCCTTCCTCATGCCCACAGCAGACACCCACAGTCACTCATGGGGTTCTTTCCCACTGAGTTATGTTCAAGCAGCCCTCCAGGTGACTGGTGCCAGTGGCCTAGAGTTGAGCAAGAAATGACATCTTGTTGCCCTTCTGTAACTCCATGTTCCCTAAGATCACTTCCAGCTCCAATGCCCCTGCATTCTGCCTTGTACATTGCATTCTTCTTACACTCCAATACCTTGACTTTACCGGGGTGCGTTGATGAACTCTCTCTTTTTTTGTTTTTTTTGGGACTGAGTCTCACTCTGTCACCCAGGCTGAAGTGCAGTGGTGCCATCTCAGCTCACTGCAACCTCCATCTCCCAGTTCAAGCAATTCTCCTGCCTCAGTCCCCCGACTAGCTGGGATTACAAACATGCACTACCATGCCTTGTTAATTTTAATATTTTTAGTAGAGATGGGTTTTTGTCATGTTCGCCAGGCTGGTCTCGAACTCCTGACCTCAAGTGATCTACCTGCCTTGATCTCCCAACGTGCTGGGATTACAAGCGTGAGCCACCGCGCCTGGACTCTCCTTTTTTTTTGAGAAGGAGTCTTGCTCTCTCGCCAGGCTGGAGTGCATTGGCACGATCTCAGCTCACTGCAATCTCTGCCTCTTGGGTTCAAGCGATTCTCCTGCCTCAGCCTCCTGAGTAGCTGGGATTACAGGCGCCTACTACCATGCCCAGCTAAGTTTTGTATTTTTAGTAGAGACGGGGTTTCACCAGGGTTCAAGCAATTCTCCTGCCTCAGCGTCCGAGTAGCTGGGAGTACAGGCGCACGCCACCATGCCAAGCCAATTTTTTGTATTTTTAGTAGAGATGGGGTTTAGCCGTGTTGGCCAGGCTGGTCTCAAACTCCTGGCCTCTAGTGGTCCACCCACCTCGGCCTCCTAAAGTGCTGGGATTACAGGTGTGAGCCGCCATGCCCGGTGGGTCTTACTTTATAAAGTAGGAAGTAATGTATTTGCATATGGTGAAACATAATTAAAGCTGCACCAGATGGTATTCATACAGCCGGACTTCGCACGTGGCCACCTCAGCCTGCTGACATTCGCCAACAGGTCATCCTTTGTCCCTGTGTTGTAGGGCCTGGACTGCACATTGCAGGATGTTTCCCAGCATCTGTGGCCTCTACCTGCCAGATGCTAAGTCGTACCTCTCCCTCTTCTTCCCAGTGGTGACAATAGAAAATGGCTCCAGGCATTGCGAAGTGTCCCCTTGGGGGACAGAATTCTCCCAGTTGAGAACCACAGTCAATAGTGAAAGGCCCAAGCCCTTCCTCCTAACACCAGTCACCTTGCTTCCCTCTCTCCATGTTTCTTGTGTGTTTTTCCAGAGTCCACGTCTGTATCACTGTAATGGTGGATACATGTCATACATGTAGTTATGGTTACTTGATTCTGTTTACTTTACTTTTATACAAGTGATAGTAAGAGTCATACATAAATACATACAAAATGGCTTTTTTTTTCTTTTTTTCTTTTTTTTTTTTTTTTTTTGAGATGGGGTCTCACACTGCCGCCCAAGCTGGAGTGCAGTGACATGATCTTGGCTCACTGCAACCTCTGCCTCCCAGGCTCAAGTAATCCTCCAACCTCAGCCTCCCAGGCAGCTGGGACTACAAGCATGCACCACCATGCCCAGCTAATTTCTGTAATTTTGCAGAGACAGGGTCTCACTTTGTTGCCCAGGATGTTTTCAAACTCCTGAGCTCGAGCAGTCCGCCTGCCTCTGTCTCCCAAAGTGCTGGGATTGTAGGTATGAGCCACTGCACCTGGCCTTGATGGCATTTTGAAAGGTCTTGTCTCAGAGGAAAAGATACAAGCCAGAGGGCGCTGGTGATGAGGTTTGGTCTGTGCCTTGTGTCCCGCTTAGGAGGGGATGGGCAGCGTGTTCTCACAGCTTTTTGCTCTGCACATTGGATTCGTTGGCAAAACCCACAGTTTCCAGGCTGTCACCAAACTTTGCTTATCACTTCCTGCCCTGTTCCCCATTAGGAAACCACAGCAGAAGATGCTTAAGAGCAGGACTGGCTTTTCTTCTCTTTTTTCTTTCTTTCTTTCTTTTTTAAAGAGACAGGGTCTTGTTTTGCTGTCCAGGCTGGAGTACAGTGGCTTGATCACAGCTCACTGCAACCTCCAACTCCTGAGCTAAAGCGATCCTCCTGCTTCAGCCTCTGGAGTAGCTGGGATTACAGATGTGAAATACTGAGCCCGGCTACCGGCTTTACTTAACCTTTTCTTGAGCTTTCTTGCCATTTAGTTTCCCGGAGTTTCCAGAGACAGAGTTTGTTGAGCTGTTTGGCAAGAAACAGATGGGCCTGGGTGTCAGCTGGGGAGACCTTGTCCTGGCCGAGGCATCGAAGCCTCTGACTACATTAGGATAAAATATGTGGCCTTTAGTTCCCCTGGAAGGTGCCTGAGTGTTTTTTCCACTGGTGTGCATTCCTGTGCTTCAAAGACGATGAGGTGTTTACCCAGCGGTAGGTGTGATGGAACACAGAGGCCGGGGAAGGCCAGGGATGCCATCCAGGGACTGATGGGACTGTTTTTCTGGAATGGCAAACCTGGCATTTACCACGTCCACCTAATGCACTTTCCTAAAATAGCATCGCCAGGCAGCCGTCAATATTTAACATTTTCTGTCTTGGATGATTTGTGAGCTTCTTGCCTTCTGTTTACCCTGAATCTCCCTTTGTTAGAATAATTCATCATTCTCTATGGTAATGATCTGTCCTGTAGTTCTCTGCTGATCATATCCTAGGGCCCATGGAGACACTGCCACGACCATGTCATTTTATTTATTTATATATTTATACATTTCTGTATTTTTGAGACGGAGTCTCATTCTGCCGCCCAGGCTGGAGTGCAGTGGCACAATCACAGCTCACTGCAACCTCCACCTCCCAGGTTCAGCTGATTCTCCTGCCTCAGCCTCCCGAAGAGCTGGGATTACAGGTGTGCGCCACCACACCTGGCTAATTTTTTGTCTTTTTAGTAGAGATGGGGTTTCACCATGTTGGCCAGGCTGGTCTCAAACTCCTGACCTCAAGTGATCCGCCCACCTCGGCCTCCCAAAGTGCTGGGATTGCAGGTGTGAGCTACCATGCCCAGTCAGACCTTGTCATTTTGTGCTTGTACCAGCAAAGCATAGGGACCTTGGCAAATAGTTCATGCTCTGTAAATGTATGTAGGTAAATGAATAAATACATGAATGAATGAGAGGTTGAAATAAATCATATTAATTAGGAACTGTCTTGCAAATAACAGAAACCTAGCTTAAATCAACTAGAGTAAGAGAAGAGGGGGATTTTTGAGTCACAAAACTAAAAAGTCTAGAAAAAGACTTTTAAGCATGAATGGGGTTCCAGGCATGGCTGGATCTAGGAGTTCCCAAGATAATGTTGGGAATAACAACGTCTCTGACTCTCAGCTCTGCTTTCTTGATGGTGGTTTCTTTATTAGCTGGTAGTTTCCTGATCATCCTGTCACCTCAGCAACCCCTGTGAACAGAGAGTCTTACTCTTTTCCCCTAATATTTCCTGCAAAGCTATGGGATTGAGTCTCATTGGTTGTGGTCGATCACATGCTTCTTCCTGAGCCAGTCACTGAGGCCAGGGAGATAGGATGCTTGGGTCAGCCAGGGCTAGGTCATGTCTTTCAGGGCTTGGGGCCAAGGTAGGGGGTGAGGGAGGAGGTTCATCTGTGGCTGAAGCTCATAGGTTGACACTGGGAGAAGTTCAGTTCCCCCAGAGAAAATTGCATGTTGCCATAAACAGAGTAATAGATGCCAGGTAGGCAGGAAGAGCAGGTAACTGCACACAGGGCATCAGGATTTTTAGGGAGTGGGCTGGAGTGTAGGGGTTCCATTCATTGGTTTTCCACGTTTCTCAGAAAAGGCACCTAGGGGACAGGTGCTCCTCACTGTGTATGAAGGGCTTTTGCACCCTAGACCCTCGCCTATTACAAGGCGAACTCCAGTCTCCTGCTGCCTGGAGCCCCAGTCATTGTGCCCGTCCTACCAGCCTCTTCGGATTTCCAAACACTGCCTGCAGGGAACCTGTTAAAGCCTGTGCTTCCACTAGACTGTGCGTCTCAGGGTTGCCAAGCCCACCTCAGTCCCCAGCGCATGATGGGTGCTCAGTTACCACCTGAGGGGTGGATGGCTAGATGACCTCCTCCTTCTGGAGAAGCCAGGACCATGGACCTGAAAGGGGCCGCATGATGTTGTCCTGTCCCCTCTCTGTGTGTGCCCTGTGCTGCCAGCAGCCGGCATCGATTGGTACTTGGCTCACCAAGGGGGCTGGTACGTTTTGGTGGTGAGATGCCTGAGGCCTGGTTTGCTTCACTGCTGAAGAGACACCTGTGATGTGCTCTTCTGCCCTCAGGCAAATTCACCTACCCCGTCCCCACCCATTTATCCACTCCCACCCATCCATTATCTATCCAGCAGACATTCACTGAGCACCATGATCTGGGCTCTGTCCTAGGCTCTGACAATACAGCAGTGCATACTACAGGTAATAATCTCCAGTCATGGAACATTCATTTTTCACGGAGAGAAACAGACAAGGAAAAATAGGCACAATAAATAAATCCTAGTGCTAGAGAAAGCCATCCTAAGTGCTATAGAAAGAAAAGAGTCAGATCTTTGGAATAAGGGCGGCTTGCAGTTTTAAGTAGGGTGGTCCAAGCTCACTGAGAAGGTGACACTTGAGGAAAGACTTGATGGAGGTAAAGAGGCCAACCAGGGAGTAGCAAGAGCATGTGCAAAGGCCCTGGGGCATTACTGTGCCCATTCATAGGTGGGATAACCATGGAGGCTGAAACAGTGGGAGTGAGGGGAGAGTGACAGATGACGCCAAATGAGGTACAGGGAAGGGACTTTACAAATCAGCTGGGCCTTGGGATCTGAGTCAGCACTTTGACTTCTACACTGAAAAATAGGTTGACTTTGGAGAGGTACTTTTTTAAAAATTACTTGTTTAGAGATGGGGGCCTCACTCTGTTACCCAGGCTGGTGCGGGGGCACAGTAATAGCTCACTGCAGCCTCGACCTCCTGGGCTCAAATGATTCTCCTGCCTCAGCCTCCCTAGTAGCTAGGACTACAGGTGCATGCCACTATGCTTGACTTATTTATTAATATTATTGTTGTTTTGAGACGGAGTCTTGCTCTGTTGCACACGCTGGGGTGCAGTGGTGCAATCTTGGCTCACTGCAACCTCCACCTCCCGGGTTAAAGTGATTCTCCTACTTCAGCCTCCCTAGTAGCTGGGACTACAGGCACATGCCACCACACCCGGCTAATTTTTGTATTTTTAGTAGAGACAGGGTTTTGCCCTGTCAGACAGGCTGGTCTTGAACTCCTGACTTCAGGAGATCCACCTGCCTTGGCCTCCCAACATGCTGGGATTACAGGCATGAGCCATTGAGCCCAGCCACCTGGCTTATTTTTTAAAAAATTTTGTAGAGACACAGCCTTGCTTTTTTGCCCTGGCTCTGCTCGAACTTCTGGCCTCAAGTGATCCTCCCTCCTCGGCCTTGCAAAGCATTTGGATTACAGGCATGGGCTACCATGCCGATCGAAATGTATTTTTTTAACGGAGGTATAATTCACCATTTAAAAGTGTGCAATTCAGTGGTTTTTTTGTGTGATGTGTGGTGGTGTGAAGGTCACCCAGTGGGTTTTTTGTATAAATGATAATGACAATCACCACTAATTCCAGGACGTTTTCATTACCCCAAAAGGAAGCCCTGTACCTGTTACCAGTTGCTCCCCAAATCTTCCATTCCATTCCAGGCAACCAGTAATCTGCTTTCTGTCTGTCTCTGTTTATCTACTGTGGACTTTTCATATAAATGGAATCAAACAACAGGTGGCCTTTTCTGACTGTTTTCTTTTTTTTTGAGACGAAGTGTCTCCCTTGTTGCCCACCTGAAGCGCAATGGCATGACCTTGCCTCACTACAACGTTTGCCTCCTAGGTTCAAGCGATTCTCCTGCCTCAGCCTACTGAGTAGCTGGGATTATAGGCATGCACCACCACTCCTGGCTAATTGTGTATTTTTAGTAGAGACGGAGTTTCTCCATGTTGGTCAGGCTGGTCTGGAACTCCCGACCTCAAGTGATCCGCCCGCCTCAGCCTCCCGAAGTGCTGGGATTTCAGGTGTGAGCCACCCCGCCTGGCCATCTGACTGGTTTCTTAGCATGATGTTTTCAAGGTTTATCCATGTTTTAGCATGTATAAGAATTTCACTCCTTTTTATGGTTGAGAAGTCTATCATGTAGATACATGTAGACCCTTTCGAGTAAAGAATATCTCTGGGCTGGGCATGGTGGCTCATACCTGTAATCCCAGCATTTTGGGAGGCCGAGGCAGACGGATCACTTGAGGCCAGGAGCTCAAGACCAGCCTGACCAACATGGCGAAACCCCATCTCTACTAAGAAAAATACAAAAAGATTAGCTGGGCATGGTGGTGGGCGCCTATAATCCCAGCTACTTGGAGACTGAGGCATGAGAATCGTTTGACCTTGGGAGGCAGAGGTTGCGGTGAACTGCGATCGCACCACTGCACTCCATCTTGTGCAAAAGAATGAGACTGTGTCTCAAAAAAAAAAAAAGTATCTTTAGGTAAGATGCCAGTGTTGCGTTACCGCTTAGAAGATGGGAGCCAGGATGGGTGCAGTGGCTCATGTCTGTAATCCCAGCACTTTAGGTGGCCGAGGCAGGCAGATGGCCTGAGCCCAGGTGTTCGAGAACAGCCTAGGAAGCATAGGGAGACCCTGTCTCTACAAAAATAAAAAAACTAGCCGGGCATGGTGGTATGCGCCTGTAGTCCTAGCTACTCGGGAGGCTGAGGTGGGAGGAATGCTTGAGCCCGGGAGGTCGAGGCTGTGGTGAGCCATGATTGCACCACTGCACCCAGGGATCATGCGTCCCTGTCGTTTCGAGCACCTTGCCTCCCTCTTGACATCGGAGCCTGGAAAATTTCTGTGCCATGGCTCAGCGTCATCTGTCTTGTTAATGTCAGAGCCAGAACACGAACCAGCTCTGGCTTCCCGTGGGACCGGGCTCTCGCTTGTGTGACCACGTTAATAGATTCCTTGGAAGAATGATCTAAGGAATTTGGACCAAATCTTCCAACAAGAAATAAAAACAGCTGCCATCTGTTGAGTTTTACTGTGCTTGGGCCCTGTGCAAATAAACACCCTACATAAGTGCCAACAGCCCTTAAAAGCCTATCATGACTTCCATTTTATAGATGAGAAAATAGGGGCTTGCCTGGAGAGGTGAAATAACTCAACCAGGGTCCCACAGCGGAAATATGGCAAAGTGTATGGTTTTTATTTTTAAGCTGTATGACCTTCCAGGAAGTAACAATGAAATGGCAGTGCTGAGACCCTGAAAATACATGGGCCGATGGCCAGATGGCAGGGCTATTTGGGTAAAGTGGGAGAGACAGCTCCCTTGAATGGTGAGAGGGAGGAGTCAGGTGGCCCCCTGGATGGAAGATGGTTTCAGGCAGAGGAAACGTCAGGGGCAAAGGCCTGGCTTGGGGATTGTGCTTGGTGCTTTTGAGGAATACTAAGAATGCCCCTCTAGGACATCTCTGAGAAAGTTGATGGGAGAGGCCGGCTCTTTGGGCTCCCGGTCGTTGATTTATCCAGTTCATTCCCAGAGTGTTTAGTGAGCACCTGCCATGTGCCAGATACTGCCCCAGGTTTTTCCACGAGCTCCAGCAGCTGGTCAGTTGTGGCCACCTGGGGAGGGCCCAAGCGCGTCTCCAGGGCCTGTCACTGCTCCTAGGATGATGACTCTCACTCGGGGCACAGCAGTCAGCACTGGGCGTTCTGCTTGCAGGTGGCCTTGTGCACATTTGCCGTCTACGTGACCATTGACGAGAACAACATCCTGGATGCCCAGACAGCCTTCGTGTCTTTGGCCTTGTTCAACATCCTCCGGTTTCCCCTGAACATTCTCCCCATGGTCATCAGCAGCATCGTGCAGGTACAGGGGGAAGCTGGGGCGACTTCCGAGAGGGGGCCTTGGGGTTCTAGGCCACGAAAGCATGGAAGTGCCCCCGAGCGCAGCCTCTAGATCACACTCCCGGTCGGGCTCCATGAGGCCCGGACAAAGGCTGCCATGCTTTCGTCTGGTCATGCCTGAAAGAAAGAAAACACATTTGACTTCTTGACAGAGAACTCGCACTTGAGTATATGAATCAAGTTTAATGCAGCAGGGCTTTCCCATGCTCTGGAAGAATCTTTCCGAAATACTCTGTTCTCTTCAGCCTGTTCCTCCGCCATTCCTATCCTTTTTTTAAAAAACGTAGCTCTTGTCTGACTTGATTGATTTTACAACCCACTGATAGGTCTTGACCACCCACGCTTTGAGAAACCCCAACCTTACAGCCGGGCGCGGCGGCTCATGCCTGTATTCCCACCATTTTGGGAGGCTGAGGCGGGTAGATCACCTGAGGTCAAGAGTTCGAGACCAGCCTGGCCAACATAGTGCAACCTCATCTCTACTAAAAATACAAAAATTAGCCAGGTGTGGTGGCGGGTCCCTGTAATCCCAGCTACTCGGAAGGCTGAGGCAGGAGAATTGCTTGAGCCCAGGAGGAAGAGGTTGCAGTGAGCCAAGATCGTGCCATTGCATTCCAGTCTGGGTGACACAGCAAAAACTCCGTCTCAAAATTAAAAAAAAAAAAAAGAAAAACCCCAACCTTACGGCCGGGCATGATGGTACATGCCTGTAATCCCAGCACTTTGGGAGGCCAAGGCAGGTGGATCTCTTAAGCCCAGGAGTTTGAGACTAGCCTGGGCAATATGGTAAAACCCTGTATGTAAAAAAAAATAAAATAAAATAAAATAAAAATAAATAAATAAATAAATAAATAAATAAATAAATAAATAAATATGTTTGAAAATTAGCCAGGCATGGTGGTGTGCCCCTGTACTCCCAGCGACTCAGAAGGCTGGGGTGGGAGGATCAGCTGAGCTTGGGAAGTTGAGGCTGCAGTGAGTCATAGTCTCACCACTACACTCCAGCCTGGGTGAAGGGAGTAAGACCCTGTTTTTTTTTGTTTTTTGTTTTTATTTTTTAGAAACAATGTAGACCATGTAGAATCTCTAAAATTCCTGCCATTGACTGTGTAAGGAGGGGTGGCTTTCTGTTTTGTCACACTTGGGCACTACTGGAAGCTCCTGTCACTTTTCTGCACTGTTTTCACATTCTTTTTCCGAGCATTGCGAACATCCCTTTTGAAAACTCCATTTTAACTACATAGGCAAATCAACCGTAAAATTTGGTAGTACAAGGCTGATAGCAGGCTTTGTCAAAAACAAAAAAATCCATTTTATTATGAAAAATGTCAAGTGTACACAGAAGTAGAATAGCTTAAAGTTTGTAAACTGGCATTAAAAGAAAAAGAAAAAGAAAAAAAAAGCCAAGCATGATGGCTCACACCTGCAATCCCAGCATTTTGGGAGACCAAGGCAGACAGATCAGCTGAGGTCAGGAGTTCGAGACCAGCCTGGCCAACATGGGGAAACCTTGTCTCTACTAAAAATACAAAAATTAGCCAGATGTATTGGTTGGTGCCTGTAATCCCAGCTAATCTGGAGGCTGAGACACGAGAATCGCTTGAACCTGGGAGGTGGAGGTTGCCGAGGTTGCAGTGAGCCGAGATTGTGCCACTGCACTCCAGCCTGGGCGACTGAGTGAGACTCAGTCTCCAAGAAAGGAAATAATACAACATGAACCCCGTGTACACATCACTCAGATTCAACATCGGCATTTTTTGGCTGGGCGCAGTGGCTCACGCCTGTAATCCCAGCACTGTGGGAGGCTGAGGTGGTAGGATTGCTTCAGCCCAGGAGTTCAAAATCAGCCTGGGCAATGAGACCCTTAATCTACAAAAAATAACAAAATGGGTGTGGGGTGCATGCCTGCAGTGACTACATGGGAGGCTGAGGCAGAAGGATCGCTTGAGCCTAGGAGTTTGAGGCTGCAGTGAGTTATGTTTGCACCACTGCACTCCAGCCTGGGCAACAGAGCAAGACTCTGTCTCAAATAAAGAAACCAAGGTTGGGCGCAGTGGCTCATGCCTGTAATCCCAGCACTCTGGGAGGCCGAGGTGGGCGGATCATGAGGTCAGGAGATGGAGACCATCCTGGCTAACACGGTGAAACCCTGTCTCTGCTAAAAATATAAAAAAATTAGCCAGGTGTGGTGGCAGGTGCCTGTAGTCCCAGCTACTCGGTTGGCTGAGGCAGGAGAATGTTGTGAACCCGGGAGGTGGAGCTTGCAGTGAGCCGAGATTGCGCCACTGCACTCCAGCCTGGGTGACAGAGCGAGACTCCATCTCAAAAACGAACAAAAAAACCCAAAACATTTTGCCACAGTTGATTTATCTCATTCTTTTTCAGTATCCCTCCCTTGTCCCTCTTTCCCTTCATTTGTTTTTAATGCTAAACTCTGCTATCTATCCCTTCATTCTTTCCTTTCTTTGCCGAATAATTTTAAAGCAAATCTCAGACCCCTTACATTCTACCCACAAATATTTCAGCATGCATTTCTTCCTACATAATGTAATACCATCATCATGTCTAAGCAAACTAACAATAAGTTTTTACAATAATACTCAGCCCATATCCAAGTTTTCTGGAATATCTCAGAAATGCCTGTCCCATTGGGCTGTTTGAATTGGCTCTGTTGCATTTGCTGTTACGTTTCCAGAGTCCCTTTTCCACCAGGCCTCTGCCCTTTTCTTCTTTTATTTTTATTTTTATTTATTTATTTTTTGAAATGGAGCCTCACTCTGTCACCCAGGCTGGAGTGCAGTGGCATGATCTTGGCTCACTGCGACCTCTGCCTTCCCAGGTTCAAGTGATTCTTCTGCCTCAGCCTCCCGAGTAGCTGGGATTGCAGGTGCGTGCCACCATGCCAGGCTAATTTTATGTATTTTTTTTTTTTTTTTTAGCTGAGGCGGGGTTTCACCATGTTGGCCAGGCTGGTCTCAAACTCCTGACCTCAAGTGATCTGCCTGCCTTGGCCTCCCAAAGTGCTGGGATTACAGGTTTGAGCTACCGTGCCCAGCCATTCGCCCATTTTTTCTGAAATACCTTTTGTGGGCTTTTAAAACAAAGCAGAACCAAACCTGTTTCTTTTTTTGTTTTGTTTAATTCTAAAGTATACACTGGTTCTAAGAAATGTGGGACCTTCAGAAATAAGGGAGGGTGTGTGCCCCTCCACACCTGGGGAAACCCTTGAAAGTTAACCTTGGTTGGTTTTGCAAAAATGCTTTTTAAAAATAACTCTCCCCTGCCATTGCTCTCTGTACAGGCGAGTGTCTCCCTCAAACGCCTGAGGATCTTTCTCTCCCATGAGGAGCTGGAACCTGACAGCATCGAGCGACGGCCTGTCAAAGACGGTGTGTGTGTGTTCAGTCCTGGCTTCTGGAAGTGGCCGCCTTCCCATCTCCCACTGGGTCCTCCCTACTTGCATTTCTTTCCCTTGGCTGCCCTCAGGTTTGACTCTGCCCAGCCGCTTGTCTGCGAGACCCCGGGGGACAAGGGTTCTGCAGAGCCTGCAGAAGGGAAGGGAAGCCTGGCCTCCTGGGCTTCTGTCCTGTCTCACACTTCCCAGGAGGGTGAACTTGCACTTGCATTTTTGTTTTCTTGCTGAGGGTCAGCAGCTGCTTGAGGCTTCCCCGTGGGAGTCACTTTCCAAGGCTTTGACCTTGATTCTATTCTGGGCTAAATGAGGACTCTGGAGGCTGGCCAGCCTCCATCACCCACAAGCTGTGTAGACTTAGGTCTGAGCCTCAGTTTTATCTAGATAAGGGAAACAAAAGTACCTTTCTTTGGCTGAGTGTTACTTGGATTTTTTTTTTTTTTTGAGACAGGGTCTCATTCCATTTCCCAGGCTGGAGTGCAGTGGTGCAGTCACAGCTGTCACTGCAGCCTTGATTTCGTGGGCTCAGGTGATCCTCTGACCTTAGCCTCCCAAGTAGCTAGAACTACAGGCACACACAGCACCATACTTGGATAATATTTTGGTATGTTTTGTAGAGACAGGGTTTCACCATGTTGTCCAGGCCGGTCTCGAACTCCTTAGCTCAAGCAATCCACCTGCCTCAGCCTCCCAAAGTGCTGGGCTTATAGGCATGAGCCAGTTCTCCTGGCCTTTTTTTTTTTTTCAATATTAAATTGTTTTATTTGGAGAGACAAGGTCTTGCTTTGTTCCTCAAGTTGGTCTTGAGCTCCTGGGCTCAAGGATCCCTCTGCCTCAGCCTCCCAAAGTGCTGGGATGACAGATGTGAGCCACTGCACCTGGCCATGCATTTTTATTGGCAGGTTTGTTTGTTTTGTAGCTTGTTAATTTATCGTTTCCCAGCCCATCCCCCTGAGCCAGGGATGTTGTTTGTAACCATCTCTCTAGGCACTTAATAATAAATATTAGGCCGGGCACAGTGGCTCACGCCTGTAATCCCAGCACTTTGGGGAGCTGAGGCAGGTGGATCACTTGAGGTCAGGAGTTCGAGATCAGCCTGGCCAACAAGGTGAAACCCCGTCTCTACTGAAAATACAAAAATTAGCTGGACATGGTGTTGGGCACCTGTAATCCCAACTACTCGGGAGGCTGAGGCAGGAGAATCACTTGAACCCAGGAGGCGGAGGTTGCAGTGAGCCAAGATCGCGCCACTGCACTCCAGCCAGGGCAAAGAGTGAGACTTCATCTCAAAAAAAAAAAAAAAAATAATAATAATAAATATTAATGGCACTAAGTGCAGTGACACGTTCACTTATAAAGCCTCTGTCATGCACATGCCATTCCAAGGATGTCAATGTCCCAACTTGTCCATTACTCACCATGGTACCCCTGGAGGAGGGTGATGGAAACCCCCATTTTCCAGATGAAGAAACTGGTCTCTGAAACTTGCCTGAGATTGCACAGCTGATCAAAAGAAGAACCAGCATTCACACCCACAGCCCATCGGTAGAGTCCATGCTCTTCCTGGCCATAGGGTGTTGCCTCACTGAGATTTACTGAGCACCTACTATGTGCCAAGCATTGTGAGAAGTGCTCTGTGTGCACTGCCTCATAGACACCCCATCACAGCCCTCTGAAGTTGATTGCATGATTGTCAGCCTTATTTTACAGATGAAAAAGTGAGGCACAGGCTGGGTGCAGTGGCTCCTACCTATAATCCTAGTACTTTGGGAGGCCAAGGCTGGAGGATTGCTTGAGGCCAGGAGTTTGAGACCACCTTGGGTAATGTAGTGAGACCTCGTCTCTACAAAAATTAAATTCACCAGGCATGGTGGTGCACCTGTAGTCCTAGTTACTTGAGAGGCTGAGGCAGGAGGATTGGCTGAGCCCGGGAGTTCAAGGCTATAGTGAGCTATGATCATGCCACTGTACTCCAGCCTGGGTGTCAGAGTGAGACCCTGTCTCAAAAAACAAACAAACAAAGGCACAGAGAAGTTAACTAACTTGCCTGTGGCTACCCAGGTACGAAGTGGTAGCCCCAGGATTCAAACCCATACAGTCTGGCTCCAGAGTCCAATGTCAGAAGATTGAATGTGTGTAAACGTCGGTTATACCGCGTGAGCTGTGTCTGGCACCTCGCAGGCGCTCAGGTATCTTTAGTGGCACCTAAAACGTTTGACACGTTTGACACAGCACCTGGTGCATAGAAGATGATAAACAGATCCTGGGAGTTGTCACTTCTCTGGTCTGAGCGAGATGGTCTCAGCATCTTCAGCTCAGCCCCCTGGTGTGGGGTTTTTTATCCTGGGCGCTACTGACATCTGGAGACACATTGTTCTTTGTGGTTGGGGACTGTCCTGTGCACTGTGGGATGTTGAGCAGCAACCCTGGACTCTACCCATTAGATACAGTAGTATCCATCCCAATTTTGGCAACCAAAAATGGCTCCAGACATTGCCAGATGTGCCTTGAGGGACACAGTTACCTCCAGTTGAGAACCGTGGCCCAAGTGGATGCTGGACTCTTCCTCCCAACACTCCTGGGCTGTGGTCATCTGGTTTCTGCTGTCCCAGTGTCCCACATCCCCTCACATCATAAGGCAATGATTCCATCTACTCTGGGGTCAAATTTCTCTGCTAACCACAGGCTGAAATTTGAGGTGGCCGGCGGTGGGTGGGGGGTGGTTTCTTGGTACTGAAGTTGTTCACAGCTCAATGCAAGCATCAGGAAACCCCTAGGCCCCTGGGTGCCGCCCGCACCCCAGCCCCTCCTTCCTGCCCTAATAGTGGCCTCCTAGGTGGTTGGACTTCCTGGAATGTTTAGCACGCTCTAGCCAGTGGGGGCCCCCTTGGCTGCTCCCAGCTCCCAAGCTAACCGTTCTCTGCAACCTCTCTGTCTCCAGTGGCTTTTCTTAAATTCCTTAAATAGCAACTCCCAGTTTCCTCATTCCACGTCCACTCGTAGAAGAGCTGAGGGAGAAAGTTAATCTAGGTTAACCAGCACCTTCCTCTCTCTCTAGGTTTTTTGTTTTTTTGATGCATGGAGGAAGTTATTTCTTCATTTGACAACTTAAACAAAAAATACTCCTGTATTATCTCCAGATGGTCTTAAGGTGGCTCATAATTCAGAGAGCTGCTTTTCTGTTTTTTCTTTTTCTTTTTTTTTTTTTTTTTGAGACAGAGTTTCACTCTGTTGCCCAGGCTGGAGTGCAATGGCACGATCTTGGCTCTCTGCGACCTCTGCCTTGGTTTCAAGCGATTCTCATGTCTCAGACTCCCGAGTAGCTGGGACTACAGGCATGCGCTACCACACCTGGCTAATGTTTGTATTTTTAGTAGAGATGGGGTTTCACCACGTTGGCCAGGCTGGTCTCGAACTCCTGACATCAGGTGATCTGCCCGCCTCGGTCTCCCGAAGTGTTGGGATTACAGGCATGAGCCCCTGCGACTGGCCTGCTTTTGTTTTAAGTGAGAGACATGAAGTAAAAGGAAAATAACAGGAAGAAGAGTAAAAGAAGACAGAGGTGCTAGGAGCTTTAGAAGTGTGGAGCTGGCCGGGCATGGTGTCTCATGCCTGTAATCCCGGCACTTTGGAAGGCCGAGGCAAGCAGATCACTTGAGGCCAAGAGTTCGAGACCAGGCTGAGCAACATGTCAAGACCCCACCTCTACAAAAAATACAAAAAAAAAATTAGCTGGGTGTGATGGTGCACATCCTGTAGTCCCAGTTGCTCAGGAGGCTGAAGTGGGAGAATCGCCTGCGCCTGGGAGATGGAGGTTGCAGTAGGCCGAGATCGCACCACTGCGCTCCAGCCTGGGTGCAGAAGCCAGATCCTGTCTCAGGAGAAGACAGAAACATGGAACCAGTTAACGTGGGCTTTGTCTCCGACACTCTCCCCTTCCCTGTGCCCTCGTACCACACTTCCTGTTCCGTATCCTCTTTTTTTGAGTTTATCGTGATGGATGTTTTAGAAAGATCCACCTGCTGTGATGTGCTGTGTGTAGAGTGGTGTGGCTGGGGGAGGAAGACAGAGGACCTGGGGAGAAGGGTGAACGACCTCCCTTTGCACCTCAAGGAGGGCCCAGCGGTCTGATGCTGGCCACCCCAGTGGAGAGAGGTTTGCATGTGGACGCCAGCTGTTTCCCACTGACCTTGGCCACTGCTCGGCCCTCCCAGCTGGAGCTGCCCCGAACCTGCCTGAGAAGGGCCAGGGCATCGAGAGCATTGAGTAATTCTCATGCGGCCCCCGCCTCTGCAGTCATCTCCCAAGATGATCGTCCAGATGGCGCAACCCCATCTTACAAGGACAAAGCTGCTTGCAGTTTCCTTCTGCTTTCTGGGTCTGGGGCTGCCTCCAGAACTGCAGGTTGAGTTTCTTCTTTCAGAACCCGTGGCTGATGTCACCAGATAATAATGCCTAGCGCCATTCGTGCCAAGCGTCTGGGGTTGAACCATTCAAGCAGAGAAAGAGAGTGTTCTGTGCATGTGGAGTCGCACAGCTCAGCCTGTCCCTGACATGTCTCTGTGCTTTGTAGGCGGGGGCACGAACAGCATCACCGTGAGGAATGCCACATTCACCTGGGCCAGGAGCGACCCTCCCACACTGAATGGGTAAGCCGGGACGTGGACACACGTGATGGTGTGGAGAGAGCCACAGGGCTTTTGTTAAACGTGGATTCGAATTCCCACCGTGCTCCCTCTCTGTGACCTTGAACAACTCACTTTGCCTTTCTAAGACTTAGCTTACCCATCTGGACAATGGGTGCAGATACACCTGCTTAGGCTGTCGTGAGAAGCAGACACACATGCCTAGCACAGAGGGTTCCCTGGGATTGTAAGTTACAGCAGCCTTGGACAGCTAGACTTAGACAATACAGGAGATTCTTGGCTTGCGTAACTGGGAAGTTCTACTTTCAGGTGCGGTGTGATCCAGGGACTCTGCCGTCAGAACTTTCTTCATATTTTCTGTGTTTCACTTTCTCCTGGTCTGCTTTATCCTCACGCATCCTCTCCCCTTGTGATGGTAAATGGTCCCAACAGCTCCCACTGTGTATCCCACTGTTAGGAGAACTGCCTGCTTCTTATTGACCCAGATTGGGTCCTGTGCCCTCTGTGAGGCAATCGCTATGCCTTCAGACACTGAGTGTGCTGATTGGCCAGTCTCAGTCAGGGGCTGTGATGCTGCTGAACTCCAGTGCCCCTCAGCTGCCCAGCTCACCCTTTCTTGCCAGCTTTCTATCTGGCACCCCACACCCTACAGTCCTTACCTTTCCAAAGCACATGATGTCTAGGAAATTGACCTTATCCCCAGGCAACTTGTCAAGCACCTCTCATTTTGTTCTGACCAGAGGCCTTGATCAACAGCTTTTTAGGCCCCCTTAAGGAATCCGCAAAACACAGGGGTGATGGGACCCTTTTAGAGGTTTAGCTCATGCCTGGGTAGCCAAATCACTGCTGTATTTTATGATGAAGGAGAGAAACTCTCCAGAGAAAACAATCTGTAGAAGGCCTGCATTGAAAATTCATGGGGGTACTGCATGCTTAGGAAGTTCTTCCTTATGTCTAACTTAAATCCTGCCTGCTTCAATTGTAGCTGTTCTGTCTTGTTGAGCTGCACAACTAATCTGTATCTGTGTCCCTTTCCTGACCCAGTGGTTTTCCTGTTCAGTTACCTTCCCCCCATGAGCCCCCAGAACCTTTCTCTAACCCTTTTCTCTCATCAGCCTGTAAGAATATTTCAGTCTCACGTGGACAGTGGCAGGTACTGTCTCACGTGGACAGTGGCAGGTATTGTCTCACTGGGCTTCCTGCCCACTCAGGCCCCATAATCCTTTCCCCTCCCAGCACAGGAACAAAAAGCCTGATGAGTGTCACCATGCAGCAGTGTCATAAGAATGAAACAATCAGTGACAGCAACGACTATCAGCATTTCCACTAATACTCTGAAATCAGAAAGGTGGCAGTTAAAAAGCACAGAATCCCAGCACTTTGGGAGGCCAAGGTGGGCACATCACCTGAAGTCCGAAGTCTGAGACCAGCTTGGCCAACATGGTGAAACCCTGTCACTACTAAAAATAAAAAAACTAGCTGGGCATGGTGGTGCATGCCTGTAATCCCAGCACTTTGGGAGGCTGAGGCGGGCAGATCACTGGAGGTCAGCAGTTCGAGACCAGCCTGGCCAATGTGGGGAAACCCCATCTGTACTAAAAATACAAAAATTAGCTGGATGTGGTGGCGCTCGCCTGTAATCCCAGCTACTTGGGAGGCTGAGGCACAAGAATCATTTGAACCTGGGAGGCACAGGTTTCAGTGAGCCAAGATTGAGCCACTGTACTCCAGCCTGGGCCACAGAGTGAGACTCTTGTCTCAAAAAAATAAATAAATACTTAAGTAACTAAATACAGATAAATAAAAAATAAAAGCACATTCCATATAAGTGAGTCCAGCAAAGGTTTGGATGTGCCCTCCCTTCCCTGGGAGGATGGAAACCCTGCTCTGGAGGTGCCGTCGGCAGTGGGAGTGGCCTGGGGTTGACCTGCCCCATTGACAGCCGGTCTTACTGGGTGAATGCTGAGCTTATTTTATTTTGCTTTCTGCTGTTCGTTAAAGGATGATTTCAATAGAGACATCTTCCTGAAATTCAACTCAGATTTATTCATATGCGTTTCCCTTTTCAACCCTTTGGTGGCTCCCGGCTGGCAGAGTTCAGGTGTCTTAGCACAGCGTCCTTCCAGGGCATATTTCAAGGTGCTCCCAGGTCTGGCCACTACCTACCTCAGTGCCATCGCATCCCTGGTTACACCCTGTGCCTTCACCCCTTTACACCTTTCTCCGGCTCTCCACATGTTTCTGTGTGTGGGACACTCCTGCTTTTTGTCAGAGTTTTTTGGTTTATTTATTTTCTGAGACAGAGTCTCACGCTCTTGCCCAGATCGGAGTGCAGTGGCACGATCTCAGCTCACTGTAACCTCCGCCTCTTGGGTTCAAGTGATTCTTGTGCCTCAGCCTCCTCAGTAGCTGGGACCACAGGCCCTGCCACCACCACGCCTGGCTAATTTTTATATTTTTAGTAGAAACGGGGTTTCACCATGTTGGCCAGACTGGTCTCGAGCTCCTGACCTCGTGATCCGCCTGCGTTGGCCTCCCAAAGTGCTGGGATTACCAGCACTGGCATGAGCTACCGTGTCCGGCCCCAGTTTGTCTTGAGGTGTCCTCTCCTTTCAGACCTTGCGTCATGCCCCCAGTAAAGTTTCTGCCTCTCCGAGGGGCAAAAACTGTTCCAGAAGCCCACTGTGACAGGATCCCTCAGGTTACTCCCTGCCTCACTTCTCTAAGGGACACCTGTCACCTGCCTCCCACCTGGAGGCCCCCTGAGACAGGTCACTGAACTGAACTCAGCAGTAGAAATGGAAGGAATGTTGAGGCCTTCAGTGTTTAGTACAGTCTTGCCTTCTGTCTTTCTCTTTCTCTACTTGGGGTAAATTGAGGCTCGGTGGCCATGGGCATTAGCCCGGCAGGCCTCATTCAGCGTGGCTGAGCCAGGTGTGTTGTGTCGTTTCAGCATCACCTTCTCCATCCCCGAAGGTGCTTTGGTGGCCGTGGTGGGCCAGGTGGGCTGCGGAAAGTCGTCCCTGCTCTCAGCCCTCTTGGCTGAGATGGACAAAGTGGAGGGGCACGTGGCTATCAAGGTAGGATGAGGACCAGCGGGGAGGGGCAGTGGGGAAGCTGGTGGTCTGAGGAAAAGCTCAGAAATGATGGTGTTTCTTTTGACTGTCCCTGTGCCAGAAGCGAAAGCAGCAACGTCTCTTTTCCTCCTCCTCCTGTATCTTTCCACTGTCTCTTTCTCTCTCGTTCTTTCTGTTCTGTTCCGTGCTGTCCTAGAAGGCAGGATTTTGGTATCATTTATTTCCATCTGTCTCCCAGCACTTAAAATAGTGCCCAGTATATAGTAGGCACTTAATAAATATTTATTTTGTTACCTCTTTATTAAGCTGTTATTTTATTATTATTATTATCATTATTATTGTGTTTTTTTTTTTTTGAGACAGGGTCAGGCTCTGTCCCGCAGGCTGGAGTGAAGTGGCGTGATCTCGGCTCACTGCAGCCTCTGCCTCCTGGGTCCAAGCGATTCTCCCTCAGCCTCCCGAGTAGCTAGGATTACAGGCATGCGCCACCATGTCCAGCTAATTTTTATATTTTTTTAGTAGAGACGGTGTTTTACCATGTTGGCCAGGCTGGTCTCAAACTCCTGACCTCAAGTGATCTGCACACCTCTGTCTCCCAAAGTGCTGGGATTGCAGGTGTGAGCCACCGCATTTGGCCACTTAAGAAATACTTAGTAGACACACGAAGACTCCCTGGTACGCAGCCTGTGTCTCCTTCCCTTGCGTCTCTGCCTGTCACTGAGTGTCTCTTGGTCTGTTTGGGTCTTTTTGGATTGTTCTTTATCTTTATGGATCTCTGAGTATCTATTCTTATAAATGTAACAAAACAAAAATGTTTATGTGGTTGGAATATTTTCTTAGAACATTTTTTAAAGGGAACAGTTTAAATTTTTAGTGTTGAATTCTTAATATGGAGCTAAAAGAAGACTGCAGTTTTACTGCTTTTAAATACACAGTGTACTTTGAAGTAAGTTGAAATTCCCCAGGAGTGAGCTTAAGAGGCTCCTTTACAAATAATCCCCACTGGAAATCAACAGCCTTTGTTTGCATTTAGTTCACTCCCCATGAAGGCCTTTTCCTAGTGTAACGACACGTCCCTGGAAGTTTTGCTACCAGCATTTCCAGGAGTGTGGTCTGCAGCCAGCTCATCTTGCAGGACATTTGGGCGATAAAGAACCCCAGGCTCAAAGAAGCGTGGGAAATAATGCATACTCCAGCCCCCTCCCTCTTGGAGACTTACAGTAAACATTAGCAAATTAAAGGCTCTGACAAGTCCTGCAAGGAGAAAAAATCTATTAACTGTTTAACCTTATGTGTCCCAGGTGTACTTGTCCGCACCTCTTTAGTGTCTGTGCAACTGCACATTTGTCTCTTGGAATCTGCCTTTGGGAATGTCAAGTTTATGACGTTGTTTGTTGTTGTGGGTTTTGAGACAGAGTTTTTTTTGTTGCCCAGGCTGGAGTGCAGTCGTGTGATCTTGACTCACTGCAACCTCTGCCTCCTGGGTTCAACCGATTCTTCTGTCTCAGCCTCTTGAGTAGCTGGGATTATAGGCACCCACCATTACTGCACCCGGCTAATTTTTGTATTTTCAGTAAAGACGGGATTTTACCATGTTGACCTGGGTAGTCTAGAACTCCTAACCTCAGGTGATCTCCCCATCTCGGCTTCCCAAAGTGCTGGGATTACAGGCGTGAGCCACCGCTCCTGGCCTAGTTAATGACATTGTTTTTATTTCAGAGCAAAACCCTTTCTTTGATTATACAGTGCCTTTAGAAAGTATACATTGTGGTTGGGTCCAAATTAATGACCTTTAGCTGTTGTTTTAAGAAATGTTTTATCATTACTTTCAAGTTCCTGCCATAAAATAAGATGAATGAACCATGAGAGCTAGATTAATGGAAGAAAATTCCAAATCCCGATGGGATCCACATTGCTTTCTGTTTCCTTAACCCCAGCTTTCTGCTATCCTGGCACTATTAGCATTTCAGGCCAGATGATTATTTATTATTGGTTGTTTGGCCTAGGTAAGGGGAGTGCTAGAAATGTATATAAAATATTTATCTTTTCCCAAATGTTTTAGTTGGTGTGGTTTGTGTATATTATGTCTGAAATTTCTGTGGGTTCTATGGTAAGGCACCACTGTTGACATTTTGGCTTTTTAAAAGTTAGGATATTCAAGTCAGCAGGTTAATTATTTGAGAATTTAGAGTAAGAATGAGGGTACCTGGGACCTGCTGTCAGCTTTGCCCTCTCTAGAATTCCCTTATTCAAGAATCTTCTGGCTGGGCGCGGTGGCTCACATCTGTAATCCCAGCACTTTGGGAGGCTGAGGCAGGTTGATCACCTGAGGTCAGGAGTTTGAGACCAGCCTGACCAGCATGGCGAAACCCCGTCTCTACTGAAAATACAAAAATTAGTGGGCCTGGTGGTGTGTGCCTTTAGTCCCAGCTACTCAGGAGGCTGAGGAAGGAGAATCCCTTGAGCCCGGAGGCAGAGACTGCAGTGAGCTGAGATCTTGACACTGTATTCCAGCCTGAGCGACAGCAAGGCTTCGTTTCAAAAAAAAATCTTCAGGGGCTCCCCTTGCCCCTCTGATAAAGCCCATGCTCCCCACCAAGTATAGGCCCCCTTGCTGTCCCTGGTGTGTTTTCTGCCAGTCGTTCCCTCACAGGATTGATCGATGTTCCTGTCACGCTGGCCTTTCTGTTCCTTGAATGTGCCAAGTACTTTTCACTTCCAGGCCTTCGCATGTGCTGTTCCCTCGGACTTGAATGCTCTTCCCTCTTCTCCTCATGAAACTGACTCATTCTTCACTTTTTGGTTCTTGTCTAAACATATGTTTGAGCTGAGCATGATGGCTCATGCCTATAATCCCAGCACTTCAGGAGGCCAAGGCAGGAGGATTGCTTGAGGCCAGGAGTTTGAGACCAGGCTTAGCAACATGGCAAGATTTTGTTTCTACAAACGTAATAAATATATAGAGAATTAACTACCTCAGCATTTTCATTAGCAAAATACACAAAACAAATATCCTTACTCTAGCCTTTATTCTCATGCTGTTTGTGATACCTGACATATGGAAATAAAAATAAGCCTTTGAAATGGATGCTTGATATAGGAGTCTTTGCTTCAATTTTTAGCAAGGATATTTCCTCAAAGATCCTTCCCGGATGTCCCAAACTAGGTCAGTCTTTTAATTTTTTTGAGACAGGATCTTGCTCTGTGGTCCAGGCTGGAGTGCAGTGGCACGGTGCAATCTCAGCTCGTGGTACCTCCATTTCCTGGGCTCAGGTGATCCTCCCACCTCAGCCTCCCAAGTAGCTGGGACTACAGATGCACAGCGCCATGCCTGGCTAATTTTTCTATTTTTTTTAGAGATGGGATTTCTCTATGTTGTCCAGGCTGGCTTTGAACTCCTGACCTCAAGCAGTCTGCCTGCCTTGGCCTCCCAAAGTGCTGGGATTACAGGCATGAGCCACTGCGCCTAGTCAAGTTAGACTCTTAAAAAGTGTCATATATCTTTTTATCTTTGCGTCCACCGTAACTGTAATCAAGTAGTTTTCCGTCACCTGAGGGACTTCCACTCTTTGGAAGCAGGGGTTTTGATCACCGCTGTAGGCATTGAGTTAATAGCTAGCTACTAAGTAAATAACTGTAATCTTATCAACGAGGATATCAACTCTTTGACTCCTGATATTGGAGTCAGTGATTCACCTGCTGTGGGTTCTGATCCCAGCCCTGGCATCTGTTGTCCTTTGTGAGTCAGTTTCCCTCTTGCCAAAGCAATAGTTGTGATGAAAATGACTTGTGAAGTGAGGCCCTCCTAGCAGGCGGGTGGGCCAGCTGTTGTCTCGTTGATCAGATCTGTCTGTGTGTCTGTCTCACCTCGTTCTCCATTTGCAACTTAGGGCTCCGTGGCCTATGTGCCACAGCAGGCCTGGATTCAGAATGATTCTCTCCGAGAAAACATCCTTTTTGGATGTCAGCTGGAGGAACCATATTACAGGTCCGTGATACAGGCCTGTGCCCTCCTCCCAGACCTGGAAATCCTGCCCAGTGGGGATCGGACAGAGATTGGCGAGAAGGTCAGTATAGGTTGGATGTTGGCCCCTGAATCAGTCAGCTGTTGCCGCGTAACAAATGCTCTCACAATCTCAGTGGGCTGTGAGTCTGCTGCTATCAGCTGACCCGGCAGGGCTCAGCTGGGCGGCTCTGCTGCACGCTGCAGGCCAGCTGAACTTGGGTCCAGGCTGTGGGTGTGGCTCAGGTCTCACTTACAGAGCTTTTGCTGGGGACCGGGGTGAGGGGTCCACAGCTTTCCAAAGGGGGGCTCTTCTCATGGTGGCAGCAGAGGCCCAAGATAGGCCCCCCAGAAAGCATGCAATGTCCCTTAAAGTACACTGTCCCTTCTACTCACAAAGCAAGTCACTTGGCCAAGCTCAAAGGCAAGGGACCAAGAAGGAAGTACATTCTACCTTTGTGGTCACATGACTGCAGAGTCACATGACAGAGGGCATGCTGTTGGGAGGAGGGGAGTCGATGATTCATATGTTCACAGTCCCTGTCAAGATAGCCATAATACTGAAAATAGCACAATAGCTAACACTTACTGAGCATTTTCTCTTTCTTTTCTTTCTTTCTTTTTATTTATTTATTTATTTTTGAGATGGAGTCTTGCTCTCTTGCCCAGGCTGGAGTGCAGTGGCACGATCTCAGCTCACTGCAACCTCTGCCTCCCGCGTTCAGGTGATTCTCCTGCCTCAGCTTCCTGAGGGGCTGGAATTACAGGTGCATATCACCACACTCGGCTAATTTTTGTATTTTTAGTCGAGGCAGGGTTTCACCATGTTGGCCAGGTTGGTGTCTAACTCCTGACCTCAAGTGATCCGCTGGCCTCAGCCTCTCAAAGTTCTTTTTTTTTTTTGAAATGGAGTCTCTCTCTGTCGCCCAGGCTAGAGTGTAGTGGCTCACTCTTGGCTCATTGCAACCTCTGCCTCCTGAGTTCAAGTGATTCTCCTCCCTCAGCCTCTTGAATAGCTGGGACTACAGGCCCCTGCCACCACGCACAGCTAATTTTTGTATTTTTATTCGAGGCAGGGTTTCACCATGTTGGCCAGGTTGGTGTCTAACTCCTGACCTCAAGTGATCGGCTGGCCTCAGCCTCTCAAAGTTCTTTTTTTTTTTTTGAAATGGAGTCTCTCTCTGTCGCCCAGGCTAGAGTGTAGTGGCTCACTCTTGGTTCAACCTCTGCCTCCTGAGTTCAAGTGATTCTCCTCCCTCAGCCTCTTGAATAGCTGGGACTACAGGCCCCTGCCACCACGCACAGCTAATTTCTGTATTTTTAGTAGAGATGGGATTTCGCTGTGTTGGCCATGCTGATCTTGAACTCCTGGCCTCAGGTGATCTGCCCGCCTCTGCCTCTCACAATGCTGGGATTACAGATGTTAACCACCTCGCCCGGCCTATAACTTGAGTATTTTCTGTATGTTGGGAACTATGCTAAACATTTTACACGTAATTCTTCCCCACAGCAAGCCCATGGGTGGAATTTGTTGTTATACCTAGGTAATCATTGAGGAAAAAGGAGGCACAGAGAGGCCAAGTGACTTACCTGAGGCCACACAGCCACAGAGCTGCAGAGAGCATGGTTCCTGTGTCCATGTTGTTACCTGCTCATTTTGTCATCTCTAAAAGGGCCATTCTCTGCCTCTCACCACTGCAGACCCTCCCTCCTGCTGTGCTCCATCTCCCAGGTTTTCCTGCTGCTTCACAGCAACCCCCAGCCCCTGCCCACCTCCACACCTTGGTCTGAGCCTTCAAGGCCTGGGGTGCCTCCCCTGCTGCTTGCCTGGCCACTTTGCTCTGGCACCCCATGGTGGTCGTCTGGTGTGTCCCCTCTTGGAAGACCAAGAGTGCAAAGCACTGGCCCATTTCTGTTTTTAGTTACAAGCCAGGGGCTCTGTCGGCTTTCTTACGTGGTGAATGATGTTTAAAAATTGAGATAAGCCTGCAGCTCCTTGGAAATAAAAAACGAATTATTGGCTGGGCGCGGTAGCTCACGCCTATAATCCCAGCACTTTGGGAGACCAAGGTGGGAGGATTGTCTGAGGTCAGGAGTTCGAGACCAGCCTGGGCAACATGGTGAAAACCCACCTCTACTAAAAATACAAAAAGTTGCCAGGCATGGTGCCGTGCACCTGTGGTCCCAGCCACTTAGGGGGCTGAGGTGAGAGGATTGCTTGAACCTGGGAAGCGGAGATTACAGTGAGCTGAGATTGTGCCACTGCACTCCAGCCTGGGCGACAGAGTGAGATTCTGTCTCCAAAAACAAAAAGAAGGCACGTGGCTGCCAGGACCCCACCTCAGTGCATGGGAGTCAGGGCAGGCATCTCAGGAGGGACTGGGCAGTAACCTGTGATTTCCAGCCAAATAGGGAAACGACGTTGGCTTATCTGTCATGGTGGGAGCTGGCGCTGCTGCTGGTCCATGCATTGTCCTTCCTCCTGGTGACTGGGATGTGGGCTGGATTTCAGCATCCCCAGGCCGGAGCCTTGCTTCACCTATATGTGGCTTTGCCAGACAGTGACAGATCCAGAGTAAGCTGGCAAACATGGCAGCTGTCACCAACAGCAGCAGTAACAATAATATGACCACGTCCACCAGCGCCTTCCATGAGACTAAGGGATCACGGCCTTCCCACTGGTCAACATGATTTGGTGCCGTCAGCCATCCTTTGCTGAGCACTTGCTGTGCACCACGTGCCCTGCTCAGCACCTCACGGGAGATTCAGGTTTTCTCTTTTGCCCAGTTGACAGGTGGGGCTAAACCCTGTGCCTGTGATCCCATCCTTGGTGGTGGTGGAGCTGGGGCCTGGCTCCAGGTTTGTGCAGGCGTGACCTCATGCCTTCAGCATCAAACTTAAAGAAGAGGAGGTGGGTGCAGCTCTGCAGGGCCTTCACCCAGGACCTGCTGTGTCCTGAGCAGGCTCTATGCCTTTCTTTCTTTCTTGTTTAAAGAGACAGGGTCTCATTCTGTCGCCCAGGCTGGAGTGCAGTGGCCCAGCCATAGCTCGTTGCAGCCTGGAACTCCTGGGCTCAAGCCATCTTCCCACTCAGCCTCCTGAATAGCTGGAACTACAGGCGCACATCAGCAGGCTTGGCTAATTTTTTCTTTTCTTTTCTTTTCTTTTTTTGTAGAGACAGGGTCTCCCTATATTGCTCAGGCTGGTCTCAAACCCCTGGTCTCAAGCAGTCCTTCCACCTTGGCCTCCCAAAGTTCTGGGATCACACCACACTCGGCCTGCTTCTACGTATTGTGAGTCTCAAGATTTCCCAGGAAACCCACTCCTGTGTGTGTCTCTCCCCAGGGCGTGAACCTGTCTGGGGGCCAGAAGCAGCGCGTGAGCCTGGCCCGGGCCGTGTACTCCAACGCTGACATTTACCTCTTCGATGATCCCCTCTCAGCAGTGGATGCCCATGTGGGAAAACACATCTTTGAAAATGTGATTGGCCCCAAGGGGATGCTGAAGAACAAGGTGCCTGCTGGCGGGGTGGGGCTTGGTGTTGGGCCGTCTCGCCCTTTGGTTAAGTCAGAACGTGTCCCCTTTAGGAGTCCTTTACTTTCTCTGGCTTTCTTTGTTTTTAATTGGACTTTAAAGAACACATTTCTCATGCTTGTCTTGGAAGCCTTCCTAAGACAGCCGTCTTGTACTTGTCTTTATAGGGGTAAGTCCTCCGCGCAGAGTTAAATTCATTGCCTCTCCATGGCCAAGGGAGGCCTCTCTTCCTGATTAAGTCACAGGGCTGGCTTCTTAGCGGGGAATCCCACTCCAAGACATTGCCTGTGACCTAGCAGGCTGCATTTTCTTACTTGCAGAGGTGTCTGTGGGTAGAGGGGTCGGAAAATTGCCACAACACCTTAACATAATAGGAAATAGTTCCTGTGTTCTTTTTATAGGGCAGTTGTGGTAATGGGTACACACTGGCTCTTTTTTTTCTCCCCCTGATTTTATTTTTTTGAGGTGGAGTTTCGCTACTGTTGCCCAGGCTGGAGTGCAGTGGCATGATCTCAGCTCACTGCAACCTCCGCATCTCGGGTTCAAGCACTTCTCCTGCTTTGGCCTCCCAAGTAGCTGGGATTACAGGTGCCCACCACCACGCCTGGCTAATTTTTTTTATTTTTAGTAGAATCGAGGTTTCACCATGTTGGTCAGGCTGGTCTCGAACTCCTGACCTCAAGTGATCTGCCCGCCTGGGTCTCCTGCAATGCTGGGATTACAGGCGTGAGCCACCACACCCGGCTGTTTCTGCTGATTTTAAAACTAACACATCCCCATGGGGGGCATATAGATTAAGAAAAACATGAAAAAGAAAAATGGAAGCAGTTACACACATTCCACTGGTTAGAGGTTTTGTATTTTTTTCAAGTCTTTTTGCTCTGTGTATAAACTTTTTAAATAGGGTTATCTTGTTCCACGTATATATACAGGAAACATCGTGCTACATGACCTCTTGTAATCGTTCCCATACATACCACTAACATTCTGTGTAAACATATTTTAAAATAGTACAAAACATTTTTGAAAATTACTAAGTAATACATGCCCATTGTAACAAAATTGAAAAGTACAAGAATATGGATATCTTCTTATAATATATGTGTGTATGCGTGTGTGTGTGTGTGTGTGTGTGTGTGCATGTATATAAAGTAAATAAAGCTGGGCACGGTGAGTAATCCCAACACTTTTGGAGGCCTAGACCAGTGGATCACCTGAGGTCAGGAGTTCGAGACCAGCCTGGCCAACATGGTGAAACCCCATCTCTACTAAAAATACAAAAATCAGCCGAGTGTGGTGATGCATGGCTGTAATCCCAGCTACTCGGGAAGCTGAGGCCGGAGAATGTCTTGAACCCGGGACGTGGAGGTTGCAGTGAGCTGAGATTGCGCCACTGCACTCTAGCCTGGGTAACAGAGCGAGACTCCGTCTCAGAAAATATATCTAAATAAAGTAAATAAAATAGTCCCTCTTCATCCTGCATCCCTAATCTTTAATTCTTCTCTTAGAGAGCAAGGGTTAGCAAATCTGGCCCACTGCCTGCTTTTTATATGGCTCTTGAGCTAAGAATGATGTGTGTATTTTTAAATAGAAGAAATCTAAACAGGAAGAATATTTTATGACATTTGAAAATCGTATTAAATTTAGATATCAGTGTCCATAAATAAAACTTTATTGGAACATGGCCAATGTATTTTTTTTCTTTTTTTTTCTGCAGACAGGGTTTTCCTCTGTTGTCCAGGCTGGAGTGCAGTGCCACAGTCATGGCATGGTAGCCTCCAGCTCCTCGGCTGAATCAATCCTCCTGCCTTCTGAGTAGCTCCTGGGACCACAGGCATGCAGCACCATGCCTGGCTAATTTATTTTTATTTTTATTTTGTGGAGACAGGTCTCACTATGTTTCCCAGGCTGGTTTCAAACTCTTGGCCTCAAGGAATCCTCCCGTTTTGGCCTCCCAAAGTGCTGGGATTACAGGTGTGAGCCACCGCACGTGTCCTGTTCTTTAAAGCATCGTCTACAGCTGCTTCAACTCGGCAGGGCTGAGTTGGTGCCATGGCAACTGTAAGATCCATAAAGCTGAAAAGATTGACCGTTAGCTGTTTAAGGAAACATATGCTGACTTCTATTAATAGTTTGATGAATGTCTTCCCAAACTTTCAGATTTGCAGATAAAATGTATGCATGTGCATATTTTGTAGTGGTTTTGGGGGTGGCTGACAGCGGGAGTTGTTTTAGAAAAAAATTAAGCCAGAGCTGGGCACGGTAGCGCATGCCTGTAGTCCCAGCACTTTTGTAAGCCAAGGGCGAATGGATCGCTTCAGTTCAGGAGTTCAAGATGAGCCTGGACAACATGATGAGACCCCTGTCTTGACAAAAAATACAAAAATTATCTGGGCATGGTGGCACGTATCTGTAGTCCCAGCTACTTGGGAGGCTGAGGCAGGAGAATCGCTTGAACCCAGGAAGCATAGGTTGTGGTGAGCCGAGGTCGCACCACTGCACTCCAGCCTGGGCGACAGAGCGAGACCCTATCTCAAAAAGAAAAAAAAAAAAGAAGAAAAAAATTAAGCCATTGGGCTGGGCGCAGCGGCTCACACCTGTAATCCTAAAACTTTGGGAGGCCAAGATAGGCAGATTGCCTGAGGTCAGGAGTTTGAGACCAGCCTGGGCAACATGGTGAAACGCCATCTCTACTAAAATACAACAACAAAAAAATCAGCCAGGTGTGGTGGCGGGCGCATGTAATCCCAGCTACGCGGGAGGGAGGCTGAGGCACGGGAATTGCTTGAACCCGGGAGGCGGAGGTTGCAGTGAGCCGAGACTGTGCCACTGCACTCCAGCCTGGACAACAAAGTGAAACTCTGTCTCAAAAAAAAAAAAAAAAGCCATTGCATACAAACTGTTTTGCTGTGGCACCATCCTTTTATTCCTTTACACACTTGTATGGTTCCCTCCCTACCTCTTGTCATTCAGGTTTTTGTTAAAAAATAACCTTCCCCATTACCTTTGTTAAAATTGCAAAACCCGCACACTTGGTACACCCGTTCCCCTTTTTGCTGTGTTTTTGCCATTCAGCAAGCACTATTCTACTAGTGTTCGTTTCTCCTGCGGCCCTGGAATCTGGGGCAGGGGTCTTTGTTTCCTTCCCCTTCCCCAGCTTTTAGCTCAGCACCTGAGGCGTGGCAGGCCCTTTGCACATGCATGTTACAGGACCGTGTGCACAGGTTCAGCTGCTCCTGGATGCTGTTATCGCGGGTGCATGTCCCACCTTCAGACCTGAGTTTTGCCCACCAGGTGTTCGTCGGCTCATTCCTCCTTTAGTCTTCACTCTGCCAAGCTAGGCAGTCTCACACATGTGCACTCACGTGGCCGGGTGTCCCCTTTGCCCACAGACGCGGATCTTGGTCACGCACAGCATGAGCTACTTGCCGCAGGTGGACGTCATCATCGTCATGAGTGGCGGCAAGATCTCTGAGATGGGCTCCTACCAGGAGCTGCTGGCTCGAGACGGCGCCTTCGCTGAGTTCCTGCGTACCTATGCCAGCACAGAGCAGGAGCAGGATGCAGAGGAGAACGGTAGGGGCAGCCCCAGGGTTCCACCCACTCAGGGTGTCTGGCACCTTGAAGGGCCACATTGGCCTCTTTGAGGTTGCCACCAGCCACTTGGGGAAGGCGGCTCCTCAGGGCATGAGGGTGGGAGCTGGATGGAGCCCCCTAAAGAAGCAATGTGGAAAACCACCTTAGTCCCTGCAGCGCTGAACTGGGAGAGAGTCTCGGTGCTTTATGGCCAGGGGATGGGAGCACCAGGCTTCAGCTCAGCTGACCTCAGGGCAGGGTCTAGCGCCTTCCTGGAACATGACCTTGGACCTGATGAGTTTCAGGGTCCTTATGGCAAAAATGGGAATGATGGTAATTAAAGTCCTGGCTCTCGGGGCTGAGAGAAACTGAGGACATACGTGACACAAGAGATGTGAGGGTTGTGAGGTGAAGCACGGAGTTAAGCTGGCAGGCTCGGGTTGGTGACGTCTGGGTTCAATCCCCGGCCGCTCATCTCCCCAGCTATGTGACCTGAGGCCTGCCCTTCAGACCCATCTGAGCTTCACTTTCCTCCCTCATAAAGCAGTTCAGCAGGGCCAGACGTGGTGGTTCCCAGCACTTGTAATCCCAACACATAGAGAGGCTGAGGTGGGAGGATCGCTCCAGCTCAGGAGTTTGAGACCATCCTCAGTAGCATGGCGAAACCTCATCTCTACAAAAAATACAAAAAATTTGCCAGGCACAGTGGCTCACGCCTGTAATCCCAGCACTTTGGGAGGCCGTGGTGGGTGGATCCCTTGAAGCCAGGAGGAATTCAAGACCAGCCTGGCCAACATACTGAAACCCCAACTCTACAAAAAAAAAAAAAAAAAAATTCAGATGCTATTAAGTGCTTTGGAGGGGAAACAAAAAAGACAATGCCATGGGCTGAGGAGTGATGGGTGTCATTGTGGCAACTCAGGCAGGGGATAGGGAAACCCTCTCTGGGGAGGTTGCATTGGCATGGGAAGGAGCCAGCAGGGAGAAGATCTGGGAAGTGTTGTGGGCAGAGGGAACAGCCAGTACAAAGGCCTCAGGACCAGCATGAGCTCAATTTGTTTACAAAACAAAAAGGGTGGTGTGGCCAGACCATGGTGTGCCAGGACGTGGGGGGCAGGAGAAGAGGTCAGCACAGTGATTGTCCTGCAGGGCCTTCCAGGTGGGTTTTGGTCTAACTGCCCTGGGAAGCCACTGAGTGTCAGAGAGGCAAAGTGACCAGCCCCAGGATACACAGCAGCTGCTGGCAGGGTTGGTTCTCAAGTTGGTCTCTGAGTTTCTCATCCTTTGCCTGGGGTGGGAGCTCCTTCTCTGCAGAGGTCCTAGTGATCTCTAATAAGTGCTTTCTTGAGATGTAATTCACACACGTAGGCTGGGCGCAGTGGCTCACGCCTGTAATCCCAGCACTGTGGGAGGCTGACACAGGTGGATCACCTGAGGTCAGGAGTTGGAGACCAGCCTGGCCAACATGATGAAACCCTGTCTCTACTAAAAATACAAAAATTATCCTGGCGTGGTGGCGCACGCCTATAGGCCCAGCTACTGGGGAGGCTGAGGCAGGAGAATAGTTTGAACCTTGGAGGCGGAGGTTGCAGTGAACCGAGATCGTGCCACTACACTCCAGCTTGGGCAACAGAGCAAGACTTCGTCTCAGAAAAACAAAACAAAACAAAACAAAAATTCATACAACATACAATTAACCCACTTAAATCACAAAATCCAACCATCACCACAGTCAGGTTTAGAACTTTTTTTAATCACCCCCAAAAGAAACCCCAATCCATCAGCCATGACTCCCTATTTTCCCCAGCACCTCCGAAGCCCTAGGCAACCACTAATCTTTCTGTCTCTCTAGATTTGCTTATTCTGGACATTTCATATAAATGCCATCACAATAGGTGGAATGTTGTGACTGGCGGCTTTTACACTTAGCGTGGTGTTTTCAAGGTTCGTCTATGTTGTAGCTTCATTTCCTTTTATTGCGGAATAATATGCCATTGTGCAGATAGACCATACTGTGTTGATCTGTTCACTGGTTGATGGACATTCAGGTTTTTTCCACTTTCTGACTCTTGTGAATACTGCTGTCATGAGCCCTGGTGGTTTTAAAGGAAAAGTTGGTGGCCGGGTGTGGTGGTTTGTGCCTGTAATCCCACCACTTTGGGAGGCCAAGGCGGGTGGATCACTTGAGGTTAGGAGTTCAAGACCAGCCTGGGCAGCATGGTGAAACCTCGTCTCTACTGAAAGTACAAACATTAGCTGGGATGGTGGTGCACACCTGTAGTCCCGGCTATTCGGGAGGCTGAGGTGGGGGAATCGCTTGAGCCTGGGAGTCAGGCTGCTGTGAGCCAAAATCATGCCACTGCACTCCATCTGGCCTGGGTGACAGAGCAAGACCATGTCTCAAAATACAGTTGGATTTTTGTTTCTTGCCAGTGCATGATAGCTGACATTCCCTTCAGCTTTTAAATTATTTGATTAGACTGAATTTCTGCATGTTCATTCCCTTGTGGTTGGGAAGTTCTACCTTGAGTCTAGCCTGTTTCTTCTTGCTGCAGAATCCCCCTTTGTCTATCTCTCAGCCCGAGCAATGCATTGTGGCAACTTCTCGGTGACTTTTTCACTGACCTGCTTGGCAGGCTACTTTTAGGTGACAATACCCTTTGTGCTCTCTAAATCAAAATGTGTGGGTTTAGCTGAATCTTTTGCCCAGCGTGAGGTCTGTCTCTCTACCCTTCCGTCCAGGTGAGCAAAAAATGTCCTTAAACTCTCTTGGCCCCAGATAGGTTCCGCACCCCCGCCTTTCTTTCCCAGCTGCTAGAGTATCCAAGCAGTGTATACAGAACATGGAAGGCTGCCAGATGCTTTGTGATTTTTGTACACATCAGCACTTAATTTGGTGATGCAAATGCCGCCCACCACCCTGGCACCTCGTGCGTTCATTTTCCCAGTTTGACCTCCCTACCTCCTGCCTTTGAGGTTACATAGAAGTCCTTGGCAGTGGGTCTTACATCAAACTGGGGCACCCCCCTCTCTCACCACCCACCCTTTTCCATTGCTCTGGAGGGGCCCTGGCTATAAAGTCTTGACATCAGGGTCTGGTCTTGCCCAGCCTTAGCCAACTCGAAGCGCCAATGACCTTGGGTTTGTTTAAACCACATTTTTGGCTCTTCCTAAAGGGGAACTTTTTTCCTTGTTGGATTAATCAGCTCTTTTTTTTAGAACACCCAGGCTGAAGGGGTGCAGGTGTTGGTATTTGGTTTGGGAGAATCCTTGAGGGGGGATGGGCAGGAACCAGGCTTGTGAATGGGGCCATACCGACCTCTCTCCCGGGATATTCAGTTTACTGATTTCTAAGAAATATATCTTTTTTACTGTTTGTCTCCCTCTCTCCTTTTTTTTTTTTTTTTTTTTTTAACTTTTAATGGCATTCCTTTTATTCCTAATTTATTCCCATGCCATAAGCTTTTGTTTCTTCAATTTCTTCTGGGATATATTTTTCTTCTGTGCAGCCTCCCCTTCCGGTTTAGGAACAGTTTGTTCCCTTTCAGGCAGGATCATCTGGATGTGGCAGAGTGAGCTCACGTATGGGTTAATCCGACCGACCCTGAGCTCTGTAGGTCCGGCGACGCAACTTAGGTGCTTTCTTCAGTTGGATATGCTCAAGGACCAGAGAATCTGCATCTGAACCCTTAAGTTCAGTGTGACTCTCTGTATTTTTAAGCATGTGCAGCAGAAATTCAGTGCTCTTTTTGGGCCGCCGACCTTGTGGCCAGCCCCACTTCTTGGCCTGGGTACATCTACCAACTCCACCATTATAATGTCAGAATGGTACATGTTGTTTCTGTAAAGTGGCATCTTTCTGATACTTTGTGGCCTTTTGTACGTGCATACCTTTGATGGCCTGGGCGCTTTCAGGAGTGTTCTTTTTCTTTTTCTTTTTTTTGAGACGGAGTCTTGCTCTGTCGCCCAGGCTGGAGTGCAGTGGCGCGATCTTGGCTCCCTGCAAGCTCTGCCGCCCAGGTTCACGCCATTCTCCTGCCTCAGCCTCCCGAGTAGCTGGGACTACAGGCGCCCGCCACCATGCCCAGCTAATTTTTTTTGTATTTTTAGTAGAAACGGGGTTTCACCGTGTTAGTCAGGATGGTCTCGATCTCTTGACGTCATGATCCGCCCGCCTCGGCCTCCCAAAGTGCTGGGATTACAGGCGTGAGCCACTGCGCCTGGCCTTTTTTTTTTTTTTTTTTTTTTGATACAGAGTCTCACTTGTTGCCCAGGCTGGAGTGTAGTGGCACGATCTTGGCTCACTGCAGCCTCCACCTCCCGGGTTCAAGAAATTCTTGTGCCTCAGCCTCTCGAGTAGCTGGAGTTACAGGCATGTGCCACCACGCCCAGCTAATTTTTGTATTTTTAGTAGAGATGGGGTTTCACCATGCTGACCAGGCTGGTCTCAAACTCCTGGCCTCAAGGGATCCTCCTGCCTCAGCCTCCCAAAGTGTTGGGATAACAGGCATGAGCCACCATGCCCGGCCTCACAAATGTTCTTAAGGTGAACACGAAGATTTGAACCTCTTGATCTGCATGATTCTGTGGTGTTTTCTGGATAAAGTGAATAGTGAACCATTTTCACAGATTGCCTCAAGCCCCTTAGGGGAACAAATTTTTAAGGGATTTAAAAAAATGGCTCATTAACCTTCATACCTGGAAGGTAAAACACATCTTCATGACTCTGGTTTCTTTCTTAGGAACCTAATACCTAGAGCAGTGGTTTTCCATCAGGGGCAAATTGCCCCCACCCTGGGGACAGTTGGCAATGTTTGGAGACATGTTGGGATGTCAAAACTGGAGTGGGGTTTGCCCCTGGCAGGCAAGCAGGGTAGAGGCCAGCGATGTCGCTAAACATCCTACAGCACTCAAGACGAATTCCCCCTTACCCTGCCCCCCGTGACAGGGAATCCCCTTGCCAGGACATCCAAAGCACCACGAGCAAGAAACCCTGTGTGCTCCGACTTCACACTGCTGAATTCTTCCCTTGTCCTCTTGGGAGAAGGATCTTTATTCCAACAATGTGGCCATTTTTCTCTTTTAAAAAATTTTATTTATATATTTTTATGTTTTTTTATGGAGATGGGATATCAGTCTGTTGCCCAGGCTGGTCTCGAACTCCTGGGCTCAAGCGATCCTCCCACCTTGACCTCCCAAAATGCAAATGCTGGGATTATAAGCATGAGTCGCGGCACCTGGCCCGTGGCCATTTTTCAAAACCTTGCTTGAACCATCTGTTAACCTCATGGCAAATATTTTTCCCTCTTAAGTATTTACCGAGTTTTTCTTAATGATTATAAAAGCAACATGTGCTCATCGTAGACATTTGCAAACTACAAAAGAGTACAAAGAATCAGGAAAAAAGGTGGCTCATATGTGTAATGCCAGGACTTTGGGAGGCCAAGGTAGGCGGATCACCTGAGGGCAGGAGTTCGAGACCAGCCTCGCCAACATGGTGAAACCCCATCTCTACTAAAAATACAGAAATGTCAGGAGGCTGAGGCAGGAGAATAGCGTGAATCCGGGGGGCAGAGCTTGCAGTGAGCCAAGATTGTGCCACTGCACTCTAGCCTGGGTAACAGAGCGAGACTGTCTCAAAAAAAAAACAAAAAAACAAAAAAAAACTCCCGAGAAAGAACATCTTTCTGCCCTCACTGCCCAGAAGGGGAGCTGTTGTTAGCTTTGGCATCTTTTTCACCTGTCCTTCCTTCCTAGGCCTTCTCCCTTGACAAGATTGAGAGTATATCTTAGAGTTTTCTCATCTCCTGCCACCTTTTGATTTCTTTTCTTAACAGTGGGCCATAAGCACCTCCCCAAGTTACACAAATTAGTTGTCAGCACAGAGCAGCTGCCGAGAGAGTTCATCAGACAGACCCCCACATTCCTTCTGGCTGTCCTCAGAGGCCGGATTTCTTCCTCTTTTGAGGATGAAGAGCTTTCTCTGCCGAGGCTGGGGGAGGAGGTCAGTGAGGCAGCCAGTGAATGCCGTTTTTGGTCAAAAATGAGGCGTTGACTATAAAGCTGTGAGTTGAATTCTTCCCTCCGGGGAGGCTGGCCTGCTGGACCTTGCCCAAGCAGAGTTCCAGAACCTTCTTGAGTAAAGGCAGTGTTGGTGGAATAAACAGTGAGAGGACTGGCAACGGAATACACAGACCCGGGGCAGCACTTAACGTACGTGGGTCAAGGGTAGAAACAGCACCTGGCTTGACAGCATCCAAAACCCAACACCTGGTGGTTGCATGAACTCAGTGACAGTCACTGAATTACAAGTTTCGTGTGTTTGCTTTAAAAAAAAAAAGAAAGAACTCTTGCTACTTTATAGCATTCTCCACCCTGGCCCCCAGCCTTCATGTCCCTCTTCTTCCCTGCTTTGATTACTTTGTGGCACTTATTGCTGCCTGGAGTAAATTATGGATCTACTTGTTCATTTATTGTTGATCTCTTCCTTTGGAATTTAAGATCTGAGGGTTTTGTTTGTTTGTTTTGTTTTGTTTTGTTTGTTTTGGGAGTCTCACGCTGTTGCCCAGGCTGGAGTGCAATGGTGCAATCTCGGCTCACTGCAACCTCCACCTCCTGGGTCCAAGTGATTCTCCTGCCGCAACCTCCCAAGTAGCTGGGATTACGGATGCCTGCCACCACGCCCGGCTAATTTTTGTATTTTTAGTAGAGACGGCGTTGTGCCACATTGGTCAGGCTGGTCTTGAACTCCGGACCTCAAGTGATCCACCCGCCTCAGCCTCCCAAAGTGCTGGGATTACAGGCATGAGCCATCGTGCCCGGCTGCTCTGAGGGCTTTTTGGTTGTCTCTCCATCCCCAGGACTAAGAAAAGAGCCTGACACATAGTAGACACTCAGTAAATGTGTTAAATGAGTGGATGAATCGCACCTTGGCTGTTCAAGGCATGTCCTGCATAAGCAGTGGGTAGGCCGGAGGGCTTTGGATGTTTACACTGCAGATAAATACCTCAGACTAGGAGAAAATAGGAGTGGATTTCACCCCCTCTCAGGTCTGCTTTAGAAAGCAGCTTTGTCAGTCCTGCCTATGAGAGGGGCCCCTCTGGCATTGGGAAGTCAGCTCTGCTTCTTGACTTGACTATACACTTGTCAGTCTGCCCATCTGTCTGTCGGGTGTGTACAGAGTGCCTGCTGTGTGCCACAAGGCCACCTGGTACGTGAGCCTCTGTGTGGAATGGTGCCCCCCACGTTGAGTTGTGCAGTGTGCATCTTGTGTAACTGCACTTGGCCACCTGCTGTGCCAGGTGCTGGTGATACAGTAATGGATATGACCCACTTCATGCCCTTGAGAGCTCACAGTCTGATGGGAGAGACAAACGCCAAACAATTAAGGGTATCATAGTGCTAAATGCAGTGATGGAGGGCTGCTTGAGGGCCTGGGAAATCACAGAGAAGGAGCCCCCATCCCAGCCTGGGAGGGTCCAGGGTGATATCTGGGCTAAGTCACCTTTTCTTCTCCTCTTGGGCACATGTGCATCTGGCTCTGTGTGGGGCCAGCCCCTCTCAGGAGCAGTGTCTGTCCTCAAAGGGGCTGGAGCTGATGCCCATGCCACCTCCCAGTGTCATGCCTGGCCTGCCTACTGTAATACTTTATTTCTTTTCCTCTCCTGCGTAAAAACAAGCCTGAAGACTGAAGGTTGGTCTGCATTATTTGTTTAGCTCTATTTATGGTTAAACACAGTTATGACTTTGGCCAGGCATGGTGGCTCACGCCTGTAATCCTAGCACTTTGGGAGGCCAAGGCAGGTGTATCAGCTGAGGTCAGGAGTTTGAGACCAGCCTGGCCAACATGGCAAAACCCCGTCTCTACTAAAAATACGAAAATTAGCCAGGTGTGGTGGCGGGCACCTGTAATCCCAGCTATTTGGGAGGCTGAGGCTGGAGAATTGCTTGAACCTGGGTGGCGGAGGTTGCGGTGAGCTAAGATCACGCCACTTCCCTCCAGCCTGGGCTAAAGAGTGAAACTCTGTCACAAACAAACAAACAAAAACCCAACACAGTTATGACTTTGGAGAAAGGGGTTGGTCTTGTGCAGTGTGCTTGTCCCGGATCCACCCAGCACGTGTGGGATGGGGAAACTGACGCACAAATGGAGCAGACCCTTCAGCCATTCTTGCCTCTCCCCCTTTAGAAAAGACACTCCCTTCACTCCTTTATTTAGATAGGGGCTTAGGGCGGGAGTTTCGCTTTGCTTCTTAACAATATCTTGGGTCTTCTGAATTCCCAGGCAGCACAGTGATGGACGAGGAGGAAGCAGGTCAGTACTGCCCGGGTTGGAGTTGGCTTGGCTCATAGAATGAGGCCAGAGACGGGCCGAGACTGTCGCTGCATGTCTGGGGAGGTGCCGTCAGATGTCTGTGTTTTCACCCCTCCGGTTGTTCATTGGTTCATTTAGCACACATTTACTGGGTACCTACTGTGTGTCTGGCTTTGAGGCTGGCACTGGGGGATACAGCCTGAGTCCCCAGATCCCTTTATTGTCACTGATGACCTTGGGTAAGCTCTACTGTTTCATGCATCACGTTACCGTGACCAGCATGCCTTGAGGGGACCATGCTTATGAAGTGCCTGGCACACAGTGGATGGACAATAAATGGCAACAGTTTGATTGTGAGCTGCCACGCATAGATCCTGGGGCACAGTCAAGACACACATGGGCCCAGACAATGCAGGGTGATCAGCGCCTGTTGGGGAACTGCAGCAGGTGGTGGTGGGGACCCTGAAGAGGGATGTCGCCTAGTGGAATTCCAGTGGCCAGACTGGACCCATCCCTCCTGCCTTCTGCAGTGTGTGGCTTAGGGTCCCAGCCAAGGGCTTTTTTTGTAAGCAGCAGAAGCTGAATCTGGCCACCTTAAACAAACAGAGGGTGTTTCCTGGAAGGATACCAGGTAACTCATGAATCAAAGGCAGAACTGAGCAAGTAGGACTCAGGAAATGGGAACTCTGGGAGACTAGACTCTTTTAGGACAGGTGAACTTGAACTGTCTTTGGTCCTTGTAGACCACTGATGACGGTTCAAATCCTGGGAGAGGGGCTTTTATGGGGCGACCTCAGACAGTGCCCACCTTGGCTGGGGGAATCTGAGGCACCCTGATTGACAGGCCCACCAAGGCTGTAGGAAGAGGGAGAGCTGATCCCTTCAAAAAGCCAACAGGGGGCCAGGCACAGTGGCTCACACCTGTAATCCCAGCACTCTGGGAGGCCGAGGTGGGTGGATCACCTGAGGTCAGGGGTTTGAGACCAGCCTGGCCAACATGGTGAAACCCCGTCTCTACTAGAAATACAAAAGAATTAGCCAGGCACGGTGGTGCATGCCTGTAATCCCAGCTTCCTGGGAGGCTGAGGTGGGAGGATCGATTGAACCCAAGAGGCAGAGGTTGCAGTGAGCCAAGATGGCACCAGTGCAATCCAGCCTGGGCGACAGAGAAGACCTTGTCTCAAGACAAGGAAAAAAAAAAATGCTGAGAGGATGGTGGACTAACTGATGTTCAGATTCCTCCTCTTAGGCGCTTGGTCCTCCTCCGTGCAGAGTGGAATTTTCCAGCTGCCCAGTTCGACCTGTGGGCTAATTGGTGGGTTGAGAGGGTAAGACAGCCTTAGCGAGCACTGCATGCCTGCAGAAGCTCCCAGCTGACCATGGTGGCTGCGCTCAGTGACGAACAGGAGAAGTGAAGGCTGAGGCTTATAGGAGGGTGGCCTGAGGCTGCTGGTAGGAGAGCGGGGGGGCTCTCTGCGGCATGCAGCCTCCAGATGGGGGTCCCTGGGAGTGTTCTGGAACATTCTCATCCCTGCACAGAGAAAGATGGTTAAGGGCATGGCTGGTTCCCAGTGTCACACATGTGTGTGAGGACAGGCTGCATGGGAAGTCCTGCTTGGTATCATTCTTCCTTCCTGGGTGATGTGGCTATTTGTGTTTTGTTTGTTTTTTAAGTTAGTGTTTAGTTAGTTTAGACAAAACAAAACAGATGCTGACATTAAAGGGAATGTTTAAAGCAGAGTTTCTCAGTTCCTGGCTGTGCCTAGAATTCTCTGTAGAACCTGTTTAAAAATGTATTTAGTAATAAGCAACACGGGGGTCGCCATCACTGAACACTTGCTGTGCCAGGCACTGCGTGCAGTCTCGTTTCACCCTCTCGCAAATGAAGGTTGGGTCTGCTGTTCCTGTTTTGCAGATGTGGAAGATGAGGCTCAGACAGATTTATCATTTCCCCAAGGGGCACAGCCAGGAAGTGAGAGAACACTTCCCACATATCACAGTTCCTGGAGCTCTAATCGAGACTCATAGCAGGGACTGGGCTGGACACGAGGGCACCTGCTCAGTTTTTAATTTTAATTTTTTGGTTTATTTTCTTTTATTCGTGTTTTTTAGATTTTTTTTTTATTTTTATTTTTTATTTTTATTTTTAGACAGAGTCTCGCTCTGTCACCCAGGCTGGAGTGTGGTAGCATGATTTCAGCTCACTGCAACCTCCGCCTCCCGGGTTCAAGCAATTCTAGAGCCTCAGCCTCCCGAGTAGGTGGGATTACAGGCATGCACCACCACGCCCAGCTAATTTTTGTATTTTTAGAATAGAGTTGGGGTTTTTCCATGTTGGCCAGGCTGGTCTTGAACTCCTGGCCTCAAGCGATCTGCCCGCCTCGGCCTTGAAAGTGCTGGGGATTACAGGTGTGAGCCACCGTGCCCGGCGGCCACCTGCTCATTTATAAAGCCCCCCGTGACTCATTTACAACCAAGACTGAGAATTCCTGGCATGGAGTGCCTCCCTCTGTCCAGGAATGATCTGCAGCCCCCTCTTCCCTTCCAGGTGTGTCTGTGTCTCCCTGTGGCTGTTTCTGCAAGATTTTGCATTTTTGAGCTCTGCTTTTATTCATGTCATCACCCGAGCATGTTCCCAGGGTCACCCTGACCATGCTGCTGGCTGCGTATTTATCCCTTTTGTATCTTCTGTCCTGGGTCCTCTCCCACCTTCTCTGGGGTCAGCCCTGTGGTGCCTTACATTGTGCTGCTTTCTCTCCTGGCACCAAAGAATGAGGCAGTCAGTGCGGAGTGGGGGCAGTAGTCATCATCATCACTGAGTTATTGTGAACCGGGAAAGAGATATGATCTGTGTTGACACGACACACGGTGCCCAAGTGCACTTGATAAATGTTGGCTGTCATTGTCATTGTTGATGTTCCGGTGATTATTGTTGATGCTGGGTGGATTCTTCCTGGGATCAGGGCAGATATCCAGCTGCTGTGTCCCTTGGTGTCCTTATCAGTGTCCTTCCTAATTCTGCAACCAAGGCATCTGCCAGGGCTGGGGTCTCATCTGAAGACTCAATCAGGGAAGGGTCCACTTTGAAGCTCACCTGGTTGTTGGCAGAACTTGGTTCCCCAGTTCAAATGTTGAAATACTTTATTACTGTGGAAACAGCCACTGCCCCAGGTACCTTTTACCCTGAACTCTTGGGACCTCTCTGTGGTCTAGGAACTGAAGGGTTAACTCCTGGCACTACAGGGGTCTCCGGGCCTCTGCCTGTTGGCTGATGGCCTTGTCAAATTGGTTATCTATTTTGAATATCACTTCTTCTTTCAATGCTTGGGAATCACGGGGCTATGCCCTTTCCCTCATGCGTTTCCTTGCATCCTGGTCCTAGGAAGTGAGCTTAACATAGCAGGGCTACTGTTTTCTGGGCTGGGTTTTACCCATTGCTGCTGGCACAGGATGCTGGCTCAGGCCCAGTGCCCTCAGTGGATGGAGCCTTCTGCACAGTTGCAAAGCACTGTCCCTACCCCAAGGGACTGAGCTCCAGATACCACCTGCCCCACAACCAGACAGCCTGTTCATGGCCTCTGCAGAGCAGGTCTCCTACTTTCTGATCATCCTGGCGGCCAGGTGCTCTGTGGTCTCCTCACTGAAGTGGCCGGTTTTTGTTGCCCTTGGTTTTAGCATCTGCCTCATATAACCCCACTTGCCCCCTTTGTCTCTCTTCTGCCAGGGGTCACGGGCGTCAGCGGTCCAGGGAAGGAAGCAAAGCAAATGGAGAATGGCATGCTGGTGACGGACAGTGCAGGGAAGCAACTGCAGAGGTAAGGGCGGGGAGGAAGGCCCCAACCTAAGGACCCTGCCCTGCCAGTGGGAGGACAAGAGGAGGAACAAAAAAAGGCCTCAGCCCCCTGAGGTCCTGGAAGGCCTGGGCTTTTACCTTCCCTCCCAAATCCTCCAAGGACCTTGCTTTTCAGAGTACAGAGGCCCAAAGAAGGAATGTGGCACTCTTTTTGCCAGGTGGCACAACTCACACAGGCCTCATGATTTAACCAGCTGTCCACGCTTCTGACACTCGGGCTCCCTACATGGTGTGGGTCTTTGCTCAGGTCTCTTGGCGGGGCCTGGAAGGTTCAGGCTTTGTGAAGCAGCATTTGATTTAAAACTGTCTCAAGGCCAGGTGTGGTGGCTCCTGCTTGTAATCTCAGCACTTTGGGAGGTTGAGGCAGGAGGATCGCTTGAGGCCAGGAGTTTGAGACCACAGTGGGTAACATAGCAAGACCTCATCTCTACAAAAAAGGAAGTATGCTCGTGTTTGATTATAGAGGGCTTCCTTAGATCCCTGGGGATTTATAGCGTATGCAGTATATTAACCATCCTAGCTTTTAAAAAACTGGCTAAGTCGGCCAGGCAGGGTGGCTCATGCCTATAATCCCAGCACTTCGGGAGGCTGAGGCGGGCGGATCACCTGAGGACAGGAGTTGAAGACCAGCCTGGCCAACATGATGAAACCCTGTCTCTACTAAAGATACAAAAATTAGCCAGGCATGGTGGCAGGCGCCTGTAGTCCCAGCTACTCGGGAGGCTGAGGCACGAGAATCGCTTGAACCCAGGAGGTGGAGGTTGCAGTGAGCCGAGATTGCGCCATGGCACTCCAGCCTGGGTGACAGAGCGAGACTCCATCTCAAAAAACAAAAACAAAACAAAACAGCAGCAGCAGCAGAAAACAGTAAAACAACAACAAAAATTGACAAAGTCGGAGCCTAAACGTATCAGACCGCGGAGATCTGAGAAAGGATCCCGGACCTGCAGTTGCTACAGGGGTCAGGAGAGAGCAAAGACCATGCGGCATAGCACGGTGCCTGGAACAGACAAACACTTCGTAGATGTCGCTTTTGCCATGGTTATCATCCGGACATGGTTATGGTCCGGAATTGGTGGGTCTTGGTCTCACTGACTTCAAGAATGAAGCCGCAGACCCTCACGGTGAGTGTTACAGTTCTTAAAGGTGGCACGTCTGGGGTTTGTTCCTTCTGCTGTTCGGATGTGTTCGGAGTTTCTTCCTTCTGGTGGGTTCGTGGTCTCGCTGGCCTCAGGAGTGAAGCTGCAGACCTTCGCGGTAAGTGTTACAGCTCTTAAGGTGGCGTGTCTGGAGTCGTTCGTTCCTCCCGCTGGGTTTGTGCTCTGGCTGGCTTCAGGAGTGAAGCTGTAGACCTTGATGGTGAGTGTTACAGCTCACAAAGGCAATGTGGACCCAAACACTGAGCAGCAGAAAGATTTATCGCAAAGAGTGAAACAATAAAGCTTCCACAGTTTGGAAGGGTACCCCAGTAGGTGGCCACTGCTGGCTCTGGCAGCCAGCTTTTATTCTCTTATCTGGCCCTACCCACATCCTGCTGATTGGTCCATTTTACAGAGAGCCGATTGGTCTGTTTTTACAGAGTGTTGATTGGTCCGTTTTGACAGGGTGCTGATTGGTGTGTTTACAACCCCTGAGCTAGATACGTAAGTTCCCCACATCCCCACTAGATTAGCTAGATATAGAGTGTTGATTGGTGCATTCACAAACCCTGAGCTAGACACAGGGTGCTGATTGGTGTGTTTACAAACCTTGAGCTAGATACAGAGTGCTGATTGGTGTATTTACAATCCCTTAGCTAGACATAAAGGGCCTCCAAGTCAGCACCAGACTCAGGAGCCCAGCTGGCTTCACCAGGTGGATGCCACACTGGGGCTGCAGGTGGAGCTGCCTGCCAGTCCCGTGCCGTGCGCCCTCACTCCTCAGCCCTTGGGCGGTGGAAGGGACTGGGCGCCATGGAGCAGGGGCGGCACTCGTCCGGGAGGCTCGGGCCGCGCAGGAGCCCATAGCGGGGAGGTGGGGAGGCTCAGGCATGGCAGGCTGCAGGTCCCGAGCCCTGCCCCGCGGGGAGGCAGCTAAAGCCCGGTGAGAAATCAAGTGCAGCAGCTGCTGGCCCAGGTGCTAAGCCCCTCACTACCCGGGCTGGCGGGGCTGCCCGGCAGCTCTGAGTGCGGGGTCCACCGAGCCGACGCCCACCCAGAACTAGCGCTGGCCCGCAAGCGCCCTGTGCAGCTCCGGTTCCCTCCCGTTCCTCTCCCTCCACACCTCCCCGCAAGCTGAGGGAGCCGGCTCCAGCCTTGGCCAGCCCAGAAAGGGGCTCCCACAGTGCAGCGGCGGGCTGAAGGGCTCCTCAAGCGCTGCCAGAGTGGGTGCCAAGGCCGAGGAGGCACAGAGAGCGAGCGAGGGCTGCGAGGGCTGCCAGCACGCTGTCACTTCTCAATCTTACACAGCCTAAATTCTAGTGGGAGACTCCAGACAGTGCATGAGTGTAGAAGGATGTAAGATTTTCTGTCGAGGTGTGTGGATGTGTGAAGTCCTAGGTCATGAAGCAGGAAGCCCCAGCTCCCCATTTGAATTCTAGATTCCATCCAGAGTTGGTTCCAGTTGCTCCCTCTGCCACTCCCTGAAAACTCACTCTTGCTTTCAGATTTGAGGGCCACTTCCACCTCACTAGGCCTTAACTAAAGACCTTTGCACAGATCTCATGGGTAAGGAAAGTTTACCCAATCCCAGGCGCTAATTCAAAGAGGGGAGGTGGTGGAGGTTTATTCGGCCTTCAGGAAGTGTTTTCAGGGGACACAGTTCTGGGGGTGCAGGGATGACTCATATGGGGCTCTTGACCTCAGTTAGCTTATAATCTTGTGCAGGAGATAAGTGGGTAGAGGAAAGTATAGAAATTTCCACGGCAGTGAGCCGCAGCTGTGTTTTGCATGGTCTCCATAATTTCTTTTCTTTTCTTTTCTTTTTTTTTTTTTTTTGACATGAGTCTCCCTCTGTCGCCCAGGCTGGAGTGCAGTGTGCAGTGGCGCGATGTCAGCCACTGAACGGAAAACTGTGGGCGACGCAATCTGTGATCATCTCTGGGGGTCTGCATAAAGCTCATGACCACTGATGTGCGAAAAGTGCTTTTTTTTTTTTTTTTGAGACAGGGTCTTACTCAGTCGCTGAGGCTGGAGTGCAGTGGTGCAATCACGGCTCACTGCAATTTCTGCCTCTGGGATTCAAGCGATTCTCCTGCCTCAACCTCCCAAGTAGTTGGGACTGCAGGTGCACGGTACCACGCCTGGCTAATTTTTGTATTTTTAGTAGAGACGGGGTTTCACCGTGTTGGCCAGGCTAGTCTTGAACTCCTGGCCTCAAGTGATCCGCCCACCTCGGCCTCCCAAAGTGCTGGGATTACAGGTGTGAGCCACTGCACCTGGCCAAATAATGCTTTCTGAGTAACACGCTTGCATGAAGGAGCAGTCAGGCAAGATCCCACCCCAGTGCCCACCACATTTGTAAAACAAGAAAATCGAACTAGCTGGGTACTTTGCCCTATGTTTTTCATCATATGTTACATTTTGAATCTTTTTCATGTTTGAAAAATGATCTACGATGTGCCCTTTCTGTTATATCTTTTATTGGCTTTTTTTTTTTTGAGATGAATTCTAATTGATCTCAGAAAAAAAAAAAAAAAGCACGCACTTTTTATATACCAGTTGTCATGGGCTTTTTGCAGGCCCCCAGAGATCATCACAGATTGCGTTTCCCATGGGTCTCATTCCTGCCTGAGACACTGCCTTTCTCTGGGTACCTATAAACCTGGAGAGTGACATGGTGGGGTGTGGTGCATATATTCATATATATGTTTACATGTGTGCATGTGGAAACACTCCGTCTCTTATGCCATGGTTCAGACCCACAATAGCAGTCCCAGCAGGGAGCCCTCCGACCCTGCCCAAGGCATCTGTACGGTTGACACCCTTGTGCTTTGCTTCTCCAGACAGCTCAGCAGCTCCTCCTCCTATAGTGGGGACATCAGCAGGCACCACAACAGCACCGCAGAACTGCAGAAAGCTGAGGCCAAGAAGGAGGAGACCTGGAAGCTGATGGAGGCTGACAAGGCGCAGACAGGGCAGGTGAGATTCGCTCCTTAAGTGATGACAGTGGCTGGAGTTTATAGAGCGCCCACTGTGCACTGGGCACTGTGCAAAGTGCCTTGTCTATGTTAACTCACCTGTCCATCACAACACACCTGTGAAGATACTATTTGCAGCACCAGAAACTGAGGCCAGAGAGGCTAAGTGACTTACTCACGGTCACCCCTGGTCAGCGGCAGAACTGGGATTTGAACCCTGGCCAACTCCAGGGTTAGTACTTGTAGTCTCTGCTCTATTGACTGCCTGAGCAGCTCAGGGGGGTCTCATTCGCTAGAGGTGAGCTGGATGCTTTAAATCAGGGCTTCCTGCAACGTGGGGTTCAGTTGTGCATGAGATGGTGTCCGGTTGTGCACAGACGCATTAAATGACAGAGGAATGTTTGTTTCATTTCTTTTTTTAATTTTTATTTTTTTGAGATGGAGTCTCACTCTGTCACCAAGGCTGGAGTGCAGTGGTGCGATCTCGGCTCACTACAACCTCTGCCTCCTGGGTTCAAGCAGTTTTCCTGCCTCAGCCTCCTGAGTAGCTGGGATTACAGAAACTTGCTACCTTGCCCAGCTAATTTTTGTATTTTTAGTAGAGACAGGGTTTCACCATGTTGGCCAGGCTGGTCTTGAACTCCTGACCTCAGGTGATCCACCCACCTTGGCCTCCCAAAATGCTGGGATTACAGGGGTGAGCACCGCGTCCTGCCTGTTTTTCATTTCTCATTTGGTCCTAATGATTACGTCCCTGAGAAAGTCCCAGTTGGGTCCTACCCTGCCTTCTCAACCTATCAACCACTATCCTCTCTTTGTAACAAGGAGACCGGGTTTTGAGCTCCTGTTTTATTGTTTTTAAAGATCGTCTATTTTGGGCAAGTGTTAATAATTCTCCATTTATGGTGGTGATCCAAAGTTTATTTTTAAAAATAAATGTGGTTTTTTTTGTTTTTGTTTTTAAAGGGAATGGAATTTTTAAAGTAGGTAAAAAATAAGCATGCAGATAAAGAAAAACAAAAAAAAAAACATGAAAGGTGGTAGCCGGGGAGTGGGGCTGGGGCACTTTCTCTTAGATCTGCCCGGATGTGTCCAGAGCTTCCGAGGACTGTCTGTTCCTGGCTTCTTCCTTAACTTGTCATCAGAGTCAGGACCGTAACAAGGGGCAGAGGTGACTCTGGTGTCCTCTCTCGCCTTACCCTTAGTGACCCTCCAGGAAGCCAGAGAAGTTACCCCAAATCGCAGGACATGGGAAGGAAGGGCCAGAGATGCCAGGCCCATTTAATCCTCATTTAACTCCAATTTTATATTCAAGGAACATCAAAGCCAGGGGGCTTGTTACTTGTCAAAGTTGGACCCAGAGTGGAGCCAGGCACAACACGCTTATCGTTTCTTTGTGTCTTTTTTTTTTTTTTTTTTTTTTTTGAGACGAAGTCCTGCTGTGTTGCCCAGGCTGTAGTGCCGTGGCGCTCACCGCAACCTCCGCCTCCCGGGTTCAAGCAATTTACCTGCCTCAGCCTCCCGAGTAGCTGGGACTACAGGCCTGCGCCACCATGCCTAGCTAATTTTTGTATTTTCGGTAGAGATGGCGTTTCACTATGTTGGCCAGGCTGGTCTCAAACTCCTGACCTTGTGATCTGCCTGCCTCAGCCTCCCAAAGAGCTGGTGCTGGGATTATAGGCATGAGCCACTGCGCCCGGCCTTTTTTTTTTTTTTAATTTGTTTTCTTTTTTTTTTTTCTGAGACAAGGTCTGACTCTGTCACCCAGGATGGAGTGCAGTGGCACAATCATGGCTAACTGCAGCCTCCACCTCCCGGATTCAAGTGATTCTCCCACCTCAGCCTTCCAAGTAGCTGTGACTACATGTGTGCACCCCCACGCTTGACTAATTTTTTTAATTTTTTTGTGGAGATGAGGTTTCGCCCTGTCGCCCAGACTGGTCTTGAGCTCCTGGGCTCAAGTGACTGGCCCGCCTCCCAAAGTACTGGGATTACAGATGTGAGCCACCACACCTGGCCACACACTTGTCATTTCTGACCCCCGAGCCCACCACATTCCACTACTCATGAGAAAGAGGTTCCTGAACGCTGCAGGCTAATTTCAGGGACAGCAGGCAACTTGGCCGCATGACAAAGCCAAGTGGTGAAATAAACACATTCTTAATTATGACCTGTCTCCTCACCCACATTTTTCATTTTCCAGAATGGGGACTTGAAAACTCAAAAGGAAGCAGCCAGTTACACATCAGACCTGTTATCTTTCACCTGTTACCTTTCAGCTAGACCGTAGGGTCAGATGATTTTTGTTTTTTTTTCTGGTGAGGGGCAGAGCCTCACTGTGTCGCTCAGGCTGGAGTGCAGTGGTGTGACCAACGCTCACTGCAGCCTTAAGCTTCTGGGTTCAAGAGCTCCTCCTAGCTCAGCTTCCTGAGTAGCTGGGACTATAGGTGTGGACCACCACACCTAGCTAATTTTAAAATTTTTTGTAGAGACAGGGTCTTACTGTGTTTCCCAGGCTGGTCTCAAACTCCTGGGCTCAAGTCATTGTCCTGCCTTGGCCTCCCAAAGTGCTGGCATTATAGGTGTGAGCCACCGCACCCAGTCCAGATGATTTTCATGACCCAAAATTCAGCATGAAAAGCTTGAAATGACAATGAGCACAGACACGGGTAAAGATCCCTGGAATTTCTTGAAACCAAGTCAGGTGGTTTAGGTGGGGGCTGGCCTAAAGCAGATTGCCCTGTCTCTCATGTCAGGCGGCTAGACACATTTGTTTAGCCCCATGCTGGGCTCCACAGGGAATATAGGAGGGAAAGAAACTCCAACCTTCACCTCCTGGAGCGAACTGGGCACTGGGAAGATGGGTGAGATGGTATTCTGTGCTCAGAGTGAAAAGAGTTGGAGGAGGCTGGCCCAGTTGTGGTGTTGAGGTGACATTTGGCCTTGGTTGCCAGGCAACATGTCACACGTTGCTTAAAACTCATTGGTGGCTTCTGCTTTCTGTCAGTCTTGGCTAAAAGTTGGAATCCTGACCCGAGTCTCCCATGCCATGTGTGGTCTGACTGCGACCGGTTTTTCCAGCCTCTTGTTCCTTGCTGCCCCATGATCTCCTGGCTCCAGCCACCAGTGCCTTCTCTCAGTTCCCCAGATGCACTGTGTTCCCTCCTACCTCAGGGCCTTTGCACATGCTGGTTCTGCCACCTTTTTTCCATTTTCAGCTGGTTTAACTCCTTTTTTTTTTTTTCCCCCTGGAGGCAATGTCTCCCTCTGTCACCCAGGCTGGTGTGCAGTAAGTTTGGCTTGGTGCAACCTCCACCTCCTGGCTTCAAGCGACCCTTGTGCCTCAGCCTACAGGCATGTGCCCCCACGCCTGACTAATTTTTGTATTTTTTGTAGAGGTGAGATTTCATCATGTTGGCCAGGCTGGTCTCGGATTCCTGACCTCAGGTGATCCACTTGCCGCAGCCCCTCAAAGTGCTGGGATTACAGGTGTGTGAGCCACGATGCCCAGCACTCTTTATTTTTTTTTATTTTTTAGAGACAGTCTCACTCTGTCACCCACGCTGGAGTGCAGTGGCGCATTCTCGGCTCACTGTAACCTCCGCCTACTGGGTTCAAGCCATTCTCTTGCCTCAGCCTCCCGAGTAGCTGAGATGACATGTGCCTACCACCATGCCCAGCTAATTTTTGTATTTTAGTAGGCAAGGGGTTTCGCCATGTTAGTCAGGCTGGTCTCAAACTCCTGACCTCAGGTAATCCACCCGCCTCGGCCTACCGACGTGCTGGGATCACAGGCATGAGCCACTGCACCCAGCCTTGGTTTAACTCTTTAATGTCACTTCCTCGAAGAAAACCTCCCCCAATACCTCTCTAGACTGCATTAGGTCAGGTTGTCTGATTTTATACTCACGTGGAATTGTGCACCGTTTACAGCCCTTCTCTGTGATGACGCATTTATCTGGGATGATTTTATGGGAGCCTATCTCACCACGCGACTGGAAGCTCCATGCATGAGGGCAGAGACCCTGAGTTTGTCTCTTTTTTTTGAGACGGAGTCTCACTCTGTCGCCCAGGCTGGAGTGCAGTGGGGCAATCTTGGCTCACTGCTTCTACCTCTGCCTCCTGGGTTCGAGGAATTCTGCCTCGGCCTTCCAATTAGCTGGGATTACAGATGCCGACCACACACCCGGCTAACTTTATATTTTTAATAGAGGCAGGATTTTGCCATATTGGCCAGGCTGGTCTCGAAGTCTCTACCTCAGTTGATCTGCCCGCCTCAGCCTCCCAAAATGTTGGGATTACAGGTGTGAGCCACGGCGCCTGGCCCTCGACTTTGTTTACTGCTGACTTTGTTGAATAGCTAAAGGGGAGGGGTGTTCTACGTAGGAGCAAAGGCAGGCAGCTGGGTGGCACAGTGCTGGTGAAGCCCCCGACCTTGTGGGGCTGGGGCTGGGGCTGGGTGCGTGCATGTGCTAAGCTGCCTTATCTCCTGTGATCTCCAGGTCAAGCTTTCCGTGTACTGGGACTACATGAAGGCCATCGGACTCTTCATCTCCTTCCTCAGCATCTTCCTTTTCATGTGTAACCATGTGTCCGCGCTGGCTTCCAACTATTGGCTCAGCCTCTGGACTGATGACCCCATCGTCAACGGGACTCAGGAGCACACGAAAGTCCGGCTGAGCGTCTATGGAGCCCTGGGCATTTCACAAGGTTGGTGCCGCTGTCTCCCACCCCGCCTGATTTGGGCCCCTGTTGTGGCTTTGTCTAATTATAGAAATGGATCCTTAGAGTCCTCAGCGTTTTGTGGGACCCCAAACCAAGCCAAACCCAGAAAAATGGTAGCTGTCAGCTAGTAGACACTCAGATATTTGTAGAGTGGGTGTTTGAGTGCTTTGTTCATATGGGCCTTGGTGGTAGACGGGAGGAGTGCTCCAGTGTGCCCATTTTACAGATGAGGACAGTTGAGAACAGAGGCCTCTGGAAGCACTGAGGGTTGGGAGGACCCCCTTGAGCATGTTTGCTTTGTCACAGTGACAGAGCTTCCATGAGGTCTCATTTGCGGACTTTTGCCTGCTGAGTGAGGGCGGAAATTGGCTTATACTAGTAATTCCCAATTATGGGCAGTGTTGTCCCTCAGGGATGTTTGACAATATCTGGAGATGCTTTTGGTTGTCAAAAGATTGAGAAACCCTGCTGTTGGCCAGGCATGGTGGCTCACACCTGTAATCCCACACTTTGGGAGGCTGAAGTCAAAGGATTGCTTGAGGCCAGATATTCGAGACCAGCCTGGGCAACATAGTGAGACCCTATTTCTAGAAAAAATAGATAAATAAAATAAACTACAGGTCACGTGGTGGTATGCGCTTGTGGTCTCAGCTACTTGGGCAGCTGAGGTCACAAGATTGCTTGAGCCCAGGAGTTTGAGCCTACAGTTAGACCTATGATTGCACCACTGCCCTCCAGCCTGGGTGACAGAGCAAGACCCTGTCTCAAAAAATAAACAAAAAAAAAAAAACCCTGCTCTATACTGTTCTGTGTGGTCCTATGGGAGTCCTCAAATGCAGCAGCGTTGATATTAACAGCTGGCATTTACTGAGCATTTACTTGGTGCTTGGATTTGTTCTAAACACTTCCACGTGTTTTAACTTATTTTATCCTTGCAGCAGTCCTGTGAGGTAGGAGTTAATATTTCCCTCATTTTGGAGATACAGAAACTGAGGCCCGGAGAGGTTGAGTCAGTTGCCAAAAGTCACACAGCTAATACATGGCAGCATTGGCATTGAACAAGGCAGTCTGGCTCAGGAGCTCACGCTGTTATCCACTGTGCTACGCAGTATGTGAGCCATGTTTGCAAATACACATGTATGGTCCATATGATATATACACAGTAAATGGATAGTCTTGACACATTTGAGTACTTCTGTATGCCAGGCACATTGCCAGGTGGGGACTTCACATTCCACAGTGCTCCGAGGTCAGCGTCATTGTCCCATTTTACAGATGAGGAAACTGAGAGATTCAGTGACCAGTAGGAGGTCCCATAGCTGGTAAGTGGCAGAGATGGGATTTGGCAGCATTGGCTCCAGAGCCTGTTACTTGAGCCCCTGCCTATTGGGTGTCTTCCCGATTAAAGAGGCCGAGATGGAAGCCTCTCTGTTCCTAGGAAGTTGCTGCTCTGGAACACACAGTGCGCTCCTGTGGATTGTTTGAGAGAAGCACCAGTGTCTCAGGATCTCCAGGAGGTGGCTTTGGGAAAACCCAGCGGTAGCAGAGCACACATGGACTCCTTGAGTCTCTCAATCCCTCCCCTCCCCTCTCCTTGCCATTAGGGGAAAGGACTGTGGCCTACAAATTATAATTGAGGGAAGGTAGAGAACAGAGAGGGTGTGGTATTACCTGAACTCACACAGCAACAACGTCTGTTCCAGAGCTGTGCTGTCTGGTGCGGTAGTCACAAGACACAGGTGGCTATTTTAATTTCAGCTGTTAAAATTAAATAAACGTTGGGCGCAGTAGCTCACGCCTGTAACCCCAACACTTTGAGAGGCCAAGGCGGGTGGATCGCTTAATCCAGGGGTTCAAGACCAGCCTGGGCAGCATGGCAAAACCCTGTTTCTACAAAAAATACAAAAATTCGCTGGGCGTGGTGGCGCATGTCTGTAATCCCTGCTACTCAGGAGGCTGAGGTGGGAGGATTGCTTGAGCCCAGGAGGTCGAGGCTGCAGTGAGCCGTGATCACAGCCCTGTACTCCATCCTGGGTGACAGGATGAGAGAGACCCCATCTCAAAAGAAAAATAAAATTAAAGATTTATTCGATTAGACTAGACACGTTTCAAGTGCTCAGTAGCCATCATTTCAGAAAATTATCTCAGCACTGTTCTAAAACAGCGATCCCTAGCCTTTTTGGCACCAGGGACTGGTTTCATGGAAATGGTGGGTGGTGATTTCGGGATGAAACTGTTCCACCTTAGATCATCAGGCATTAGTTAGATTATCAGAAGAAGCGCACAGTCTAGGTCCCTTGCATGCACGGTTCACAATAGGGTTCGCACTGCTAGGAGGATCTAATGCCACCACTGAGCTCACAGGAGGCAGAGCTCAGGCGCTGATGCTCAGGAGGTGACCACCACTCACCTCCTGCTGTGGGGCCTGGTTCCTAACCGGTCATGAGCTGCTGCCAATCTGTGGCCCCGGGGTTGGGGACCCCTGGTCTAGAAGAATATGGCATGGGGATTAAGAGCAGGCTGTCTGGATTAAAATCCCAGTTCTGCTTCTGCTAGGCACAGTATACTAAGGGCAAAGGCGTTCACCTATCTGGACTTCAGTTTTCTTATCTGTAAGTTGGGTAGTAATAGAAGTTATTCAGAGTCATCATAAAAATCAGTTACATGTAAAACCCAGCACAGTGCTTAGCACATAGGAAGTACCCTCTGAATAATAGCTGCCATTATCATCATCATTATTATTACTATTTTTTTTTTTTTGAGACGGAGTCTCATTCTGTCGCCCATGTTGGAGTGGAGTGGACGCAGTCTTGGCTCACTGCAACCTCCACCTCCCGGATTCAAGCAATTCCCTTGCCTCAGCCTCCCGAGTAGCTGGGATTACAGGCGCCAACCACCACGCCTGGCTAATTTTTGTATTTTTAGGAGAGACGGAGTTTCACTGTGTTGGCCAGGCTGGTCTCGATCTCCTGACCTCAAGTGATCCACCCACCTCGGCCTCCCAAAGTGCTGGGATTACAGGTGTGAGCCACCATGCCTGGTTCATCATTATTATTATTATTAGAAGTTGGGAGTCCAGGCCTGCCTCGTCCACATGGCCACTCCTCCCTGCAGTGCCTGGTCAGCTCCCTCTCTGCATTGTGGAGTTTTAACTCCGAGTGTCTGCAGGGATCGCCGTGTTTGGCTACTCCATGGCCGTGTCCATCGGGGGGATCTTGGCTTCCCGCTGTCTGCACGTGGACCTGCTGCACAGCATCCTGCGGTCACCCATGAGCTTCTTTGAGCGGACCCCCAGTGGGAACCTGGTGAACCGCTTCTCCAAGGAGCTGGACACAGTGGACTCCATGATCCCGGAGGTCATCAAGATGTTCATGGGCTCCCTGTTCAACGTCATTGGTGCCTGCATCGTTATCCTGCTGGCCACGCCCATCGCCGCCATCATCATCCCGCCCCTTGGCCTCATCTACTTCTTCGTCCAGGTAAGGGGTGAGGTCTTAGTGTTCGGGACAAGCCCTACTGTGCATTATATACCAGTGTTACCTAAAGCCTTGTTTTATCTTACCATGTCCCCAGTGTGGTGCTTTTGAAGCATGTAGATTTGTTTTTGTCAGTTTCGAATACCTAAATTGTTTTTTTGCTCACAATAACAAAATGCACTTTTTTTGTGGAATGCAGTTTTTTCCTAAGTTTTACTTTTCCACCTGTCAATTCAAAAAGGAAACAAAACCTATCACTATAAAGACAACTTCATTATTAAAATTTCTTTTTTTTTCTTGAGACAGAGTCTCGCTCTGTCACCCAGGCTGGAGTGCAGTGGCACAATCTTGGCTTACTGCAACCTCCACCTCCCAGTTCAAGTGATTCCCCTGCCTCAGCCTCCTGAGTTAACAGGTGCGCACCACCACGGCCGGCTAATTTTTGTATTTTTAGTAGAGACAGGGTTTCACCAGTGTTGGCCAGGCTGGTCTCAAACTCCTGAGCTCAGGTGATCCACCCACCTCGACCTCCCCAAGTGTTGGGATTACAGATGTGAGCCACTGCGTCCAGCCTAAAATTTCTTCAAGTATAAAATTCTTTAGTTCTTAAGCCTCCTGCAGGAGGCAGGAACTAAACAAAAAACATGACTAATAGCAGCCTAAATAAGATAGACGTTTTCTTTTTCTCTGTCATAATAGAAATTTAGAGGTAGGCTGTTCAGGGCTGGTATGGCAGCTTCATGAGTTTAATATCCCAGATACCTGCTTTTATTTAAAAATTTAAAAAATCTTACCATATTTATACAAGCCTTTCATTCTTTCTTTCTTTCTTTTTTTTTTTTAATTTGACATGGAGTCTCGCTCTGTCGCCCAGGCTGGAGTGCAGTGGCGCGATCTCGGCTCACTGCAAGCTCCACCTCTCGGGTTCACACCATTCTCCTGCCTCAGCCTCCCGAGTAGCTGGGACTACAGGCGCCCGCCACTACGCCCAGCTAATTTTTTTTGTATTTTCAGTAGAGACAAGGTTTCACCATGTTAGCCAGGATGGTCTCAATCTCCTGACCTCGTGATTCGCCTGCCTCAGCCTCCCAAAGTGCTGGGATTACAGGCGTGAGCCACTGCGCCCGGCCCCTTTCATTCTTAAGTTGGCCTCATGGTCCAAGGTGGCTGCTGGAGCTCCAGCCATTATATCTATATTTCAGTCAGTGAGATCAAGGAAGGGAAGTAGGGCAAGGGAGCATATGGGTGCTGAATCAGCACTACTCCCTTATCTGCAGGCACACATTCTAAGACTCCCCCAATGGATGCCTTAAACTGCAGATAGTATTGAATCCTACATATCCTGTTTTTTTCTGTACATACATACCTATGATAAAGTTTAATTTATAAATTTGGCATAATAGATTAATAGCAGTAATTTATAATAATAAAATAGAACAATTATAACAATATGCCAGTATCACTACTTCTCCACATTAGAGGCGTTATTTTTATTACTTTTTTTTTTGAGACAGAGTTTAGCTGTGTCCTTCAGGCTGGAGTGCAGTGATGGAATCTCGGCTCACTGCAACATCTGCCTCCCGGGTTCAAGTGATTCTCTTGCCTCAGCCTCCCAAGTAGCTGGGATTACAGGCATGCGCCACACCCAGCTAGTTTTTGTATTTTTAGTAGAGACGAGGTTTCACCATGTTGGCCAGGCTAGTCTCAAACTCCTGACGTCAAGTGATCCGCCCGCCTCAGCCTGCCAAAGTGCTGGGATTACAGGCATTGACCCACTGAGCCCAGCCAGGGGCATTATTGAGTAAATTCGGATTACTTACCCATAAGCACTGCAGTACAATGGCCGTCAGTCTGATAACCGATATGGCTATTAAGTGACTAAACTGACAGGGAGGGTCTGCAGCATGGACCTGCTGGACAAAGGGATGATTCACACCGCGGATGGGACTGGGGGGGATTTCATCACACTACTCAGAAGGGTGCACAATTTAAAACTTACACATTATTTTTGGACCACAGTTGACCATGGATAACCGAAACCATGTGTGTTAGTTTGTCCTCATACTGCTATGAAGAAATACCCAATACTGGGTAATTTATTAAGGAAAGAGGTTTAATTGACTCACAGTTCCGCATGGCTGAGGAGGCCATGGCAGAAGGAGAAGCAAACATGTCCTTCTTCACATGGCAGTAGGAAGAAGAATGAGAGCACCACGAAGTCGGGGAGCCCCCTTATAAAACCATCAGATCTTGTGAGAACTAACTCACTATCATGAGGGTTGGGGGAAACTGCCCCCACGATTCAGTTATCTCCACCTGGTCCCTCCCATGACACATGGGGATTAAGGGAACTACAATTCAAGATGAAATTTGGGTGGGGACACAGCCAAACCATATAACCACGGAAAGTGCAACCTTGGATTAGAGGGACACCTGTACATCTAATTGTCCAGAACTTAGTCATGGGACCACCTCTATTCACAAGGGACCCTGGAAAGTGCCGTGTTTTAGCTGGGCACATTGCACTTCCCAGCAAAAACTTTCAGTTGGGCCTAGGCACGGTGGCTCACGCCTGTAACCCTACCCCTTTGGGAGGCCGAGGCGCGTGTATCACCTGAAGTCAGGAGTTCGAGAGCAGCCTGACCAATATGGTGAAACCCCACCTCTACTAAAAATACAAAAATTAGCCAGGTGTGGTGGCATGTGCCTATAGTCCCAGCTGCTCTGAAGGCTGAGACAGGAGAATTGCTTGAACCTGGGAGGTGGAGGTTGCAGTGAGCCAAGATTGCATCACTGCAATCCAGCCTGGGCAACAGAGTGATACTCTGTCTAAAAAAAAACAGAGAAGTTTCTGTTGGGAAAGGAGAAATTGTGTAGGCAGTCAGTCGTCTCTGCTGCATCCCTTCTGCAGAAACGGTTATATGTTCTTTGTTCTTTGAACACATGTGGTTTCTTAGGATATCGCAGGATAGATAATGTTTTCAATTGACAGGTGGAGCATCTTGCTAAGTGGGAGAGCTGAGAGTGCAACCTCAAGTCTGTCCAATTCCAAAACTGCTGTTACCGCTAAAGGATTAACCGCAGCACAATTGCCAGTAGGGATGGGTTGTTTAGATGGGAGCATTCCAGCTGCAAAGCAAAACAAGAGTAAGAAACCATGAGGCTCACCATATCTCAAACCACGCTGCACAGCTGTTCAGGTGGCATCCAGGGGGCCTTGGTTCAATCATGTGGCCCCTGCGCCCCACCACACTGTGGCCCAATGATTGATGAGAACGAACAGTGATGGAATCAGAGAGAGTAGGTCCAGTTCCTGGAGTCTCGTTATATCCTCTTGAAATTGGTGCCAGCTTTTTTTTTTTTTTTTTTTTCCCCTGCATTTACCAAATATGTTATCTGTGTTCATACGCAAGCTGGAAAATTTCCTGAAAGACCCAAAAAGAACAAAACAGGCCAAATGCAGTGTTGAAGGCAACTTAAATGTCTGCCAATAGCAGGACCTTGGGTACACCGTGGAGCAATGTGGCTTTGAGCAGGGATAATTAGAAGACGCAGCTGTTGGAGCACCAAGGATTTTTATTTTTCAACAACAAAGGAAATGATTTTAGCAAAGGACCAAGTTCTAGGTGCACTGTCGTTATCACCGAGATGAAATGCATAATGTGTGTGGGCAGGACTGGAAGGGAGGCAGATACATGAAAACATCGTCTTTTTAAGGGTTGAGATTATAGAATAGTTAATTTTTTAATGGCTTTTGGCTAAATTTACATTTATCCTCTCACTAGGCAGTCTCATTCCTAAGTGTATATTAAAAAAAAAAAAAAAAAAAAAAGAGCAAAGGCAGTGCTTAGAATGTTCTCAGCATCTTGATTCATAATCGCCCAAACTGGAAACAGCTCAAATGTCCATTAACAGGACCGTGGAGAAATAAATTGTGATATAATTATACAATTTATGGTTGAGTAGTAAAAAGGAATGAAATGCTAATACACAACAATTTGGGTTTATCTCAGAGATGTTATAGTGATCAAAAGAAGCCAGACGAAAAAGAGTAGGTACTGTGAGATTTCATTTATATGAAGTTCGGTCGGGTGCAGTGGCTCATGCCTTTAATCCCAGCCCTTTGGGAGGCCTAGACAGGAGGATTGCTTGGGCCCAGGAGTTCGAGACCAGCCTGAGCAACATGGGAAAACCTGGTCTCTACAGAAAATACAAAAATTAGCTGGGTGTGGTGGCGTGAACCTGTAGTCCCACCTGCTTGGGAGGCTGAGATGGAAGGGTCACTTGAGCCTCGGAGGCGGAGGTTGCAGTGAGCTGACATTGTGCCAGTGCACTTCAGCCTTGGTGACAGGGCGAGTTGTCTGAAAAAAACATCAGATCGGCAGGGCAGGTGGATCACCTGAGGTCAGGAGTTTGAGACCAGCCTGGCCAACATGGTGAAACCCCATCTCTACTAAAAATAGAAAAATTAGCCAGGCACGGTGGTGGGCGCCTGCAATTCCAGCTACTTAGGAGGCTAAGGCAGGAGAATTGCTTGAACCTGGGAGGCAGAGGTTGCAATGAGCCAAGATTGTGCCACTGCACTCCAGCCAGGGTGACAGAGCGAGACTGTCTTAAAAAATAAAATAAGATCATTCCTGAACAAATATTCATCTCAGGTTAGATTTTTCCAGTAAGTAAGGTTCAGAGGCAGTGGCAAGTGGAGGAAAGTGAACAGGTAACACACTTGAGAGCGATTTGCATCTGGATTGTTCAGAAAGCAAGCTGGTAAGAGAGGAAGGAGATGTGGTCCAGGGTAAGATGGGGCAGATCACCTGGGCCTTCAGCCATGCAGAGGGGTCTGGATTTCATGGGAGGCGGTGGGAACAGCTGGAGAAGAAATTATATCTGATCCACATTCCAGGAATTGGCAGAACAGCTATTCTGAGACTGCGTGGGGTTGTGCGGTACCTGGGTTCACTTACATAGCTTCTGGGGCCCCAGAAGACTCTCCATCTGTGGGTTGCAATTAACGCCCGTGCCGCCACCCAGGAAGAAGCTGCCAACCACAGAGGCCTTGTAAAAGCCACCTGCTGCTATTGATGCTTTTTGTTGGACTCTGCCCCAAAGCAGCCCAGTACACCTGGCCCAGGGCAGGATGCAGGGAGGCCGAGTTCCTAGCAACCCTTTGTTAGTTTTCCCAGCTCTCCTGTCGATAAGCAATTGTAGGCACCTTGTGGAATCAGGAACCCCGGGCTCACCAGTTCCTTTTGCGTAGATGAGAAAAACCTAGGCTAGGAGAGCGCAGTGTCCTCACATGGCTGGTGCAGCCTCTGATCCACAGCTCCACAAAGCTTGCAGAAGGTGGTTGGCTTTTGTTCTGAATCTAACAAGACTTATCGGGAGGCTCTTGGTGCCTGGCACTGGCTGAATGCCCAGGTTGGGGGAGGCAGAGCAGATGAAGCATCTGCCCGCGAGGGTGGGTGGAGCTGCTTGTGAAACGTATCATCGTAGCCCGGGAGCTGGGACACTGAAGCCCGGAGAAGGTGCTCATGGAGGATGGGAAGGGCTTCCCGAGGAAGTGACATCTGTGCTCCCATCTGCTGGGTGATGAGGAATGGCCTGGACGGGATGGGCATGGTGGGTGGAGGCAGGCGGCCTGTGTGCAGGGAAGGAAGGGGAGAGTTACAGGATGAGATGAGTTGAGGGAAGAAGCATGGTTGGCAACTCTAACAGCGCTGGGAGGCCATCGGAGGGGGGTGACGAGATTGACCCTATCCTCATGGGCATCTCAGCTGGGCTGAGTGTGCTGGAACCGGCCATTGCATGGACACAGTCACTCCTGAGGGGATGTGATCAACAGGCGGAATTCTGTCACTTAATGATAACAATAGTCACCAGCTAACTGAATGCTTACTGTTAGGTCAAACTATATGAAACTGCTAATACTTATTTCTTATCTACAGAAACAGCTATTTCCTGTGGTTCAACCTAGTATTACCAGGCACTGTGCTTAGTGACATCATGCATATCTATATGATTTATGAAATAATGTGTCCACGCAAATACACATCACATGTAAGACTGTAACTCTTACATGTCACCCTCACAATGACCCCGTGAAGCAAGCTTTGTTTTGTTTCGTTTGTTTTCTTAATAATATTTTATTTTTGTAGAGATGGCATTTTGCCATGTGCCTGGGCTGGTCTCAGACTCCTGGCCTCAAGTGATCTCCCGCCTCTGCCTCCTGAAGTGCGGGTATTACAAGCATGAGCCACCCCACCTGGCCGAGCAAGCCTTGTTGTTCCCATTTTACAGATAAGGAAACTGAGGCTTAGAGAAGTAAAGTGTTAGTCGTGTTTATATTGCCAGTCAGTAGTTGAGTCAGGATTTGAACTGAGGTCTCGTTGACCTCAAAGCCTATGCTGAAAACCACACTGCTGGTTCCAGAAAACCCTAGAGGTGAAAGGCTTCAGAGAGGCAGTACAGGGTAGAGGTTAGCACTTTGCAGCCCAGATGGCCTGGGTTTGAATCCCAGTTCTGCCCCTTGCTAGCCATGTGACCTTGGGGAGGAGATTAACTAGCTTCTTTGTGCCTTAGTCTACCCATCACATATAGGAATGAGCACCTCAGGTTTTTTGTGAGGATTGAATGAACTGATGTTTGTAAAACTGCTTAGAACGATGCCTGGGGCTGTGGGCTTTGTATAAGCGTGAGCTATTATTGTCACTGTCCTTGTCATTGGTGGTGCTATTCCTGTGGTTCACCAGGTGAGTGGGCACCCCTGTGAGGGCAGCCCGGCTCTAACATTTTGCCTCCTGGAGGTATCGGTTACGTCTAGATGTTCTCCAGCACAGCCCTGCCCTGGGAGGATGGCAGGAGGGAACCTTCATCAACTCCCCGCGTCTGTTCTCTACCCCAGAGGTTCTACGTGGCTTCCTCCCGGCAGCTGAAGCGCCTCGAGTCGGTCAGCCGCTCCCCGGTCTATTCCCATTTCAACGAGACCTTGCTGGGGGTCAGCGTCATTCGAGCCTTCGAGGAGCAGGAGCGCTTCATCCACCAGAGTGACCTGAAGGTGGACGAGAACCAGAAGGCCTATTACCCCAGCATCGTGGCCAACAGGTGGGCATGGTGGGCCTGCAGGAGCGGGTGGAGGAGGCCGCCTTAGCACCTTGTCTCTTTGCCTCGATCTTTTCCTCGCACCTTGAGCTGGGTATAAAGCCAAACCCCGGCCTTGCAGAAAGGATGGAGAGGCTTGATGAGCGCGGAGGACAGATGAATCATTAAGAGCAGACAGCGGCACTGTAGACATGCAGTGCCCGCGGCATTTAAGTGCAGGGACACAGCTCTTCTGGAGTCAGAAAGCCCTGCAAGTGCTTCCCGTTAACTGTCATCCTAGTGATGCAAGACTGCCAGCGACCGACTCTGCTATTGAGTATCTTCATACCGCTGTTCCCGTCTGGGGGTGATCATGCACCCCTGGGTGATGTGTGTCAGAAGCAATTTACTAATACTAAGCTAAACCATATGAGATTGTCATCTTGTGGGCCAGATGTCATGGCTCACGCCTGTAATCCCAGTACTTTGGGAGGCTGAGGCAGGAGGATCCATTAGATTCCAGGCCAGCCTGGGCAACATAGCAAGACCCCCATCTCTCTTAAAAAAAAAAAAAAAAAAAAAAAGTAGCCCATCATGGTGGTGTGTGCCTGTAGTCCTAGCTTCTCGAGAGGCTGAGGCTGGAGGATCGTTTCAGCCCAGGAGTTCAAAGTTGCATTGAGCTATGATTACACCACTGCACTCCAGCCTGGGTGACAGAGTGAGACCCTGTCTCTGGAAAAACAAAAAAAGGAGATGGGGGTGGGAGATTGACATCTTGTGGATCACAGATAATAGCATCAATCCAAAAGAGGCAGAAGTTTGCTAATTATTTGCTGAATTTAGAGAAGTGTCCCTCTCACCCATTTGCATCCTTATAGACTTTTCTGAAAAAGTGACAGCACCCCAGAGGTGTCCCATAACCATTAGCCCGTCTTACACACTCTAATCCCATAGCGTAAGTCTGGGTGGGCTAACCCTGAATGATTACAGACCTTGACTTCCCTTCAGAATTTTTAGGGAGTTTGTCACAATCTGGCTGTGTCTGTCGGAGTAGTGAGGATCAGTCACTTGGTTCATAAGGGCTGCAATGGAGAAAAGATCAACACCCCATCTTCCTAGAATGCTTTATATTTTAGAACATTAAAATAATAGTTCTAGTGCTATATGATATCATACGAAGCCTAGCTTTAAACAAATAAGATGGCCAGGCGCGGTGGCTCACATCTGTAATCCCAGCACTTTGGGATGCCAAAGTGGGTGGATCACCTGAGGTCAGGAGTTCAAGACCAGCCTGGTCAACATGGCAAAATCCCATCTATATTAAAAATACAAAAAAATTAGCCGGGCATGATGGTGGGTGCCTGTACTTGGGAGGCTGAGGCAGGAGAATCACTTGAACCCAAGAGGCAGAGGTTGCAGTGAGCCAAGACCGCACCATTGCACTCCAGCCTGGGCAACGAGAGCGAAACTCTATCTGAAGAAATAATAGAAGAGAAGAGAAGAATAAAATAAAAAGTAAAATAAAATAGTTCTGATGGTACATGATACCATACTAAACCTAGCTTTAAACAAATAAGATGACCAGGCACATTGGTTGACACCTGTAATCTCAGCACTTTGGGTGGCCAAGGCAGGCGGGTCACTTGAGCCCAGCAGTTCGAGACCAGCCTGGGCACTCTAGGGAGACCCTGTCTCTAAAAACAAAACAAAAAACCAAAAATTTGCCAGGTGTGGTGGCATGGGCCTGTAGTCGCAGCTACTCAGGCTGAGGCAGGAGGATCACTGGAACTTGGAAGGTTGAGGCGGCAGTGAGCTGTGATCATGTCATCCACACTCCAGCCTGGATGGCAGAGTAAGACCCCATCTCAAAAAAACAAAATGACAGAAAACATGATTTCTGTTTCTATTTTAAAGGGTAAAATAGTATATTTTAACACTTTGAAATGAAGAGTCTGGGCTTGGGAACGTTACAATGATGTTTACTCGTACTAGTTACGCACTCCCCTCCCAGATCTGTCTCGTAACAAGAGACTGTTATTTTCTACTTGTTTTTAGCCAAAAGGCCGAGAAACGATGGTTATTTTAAATCCCTAGTGTCTCTTACAGTTGATGTCTTCTTAGTATTTAGGAATTTCCAGGACATCTTTTTGTTGTTGTTAATGCACTGTGTGTGTGTGTGTGTGTGTGTGTGTGTGTGTGATTATAGGAGTGACCCACTACGCCCGGCTGTGTGTGTGTGTGTGTGTGTGTGTGTGTGTGTATGTGTGTGTGTGTGATTATAGGAGTGACCCACTACGCCCGGCCTATGTGTATGTATTTTAAAGGCTTCAATGAGAAAAAAGTTGGTTCTTAAAAAGGCAAGCTTCAGATTCCAGGGAAGATTGCCTCTGGAGAGCTCTGTTTTAATCCATGGGTTTGCCAGATTAATGAGGATTTACTGGCCTCGTGCCTTCGGCCCTCCCTACCCTGCGCCCATTGTGCATGTTTTGAAAAAGCAGTGCCAGGAAGGACTCTCTCTGGAATTACTGCGGAGTTACTTGAGTTAGCAAAGAATCCCCTTCCTCCCCCAAGAGCTGTAAGCCAAGTCTCTGTAGAGCTGACTCCATGCCTGTTTGTCTGCCTGTGTGTCTTGGCGCAGGTGGCTGGCCGTGCGGCTGGAGTGTGTGGGCAACTGCATCGTTCTGTTTGCTGCCCTGTTTGCGGTGATCTCCAGGCACAGCCTCAGTGCTGGCTTGGTGGGCCTCTCAGTGTCTTACTCATTGCAGGTAAGAGGGGATGCTCTTGGCTGGATTATTAAAGTCTGTTAATGGGGGAGCCAGTTGTCCTTGGCTTTGGATTCCAGCTCCAACAGGAATGGGGGAGAGGAACTTGAGAGGTACGGAGTTTGAGGAGCAGGTACAGTGCCACAGTGCCTGGTGACCAACTAGAGCAGGAGACGGATTTGACATGTGGCCAGGATTTTCCCCATCAGTCACACAGATTCCTTAGTGGCCCAAGAGGATACTTCCAGGTACGAGGGGAATGCTTTTAAAGCTATGAATTTCCCTCTAAGAACTGCTTTAGCTGCATCTCACAAATGATGATACATTGTGTTTTCATATTGTCACCTGGCTAAAAATATTTTCCAGTTTCTTATTATGTGGCCCATGAGTTATTTTGGAAATGTGTGTGCTTAGGAGATGGCAATGTGGCAGGCCTGGGTGATGGCTATACCTGGGGTTGCTAATTTCGGTACCTTTCTTACCTGAATGTTTCATAACTCATAACCTTTTATTTTTATTTATTTATTTTTTTTGGAGACGGAATCTCACTCTGTCACCCAGGCTGGAATGCAGTGGTGGGATCTCGGCTCACTGCAACCTCTGCCTCCTGGGTTCAAGTGATTCTTCTGCCTCAGCCTCCCAAATAGCTGGGTTTACAGGTGTGCGTCACCATGCCTGGCTAATTTTTATATTTTTAGTAGTGACTGATGGGGTTTCGCCACATCGGCCAGGCTGGTCTCAAACCCCTGACCTCAGGTGATCTGACCGCCTCAGCCTCCCATAATTCATACTTGTTGAAAATAATTTGTTTCCTATTATCTCAGTGGAAAAAAAGAAAAAGGAAAGTCAAGTACGCCCGCTTACTCTAGAAATGCCACGTGACTCTTCCACTCACAGGTCACCACGTACTTGAACTGGCTGGTTCGGATGTCATCTGAAATGGAAACCAACATCGTGGCCGTGGAGAGGCTCAAGGAGTATTCAGAGACTGAGAAGGAGGTAGGCAAGGGCCCCTGGCTGGACCTCTTGGTCTTTGGTGTAGCTTTACCCCAAGGAGATCTCTGGACCCTATCCTGTGCACCTCTGCCTCTGAGCTGGATACCTCACCAGGTAGAAGTGCATCTTAACGCTTGTCCAGTCTTTTTGCAGCACTTATTTAGAGCCCGGTTTTAGGGTGAAAATAGTTTACCGGCTTTACCCAAGATCTGGGGTATCCATATACGAGACTGTGGGATGCTGTCAGGGCATTCAGAAGGTATTCACATTGTGAAGAAGTTTCCCCCTCTATTTCTCTTTCATAACTTCTGATGGTATCACAGAGAAAGTCTTAGTCTGGGGCTAGCAGGTCTTTAACACCTTAGCAATTGAGATGATCTCCCTTCAACAGACAGATAAACAGCAGCCCTCACACTTGGAGTCTTCAACAGGACGGATTCTGTCTATCAGAAATAACCTTCTGTTATTTGTTATGAATTTGGTTTTTTTGTGTGTGTGATGGAGTCTCACTGTCACCCAGGCTGGAGTGCAGTGGCACAATCTCGGCTCACTGCAACCTCCTCCTCCCAGGTTCAAGTAATTCTCCTGCCTCAGCCTCCCAAATAGTTGGGATTACAGGTGCCTGTCATCATGCCTGGCTAATTTTTGTATTTTTAGTAGAGATGGGGGTTTCACTAAGTTGGCCAGTCTGGTCTCAAACTCTTGACCTCAGGTGATCCGCCTGCCTCAGCCTCCCAAAGTGCTGGGATTACAGGCGTGAGCCACTGCGCCTGGCCTGTTATGTATTTGTATAGGGGACTCCTGTTACGGAAAATAATACTACTTTTCCTTTTGTGATTGTAATAAATTTTCCTCTTAAGTAAGTTGAGAAATTAAGTCTAAGTGACTTGATTAAGCATATTAAAACAACAAGAGAATGAGTACATGCATACTACACGAATGATGTAGCTGGGAACTGACCAAAGTTTGGGAAACCCTGCCGTTATTGAACCCCAGTCCCCTTTTTATAGATGGAGAAAAAGGGAACCTGGGGAGGGACAACAGCTGATCCAAGGTCCCACGTGGCTTGGTAGAACAGCTGGGACTAGGACCCGTGCCTCCAGTCTTTGATGTTGCGTTGCCCTTAATAACTGCCTTCTTAGGCCCTGAACAGCAGCACAAGTAGGAACAGCAGTGATAATAGATAATCACAATAATGCCTGGCGACACCCCCACCCTACATTAATGATAACAGGGACACACATAGTGCCTTGTAGAATGTCAGGCCCAGACTTAAACGTTTAATATAGAGTAATGCACTCAGTCTTTACCCCGCTCTATGACTGATTTTTGAGACACGGTCTCACTCTTGCCCGGGTTGGAGTGTAGTGCGATCTCATTCGCTGCCTCCCAGGCTCAAGTGATTCTCCTACCTCTGCCTCCTGAGTGTCTGGGACCACGGGCATATGCCATCACACCGGACTGATTTTTGTATTTTTAGTAGAGACGGGATTTTGCCCAGACTCATCTTGATCTCCTGAGCTCTAGTGATCTGCCTGCCTTGGCCTCCCAAAGTGCTGGGATTACAAGCGGGAGCCACCATGCCCAGCCCAGCCCTATAATTTAGATGCTACTATTACCCCCATTTTACAGGTGAGGAAACTGAGACAAAAAGCTGAAGTTACTTGCCCAAGATCACATGGCTGGTAAATGGCAGACCTAGGCGTTGAGCCTGTGCCTCCTCAGAGACCCTATCCAGTGCCATGGGAGTCATGCTACCCGGCCTCCTGAGGAGAGATGCCCCTTGGGAGTGAGACCAAGGCCTCTGTAAGGTCTGTCCTCCTGAGGAATTCACAGAGGTGACCTCGGCCCACTCCTTTAACATTCTGACTGGGTGAACCAGGTCCCATGTCACGGGTGAGCATTGTAAGAATGGCGTGAGTGCCCCCGTGAGGAACCAAGGGTGTATTACACCGGCGGCTTCCAACTTGACACTGAATTTAATTCACTTACAAGGTATTTCATTAGGTTTTTTTTTTTTTTTTTTTTAGATGGAATTTGGCTTTTTTTTTGCCCAGGCTGGAATGCAGTGGCACGATCTCAGCTCACTGCAACCTCCACCTCCTGGGTTCAAGTGATTCTCCTGCCTCAGCCTCCCAATTAGCTGGGATTACAAGTACCCACCACCCCGCCCAGCTAACTTATTTCATTAGTTTTTATAATAGCCTCATTGACATGTGAATTTCACATGCCATGGAATTCACCCAGTTAAAGCGTTCAGTTAGATTGAATTCAGTTTTTTTTTTGTTTGTTTGAGACTTAAGTCTCGCTCCAGCCTGGAGTGCAGTGGCATGATCTCAGCTCACTGCAACCTCCTTCTCCTGGGTTCAAGCGATTCCCAGCCTCCTGAGTAGCTGGGATTACAGGCGATTTTTGTATTTTTAGTAGAGAAGGGATTTCACCATGTTGGCCCGGCTGGTCTCGAACTCCTGACCTCGTGATCCACCCGCCTCAGCCTCCCAAAGTGCTGGGATCACAGGTGTGAGCCACCACACCCGGCCTGAGTTCAGTTTTTAAAAGCATTTTACTTTTGACTGACTTTTATATTTTTAGAAGGATCGTGTTTGACAAACCCAAGAGAAAGTAATTGTCCTCATTAGTCCTACCACTATTCTGTATTTGCATGTATTTTTATATATAGATAGAAAGTTCCACATACTTCTCTCCATTCCGCTCACTGTGTTGTTATAGCATCTCCCCTTCAATTATGTACATAAATTATAAAATAGAGATACACTTGTTGTTTTAAAAAAGAAAAAATCAATACAGGGCTGGACACAGTGGCCCACGCCTGCAATCCCAGCACTTTGAGAGGCCAAGGTGGGTGGATCACTTGAAGCCAGGAGTTCGAGACCAGCCTGGCCAACGGTGAATCCCGTCTCTACTAAAAATACAAAAATTAGTTGGCATGGTGGCAGGTGCCTATAATTCCAGCTACTTGGGAGGCTGAGGTGGGAGGATCGCTGGAACCCGGGAGGTGGAGGTTGCAGTGAGCTGAAGAAACATCACTGCACTCCAGCCTGGGTGACAGAGTGAGACTCTGTCTCGAAAAACAAAAAAACAAAGAAGTTTATGGTGGAGAAAGACAGTTTGTTCCTGTTCGCCCCGTTCCTCTCCTCTCCAGAGAGAGGCCCCATTAGCATTCGGGTGAATTTCCCCCAAAACTTTCCCGTGTGGATTCCCACATACCCCAACACTTTTGTTTGCTTGTTTCTTTTTCTTTTAACGTAAGTGGAATCTACCTGTTATCCTGTGAAACCTTTTCTTTAACCATGAGGCACCTTTGCATCTGTGTATAGTAACAGTCACTGCCTCTAAGGGCTGCTGTGAGGCTCAGATGAGATCATGGGTCTCAAGTGCTGAGCAGAGCAACTTGCCTTAGTTGCATTGTAAGCGCTCAATAATAACATTTATTTTTTGGCCAGGCGCGGTGGCTCACGCCTGTAATCCCAGCACTTTGGGAGGCCAAGGCAGATGGATCACTTGAGCCCAGGAGTTTGAGACGATCCTGGGCAACATGGTGAGACATCGTCTCTACAAAATAAAAAATAATACTTTTTGTTGTTGGCGGTGGTGGTGGGGTTTTTTTTTGTTTTTTTTTTTTTGAGACAGAGGAGTCTTGCTGTGTCACCCAGACTGGAGTGTAGTGGTTTTATCTTGGCTCACTGCAACCTCTGCCTCCCAGATTCTAGTGATCGTCGTGTCTCAACCTCCCAAGTAGCTGAGATTACAGGCTCCCACCATCAGGCCCAGCTAATTTTTGTATTTTTAGTAGAGCCAGGGTTTCACCATGTTGGTCAGGCTGGTCTCAAACTCCTGACCTCAAGTGTTCTGCCCACCTCGGCCTCCCTAAGTGCTGGGATTACAGGTGTGAGCCACTGCGCCGGCAACGCTGTGATTTTATAGCACGTCCACAAAAGGGCTGCATGTCTTGCCTAAAAGTTGCCCGGCGTTTTCTTGTTATGTGCCGTCTGCAGTGCCCCTGAGCTTGGCCATGTGCTCTGCAGCCTGGTTCAGCACCTGTGTGTGCCCTGGACGGGGAGGTGCATTCCCCGAGGCTAAAACCAGTGAACCTGGCCCAGGCCATATCCAGCTGTGGGCCTCAGGAAATGCTGAACTGAACTACTTTTCAAAAGGAGGGTTGTGTGTCCCTGGGCAAGTTACCGCCCCTCTCTGTGTCTCAGTCTCCTTGTGTGTAAACTGGGGATAATGAAAGGACCCTCCCACATGGGGTTGCTGTGAGGATTGGATGAGACACTGCGATACAGATGCTGCTTTTATCCTTGCCTTCCTGCCGGGGTGGGCAGCCAGGGTAACTCACTTTTATTGTCGTGTCTGTCCAGAGAAGACCACTCATTTCATTGACTCCATTTATAAATATTTATTTAAATTTTTTTTTATCAAAAAGTAAGTTTTATTGGCATCTAAAAACAAAATTCACCCAACACTGAAACATACTTCAATATTTATGTTATTGTTTTCTTGTTTCTTTTTTACTCACTGCAGTGTGAGGAACAAATCACATTTACTTTGGAGAAACAGAGACCATAGTGTAGATTTTACAAAATCACTTTTTAAACTCTCTGTATTGCGCTCCTCAAATACCTAGAGCCAGTCTGTGCATAACATGGCACACTGTTGTCTAAACCGTAAAATTTTGCATCAGCCTAAAGATATGGATAAGATATACCTCCACTTGCTCTTTTGAAATACATCTATTACCTTATCCAGCCTAATGATAGTTACCTAAAAAATTCTTTGTTCCGTAGGAAGTCTCTGACAAGCTGTTATTCATTTCCTTGACGTTAAAAGAATCTGGGGGCAACATTTATATTTTATCAGAAAAACTTTTTAAAAGTTTACCTATCATGTTCATATTGAGAACAATGTCTGTGGCGGGCATGGTGGCTCACGCCTGTAATCCCAGCACTTTGGGAGGTAGAGGTGGGTGGATCATGAGGTCAGGAGTTAGAGACCAGCCTGGCCAACATGGTGAAACCACATCTCTACTAAAAATACAAAAATTAGCTGGGTGTGGTGGCGGGTGTCTGTAATCCCAGCTACTCAGGAGGCTGAGGCAGGAGAGTCGCTTGAACCTGGGAGGCAGGGGTTGCAGTGAGCTGAGATCATGCCATTGCACTCCAGCCTGGGCGACAGAGTGAGACTCCATCTCAAAAAAAAAAGAACAATGTCTATACAAATCAGTTGTACAATTATTTTAAAAGAATGGTGAGCATGAACGTCACGTTAATTCTGGCAGACAAAAATGAACAACTATGGTCCATTGAGCCATTATCTGTTACACAGAGATGACAGCTTTACAGAAGGTATCTCTGACCTACTGAGGGATGATCATGTCCTCTCAGTTTCTGTGCCTTCTACCACTAGTTCACTTTCTATATCAGCAGCTGTGTCACTCTTCTTGTTTATGTTCATAAATGTGTGTTGAACACCTACTATGTGCTCTGAGCCCTGGGATACAGCAGTGAACAATTAGAGCCTGTCCTCATTGAGTGGATGGTGCAGTGGGTGTGGGAGACAGAATACACTCAAGCATGCGAGCCCCAAGAGGGCTGGGGACAGGCAGTGCCCTGAAGGAGAAGGCAGTGCGGGAGGGGACAGAGGGACACAGGGCTGAGAGGGTGCTCTGTATCGACCAGAGATCCACAGGATGCAAGGGGGTCATTTGGGGAATAACATTCCAGGAAGGGCAACCCCCCAGTGCTGAGGCCTGGGAGGCCACCTTGGGCAGCAGAGTGAGTGAGAGGGGAGGTCAGGGGAGTCACAGCTTTACCAGATGGACTGGAAATTCCTTACTCTCTCCCTTCACTGCGATCGAAGGCGCCCTGGCAAATCCAGGAGACAGCTCCGCCCAGCAGCTGGCCCCAGGTGGGCCGAGTGGAATTCCGGAACTACTGCCTGCGCTACCGAGAGGACCTGGACTTCGTTCTCAGGCACATCAATGTCACGATCAATGGGGGAGAAAAGGTGGGTACACATCGCCCCATTCCCTCACCCATTCCCAGTCGGGCACAGGGTGCCATCGGGCAGGTGAACCTAGCTGCAGCGTCTCCCCAGTCACTCACGGCTCCACACCTTTGCTTGAATGGCTTTTTGGGGGGCTGGGAGTGGACTGTGGCAGTAAAAGCTGTTCAGAGCGCATACAGCTTGCAGAAGTGAAGGCTTTTAGGTGAACTGACAGCCTGAAGACCAAATGAGCCCCACAGATTTGTTTTGGAAGATTTTTTGTTGTTGTTGTTGAGAGAGGGTCTTGCTCTGTTACCCAGGCTAGAGTGCAGTGGTGTGATCTCAGCCCACTGCAGCGGCAGCCTCCCAAGTGGGGGGACTACACATGGTTGGGAGTGCAGGTGTGTGCCACTGCACCTGGCTAATTTTTGTATTTTTTGTAGAGATGGGGGTCCTACTATGTTGTCCAGGCTGATCTGGAACTCTTGAGCTCAACCGGTCTGCCCGCCTCAGCTTCCCAAAGTGCTGGGATTACAGGAATCAGCCACCATTCCTGGCCCCTGGAAGAAGTTCTTTTTTTGTTTTTTGGTTGGTTGTTTTTTTTTTTTTTTTTTTTTTTTTTTTTGAGATGGAGTCTTACTCTGTTGCCAAGGCCAGAGTGCAGGGGCCCGATCTCAGCTCACTGCAACTTCTGCCTCCTGGGTTCAAGTGATTCTCCTGCCTTAGCCTCCCGAGTAGCTGGGACTACAGGCATGCGCCACCATGCCTAGCTAATTTTTGTGTTATTAGTAGAGATGGGGTTTTGCCATGTTGGCCAGGGTGGTCTTGAACTCCTGACCTCAACTGATCCACCCGCCTCAGCCTCCCCAAGTGCTGGGATTACAGGTGTGAGCCACTGCACCTGGCCTGGAAGAAATTTGAATAAGTTGCAAATACTGAAAAATCTGGAAGACTTAATATAAAAATTTATTTTCTGCTTTTTTTGGAAGATCAGAACATCTGGCAACATCAGGTCAATCCTCCCCCGCCTGGCTCTTTCTAGTCAACCTGTGAGCCTCCTGGTTCACCCCAGTCCCTCCCTGTCCCATTCATTGCCTAGTTGGCCCCTCCAAAACATTAGAATTTGTGATCTCTAGAATAAGGTGTCACCATCCCTTCTAGGGGGATGGCTCAAGGGAAGTGAGAAATTGTCAGAATTTTGGAACCTTCTCTTGGTTCCGAGCTGTTCTTGGAAGAGGTTCCTTGACCTGAGTGATACCCTTAGACTTTCCTCTGGAATTGGTCTGACAGTCTTCCTGGCCATTTGCTGGGGGACAAGGCTGCTTTCACCTCTGAACATATGGACTTATTGAACTGTTCCTACGTACCTCCCACAAAGCTCAGAACATTCTGTTCCCAGCAGATAATTTCTCTCTGAGTTACAGAGAAGAGCAGAGTGGGTGATGTTCTTGCTGTCTTTTTTTGTTTTTGTTTTTGTTTTTGTTTTTGTTTTGTTTTGTTTTGTTTTGAGACAGCCTCTCACTCTGTCACCCAGGCTGGAGTCCAGTGGTGCTATTTCGGCTCACTGCAACCTCCGTCCCCTGGGTTCAAGTGATTCTCCTGCCTCCGTCTCCCGAGTATCTGGGACTACAGGTGCATGCCACCACGCCCAGCTAATTTTTGTAGTTTTAGTAGAGATGGGGTTTTACCATGTTGGCCAGGCTGGTCTCGAACTCCTGACCTTCTCTGATCCACCTTCCTCGGCCTCCCAAAGTGCTGGGACTACAGGCATGAGCCACCGTGCCCCAGCCCTTGTTGAGTCTTTATGGCTTATCTCACGTCATGAGAATTTTTGCACGCATGCTGCTCTGTGACACCCCTGTAGGAGGGAAGAAGGAGCCCACTTCTCAAGAGCCAGGCAGGAAGGGGAGAACTGGAGGTCAGGAACATCATCCTTTGGCCATTAGCTAGAGAACCTAGTTCCTTCAAGAGAGGATGCATGGAGACCAGGTCATAGCAAAGGGCCGGAAGATCTGCCTGAATCTTTCAGATATTTCAACAACTCATGATGGGAAACTCACCATCAAAGGTGTGAAAAACAGTGGGGAAATGAGGAAATGCCTGATTATTACTTAATAGTTTCTTGAGTCTAAACAAATAGGGCTTTGTTGGAAATTCCTTCTGCCTCTTCTGTATCTCTTTTGAGGTCTCTAGTAACTTATAAAAAGCCGAGTCATTCCTTTTGGGAGCCTGGCAAAGGGAAGAGAGTCCTTCTTGACCTTCGGCCGAAACACCCTTAAAGGAGTGTCTCTGGGCAGCGCGCAAGGGAGAGGGCTGTCGAGTTGGGTTGACCAGATGACTGATGCCTGAGGTGGGGCCGAGATGAGGGCACTTTGGGGCAGGGACAAGTCCGGATGCCAGCATTCCCACCACACCTGGGCCCTTCTGTCCTGCAGGTCGGCATCGTGGGGCGGACGGGAGCTGGGAAGTCGTCCCTGACCCTGGGCTTATTTCGGATCAACGAGTCTGCCGAAGGAGAGATCATCATCGATGGCATCAACATCGCCAAGATCGGCCTGCACGACCTCCGCTTCAAGATCACCATCATCCCCCAGGTGGGGTCTGGGTGTGGCCCAGGGGGTGAGCCAGAGCTGGCAAGCCCTATGATTGCACTGACAGTGGTGTATGTATATTTTTGGGGCAAACATACATTTGGCCCTACTTCATCGTTCTTTTTTTTTTTTTTTTTTTTTTTTTTCCTGAAACAGGGTCTCGCTCTGTTGCCCAGAGTGGAGTGCGCTGGCGCAATCTCAGCTCACTGCAACCTCCGTCTCCCAGGCTCAAGCGATTCTCCCACCCCAGCCTCCTGAGTAGCTGGGACTACAGGCACATGCCACCACACCCAGCTAAATTTGTTTTGTACTTTTTTGTGGAGATGGGGTTCCACTGTGTTGCCCAGGCTGCCCTTGAACTCCTGGGCTCAAGCAATCCACCCACCTTGGCCTCCAAAAGTGCTGGGATTACAGGCATGAGGCACCGTGGCTGGCCTTCATTGTTTTTATTGAAGTTAGGCTGTGCTGCTGCTTCCCTGAATTTCCTCTTAGTATATGATTAACAACGTGGGAATTAACTGACTATCAGTCCCGACTTCCTGTCCCCGGGAGGGGTAGTTTCAGAGCATCTAGAAAAATCCAAAAAGACACCGTCTTCTCTCTCTGCTGCCAGAGTCAGACTGAGCATCTCTAACCCTTCCAAGAGCTAGACAAGAAATAAGACTTTTTAATTTTCGATTCACGGGGTGCACCTGCAGGCTTGTTACGTGGGTATATTGTGTGATGCTGATGCTTCGGCTTCTATGGATCTCATCACCCAACTATTGAACAGAGTACCCGAGAGAGAGTAGTTTCTCAACCATTACCCTCCTCCATCTGTCCCCACTTATGGAGGCTCCAGTGTCTATCATTTCCATCTTTACAACCATGAGTACCCAGAGTTTAGCTCCCTCTTACAAGTGAGAACACACAGTATTTGGTGAGAAATAAGGATTTTCTTTTTCTTTCTCTTTTCTTTTTTTTCTTTTTTTAACTGAGACGGAGTCTCACTCTGTCACCCAGTGCAGTGGCACGATCTCAGCTTACTGCAACCTGCACCTCCTGGGTTCAAGCGATTCTTCTGCCTCAGCTTCCCAAGTAGCTGGGATTATAGGCACGCACCACCATGCGTGGCTAGTTTTTGTATTTTTAGTAGAAACGGGGTTTCACCATGTTACCCAGGCTGGTCTCAAACTCCTGACCTCGAGTGATCTGCCTGCCTCGGCCTCCCATAGTGCTGGGATTACAGGGGTGAGCCAACATGCTTGGCTGAAATAAGGATTTTCTAGACCAATCCCCGCAGGTGGATTCCTTAATATGTTGCCTTTTAGTGTAATCTTCCCTAAAGTGTCTTAGAAGATTCTCTTCTGTGGTTGGATGACGGGAGAATCCACGGGACTTTACTGTTAGGAATCACCTGTGCTGCGTCTCATTTCTGGAGGTTCTCAACCCACTTGCATATTGAAGGCTCCAGGAAGTTGTATGGAAAGGAAATCTGTTGTATTCTGCCAAACTCAGACTTTCCAGACTTTTTTTTTTTTTTCCATTATTAAGGCAATTTTTTTTTTGGAGATAGAGTCTTGCTCTGGAGTGCAGTGGCACAATCTTGGCTCACTGCAACTTCCGTCTCCCGGGTTCAAGTGATTCTCCTGCCTCAGTCTCCTGAGTAGCTGGGACTACAGGTATGCACCACCATGCCCAGCTAATTTTTGTATTTTTACTAGAGACAGGGTGTTGCCATGTTGGCCAGGCTGGTCTCGAACTCCTGACCTTAAGTGATCCACTCGCCTCGGCCTGCCAAAGTGCTGGGATTACAGGCGTGAACCACCGTACCTGGCCTTTTTCTCCATTATTAACATCTCCAGAAATAGTGATTCCAAGGAGCTCTGATACCCCACCTTCAACAGTCCTGGCCAGAAGTCCTTAGGTCGCCTCCATCCATGTCAGCGTGACACAGGTGTCACATGCCGTCCACTCTCTTCTCTCTGAACAGGACCCTGTTTTGTTTTCGGGTTCCCTCCGAATGAACCTGGACCCATTCAGCCAGTACTCGGATGAAGAAGTCTGGACGTCCCTGGAGCTGGCCCACCTGAAGGACTTCGTGTCAGCCCTTCCTGACAAGCTAGACCATGAATGTGCAGAAGGCGGGGAGAACCTCAGGTAGGCGGGGGTGAACAAGGAGACACCGGGTAAGGTGTCCTAGGCGCCATCTCGGTAGGGGTGTTTGAAGATTCTGTCCAGATCTGTGTCACCTGGATTTGAGTCCCAGATGACCATTTGTCCCTTCACCTCTTGGAGCCTCAGTTTCTGTATCTGTAAAACGGGTCTCAATCCAGGCTCTTTGTACCATGAGGTAGAATAACCAGGATGACCAGTACATTTCCTTTTATACACACCAGCTCCATTCAGTTGATAGTGGCTGTCAGTTGTTAAGCTATGGAAAGTCTTCTGTACCAGTTGGTCACTAGCACTGCTCTGAGCCCCCAGGTCCCCATGCACTACCCCAGCTGTCTTGGTCTCTACCAGGATCCTGGAGCTCTGTCCATGACCCAGCAACTAAAGCATTAATGCCTGGCACACCAGCGGAACCTCTGGGGTCCTGCTTTGGTGGTGTTTGTTAGTGCCTGGTTCTGGTTCTGTTATCCGTCTCCATGACAACCAACCATAAAGCCTCAGGCATGTTCAACCATAAAGCAACGATCATTGCTGCCATACGAGGGCAGTCAGCCAGGTGGCTCTGCTGATCTCGGCTGGGCTCACATGCATGTCTGGGAGTCAGCTGGCTGTTGGCTGATCTCGGGGTCAGCTGGCTTTTGGCCTCAGGTGGGGCAAGAAGGGTATGTTCCGTGCATCCCTCATTCTCCAGCAGACCAGCTTGGGCATGTTGTCATGGCGATGGCAGGGGCACAAGAGCGTGCAAGCCCCTATTGCATCTAACAGTATTCTTTTGGCTGTCCTTACTTTTGCTGGTGTCCCATTGGCCAAAGCAAGGAACATGTCTGATTCCAGAGCCACCTCTCATGGCCCCACAGTTGGATAAGGGATGCATGGGTATGAGGCCTTTTTTTTTTTTTTTTTTTTTTTTTTTTGAGACGGAGGGTCTCACTCTATCACCCAGGCTGGAGTGCAGTGGCGCAATCTCATCTGCAACCTCCGCCCCCAGGCTCAAGCAATTGTTCTGCCTCTGCCTCCTAAGTAGCTGGGATGACAGGTGCCTGTCACCATGCCCAGTTAAATTTTGCATTTTTAGTAGAGATGGGGTATCACCACATTGTCCAGGCTAGTCTCAAACTCCTGGCCTCAAGCGATCCACCCGCCTTAGCCTCACAAGGTGCTGGGATACTAGGTGTGAGCCACTGTGCCCGGCTCTTATTTTTTTTTTATTTTATTTTTTTTAAGAGACAGTGTCTCACTCTGTTGCCTAGGCTGGAGTACAGTGGATTGATCTCGGACTCTAACTCCTGGACTCAAGCAATCCTGCCTCAGCCTCCCAGTAACTGGGACTACAAGAGCATGCCACCACACCCAGCTAATTTGTTTATTTTTGTTTTTGGAGAGATGGGGGTCTTGCTTTTTTGCCCAGGCTGGTCTCAAATTCCTGGCTTCAAGCTATCCTCCCACCTCAGCCTCCCAAAGTGCTCAGATTGTAGGTGTGAGCTGCTGTTTTGAGAATGATTCTGAACCTGCATCTTGCTGAATAGGAGATGTGCTCTGATTGATTAGTGATGTCTGCTGCAGACACAGATGTTGGGAGTGGACATGCTTTCCTGGTCAAGCAACATAGAGTGTCTCCTTTCGCTTCTCCCAGCCTGGGCCTAGGTTCAGGGTCAGGGGTGGTTTGACCCAACACTATCTCCTGGTTTTTTTCTTCCGGTCAAGTGTCGGGCAGCGCCAGCTTGTGTGCCTAGCCCGGGCCCTGCTGAGGAAGACGAAGATCCTTGTGTTGGATGAGGCCACGGCAGCCGTGGACCTGGAAACGGACGACCTCATCCAGTCCACCATCCGGACACAGTTCGAGGACTGCACCGTCCTCACCATCGCCCACCGGCTCAACACCATCATGGACTACACAAGGTGATGCCACTGGCACAGTGGCCTCTAGGCTTTGGGAGTTTGCCTTACTCACTGGCTCACTCATTAATTCATTAATTCATTCAACACTGTCCTTATCCCTAGTGACAGCCCCAGTGGGTGGATCCTCTCTTCATCCTGGATGGTACCAGCTATTTCTTTTTTTTTTTTTTTTTTTGAGACAGAGTCTCGCTTCATCTCTGGAGTGCAGTGGTGTGATCTCGGCTCACTGCAACCTCTGCCTCTGGGGTTCAAGCATTTCTCCTGCCTCAGACTCCCGAATAGCTGGAACTACAGGAATGTGCCACCACGCCCATCTAACTTTTATATTTTTAGTAGTGACAGGGTTTTGCCATGTTGGCCAGGCTGGTCTCGAACTCCTGACCTCAGGCGATCTGCCCGCCTCCGCCTCCCAAATTGCTGGGATTACAGGCATGAACCGCTGTGCCCAGTGGTACCAGGTATTTCTAATATCATCTAGTCATTCATTCACGTCAGCGCACCTGCGGTGTTCCCAGACACTGGGGACTCTGTAGGCTGCTGTCAGACAAAGTCCCTGCCTCCAGGACCAAGTAGCTTATTAGATGGAGGAGACAAAAAATATACAGAGCAATAAACCAACAGGATTCCAGAGGGCAGCAGGTGCTGGGAAGGACGCTTGCCAAGGAGACGGGATAGCGAGTGCTGGGCAGGGCCACTGTTTCCATTGAACACTGCAGGCCCAGTGCGTGGGGCCCACAAAAAGGTTTTATTTTTTTTAAAAAATCAGAAGCAGGCCAGGTGCGGTGGCTCACGGCTGTAATCCCAGCACTTTGGGAGGCCGAGGCAGGCAGATCACCTGAGGTCGATAGTTTGAGACCAGCTTGGCCAACACGGTGAGACCCTGTCACCATTAAAAATACAAAAAGTAGCCAAGTGTGGTGGTGCGTGCCCATAATCCCAGGTACTTGGGAGGCTGAGGAAGGAGAATTGCTTGAACCTGGGAGGTGGAGGTTGCAGTGAGCTGAGATTGTGCCACTGCAGTCCAGCCTGGGCAACAGAGTGAGACTCCATCTCAAAAAAAAAAAAAAAAAAAAAAAGAATATAATCCAACCTGGATTTTATTTATACTAACACAGTCATAAAATAGAATTTCTAGCATTTTGTGTGGAGAAAGCCACCTCCGTAGGCATCAGTGCCGGGGACCACAAAAGTCAGAATGCTGCCATAGTGCCAGGGTCCTGGGGGGTTTTGAGTTTTGTGTGGGTCATCTCTGAAGAGGTGACATTTTAGCTGAGACCTGAACAATGAAAAGGAGTCAGCCTTGAGAAGATCTGGGACAGCGATCTGCAACCTTGTTCTTAAGGGCCGGGGTAGTTTCAGCTTTGTGGGCCACATGGCCTCTCAGCCACTTGACTCCAGTGTTGCCGTGTGAAAGCAGTCATAGATAGTGCACGAATGAATGAGCATGGCTATGTTCCAATAAAACTTTATTCATAAAAACAGGCAAGGGGTCAGATTTGGCCTGCAGGCCACAGTTTGCCAACCTTGGATCTAAAGGAAGAACATTCTAGGCAGCCGGTACAGCCGAATGTAAAAATGAATGCGCTTAATGAATTTGAAGGCTAGCATGAGGAGGCCATGTACCTAGAGGTTGGAATTGAGTGGACAGGGGCAGGAGATTAGGCCAGAAAGGTAGGCAGGGGCTGGATCTTAGAGCACCATGTAACCACGGTGAGAAGCTTGGAACTTACTCTAAGAGCCCTATAAAGCCATTGGAAGGTTTTAAGCAGGGAAGTGACATGAGTTTCTATTTTATTTTATATATTTTTGAGACAGGGTCTCACCCTGTCGCCCAGGCTGGAGTGCAGTGGTGGGATCACAGCTCACTGCGGCCTCAAGTGATCCTCCTGCCTCAGCCTTCCAAAGTGCTGGGATTATAGGCGTGAGTCTCTGCACCCAGCTGACATGATGTTTCTAGTTCACTGAGTACCACCTACTAAGTGGCAGATGCTGAGTTGGTGCTTTTGAAATATAGGACATAGAAATGAGGACAGAAGTGGGCAGTGTCAAATCTTACAGGACCTAAAATATTAGGGGTCAGCCAACTATGGCCCACAGGCCACAGATCTGGCCCCCTGCGTGTTTTTATGAATAAAGTTTTATTGGCACGCAGCCACATCTGTTCATTTTCCTGTTGTCTCTGGCAGCTTTCACACTATAAATACAGCAGAGATGCGTAGTTGTAACAGAAAGCATATGGCCTGCAGAGCCTCAAGTATTTACTATCTGGCCTTTTTCAGAAAAATGTTGCCAATCGTTATTGTAGACTGTGGTAAGATCTTTTTATTTTACTCTGAATGTAATGGAACAGTGAATGTGAACAGTCAACACTGTTAATACCATTCACACCATGATTGATGTGGGGTAGATATTAAGGAGCTGGCCTCATGGGAATCTGACATTGACTAGAAATAGGGATTGAGGGTGAGCAACCAGCTGGAAGGTACTGCACCAGTCCTAGCAAAAAGTGTTAGGGGCCTGACCCGAAGCAGTGACTTGCCCAGGTCAGTTGTCCCAGGGGCACGAGGTGCTCACCCCTCCCCTTCCCCTCATGTCTGTATCCCCTCTCCCTCAGGGTGATCGTCTTGGACAAAGGAGAAATCCAGGAGTACGGCGCCCCATCGGACCTCCTGCAGCAGAGAGGTCTTTTCTACAGCATGGCCAAAGACGCCGGCTTGGTGTGAGCCCCAGAGCTGGCATATCTGGTCAGAACTGCAGGGCCTATATGCCAGCGCCCAGGGAGGAGTCAGTACCCCTGGTAAACCAAGCCTCCCACACTGAAACCAAAACATAAAAACCAAACCCAGACAACCAAAACATATTCAAAGCAGCAGCCACCGCCATCCGGTCCCCTGCCTGGAACTGGCTGTGAAGACCCAGGAGAGACAGAGATGCGAACCACCCAAAACACGCACACCCTGCCCCTGGTGCCCTGAGACAGACACACAGCCTCACGCCCCCAGGAATGCAAGTGGTTTCCTGGTGCTTCCCACGGAGGAGTTTTGGCAGCCAGACTTCTGGAGGAATTGGTTGTATAGAAGATCCTAGTGACCAAATTCAGCCTACTGCCTCGGATCTCTCCAGCCGAAGTCTGTGGACTGCAAGTCTTTGAGATGCTTCTGGCTCCCATCACCTCTAACATCCTTGTCTGGGTCTACCAGGAACGCTTCATTTCCTTGGGGCTGCAGTTTTGTGGTTGAGGGGCCTGGAGAAAATCATTTTCTCCCCTTGGCAGTGTCCCAGGGCCCTGGATGGTCCTCTTACCAACATCTGGTCTTCCAGGCACTCAAAAGCTGGGAACCAGCATCTCAGCGCCAGCTCTACCAGTTCTCGTTTTGGGCCAGAGGCAGCCTCTGCACTCCCACGCCTGTCCTCCTGGAAGGGACCTGGTTGGACTAACGGCTAACCTGGACCTGGAACTGTAGGGCCAGGGGATTGTCTCAGGGCCGACGTTCCACCTGGGGCTTCCCTCCCCACCCACCCCGACTCCAGGCTTTCCCTTTTTTCTTTTGTTCAACATTGTAAGAACAATCAATGCTGTTATTACTGTTCCCACCATGATTGATGTGGGGTAAATATTAAGGAGATGGCCTCATGGGAATTTGACCTTGACTAGAAATAGAGACTGAGAGTGAGCAACCAGCTGGAAGGTACTATGCCAGTCCTAGCAGAAAAATGTGTTAGGGGCCTGGCCCAAAGCAGTGTTGGTTGCTTACAGTGTTGATTGATTTTGTTCTTTTTTCTTACCACCTCTTTTCTTTCCCTCTCATGGTACCTGCTCATGGTTATGAAGCTTTCAAAGTAAAGAACACGAAATACCTCCCAAGTATTACCAGTGGGTACCAAAAAAATGTCCCCTTGAGTCTTTTCCTTGTTTTTAGATGTTAATTCTCTCCCTTGGCATCCGGTTAGCCCCCCAGGGGGGGCAGCATTGTGGAGAACTTGATATTTAGTTACTGATGCTCTTCCAGGACACGAAAAGAACCCATCTTTGAATATCAATGATTTTTTTTTTTTAAGTACTGTTCCGGGGAGAAAAACAGTCTCAAAACTTGAACTTCTTGGGAATAGAAGTGTTGGGCTGAGAAGTAACATTCCCAGGAAATAGTGAGAAGCTCGCCCTGTGTTTGAAACCGTGTTGGTCTCTGTGTTCCTGGAAGAAAACAGGGAAGCAGCATCTTTTAAAGCCTGTTCTTTAAGGTGTCTCGTTAGAGCCCAAAGTGGAATCCGGAAGGCAGCCAGAGCTGAGGCTGCCCCAAGACTCAGACTTGCTAAGAATTACGCCGCCGACTTCAAACCCAGAGAGCATCTTTCTTTTAGGCGAAAACGCATATATTTATTTTTTGTAAGTTATACCATTCTTTCACATTAGATAAACTAAGTTTTGGGGGATCCTTTTGTAATGACTTACACTGGAAATGCGAACATTTGCAGTAAAAAAATATATATATATCTATATATTTTATTTCTTTCTAAAGAATGGTTCCCTTTCCTTTGGGGCCTCGGCGAGGGTTCCAGCCATGTCCTCTGCAGGGTCAGGATGTGGCATCTTCCTGTTTCTGTTCTTTCCTTTTGACAACAAGTCGCCTCTAGTGGGAGCTGTTGCCAGAAAGGGCAAGTTGTAGAGATCACTAGTCAGATGGGGTTTAGTGGGAAGGCGGGACAGCCGCAAGGTGGACGGAGCCCAGGTTTTGGGGTTGGACAGACCCTGGCTTGAGTCCTGCTCTTGTCATTTGCTGTTCTTGTGACCCTGGGGAAGTCACTCAGCCTCTGTGCCTCACTTGCTTTGTCTGTAAAATGAGGCTGATCGTACTTACCCTGTGAGCAGTGATGTGTGCGGTACTCGTAGCCTCGGTCAGGTTCTAAGACACAGGCGAGGCAGAAATCACATGTGGCCAGAACGATCCTTGAAAATCCTGCCCTCCCCCTGCCCTTTTTTTTTTTTTTTTTTTTGCTAGAGGCACGGTCTCACTCTGTTGCCCAGGCTGGTGTGCAGTGGCACGATCATAGCTCACTGCAGCCTCAAACTCCTGGGCTTACGCAATCTTCCTGCCTCAGCCTCCTGGGTAGCTGGGACTACAGGCATGTGCCCAGCTAATTTTTAAAAATTTTTATAGAGTCAGGGTCTTGCTATGTTACCCAGGTTGTTCTTAAACTCCTGGGCTCTGGGGATCCTCCTGCCTGAGCCTCCCAAAGTGCTGGGGTTCAGGCACCTGGCCTGAAAATCCCTTTATGTTAGTCCAGAGAGGCGAGGCTGCGCTGCAGTAACAAATTCGCCGTAAAATCTTCGGAAATGATCACAAGGCTTTATTTCTTGCTCACGCAGTTCTTGGTGAGGGTCAGCTGCCTCTCCAGGGTAGGTGACTTCCCTGTGACAAGTGATCCAGGCTGTCCTGGTTTTGTGACATGGCCTCCCAAGGGTTGGCCTCCAGGTCCCCACAGTGGGAGAAGGGAGAGTGGACGACTCTCACCCACTCTTCTGTGTCTGAAACCGGAACTGACGCAGTTAATCCCACTCACAGCCCATTGGCCAAAATGAGTCACATGGCCCCAACCCAACCACTGCGGGAGCTGGGAAATGGAGCGGTGCCTGTGGAAGAGAAGGATTTCTCCCTTTCCTAACTGATGTGGTTCTGGAGTTTTGGATAGCGGAGTAGTCAGACTAGTGTGTTCGGTTTCTAACTTCGAACTGGGTGAGTCTGGGCAGTAAGGAATGTCTGTATTTGGGGAGCACACCATTTCTGCCACACCTAAAACCATGCACCAAGTACATGTGCAGATAGAACGTTCTAGCACTGCCATTGTTCCCTCAAGCTTTCCTGTCCCCTGATTGAAATTGTTGGCTTGCACTAGGGACTGTGGTGTACAAAGGTGCTCAGGGAAGAGCCGGCGAGGTGGTGACCATTAGAATGAGTAGTAGTGTCTGGGTGCAGTGACTCATGCCCCATTGAAACTGTTGGCTTGCATTAGGGACTGCAGAGTGTGAAGGTGCCTAGTGAAAAGCCAGTAAGGTCATAACCATTAGAATAGGTAGTATCAGCCAGCCGGGCATGGTGGCTCATGCCTGAATGATGTCATTGGCTTGCATTAGGAACCACAGAGTATGAAGGTGCCCAGTGAAAAACTGGTGACGTTGTGACTATTAGAATTAGCAGTATTGGCTAGACGAGGTGGCTCATGCCTGTAATCCCAGCACTTTGAGAGGCTGAGACAGGAGGACTGCTTGAGCTGAAGAGTTCAAAACCAGCCTAGGCAACATAGTGGAACTCTTTCTATATAAAAACTTTTTTTTTGTTAAATTAGAAGTAGTTGAGGCTGGGTGCAGTGGCTGACGCCTGTAATCCCAGGACTTTGGGAGGCTGAGGCGGGTGGATTGCCTGAGGTCAGGAGTTCAAGACCAGCCTGATCAACATGGTGAAACCCCGTCTCTACTAAAAACACAAAAATTAGTTGGGCATGGTGGCACATGCCTGTAGTCCCAGCTACTGGGGAGGCTGACAGGAGAATTGCTTGAATGTGGGAGATAAAGGTTGCAGTGGGCTGAAATCAAGTCATTGCACTCCAGCCTGGGCAACAGAGCAAGCCGAGACTCCATTTCAAAAGAGTAGTAGTTGGATCTACCAGCGGGAATCTTAATAGGGATGTGAGATGTGTTTAGATCTCAAAGCCTGACCCTGAGTCTTAAAATCCCAGGTCAGATCCTAAGCAGTCCCAGAGAGCTCCACCTGGTGTGCATCTGTGCCAGTGTCTTGGGGTGGGGCAGCTGCATGCTCAGGTGGAATCCGGGGCTGAGTTCAAGTTTAATCCACTTTATGAAGAGGAGGCAGAGTGAGGCATAACTCCTCATCCAGGGGAGTGGAAGTACTGTGGAAGGAAGCTCTGTTTTGTACCTACTACGTGCTGGCCCTGGCCTCACTGTGCAGAACTCTCCACATTGGAAAGGATCCCCCCAGACCAGAGAGGCGTAAGGAGGGGGCTGGTGCTTTCCAGTGTTGAACTGTTCATCTGTCCTCACACCCACCATCGGGTCCTACAGCAAATTTGTTTGATTTTCTGCAAAACACCCAGAATCTATCCACTCCCCGTCCTCCCATTGCCACCACGCTGGTCCCAGCCACCCCACTTTCTCCCTGCATCCCTACAACAGCTGCCACAGTGGTCTCGAGGCTTTTGCCCCCAGCCCCCCACACACACATCAGTGTCCTCAACCTGGTGGCTGTAGTGACCTTATGAAAACACGCACTGGCCGGGCACGGTGGCTCACGCCTGTCATCCCAGCACTTTGGGAGGCCGAGGCAGGCAGATCACCTGAGGTCAGGAGTTCGAGACCAGCCTGGCCAACATGGTGAAATCCTGTCTCTACTAAAAATACAAAAATTAGCCAGGTGTGGTGGCGAGTGCCTGTAATTCCAGCTACTTGGGAGACTGAGGCATAAGAATTGCTTGAACTGGGAGGTGGAGGTTGCAGTGAGCCAAGATCACGCCACTGCACTCCAGCCTGGGTGACAGAGTGAGTGACTGATGGTGAGGACACGGGCTCTGAAGCCACACTGCTTGGGCAGAGATGCCACTCATTCTGTTTGTTTTCTCATCTGTCAAAAGGGCCTGATGGTAGTACCTTCCTCATCAAAACGTTCCAGTAAGGGGCCCAGTGAGGTGGCTTCCTCCTCTGGTCCACTGAATGCGTGCGTGGCGGGCATTTAAAGCAGTGTCAGGTATACGTAGTTACGTGTTTGCAGTGGCGAGGTGGACTGTTGAGTTTTAAAGAGTCTACTGGGCGCAGGCACTGACCAGAGAGGAAGTCTGCAGCCTTGATGGATGAAATTCGTGTTCCACCCACCAGCCAGACCCTACTGGCAGCAGCCCATGGCGGGGGTATTAATGGCCTGGGCATCCCCTCTGGCGCGTCTCCAGACTGCCGTGGTGTGGGCCCAACAGCAGTCTCGTTAGCAGGCTGGCAGGTGCCGGTTCCCACGTGCTGGCCGCCTGTGGCCCACCCTCTGCTCCCTGGCACACAGCCTAGGAAAGAGAGTCTGGTGGCCCTGGGTCATCCCCAGCTGAGTTTGCCAAATGCCCACATGGCAGCCCCTGCCTAGGGTCACTCTGCAAGGCAGGTGGCTCAGCTCCAGCCAGAGAAGACAGGCTGCATCTGCCGCCCTTCCTTTCTCTAAAGGACAAATGTGTCCTGTGCAATGACTTTGGTATTACACCCAGAAACAGATCCCCACTCTGTCCTTACTGACTGGGTCAACTTGGCAAGTCATGTCAACCCCTTGAGCCTCAGTTTCCTCACCTGTGAAATGGAGCTAGGAATAGGTAGTTGTGGGTCCACAGCTTTGCAGGCATGACTAGGGGCAGGTCAAGAATGCGGACTTCCTGCCCCACTTTGAAGGTGGTAGAAGCTGCAGTTAGAAGTTTACTCCAGGCCAAAAGGGGCATCACAAAACCTGTGAGGATGGGCCATCAGAAAGTCCCATGACCTGATGGGCGGAGCAGGCCCTGTGTCCTTAAGAAAAGGTGGAGTTCTTGCCCTGCCACCCCTGACACCAGCAAAGCCACTGCTCAAGTATCTGTGGATGATGGATGGCAGCGGGGCAGGTTAGACCGGGGATTCTCAACCAAGTGGGTCTTTTTGTTTTGTGTTTTTTCAGACAGTCTTGCTCTGTCACCCAGCCTGGAGTGCAGTGGTGTGATCTTGGCTCACTGCAACCTTCTCTGCCTGGGTTCAGGCGATTCTCCTGCCTCAGCCTTCAGAGTAGCTGGGATTATAGGCACCTGCTACCACACCCGGCTAATTTTTGTATGTCTGGTAGAGCCAGGGGTTCACCTTGTTGTCCAGGCTGGTCTCGAACTCCTGACCTCAAGTGATTCACCTGCCTCCGCCTCCCAAAGCACTGGGATTACAGGCATGAGCCACTGCACCCGGCCCAACTAGGTGGCTTTGACCCCCTGGGGGATTAATGGCAGTGTCACAAGTCTGGTGGCGGTAGAAGGAGGATGTTATTGGCATCTAGTGAAGAAGAGGCCAGGGGCGCTGCTGAACGTCCTACGATGTGCAGGACATGTCCCCACAGCACAGAACTATCTGGCCCCACGTGTCAATAAGGTTCAGAAAGCCTGGGGGATTGCCTTCTGTGCTTCCACGAACACATATCCATGTATTATGTCATTCTTGCGGCAATGCCACGAGGTCAGTGAGACTCCCTGACTAGCATACATAATGTTAGGATCTAGGGAGTTGTCTAATGTCTCACGCTGCCCTTCCCAGCGATCTATGTGTGGCCTTAGGCTTGGCTACTTTAGACTTAGTCCCTCTTTTCCGGTGCCTGCAGCTGGTTTGGTGAGTCCAGTATTAATATACTGACCGCTGTCAGAAAGAGGAGTGAGGAGGCTGGGCATGATGGTTCACGCCTGTAATCCCAGCACTTTTGGAGGCCGAGGTGGGCAGATCACCTGAGGTCAGGAGTTCAAGACCAACCTGGCCAACATGGTGAAACCCCGTCTCTAGTAAAAATACAAAAATAATTAGCCAGGTGTGGTGGTGGGTGCCTATAATCCCAGCTACCCGGCAGGCTGTAGCAGGAGAATCGCTTGAACCTGGGAGGCAGAGGTTGCAGTGAGCCGAGATCTTGCCACTGCACTTTAGCCTAGGTGACAGAGTAAGACTCTGTCTCAAAAAACAAAAAAAGAAATGTGTGAGGAATGCAACAAGCTGTGCATTGACCACCCTTGGTTACAGCAAGTTCTCCACGCTCAGCCGGGTCCAGCCTTTGGCTGTCAGCAGCATCTGGAGCGGAACTGTGAACAGAAACACTCCAGGTGTTCCGACGGGTGCTGGGGCGCCCCCAGGGAGCTGGAATTTGGTTTTTAGCAACCACATATAGGAAATGAACCCGCCAGCCACAGTATCTCACGCCTGTAATCCCAGCACTTTGGGAAGCTAAGGCCAGCGGATCACCTGAGGTCAGGAGTTTGAGACCAGCCTGGCCAACATGGTGAAACCCCGTCTCTACTAAAAATACAAAAATCAGCTGGGCGTGGTGGTGGGCGCCTGTAATCCCAGCTGCTCCAGAGGCTGAGGTGGGAGAATCGCTTGAGCCCGGGAGGTGGAGGTTGCAGTGAGTCAAGATTGCACCCCTGCACTCCGGCTTGGGTGACAGAGTGAGACTTTGTCTCGGACAAAAAAAAAAAAAAAAAAAAAAAGAACCAAGTCCTCGGGCAAATTCTCCCATTGAGGGCTGTGAAGTCTTGGCTCCTCTGTTGTTTGTTTTGGAAACCAAACTTGCATATTTGACTTTCTCATGCGTGGAGAGGACCCATGCTTGGCATGGGGGGGCACCTGGTTTTTGTGTCCTTGGAGCTCATCTCTGGTGGGGGAGGAGGAGCAGCAGGAGATGCGAGGGCTGTAGTTCTCAGTCCTGGCCGCACATTGGAATCCTATGGGGGAGCTTTAAAATTATACACCAAACTCGGCCAGGTGCGGTAGCTCACGCCTGTTATCCCAACACTTTGGGAGGCCGAGGAGGGTGGATCACATGAGGCCAGGAGTTCAAGACCAGCCTGGCCAATATGCTGAAACCTCGTATCTAATAAAAATTACACAAGTTAGCCAGGCATGGTGGCGCACGCCTGTAATCTCAGCTGCACGGGAGGCTGAGGCAGGAGAATTGCTTGAACCCAGGATGTGGAGGTTGCAGTGAGCTGAGATTGAGCCACTGCACTCCAGCCTGAGCAACAGAGTGAGACTCTGTCTCAAAAAAAAAAAAAAAAAAAATACACACACACACACACACACACACACACACAACTGGAGAACAGAGCATGGTCACTGGGGGCAGGAGCGAGAGTGATGGGTGTGGTCGGAAAATGGTGGTGGCTATTCCGTATCCTCACCCTGGTGTGGATTCATGAGCCTACATGTGTGATAAAACTGCATGGGACAAAATAAACACACACACACACAGGAGTACAGGTAAAACGGGAAATCGAGCAAGATTGTTGTGTCAATGTCAACACCCTGGCTGTGATGCTTTATCCTAGAGTTTTGCAAGATGTTACCATTGGGTGAAATGGGGTACCAAGTACACGAATCTCTCTATATTATTGTTTCTTTAACTGCATGTGAGTCTGGGATTATCCCAAAATAAAAGTGTTAATTTGTAAAAAGTACACACAGCATGGCAGTTCCCAGCCTCAGAGATTCTGATTTAAGGGTCTAGCCGGGAGCCTGGGCATGTGCTTGAGGCCCCCAGGTGAGTCCAGAGTACAGCGGGGCTGAGAGTCGCTGTTGACATTGGCTGCAGGGTGGACAGGGCGAGATGGGCCCTGCCCGGGCAGACCTGTGTATTGCTAGGTCCTTCCGGCTCTGATGCTCTGTGATAATTGGCCACTTTCTCTGCCATTTTCCTCCCAGAGAGCAAACACAGGTCTAGACTCAATATCGTGTGGAGCTATCGATGACCACGGGTCACTTCCATCTCCAGCACTGCAGGCTGTGCGGGCTGGTCCAACTGGGGTACGGTTGAGGGTCCTGGCTCAGACCAGGCCTGACTCCTGGGCCAGTCTGTAAAACAGGCCCTTCTGGGCCAGCAGCTGGGCCGGGCTGCCGCTCTCTGCCACCTGCCCCTTGTCCATGACCAGAACCCTGTGGGGGAGAGGGAGACAGAGAGGCTCTTTGGACACCAGCCCAGGCTCTCGGCAGCTGTGAGAGCCCAGTGTGTCTGCGCTGAGGTTTTCTCCATAGAAGTCCTGCTTTCCATGCGGCTCCCTGGCCCTCACAGCTGGGTTGGAAGCGTGTGCTGGGCGCATGTCCTTGGGCAGCTTTCCCACTTGGCATGTGTTCCCGGGCATTCCTCCCGCTCTGGCCCCATTCAGGACCCCTCCAGCTCTAACCCGAAGCCCAGTGGCCCAGGACTGCCTCCGCCTCCTTCCCCCACCACTGCAGGGCTGCTGTGAGGTCAGGCCGGGGCGGGAGCCTTACCGGGCACAGTCCATCACGGAGCGCAGGCGGTGGGCAATGAGCAGCACAGTGCACTGTGCAAACCAGCTCCCGAGCATGGCCTGCATCTGCAGCTCCGTGCCAGGGTCCACGGCAGCAGTAGCCTCGTCCAGGATGAGGATCTGGGTCTTCCGGAGAAGGGCACGTGCCAGACACAGGAGCTGTTTCTGGCCCACGCTGGGAACGATTGGGACAATTAGCTGGGACGTGCGTTTGTCGGCACATGGTGATGTGTGGGTGTGCCCAGAAACAGGTCCCTGAAGCAGTGCAGGAGTGAGGTGCCTGTGTTCAGGCATCCCCACACATGGGGTCTGGGGTCTGTGGTCTGCAGAACTGATAGGAAGCCTGTTCCTGCCATCTTTGAGCAGGCTGACTGTAGGCAGGTCATTCAAACCCTTTGTGCCTCAGTTTCCCCACCTGTGAAATGGCTATTTTCTTTTTTCTGTTTATGGCTCTTTTTTTCTTCTTCGTTTTTCTTTTTTTTTTTGAGACGGAGTCTTGCTCTGCCACCCAGGCTGGCGTGCAATGGCACAATCTCAGCTCGCTGCAACTTCTGCCTCCCGGTTCAAGCAGTTTTCCTGCCTCAGCCTCCCAAGTAGCTGGAATTACAGTCATGCGCCACCATGCCTGGCTTTTGTATTTTTAAAGTAGAGATGGGGTTTCACCATGTTGGTCCGACTTGTTTGAAACTCTCAGGTGATCCACCTACCTCAGCCTCCCAAAGTGCTGGGATTACAGGCGTGAGCCACTGCGCCCCGGTAGTTCTATTTCTAGTTTGTTTTTTGAGAAATCATCATACTATTTTCCATAGTGACTGTACTAATTTATATTTCCCCCAACAGCGAAAGCACAGCTTTCACTTCAGTCATGCCGTTGCAAACAAACCTACAATGACTGACTGCTGCTTCAAGAATCAAATCTACAGTCTTCCTAAGACATTCAAGGCTGGTGTCACGTGGGCCTTAAATACAGATGTGTACAACACCTGGGTGGGATTCCAGGCGTGATCCACCGTGCCTGGCCTGTTTATGGCTATGTCCAGTTCTATTTCTAGTTTCCACCTTGTGCCAAACACATTCTAAGTGCTTGTATATATTCACTCAATCCTCATAATGTCCACCAAGGTAGATATTATTGTTCTCTTCTTTTGAGAGAAGAGGACACAGATACAGAGAAGCTCAGTGGCTTGACCAAGGTCTCAAGGCTAGTGGTGGGTCCATAATTTGAACCCAAGTCCTCTGACCCCAGAGTCTGTGCTCCTAATGGATCCGTCCTCGCTGAATCGTGACGACATGGCACATAAAAGTGTGTGGGTGGCGGGGCACGGCGGCTCACACCTGTAATCCCAGCACTTTGGGAGGCTGAGGTGGGCGGATCACGAGATCAGGAGATCGAGACCATCCTGGCTAACACGGTGAAACCCTGTATGTACTAAAAATACAAAAAATTAGCCGGGCGTGGTGGCGGGCGCTTGTAGTCCCAGGTACTCAGGAGGCTGAGGCAGAAGAATGGTGTGAACCCGGGAGGCAGAGCTTGCAAGTGAGCCAAGATCGCGCCACTGCACTCCAGCCTGGGCGACAGAGCAAGACTCTGTCTCAAAAAAAAAAAAAAAAAAAAAAAGTGTGTAGGCTTGTCACAGAATAAGCCCTTGGCATGGAGTAGCACCCTTCGTGGAGGGTGGAGGAGTTGAGATTCCAGGTTGTGAGCCCAGTGAGCCCCTGACCCAGGTGGGAACTGACCCCTGGGGCCCCAGCATGGCTGTCTTGCACAGTAAGCCCTTCCATGAAACAGCATCCTTTTACATGATCAGAACCTACTATGGTCATGCAGGCGTTAGAGTGCCTGGGTCTTGTCCCAACCTCACTACTTTTAAGCTGTGTGACGTCAGGCAAGCCCCAGGCCTCCAATTCCAACTCTGTGAAATGATGTTATCAGGAGTGTGACTCAGGACTAAAATGAGTATTTACTCTTTGCTCTATGCCTGCCACTGTTTCAACAACTTTGTGCATATAATTCAATCCTTGCAAGGTAGGTAGGTGCTATTATTCCCACCTTACAGATGAGGAAACTGAGGCACACAAGATAAGTTGCCTAAGATCCTACAGCTAGTAAGTGGCAGGGCGGGGCGGGGGTGGGGGTGTGGGGTGGGGGGCCTGGATTTGAGCCCAGGCAGTCTGTCACCTGTGTATACTCTTACCCACCAAGCAACGCTGCCTCTCTAGTGCTGGAAATTATTGCCTACCACAAGCCCTTCGGACACCCTCAGGGTCAGAGGGGTTTATAAATCCAGAACACCTTAGGTTTTTTTTTGTTTTTTTTGAGACGGAGTCTTACTCTGTCACCCAGGCTGGAGTGCAGTGGCACAATCTTGGCTCACTGAAACCTCTGCCTCCCGGGTTCAAGCGATTCTCCTGTCTCAGTGTCTTAGCCTCCCACGTAACTGGGATTACAGGCGCCTGCCGCCACACCCAGCTAATTTTTGTATTTTTAGTAGAGACGGGGCTTCACCATATTGGTCAGGCTGGTCTTGAACTCCTGACCTCAGGTGATCCACCCGCCTCGGCCTCCCATAGTGCTAGGATTACAGGCATGAGCCACCGCGCCCAGCCACTTTGGTTTTTCTAAAGGCATATACCTATACACCTATGTTCATAGTGGCATTATTCAAAACGGCCAAGAGGTGGAAACAGCCTGGGTATCTACTGGCAGATAAACGGATAAGCAAAATGTGGTCTATCCATGTAGTGGAAAATTATTCGGCCTTAAAAAGGTAGAGAATCTGACACATGCTACGATGTGGATGACCCTTGAAGACATCATGCTGTGTGAAATAAGCCAGTCACAAAAGGACAGATCCTATGATTCTGCGTCTATGCAGTGTCTAGAGTAGTCACACTCAGAGAGACAGGAGAATGCTGGTGGCTGGGCGCTGGGGGAGGGGACAAGGAGAGTTAGGGTTTCATGGGTACAGAGTTGTAGTTCTGTTGTGTAACAGTGTGAATGTACCTAACACTACAGAAACTATACACTGAAAAATGGGTGAGATGGGCCCGGCGTGGCTGCTCACACCTGTAATCCCAGCACTTTGGGAGGCCTACGCAAGTTCGACTGTAGCCTGGGCAACATGGTGAAACCCTGTCTCTACAAAAAATAAAAAGATTACCTGGCCCTGGTGGCTCACACCTGTAACCCCAGCTACTCGGGAGGCTGAGGTGGGAGGAATGCTTGAGCCTGGGAGGTGGAGGTTGCAGCGAGCCTTGACCTCACCACTGCACTCTAGCCTGAATGACAGAGCCAGACCCTGTCTCCAAAGAAAAAGAAAAAAAAAAAAAAAGGTTGAGATAGTAAATTTTATGTGTATCTTTCCACACAGCTTTTTGTTGTTGAGACGAAGCCCAGGATGGAGTGCAGTGGTGCAATATCGGCTCACTGCAACCTTCGCCTCCCTGGCTCAAGCGTTCTTCCCACCTCAGCCTCCCAAGTAACTAGGACTACAGGTGCATGCCACCATACCTGGCTAATACTGTTGTCCACAGAGATAGGGTCTTGCTATGTTGCCCAGACTAGTCTCGAACTCCTGGGCTCAAGCAATCCTCCTCTCTCAGCCTCCTGAAGTGCTGGGATTACAGGCATGAGCCACTGTGCCCAGTCCACACTTGACATTTACCAAAAAAAAAAATCCTATATTATAGTCCCAGTGAGTGGTGAGGTTACCACCCGATATCAAACAATATTTTCATAGCAAAATAAATACTGAGCAAGAGCAATAAAGGCTATCAGTAGCCCTGTGTCAGTTGAGGTTGGGTTTTGCCACCAAGTAAATATAGAAGACTAACTGCTAATTTAGGGGGGAAAACCTTGGTATTCAGAGACTGTGTCAGAGCTTGGAATTGCAGATAAGAGACATGTGGTTATTAATGTAACAGAGTGATAATCCTATCGGGGGAGGCATTTCCTGAAGGCCCTTGGGGAGGGCATGGCCATCCCCTCCTCTCCCACCTGCAGGTCCCAGCCATGGTGGGACGACCATACCTCAGGTCCTCGCCTCGGTCAGCACACTTGTACTGCAGCTGGCCGGGCAGGCTGGCCACCAAGGCTTTGAGCTGCACCGTCTCCAGGGCTGCCCAGATAGCCTCGTCCGAGTGCTCCTGCAGCAGGTCGAGGTTCATCCGCAGAGAGCCAGGGAACAGGATGGGGTCCTGGCGGGGAGGGGCGGTGGGTCAGAGCCGGGTCCCACCATGCCTCCCATCTTTGCCCACCCCCTCCACCAGCCTCACCTGGGGGATGATGCTGATCCTGGAGCGCAGTGTGTGCAGCCCCACGTGGGCAATGGGGACCCCGTCGATCCAGATCCCACCCTCAGCTGCCTCCTGGAGCCGCAGCAGCCCACTGGCCAGGGAGGACTTCCCTGCCCCGGTCCTGCCAACGATGCCCACCTGCCCGGGGTTGGGAGGAAAGGCCTGCTCTGACCAGAGGGTTTGTGGGCATTTATTGGGGAGATCTTTCTGCTGTACCCGAGATCTGTCTATCCATCCCTCATTGTGTAAAGGTCTACCTTCCATCTCTCTTTCCATCTGTCTACCTTTCTATATATCCACCCATCAATCCATCCAGTCTTCCATCTGTGTTCTTCTCTATCTTTCCCTTATCCTGATATCTCTCTCCCATCTTTCTCCCCACCCTTCCTTTAGTTCCTCCATCTTTCCTCATCCTTCTATTTACACCTCTCCATCATCTCTCATCCTTTTTTCTACCCCATCCCATCCATCTGTCTGTCCGTCCATCCATCCCTTATCCTTTTTTCCACCCCATCCTGCCATCCATCCATCCATCATCCATCCTCAATCCCATCCCTCCATCTCTCTTCCACCCCATTCCATTCATCCATCCATTCATCTGTCTATCCGTCTCTCGTTTCTTCTTCCCTATTCATCCATCAATTCACTAATCCTTTCATTCATTTATTTTCTCCCATCCATCCATCCAGTCCATCCTTCCCTCATCCATCCTTCCATTCATCCTCCATCTTATCCATGTGTCCATTCTGTTATCCATCTCCCATGCTGTTATCCACCCTCCATCCTTATCTCTCTTGCTACTATTGCATCCTCAGTGTCTGACACATGGTGTGGGTTCAACATTATTTGTTTAATTAATGATGGAAACATGTGGGTCACCCCACTGTATGCCAAGTACCTGTTTAGGCACCGGAAGTATAGAAATTAAAGAGTCCTTGCTCCAGTGTGCCCATCATCCGGTCTAGGAAACAGTGCAATTGAGTAAATGTAATACAGTGTGATGAACAATGCTTTATTTATTTATTTATTTATTTATTTTTGAGATAAAGTCTTGCTCTATTGCCCAGGCTGGAGTGCAGTGGTGCGATCTCAGCTCACTGCAACCTCCACCTCCCAGGTTCAAGCAATTCTCCTGCCTCAGCCTCCCTAGTAGCTGGGACTGCAGGTGCCTGTCACCATGCTCGGCTAATTTTTGTATTTTTAGTAGACACGGGATTTCACCATGTTGGCCAGGCTGGTCTCAAACTTCTGGCCTCAAGTGATCTGCCCACCTTGGCCTCCTAAAGTGCTGGGATTACAGGTATAAGCCACAGCACCCAGCCAACAATGCTGTTTATTATCAAGGTCTGGACCTCTGGCAATTAAGGGAAGCAAGGCAGTGCTGCTCATGCTGCCTGGGATTTGACAGAGGTAATAAGAGAAGACCTCATGGAGGAAGGGATACTTGCATGGAAGCTTGAAGGATCAATAGGAGTTCAAGGAAGGGGAACACTCCAGGTAAACCACACCAAGTGGGTTTCCAAAACTAGAAGCTCATGGAGCTCACAGCACCATGTGCCCCCCTGGCCGAGAGGCAGCTGCTCCACAATGTTGGCTAAGCCCTGGCAGAGCAATGAATGAGAGGGGGAGGTTGGCAGGGCCTGGGTTGGGTAGAGCCTTGAATGCCAAGCTCAGGAATTCACACTTTACCCCAAGGGAAGCTGGAACTAGTAGAAGGTTTTGAGCAGGGGAATGACATGCAGTGTCATTCATGCTGATAAAGGTCACAGGATGGCTGGGCATGGTGGGTCATGCCTGTAGTCCCAGCACTTTGGGAGGCCGAGGGGGGTGATTGAGGTCAGAAGTTTCATAGCAGCCTGGCCAACATGGTGAAACCCTGTCTCTACTAAAAATACAAAAATTAGCCGGGTGTGGTGGCAGGTGCCTGTAATCCCAGCTACTCAGGAGGCTGAGGCAGGAGAATCACTTGAATCTGGGAGGCGGAGGTTGCAGTGATCTAAGGTCACACCACTGCACTCCAGCCTGGGCAACAGAGTGAGACTCTGTCTCAAAAAAAAAAAAAAAAAAAAATCACAGGAGAGCAGATTGGAGCTGGTGAGACAGGATCCACTGCTTTTTAGGGGACAAGGAGAGGACAGGGAGGAAGCCTCTGTAGGTTCAGAGGGAGGGAGGAAAGGGATTCAGTGAAGGGGCCTGATGAGGCATCTGTAAAATGGGATAGTACTAGCACCTCACTTAGGGGTTGTTGTGAGAGTGAAAACGCAAATAATAAAAGCATTAGTAAACATTTCTGGAGCACTTTCTATGAGCTAAGCATGTTCTATGTATTAACTCAAACTTCACAACAACTCAGAGATCAGTATTACCAGTCCCAATTTACAGATGGGAAAACTGAGACTGAGCTATGAAGTGCTTTTCCCAATGTCTCCCAGCTGAAAGCAAATATCCCATTTGTGCAAACTGGAAAATGTACCTGGAGCATTTAACACACTGCCCAGCACATATTAGGTGCTGGGTTAATGTTAAAGGAAGAAGGAAGTCACGGAGTTGCTTCCTCATCTGGGGACACCAAGGTGGATGAGGAAGTCACCAGATGGAAGCAGGTTTGGGGAAGGTGAGGAGTTCATTTTAGGGGGTAATGGGTCTGAAAGCTAGGGGACCTGAGGTGGGGACACTGTGGAGGTGGCTGGTGCCCAGGGTTTAGGGCCTTGTCCCTGGAGTCCTTTGGCCTAAACTCCATGAAGAAGACATTGTGAGAGAACCACTCACCTTCTCTCCTGCGTGGATCTTGAAGGACACGCCCTGCACAGCCAGCGGGAGCTCAGGTCGGTATCTTAGCCCAAAGTCCCGGAACTCGATCTGCCCGCCCTGAGGCCAGGGGGGCTGAGCTGCACATGTGGGCAGCCTCCAGGGAGCCTGGAGCAGGAGGGGAAACTGAGTCAGAGGAGCCTTCCTCTAAGACTTCACACAAGATGGCCCACCTCTATCAGCTTCAGTTTTCTCTTCCGCAAAATGGACGTATTTATTGCTGTTTTACAGGGTTGTTATGGGAATTCAACAAGAGAGGGCATGGACTATGTCAATGCTAAAAACAGATGGTGGTGGCTACTTTTAGTCTATTTTATTGTTATTATTAGCCACTGTTTATTATAAAATAATCTCTTTTTCTATAGTGGGAGCAGACATTTCTCTTTGTCTTTGTGAAAGGACATGACTGTGCAGTGGGAAGACCAATACTGCCTTTGCTGTTCCCGTGACCTTGAACAGATCATTCTACCCCCTTGAGTCTTGGTTTTCCAATCTGGGAAATAGGGCTAATAAGAGCAGCAGACATGTATTGAGTGTTTGCAATGGACCAGGCACTCTATTAAATCATTTCTTTGCAGGATCTCATTTGATCCTCCCAGTAAACTCAACGCTGTTATGTTACTGTTACATTAGTGCTATGCTGCTGTTCTTATCCTTTCTTCCACCCAATCCCATCCATCCATTCATCCATCCATCTCTTATCCTTTATCCACCCCATCCCACCCATCCATCCATCCATGCATCCATCCATCCATCTCCAATCCCATCCCTCCATCTCTCATTCTTCCATCCCATTCCATCCATTCATCTGTCCATCTCTCACCATTTCTTCTACCCTATTCATCAACTAATTAATTCTTCCTTGTTCTGTTACTGTAATGTTACTGTTATATTGCTAACACATTATATCATGTTGCTGTTTTGTTACCGTTGCGTTGCTATGTTGCTGTTCTGTCCTTATAATGCTACTGTTATGTTGCTGGAATTTTGCCATCATGTTACTATAATGTTGCTGTTTTCTTACTGTTACATTGCCATGTTGCTATTCCGTTACTATAATTTCAGTTATTTTGCTGGAATGTTGCCATCATGTTACTATAATGTTGCTGTTTTGTTACTGTTACATTGTTATGTTGCTACTCTGTTACTCTGTTACAGTCGTGTTGCTGGGATGTTGCTGTCATGTTATGATGTTGCTGTTGTGTTACTATTGCATTGCTATGTTGCTGTTTTGTTTCTATCATGTTACTAAAATGTTGCTATTACGTTACTATTACATTGCTATGTTGTGGTTGTATTGCTGGAATGTTGCCATCATGTTACTATAATGTCTCTATTATGTTACTATTACACTGCTATGTTGCTATTCTGGTACTGCAATATTGTGGTTATGTTGCTGTTACATTACTGTTACATTGCTGTTGCATTACTCTCATGTTCTGGAATATTGCCATTGTGTTGCTGTTGCCATTATGTTACTATCATGTTGCAGCTATGTTGCTGTTGCAATGCTGTTCCTTGTGGTTCCCTGCACTCCCATGGGTGACCTGCTTTCCTCAAGCTCAGAAGCAAAGGAACCAAGATTTGGCCTGGCTCCAAACCTTATGCTCCTAACCACTGCTGCCACCCTGTCTGTGACTCTGACCTATAGTGGTGGGGGTTGAGTGAGGGGAGAAGAGGGTATAAACTCCAAAGCCTGTAGCAGATGTCAACAGGGACCCATTGCCCCCCCCCACAATATGTCCTTGCTGGGACCCCCTCCCCACCTCCCGCCCATCACCTCCTTGGGCGTCCAGGCATAGTCCTGCATCCGCTCCACTGACACGATGCTGTTCTCTAGGTCTGTCCAGTTGCGAACAACCCACTGCAGTGTCTGGGTCACCTGGTGCAAGAAAGCCTCTCTGGCTGGGTTTGGCAAGGCCACTTGAGGGCTTGCAACAGCCCCCCTGGTTTCCCAACCTTTTCTGGGAGGCCAGACCCAGGGGAGTAAAGAGGGGAGGCAGGAATGGGACAGTCTGAGGACCTGGGCCCAGGGGATTGGGATTTGGATACAACCAACAGGTCCCTCTCTTCCTTCAGTAGAACCAGAGCATGCAGAGCAAAAAGAAGCCCTCAGACATCAGCTTGTACAAACTGGCTTGATGCAGGTGAGTAGACAGGATCAGAGAGGGTGTGTGGCCCTCCCAAGGACACACAGCAGGACCCAGGCCCACTGATTCCATTCTGACGGCTTTCTCGCAGCGACTGGGTGGCCACCAATTTCCCATGACACTTAGAACCACTCCAAGCTCCTCCCTATGAGCCATTAGCAGCTCTAGCCCTGCCATCCCATCCCCAACCTTGTCTCCCAGCACCCCTGCCTTCACCCACCCTCTCCAGCCACACCCGTCTTCTTGCTGTTCCTCTAACACACCAGGGATGAACCTTCAACTCCCAGGCCTTTTCTTCCTGCTGTTAACCTCACTTCCTCCTAAGTCACCTCCTCAGAGAGGCCTTTCTGGATGCAGTAGGAAAGTTCCCTCACTGCCACCCAACATGCTCCAGCCTCTTACTTCATCCTTAAGCTTAGCAGCCTTGACTGTAAAATGAGGATAATAACAGTGCTTCTCTGATGGGGTTGTGGGCAGTATTAAGTGAGTTAATATTTATAAAATTCTTGTGCACAGTGGCTCATGCCTATAATCCCAGCTTTTTGGAAGTCTAAGCAGGAAGATTGTTTGAACCCAGGAATTGAAGGCTGCAGTGAGCTGTGATCACACCACTGCACTCCAGTCTGGGCAAAAGAGTGAGACCTTGTCTCAAAACAAAACAGCTGGGCATGGTGGCTCACACCTATAATCTCAGCATTTTGGGAGGCTGGGGCAGGCAGACCACTTGAACCTAGAGTTTGAGACCAGGTTGGGCAACATGGTGAAACTGTTTCTACCAAAAAAAAAAAAAAAAAAAAAAAAAAAATTAGCCAGGCATGGTGGTGCATGCTTGTAGTCCCAGCTAATTGGGAAAGTGAGGTGGGAGAATCCCTTGAGCCTGGAGATGGAGGCTGAAGTGAGCCAAGATCATGCCACTGCACTCAAGCCTAGGCAACAAAATGAGATCCTGTCTCAAACAGCAACAACAACAAACCAAAACGAACAAAAACATATAAAGCTCTTAGAATAATGCCTCCTCCATAACAAATGCTTATGAGTGTATATATATATTTTTTTCATAGATGTCATGAACTGACATTACATACTGTTAATAGTTAACAAAAATTAGCCAGGCATAGTGGCTCACGCCTGTAATTCCAGCAACTTGGGAGGCTGAGGCATAAGAATCGCTTGAACCCAGGAGGCAGAGTTCTCAGTGAGCCGAGATTGCACCACTGCACTCCAGCCTGAGTAAAAGAGAGAGACTCTGTCTTCAAAACAAAACAAAAGTTAACAATGCACTAGAAATGTCCTCCACAGGATATGCTTTGTCTCAACTAGTCTTTATAACATCAGAAGTAGTGGGATTTCTGGCCTGTCTTTCCAAGGAGCACACTGACACTCCACAAGGAAAGACTCTTGCCCAAGGTTGCAAGTTCACCTTAGCTGAGTCTGGCTCTTGTAGAGCTGCGTGTCCCTCCTTGGTGGAGGGACTCCACACACCATGTTGGTTTGGACACAGGGTCTTCAAAGGTCCCACTAGCAGGGGTCCGACAGTCTCTGCCTCTGTCTGTCCCTCAAGCCCAGTTTGGGGATGTGGGGAGTACCTGGAGGGCAGCAGAGACAGAGAAGCCCACGAGGCCAGCACTGAGGTGGGCTTTGCTCAGCACAGCACACGTGGCAGCTGCAAACACCAGGCCATTCCCCAGGAGCTCCACATTGGCCGCAAGCCACCTGCAAAGGGAAGCGACAGCAGGGTGAGTGGTTACTCTCATCTGCAGGGAGATGCTTCTCTGGGCACAAGGACTGGTCATCACACCAGCTTTGTACACACAGGGGTCCCAGCAATGGCCTCCACATGCAACCCAGGCTCAGGGAGTAGAGGAAGATGACACCGTCCTGTCTCAACTAAGCCCACTTTAGGGTCTGGGGTACACTCGGTGTTCTGAAGAGCATCCCTGTGTGGCTGCTTTTCTGTCCCTGGAATTTGCCAAGCCATGTCCACCTGCCATTCCCCTGGCCTGAACCATGGCCTCCATGGTTTGGCTCTGTGTCCCCACCCAAATCTCATCTCAAATTGTAATCCCCACATGTGGAGGGAGGGATCTGGTGGGAGGTGACTGGATCATGGGGGCAGTTTTCCCCATATTGTTCTCGAGATAGTGAGTTCTCACAAGATCATATGGCGTAAAAGGATGCGGCAGTTCCCACCTCATGCTCTCCCTCTCCTGCTGCCATGTAAGACGTGCCTTGCTTCCCTTTCCACCATGATTGTAAGTTTCCTGAGGCCTCCCCAGCCACGTGGAACTGAGTCAATTAAACCTTCCTTTCTTTATAAATTACTCAGTCTCAGGTAGTTCTTTTTAGCAGTGTGAAGATGGACTAATACACAGCCCCAGCTGGCTGGGGACCTGAGATGAAAGGAAAAAGGACTTCACATGTATTGAGCACCTAGTGTGTACTTGACCCTCTCCACACTCTGGTACCAGACTGCTTGGATTCAAATCCTGGCTCTGCCAGTATTAGCTGTGAGACCCTGGACAAGTTTCCAAACCTCACTGTGCCTAGGATTTATCATCTATAGAACAGTTTCTTCCTGGTGAAGCTGTTAGCAGAATTAAATAAATTAATCTACATAGATTGCTCAGAACAGTGCCAGGCATGCAGTAAGCATGTTACAGGTCTTACCTATGAGTGTCTGTATTTAATCCTCATATCCACTCCATGAGCACGATCCCAGTTTGACAAATGAGGCTCAGAGAGGTTATGTAACTTGCCTGAAATCAACCAGCTGGTAAGTGGCAGAGCTGGGATTTGAACCTGTGTCTATTTGTGCTTAAAGCTTGTGTTCTTGTTCTTGCTTAGTACCTAAAGATGGCTGAGGATGCTTATATGGCTGCTTTATCACCAAGGCAAAAGAGGTTGATCCAGTTGCCTGGCAACAGAAGCTTCTTCCTGTACCCCCCGCCCACCTGCTGTTGAGAATCTCTCGGTCATGTTCCATCTGCCCACGGTGAGAACTGATAGACTGCCTGTGGGATCTAGCCTCAACTATGTCCCTGACTCTCTGGGTGACCTCTCTACCATACAATATGACCTCAGGTCTCACCCTCTAAGGATATGGATGAATTGCAAGGTCTTCTCTGCCCTGGCTCTTCCTACCTGTCAGCCACCAGTCGCGGGAAACTGATCCTCTGGCTTTCATCTACGCGAGCATTGTTCTGAGCCACAAAGGGGGCCTGGGTTCGGAATGCCCGGACCACTGTGCTGCCCTGGAACGTCTCAGCCATGTGGGAGCAGACAGACGAGTAGCTGGCTGACTCCAAGCGTCTCAGCTGGCATGAGCTAACCACATACAGGCTCTGAGAAGGATGGATGGGAGAGGGAAGAGGAGAAGCCACAGACATAGAGAGGTAGTTTCCAGAAGCACAGAGAGCCCCAAGTACAGGATTCCAGACCAGGATCTGTTAACAGCTTACTGTGTGACCTTGGGCTAGTTGCTTGCCCTCTCTGGGTTCTCATTTCCTTGCAGAATCAGAGTTCTATGGTTTTTTTGAAAATCACCTGGGGAGCTTCAAAAACCTCTAATGCCCCACCCCAGAATGACTGAATCGGAATCTCTGGAAATGTCACCTTGACTTTGGTGCTGTTTAAATAGCCTTCCAGATGATTCTAAGGGACAGCCAGGGTTGAGAAACCACCAATTTAGTTTAAGTGTCTCACTTCCCAGCACTGAGGCCGACTACTTCATTTACGGCTGGTCAGTGGGAGAACAAAACTGTAAGGGGCAATGAAGGCAGTTGGCCAAGTCAGTTTCACTCATGTAACCCAAGGGTTACATGCCAGGTGATGTGCAGAAAATATTCGTTATTTGGTTTGCAGCTGCAGGTTGGGTGCAGCTGGCAGACAGGCAGGCAGGGAGGAACTGAATTTGCTGAACACCCAACTGTATGTGCCAGGCTTTTCACACAGTGTCTCATTCATTGCAGAGTGAGCATTCGCGTCATTCATCAGTTAGTGGTGAGAACATCCAAGGCTCGGGGGATTCAGCAGCTGTCCTGAGTGCCACAGTAAGTGATAGAGCCTGGATTTAAACCCATCTTTGCTTGACTCTAAAGCTTGAGACAGAAACAGCCCATCCTCGGAGTCAAGTGAACTTAGAGAAGACCTAGGACAATTGTCGGGGACAGTGGTAGCCATGGGTTTTGTTGTTTGTTTTTTGAGATGGAGTCTCTCTCTGTCACCCAGGCTGGAGTGCAGTGGTGCAATCTCAGCTCGCTGCAACCTCTGCCTCCCGGGCTCAAGCAATCCTCCCGCCTCATCCTCCCAAGAAGCTGGGATTACAAGCATGCGCCACCACACTGGCTAAATTTTTGTATTTTTAGTAGACGGAGTTTCACCATGTTGACCAGGCTGGTCTCGAACTCCTGACCTCAAGTGATCTGCCCACCTCAGCCTCCCAAAGTGCTGTGATTAGATGTGTGAGCCACCATGCCTAGCCCTAGCCATGGTTTTTATCTGACTACCATGTTTTCTACTTCTGGTTTCCTGTGGGAAAGGGCTGGGTTGGGGTGCTGTCAATCATGGGACCTGATCAGAGAGGTGGTCACATGATGCAGCCTAGTGTATCAGAATCTACTATCCATTCAGTTACTGTGACGAGTTCAGAGATGGACACATGATCCACAAAGGGCCAATCAGAACCTTCCCTGGGATTAATATATGACTACTGAGCTGAAGAAACGTTTTTTGCATGTTGAGTTGCTAAGGTGAGATGATATGATAGCTAGTGGCCATAAGACCTGCCCTGGAAAGAGAGCGTGTACAAAATTAGACCAGAGGTAAGCCAGTGGTTCCTAAACATTTGTGTACATCAGAATTACTTGGAGGGTTAATTAAAACCTAGATTCATGGGCCGACCCACATAGTATCTGAGGCAGTAGTCCTGGGCTGGGGCCTAAGAATGTACTTTGCTAACTAGTCCCCAGGTGATACTACTGCTGGTCCTGGGGTCACACTTTGAGAAGCACTGAGTGAAGATATGGAGAGAGTCACTGTGTCCTGATGACAACTGGGCCCATGCCCCCAAGGAAATATAAGCCATTAAATTCTATTCTTTTGGTTAAGCTAATTTTAGTTGGTTGCTGGTCCCAGCAATTGAAAGAATCTAGCTTCATATAATAGCCTTTGAGACCTTGCAATGCCTTTTTGGCTTCCAGATAATTGGAGAGGAAGAAATTACGGCAGGATAAAAACATTACGCGTGAAAGGCTCTGGCCCTTAATATTTAACTGTGCCGTGGGGCACAGGGGCTCATGCCCTGTAATCCCAGAACTTTGGGAGGCCAAGGTGGGAGGATCACTTGGGGCCAGGAATTCGAGACCAGCCTGGGCAACACAGGAAGACACTTGTCCTACAAAAATAAATTTAAAAATTAGCCAGTCATGGTGGCACGTGCCTGTAGTCCCAGCTACTTGAGAGGCTGAGGTAGGAGGATCACCTGAACCCAGGAGTTCAAGGCTGCAGGGAGCTATGATCACCTATTGCACTTCAGCCTTGGCAGGAGAGCAAGATTCTGTCTCTCTAAAAAAAAGAACTTTGATGTGAACATTTAGAGACAGACACTAGTGGAGATACCAGAAAGACTGTAGTGTCCCTGTCCCTGGGAATTCTAGGAACAGCCCCTAGATGTCCAGCTGGGTGAAACCTCATATATGGAGTCTTCCCCAGAGACAGGGGACTGGCTGAGTTGACCTCAGCCGGTCCCGGAAGCCTCCCTGACCTCTCCGTACCTGAAACCCAGCGTAGAGGAGAAACAGTGGCAGGATGGCCACAGTGGCCAGTGGGGTAGCCACTGCCACCACCAGGCTGACCTCCAGGAGTCCAAAGGCGTACATCAGCAGGGACCGGAGTTTGTCTGGAATGTCCACGTCAACCGTGTCTGTCTCCTTGGAGAAGCGGTTTAGCAGGTGACCAATGGGTGTCCGCTCAAAGAAGCTGATGGGAGATCGCACCACATCCCACAGGAGCCTCTGGAAGAGCAACCTGGATGCCCGGGCCCCACCTAGGAGCACCGCAGCCATGGAGGCAAACAGCCCAATGGCTGGGGAGGGAGAGGAGGTAAGAGCATGAGGGCTGGAGACCCTCAGGAGCGGCCCACGGGGCCCTGCGCAGGTCTCTCCCGCTACCCCATGGTGGACATCTTATGGCTTGGCCACCCTGATTATTATATTTTTTTGAGACAGGGTCTCACTCTGTCACCCATGTTGAAGTGCAGTAGCATGATGATGGCTCAGTGCAGCCTTGACCTCCTGCACTCAAGCGATCCTCCCGCCTCACCCTCCGAGTAGCTGGGACCACAGGTGTACGCCACCATGCCGGCTAATTTGGGGTATTTTTGTAGAGATGGGATCTTGCTATGCTGTCCAGGCTGGTCTCGAACTCCTGGGATCAAGTGATCTGCCTGCCTTGGCCTCCCAAAGTGCTGAGATGACAGGCATGAGCCACTGCGCCTGTACCCTGCTTGTTTCTTGATGTAATGGGTTGAAGAGTGTCCCCCAAAATTCATTTGGGATGGGTCCTAAATTCAGTGACTGCCATTTATATAAGAATACTAGAGGATACTCAGAGACACAGCAGGAGATATGAAGATGGCGACACAGATGGGAGGGTGTATCTACAAGCCAAGGAATGCCAGCGACTGCCGGCGACCACCAGAAACCAGGAGAGAAGCCTGGGGCGTATTCTCCATCAGAACCTCCACGAGGGGCCGGGCACAGTGGCTCATGCCTGTAATCACAGCACTTTGGGAGGCCAAGGCGGGTGGATCACCTGAGGTCAGGAGTTCGAGACCAGCCTGAGCAACACGGTGAAACCCTACTAAACCCTACTCTCTACTAAAAATACAAAAATTAGCTGGGCGTGGTGGCAGGCACCTGTAGTCCTAGCTACTCAGGAGGCTGAGTCAGGAGAAACACTGGAACCCAGGAGGCAGAGGTTGCAGTGAGCCATAAGCCGAGATCGTGCTACTGCACTCCAGCCTGGTTGACAGAGCAAGACTCCGTCTCAGAAAAAACAAACAAACAAACAAAAAAACCAAAAAAACCTCCACAAAGAGTTAACACTGCTGACACCTTGATTTTAGACTTCAGGCCTCAGAACTGCGACAGAACAAATTTCAATTGTGCTGGGCTCCCAAGTTTGTGGCAACTTGTTTGGCAGTAGCCCTGTGAGAGAAATGCACATCCTTCCTCCCAGTGCTAATCTGTATGCCTGGGGTGGGGCTAACTTCTCCTCTGGGGTGGGGCAAATTTCACCCATGGCCAATCCAAACCACTGCAGTTGGTTCAGGGATGAACACATAACCCAAGTCAGGCCAATGACAGGGAGACCTGGGACTTCACTAGAACTTTTGGAAAAGTGGTACTTGGTTGTTGGAGGTAGCCAAGCTGGAGCCGTGGAATATCATCTTACTGCCAGGGGGAGCAGCTAAGCTGGACAGGAAGCTGTCACAGAGGAGGGAAATAAAGCGATTTCTTGTTTGGACCCCTACATCCAGCCATACCTGAAGCCAGAAATCTAGGGATACTGGTCCCAAGAGCCAATCAATTCTCTTGTTGCTTAAACACTTTGAATTGGAGCTGAATTTGTTTATTTTCAGACGGAGTCCTGCTCTGTCACCCAGGCTGGAGTGCAGTGGTGCAATCTCTGCTCACTGCAAACCCCACCTCCCAGGTTCAAGCGATTCTCCTTCCTCAGCCTCCCAAGTAGCTGGGATTACAAACACTGACACCATGCCTGGCTAATTTTTGTATTTTTAGTAGAGACGGGGTTTCACCATGTTCGCCAGGCTGATCTTGAACTCCTGACCTCAAGTGATCCACCCGCCTCGGCCTCCCAAAGTGCTGGGATTACAGGCATGAGCCACCGTATCTGGCCTGGAGCTGAATTTTTTATTCTTTGTATTCGAGAGTCATAACCAATTTCTCTCTCTCAGCTCCCATCTCTCCATCTTTAGGGGAGAGTAAGACTTGCCCTTAGCTATCAAATGAGGGATGGAAGTGGAAGGATTTTGAAAGGGCTATTTGCCACCCAAATGAGGATTTGGGTTAATTCCAGGGCTCGGCTGACTCTGAGAATCCCTAATTTCCTCTTGGTTAAGTAACCATTCGCCTTGAGTATTCCACTGTACATGCAGTTGTGGTGAGTAGGTGTACAGGTTCTTAGGACTAGAAGAGTCCTCAAGTTCAGGCCTGGCGCCCCCTATTTTACAGGGGAGGTCACAGGCTCACAGCATTTTGGTGATGTGGCCAATGTCACCCAGTGAATGAGGACGAATCAACATGAAAACGAGGCAACTGTCCTTTAAAGATGAAGCCAGGCCGGGCGTGGTGGCTCATGCCTGTGATCCCAACACTTTGGGAGGTTGAGGCGGAGGATTGCCTGAGCCCAGGAGTTTGAGACCAGCCTGGGCAACACGGCGAAACCGTCTCTATCAAAAACAAAAATTAGCCAGCATGGTGGCATGTGCATGTAGTCCCAGCTACTCGGGAGGCTGAGGTGGGAGGATTGCTTGAGCCCAGGAGGCAGAGGTTGCAGTGAGCCGAGTTCGTGCCACTGCATTCCAGCCTGGGTGACAAAGCCAGACCCAGTCTATATATATGTGTGTGTGTGTATAAATAAGAAGCCAAACTCACATGTGCACTCCTGTTACTCCCTTCAGCCAGGCCACGTATTAAAAGGAGAAGAACCAGGGGTTGGGGACAGGGTGGGCGAGGCAGGAGAAGGGTGGGTGTGGTTGCAAAAGGGCAACACGAGAGCGCCTCGTGGTGAGGGGGTTGTTCAGTATCTCAACTGTCAACCATCGTGATGGATGCGAGAGACTGAACAGGGGATACGACTGCACAGAGGCAAACATGCGCACACCCACGTGCAAGCAAAACTGGGGAAATCACAATGAGATCCATAGGGCCGGGTGCGGGGGCTCACACCTGTAATCCCAACACTCTGGGAGGCCGAGGCGGGCAGATCATTTGAGGTCAGGAGTTCGAGACCAGCTTGGCCAACATGGTGAAACCCCATCTCTACTAAAAATACAAAAATTAACCAGGCTGCACACTTGTAATCCCAGCTTCCAGCTACTCAGGAAGCTGAGGTAGGAGAACTGCTTGAACCTCGGAGATGGGGGTTGCAGTGAGCCGAGACGGCAGCACTGCCCTCCAGCCCGGGCAACAGAGCAAGACTCTGTCTCAAAATAAAATAAACAAATAAATAAATAAATAAATAATTGAGATCCATGGATTGATGGGTGTCAGGATCCTTTGTGTGATACTTTACTATCAGTTTGCAAAATATCACCAATGGGAGAAACTGGGCAGACTGTTCAAGGTAGCTGGCTGCCTTATTTCCTAGAACTGCATGTGAATCTACAATTATTTCAAGAAGAAGTCTTTCCATTTTTGAGGAGGAGAAGAAGGAGTGATAGCGGTGATGCATTTGTTAGGGAGGGTCTGGCTCTGTCTGGAGGTTTGGGGGCAGGCACTGAAAGCCACCAGCAGGCAGGCCTTGCAGACGCCTTCCGCTAGTGGGGAGGGACTGGGAGAGGTTCTGAAGCTTCCAGAAAAGGAGGGATGTGCCCTGTCCTTCCCGTTCCCTCCAGCCTCATCTTAAGGACGCAGATCTTTGCCTGGACCCCAGACGTTTTGCACACTGTTCCAGGGGGACAGGGTGACCCAGGGAGGGGTGGGGTAAAGGAGTCCTGAGCACCCCTTGGTGCAGCTGGGAGGAGAGGGATGAGGAGGGCAGGTGAGGCGTACCTTGGAGACAGCCGAGGAGCCCGAAGATCCCGCCACGCAGGGCTGCCTGCGTCTGCTGCCCACCTACTGCAGGGTCGTCCGCCCACAGGCTCAGCCAGTAGCCCCGGCAGAAGGAGGCCACTTGCTGGCAGAGGAAGAGGAAGAGTGCGTAGAGGCAGAGGGGGGTGCCCACGGCACGCAGGTAGGCCAGGTGCACTGTGGCCTTCACCTGTAGCACACATGAGGGAGAGGGAGGCAGAGAGAGCCCCCAGTGGGAGGGGTGGGTTGAGGCAAGGCCAGGCGAGGCTCCCAGAAAACATGCCCATGGCAGATGGGACCACCACGCAGACCTCACTGGTTCTCCCGCTGTGCCTCCCACCAGAAGCACCATTTCCCCGACAGGCCCCAGCCAGCCTTAGAACCCCCATCTCCTATACAATCCCCAGGGAGCTAGTATTAATATTTTTTCTTTTGTTTTTTTTTTGAGGACAGGGTCTTGCTTTGTCGCCCATGTCACCCAGGCTGGAGTACACTGGCATGATCATGGCTCACTGCAGCCTTGAACTCCTAGGCTCAAGTAATCCCCCCGCCTCAGCCTCCCGAGTAGTCAGGACTATAGGTTTGTACCACCATGTTTTGTTAATTTTCATAGTTTTAAAGAGATGGAATCTCGCTGTGTTGCCCAGGCTAGTCTCAGACTCCTGGCCTCAAGTGATCCTCCCTCCTCGGCCTTCCAAAGTGCTTGGATTACAGGTGTGAGCCACCACACCCAGCTAGAAGGGTTTTCTTGAACACCCACCATAGGTCAGGCATGTGTCTCTCCTTATAACAACCTCCATTTCACAGATAAGGAAACTGAGGCACAGAGAGGTTCAGCCACTGGCTTAAGGTCCTGCTCCTACAAATCTGAAGTTCTCTGCACAGCTGCAGCCAGACGGGACTGTTGAAAACATTAATCTAATTATATCTTGTCGTTGGCCTGTCCATGGCTATCTCTTGCTCTTAGAAGAAATCCCAGCCAGGAGGGGTGGCTCATACCTGTAAGCACTTTGGGAGGCCAAGGCGGGTGTGTCACCTGAGCTCAGGAGTTTGAGACCAGCCTGGACCAACGTAGTGAAACCCCGTCTCTACTAAAAATACAAAAATTAGCCACGTGTGGTGGCAGGCACCTGTAGTCCCAGCTACTCGAGAGGCTAAGGCAAGAGAATCGTTTGAAGCCAGGAGGTGGAGGTTGCAGTGAGCTGAGATTGCACCATTACACTCTTCTCTGGGCGACAAGAGTGAAACTCTGTCTCAAAAAAAAAAAAAAAAAAAAAAGAAAGAAAGAAAGAAAGAAAGAAAGAAAGAAATTCCAAGCTTCTTATCTCGCCCCCACTCACTGCCTGCCAGCCTCATGGGACCCCTTTCTCTGGCACCCTAAGCTACTTCCCACCTCGGAGCCATTGCACCTGCTGCTCTCTCTGCCTGGAGCGCTCTTTCTCCTGCCCTTTGTATGACTGGTTCCTTCACACATTCTTTGGGGAAGCTCAAATGTCACTTCTCAGAGCATCCTGTCCATACCAACCATGGTAGGGTTTCTCAGTGGTCTCTATTTCATCATTCTTTCTTTTAAGAGGCAGGGTCTCACTCTGTCACCCAGGCTGGATTGCAGTGACATGATCATAGCTCACTGCAGCCTCGAACTCCTGGCCTCAAGCAATCCTCCTGCCTCAGCCTCTGAAAGTGTTGGGATTACAGGCATGAGCCACTGCGCCTGATCATTCTTATTTTCTTTATAGCACTTATTGTTATTGGACATAGCTTACTTATTAGCATAATTATTTACTCTCCGTCTATCCTCACTAGTGTCTAATCTCTACCAGACTTAGCCTGGCACATAGTGGGTATTGTGTACATGTTTGCTGGATGGATGAGAGGGTAGGTGGGTGAATAAATGAGCGGGTGGGTAGGTAGGTAGGTGTGTGAATGAGTGGATGAATGGATGGAAAGATCAATGAATGGATGAACAGCTGAACAGACAGATGCATAGGTGAGGGAATGGTTGGATGTATTGTTAGGTGGGATAGATGGATGGGTAAGCGAATGGGATGGATAAATGAGTAGGTGGGTGAGTGGATGGGTTGGACAGATAAATGAGTGGGTGGGATAGATGGATAAATGAGTGGATGGGATGGACAGATAAATGAGTGGGTGGGATGGATGGATAAATGAGTGGGTGGGATGGATAAATGAGTTGGTGGGAGGGATGGATAAATGAGTAGGTGGGATGGATGGATAAATGAATGGGTGGGTGGGTGGGTGGATAAATGGGTGGGTGGGATGGATAAATGAGTGGTTGGGTGGGTGGGATGGATAAATAAGTGGATGGGATGGATAAATGGGAGGGTGGGATGGATAAATGAGTAGGTGGGATGCATAAATGAGTGGGATGGATAAATGAGTGGGTGGGATGGATAAATGAGTGGGTGGGATGGCTAAATGAGTGGGTGGGATGGATAAATGAATGGATGGGATGCATAAATGAGTGAGTGGGATGGATAAATGGGTGGGTGGGATGGATAAATGAGTGGGTGGGATGCATAAATGAGTGAGTGGGATGGATAAATGGGTGGGTGGGATGGATAAATGGGTGGGTGGGATGGATAAATGAGTGGGTGGGATGCATAAATGAGTGAGTGGGATGGATAAATGGGTATGAGTGGGTGGGATGGCTAAATGGGTGGGTGGGATGGCTAAATGAGTGGGTGGGATGGCTAAATGAGTGGGTGGGATGGCTAAATGAGTGGGTGGGATGGCTAAATGAGTGGGTGGGATGGATAAATGAGGGGGTGGGATGGATGGATAAATGAGTGGGTGGGATGGATAAATGGGTGGGTGGGATGGATAAATCAGTGGGTAGGTGAATGGATGGGATGGATAAATGAGTGGGTGGGATGGATAGGTGGGTGGGTGGATGAGCATCTAGGTGGATGATGGAATGGGTAAGTAGGTGGGTGGAGATACATAGCAGTATAGAAGATGAGAAACAGTGTAAGCTTCAGACTCAGATTGGCCTAGATTTGAGTCCCAGGTTGTGTCCCAGGCTAGATATGAAAACACAAACAAGTCTCTTAACTGTTTAAGACTTCAGTTTCTTGGCTGGGCACAGTGGCTCACACCTGTAACCCCAGCACTTTGGGAGGCAGAGGCCAGAGGATCACTTGAGCCCAGGAGTTCCAGACCAACCTGGGCAACATGGCAAAACCCATCTCTACTGAAAATACAAACATTAGCTGGGCATGGTGGCACACGCCTGTAGTCCCAGCTACTTGAGAGACTGAGGTAGGAGGATTGCTTTAGCCCAGGAGGTCGAGGCTGCAGTGAGCTATGATTACATCACTGCGGTCCAGCCTGGGTGAGTGAGCGAGCCACTTTCTCAAAATCAAAATAAAATAAATTTTAAAAGAATTCAGTTTCTTTATGTCTGAAATAGACCTATCATATCTATTTTTTAGGGTGGTTGTGAGGATTAAGAAAATGAACATCTAGAATGCTACTGGCACATAGTAGGTGCTCAAGAAAGGTGAGTATCACTGCCAAGTGCTACATTTGGTGGGAAGACTTGGGCCCCTGGAGGTGGCAGCAGTGGGTGGGGAGGGGTGGGTGAAGCTGGTGGTTACCCTGCCGTATTGGATGCTGTCCTTTCCTGCTGGCCATCCTGCCCTGTCAGGGTCATCCAGAGGAACCTCTGTCTGGGCTTCTGAAGTGGTACGGTCCTTCTCAGGGACTGACTTGATGGACCTGTCATTTAGAGGAAATGAAGACAAAGTCAGTATCTCTCCCAATGGTGGGGTGTATGTGCCTAACCCTCAGGCCCACTGACAGCCACTGAGCTCTGGGTACACTCTGTACTCTTTCATTCATTCATTTATCTAACAGAATACTGACCAGATATCACACTTCCCTTCTTCCCATATGGTACCCAGCTAAATGCCATCTATTACCCCAGGGTCAAGCAAGCCCATTCTTCTGATGCCAATTCACAGGATGAACTTAACTTGCCCACCATTGGAACTCTGTTCTCAGAATTTTCTTTTTTTTTTTTTTTTGAGATGGGGTCTTGCTGCATTGCCCAGGTTGGTCTCAAACTCCTGAGCTCAAGCAATCCACCTGCCTCAGCCTCCCAAAGTGCTGGGATTACAGGCATGAGCCACCATGCCCAGCCTGTTCTCAGAATTTTTATTTTGGCTTAAGCTTTCGTGCAATTGTTTTGTTCCTACTGTATACCATCAGATTTGTCAGTCCAACTGGCAGAATATAAATTATGCACAATTCAGATGCTAAAGACTCTTTGAATGTTTTATCTGTGGATGAGTGGGCTGACTTAACCTCTGTGCCTCAGTTTCCTCAGCTGTAAAAATAGGAATATTATCTATCTATCCATCCATCCATTTATCCATTCATCTACATACCTGTATATCTACATATACATGTCTACCTACCTTCTATTAAATTGAGGTTAGCCCAAAGCTGCCTCCTTACATATTTTAAGTTTGGCCTAAAGGTTTTCCCCGTACATAGTGAACTGTAACCTAATTGGACTCAAACAGACTGCAACCTACTCCTGTGTCAATCACTGAGTTTCAGCCAATCAAAGGCAACCAACCGTTCAAACCATGTTCCAATAAAGCAAACGCTGAGCTGTAACCAATCCGGCTGTTTCTGTACCTCACTTCTGTTTTCTGTCCTTCACCTTCCTTTTTCTGTCTATTAATCTTTGACCCCGTGGCTGTACCAGAGCCTCTCTGGACGTATTCTGGTTCAGGGACTGCCCGATGTGCGGATCATTCTTTGCTTAGTTAACCTCTGTTAGCCAGGTGCAGTGGCTCACGCGTGTAATCCCAGCACTTTGGGAGGCTGAGGCAGGTGGAACACCTGAAGTCAGGAGTTTGAGACCATCCTGGACAACATGGCAAAACCCTGTCTCTACTAAAAATACAAAAATTAGCCGGGCCTGGTCACATGTGCCTGTAGTCCCAGCTACTCAAGAGACTGAGGCATGAGAATCGCTTGAACCTGGGAGACGGGGATTGCAGTGAGCCGAGATTGTGCCATTGCACTCCAGCCTGGGCGACAGAGCAAGATTCTGTCTCAAAACCCCCCCCCGCAAAAAACAAAAAACCTCAGACACATTAAATTTGCTAGAGGTTAATTTGGCACAATCTCGGCTCACTGCAACCTCCGCCTCCGAGGTTCAAGTGATTCTCGTGCCTCAGCCTCCCGAGTAGCTGGGACTACAGGCACATGCCACCACGCCGGCTTTTTTTTTTTAATTTACTTATTTTTTATTTTTAGTAGAGACGGGTTCACCATGTTGGCCAGGCTGGTCTCGAACTCCTGACCTCTAGCTAGTGATCCACCCGCTTCAGTTTCCCAAAGTGCTGGGATTACAGGTGTGAGCCACCATGCCCAGCCTTAATGTGTCTACTGGTTTTCTTTTAACATGACTACCTATCCATCTGATCTTACTTCAGATTCTTGTGCGCTGTGAAGGTGGTGGGATTTCTCAGTGTGTGTGTGATTGAGAAGTGCCCTCAGGGTGGCTAGCTGGGATGGGGGTCAGCCCCAATGGTCCCTGGGGACTGAGGCCCCTCAAGATCGCTGCCGCCCACCACCCCTGTATAGCAGGCACTTAAGCTCAGGCCATCTGGTATCAGTGGCCTGTTGTTCTGCTTCCCAAGACCCCTCTCATTAAGAGGGGAGAGTATCAGGCAGCAGGTCCTTCTGCTGCCGACAGCTCCACAGTGAGCCCAGCTGTGTCCTGGCTGGAGGGAGCTGAGAAAAGAGGGGACCGGAGGCCTCCTCCTGGCCCCTTGCCCACGTGTTCTGGCCAGCGTCAAGTGATGCTGTGCATACAGACCCAAGCCCTGTGCATAGCCAGCCTGTCAAAGCATAAGTGGCCAGGCCTGGCATGGTGGTTTACAGCTATGGGGAGGAACCAGTCCTGCCCTACTGCAGCATTCAGACAACTCCAGCAAGCTGGCCTCGGCCCACTTGAAGACATCCATCAATTGGAAGGCATATTGTTCATTCCATGAACTGGCCTTATAGGGGCCTAATCATCTTGGCTAACTGGACCAATTTTGGTAAATTATCCCTCAGCAGGGCACCATGGGGGGGACTTCAGCAGGTTCTCTATCCATAATGGTTTTGGTTGCCCGCCTAACTGCCCGAGATGCGGGTGGTCCCTTCAGCTACTTCAGCTTCAGCCTGTGCCCTTCTGAGTGTGGCACCATGGTGGACTCACCTCTCGCGTCTAAGCTCGGGCCTCCTGCCTGCAGAGGTGCCTCTGGGGTCCTTGGTGCTGGTCCCAGGTTCTGTTTCTGCAAGGTCAAGAGAGTCCTGTCACGCAACACGGCCCAGATACCCACTTTGACACCCACTGACTATGTGGCCTTAACCGCTCTGACCATCCATTTCCCCTGATCTGGCTCCTGCCACGTCTCCAGCAACCTCTCTCAACACCCCACTCTGAGTTCTTCCAGGAACATCCTTCAGGCATTCACTCACTCATTCATTTCTTCAATCAGTGATAACTGAGCACCTACTATGAACTTGAGGTTGGAAAAACAGCATTTAACACTGTACAAAGTCAAGTTACCTCTGTTTCCCCCAACAGCCTTGCTCAAGCAGTTCCTTGTGTCTGGAATGCTTTTTTCTGGCTAACTCTCACCTACCCTCAGGTACCATCTCCCCTAGGAAGGACACCTCCCCACCACTATCCCCCAGGTGTGGCCAGTAACTGAAAGCAAATCTGTAGTAGTTTAACCACAGACCTGTAAGCAACAAGTAACTGCTACTGTAAGCTGCTAGGATTTGGGGGGCTATTTGTTACACAGCATCATCACAGCAAAAGCTGACCAACACAAACAGGCAAGTTCTATCTTCAAGCTTCAGGACTGTGACATTGTGAATCAACACTTAAGGTTTTAACCAGGTTGGGCCAGTGCTAAGCAGATGTTCTCAGAAGAAGCAAAGCCTGAGATTGAGGGAGACCTGGATGTGAATCCTTGCTTTGTCATGAAGGGATAGTGTAGAGGGTAGCAATTAAAAAACACATTCTCTGGAATCAAGTTGCTTGGGTTCAAATCCCAGTGCTGCCACTTACAAGCCATGTAACCTGGGACTAGTTCCTTAACTTCTGGGCCTCAGTTTCCTCATCTGTGAAATGGAAATGATTCTAGTACCAGCCTCACAGGGGCATTATGTTGATTAAATGAGCTAACCTCTGTGATGTGCTGTTAGTTGCTACTTTTCAGTCATTGTGAGTGAGCTTGGCTTGGCAACTTTACTTCCAGAACCTTGCCATGTATCCAGCACACTGTTTTTCTGGATTATTAGAAACCCTAGCTAGCATGGTGTAGCTTGCTAGGCATCAAAGTCCTTCTTGGGCTGTCTCCATAGCAACTGCAAGCATAGACTCTGGAGCTGGACATACTCAAGTTCTAATCTTGTGACCTTGGGCAAGTGATTTAACTCTCTTTGCCTCAGTTTGCTCATCTGTAAAATGACAGCAATAACTTCACATGCCTCTGGGGCATGTGTGAGAATCAAATGAAATAGTGTATTTTTTACAGAAGCACTTAGCACAACCCCTGGCTCATGGATGATGTTATCGGCTATTCTTGGAGAAAGGTGACCTATTAAGAGAGCTGTCTGCTTCCAGGCCTAGGCCTGCAGACAGGGTGTGGCCAGAGCACTCCATTCATGCCAGTAGGACCCTTCGAGCCTTTTCCCCCAAGGGTGGCAGGAGCCAGGCCTGGAGAATCAGCAAAGCCCACCTAGTACCTCCTTCTCCTCTATCTCCTGGCTGTCTGGCTTGATCCAGAAGACACATGAGGGCCCCCTTCCTCTGCAGAAGCTCCTGGTAGGAACCCATCTCTGCGATGGCCCCATTTGCCAGCACTATGATCCAATCAGCCTGGGGCAGGATGTGGAGTGCGTGCGTCACGAGAATCCGTGTCTGGGCAGGGAAGGGGTAGAAGTTACACACATGTGGCCGGGTGCAGTGGCTCATGCCTGTAATCCCAACACTTTGGGAAGCCAAAGCATGTGGATCACTTGAGGCCAGAAGTTCGAGACCAGCCTGGCTGACACGGCTAAGCCCCATCTCTACTAAAAATACAAAAATTAGCTAGGTGAGGTGGCGCACACCTGTAGTCTCAGCTACTTTGGAGGCTAAGGCAAGAGAATCACTTAAACCTGGGAGGTGGAGCTTGCAGTGAGGCGAGATTGGACCACAGCACTCCATCCTGGGTGACAGAGCAAGACTCTGTCAAGAAAGGAAAGAAAGAAAGAGAAGAAAAGAAAGAAGAAAAGAAAAGAAACAAAGGAAGGAAGGAAAGAGAGAGAGAGAGAAAGAAAGAAAAAAAAAATGTACGGCCGAGCGCAGTGGCTCATGCCTGTAATCCCAGCACTTTGGGAGGCCGAGGCAGATGGATCACCTGAGGTCAGGAGTTCGAGACCAGCCTGGCCAACATGGTGAAACCCTTTCTCTACTAAAAATACAAAAAATTAGCTGGGCGTGGTGGCGGGCACCTGTAGTCCCAGCTACTCGGGAGGCTGAGGCAGGAGAATGGCGTGAACCCGGGAGCCGGAGCTTCCAGTGAGCGGAGATCGCACCACTGCCCTCCAGACTGAAAGACAGAGCGAGACTCCATCTCAAAAAAAAAAGAAAAAGAAAAAAGTTACACACATGTGCTTGGCCAGCCTCCTGAGCTGGGGGTTGGGGTGGGGGTATTGTCCCTGGACTCAGAGTGGGGACAGCTCCCCTTCTTGTGCTCCTGCCGCCTTTCTTGTAAACAGCATATCCAAATAGAGAAACAGAGGGGACTCCCTTAGCCTGTGTCTCAAAACAAGAAGACAAGGAGTACATCTGACCCTGGCCAATCATCCAAGGCAAAGCTGTAGTAGTTAAATCACAGATCCATAAGGAAGAAACACCTGCTGTTGTAAGCTGCTGGGATCTGGGGGTTGTTTGTTACATAGCATTGTCACAGCAAAAGCTGACCAATACAAAGAGGAAATTGGACTCAAGTGGAAGGGGGAGGTGAGATAAACTTGGGTTAGGACTGGATGCTAAGTGCTTCCTCTGCCTTTGCCCTGTACTGTCTGACACATGTTCCCAAACTTACTGTTCCCTGGAGTAGTCCACCAGGCCCAATGACCTGGTTGAAGACATGCTGGCCAACGTGGGCATCCAGGGCCGCCAGGGGGTCATCCAGCAGGTACACAGCTGCCTTTCTGTATACAGCCCGGGCCAGGCTCAGCCGCTGCTTCTGGCCTCCGGAGAGATTCATGCCCTGTGGCCACAAAAGGAACAGTGGCCTGAGTCAGCATCTACAGGGTGAAACTGGGGTGCCCAGGCTGTGGCAGGTCAGGGCACACCTGCCCATCAGGGTGAGGTACAGCTCAACATGCCTATTCCCTGGGGACAGGCCCAGCTTCCAAGGCACTCGCTCTCAAGCCAACAATGCCTCCATCCTTACCCGACCTCACTTCTCCACTTCCCAAGCACGCTTCCTGGAGGAGTTACCTACACTTCCCAATCCACTCTGTCTCCTCCTGCTCACTCTCTCTATCTCTTTGAGTCCAACTCTTGTTTCCCTTTCTCCACTGAGACCACCATCCATTTCCCTATTCCCTCATCCAGTGGCAGCTTTTCAGTCCTACTTTTGTATTTTAAATTTTAATTGTTTTCTTTTAGTTTTCATTGATATGTAATAGTTGTAACTATTCGAGGGGCACAAGTGGTATTTGGATACCTGTAGGGCAGTGGTCCCCAGCCTTTTTGGCACCAGGGACCAGTTTTGTAGAAGACGATTTTTCCATGGACCTGGGGGCAGGGGGATGGCCCGGGGGATGGTTTCAGGACGATTCAAGCACATTACGTTGATTGTGCACTTCTATTATTATTATTACTGCTGTTGTCGTTGTTATTATTGAGATGGAGTTTTGCTCTTGTCACCCAGGCTGGGAGTGCAATGGCATGATCTTGACTCACTGCAACCTCTGCCTCCTGGGTTCAAGCAATTCTCCTGCCTCAGCCTCCTGAGTAGCTGGAATTACAGGCACCCACTACCACGCCTGGCTAGTTTCTGTATTTTTAGTAGAGATGGGGTTTCACCATGGTGGCCAGGCTGGTCTCGAACTCCTGCCCTCAGGTGATCCGCCCACCTTGGCCTCCCAAAGTGCTGGGATTACAGGCGTGAGCCACTGCGCCCGGCCTACTTGTATTATTATTGCATTGTAATATATAATGACTCACCATCATGCAGTATCAGTGGGAGCCCTGAGCTTGTTTTCCTGAAACTAGATAGTCCCTTCTGGGGATGATGGGAGGCAGTGACAGATCATCAGGCATTAGATTCTCATAAGATCCCTCACATGTGCAGTTTACAGTAGGGTTTGTGCTCCTATGAGAATCTAATGCTGCCACTGATCTGACAGGAGGTGGAGCTCAGGCGGTGATGGGAACAATAAGGAATGGCTGTAAATACAGATGAAACCTCACTCGCCTGCCCTCTGCCCACCTCCTGCTGTGCTGCCTGCCCAGTTCCTAACAGGCCACAGACTGGTGCTGATCCATGGCCCGGGGGTTGGGGACCCCTGCTGTAGACAATATGTAATGATCAAATCAGGGTAACTGAGATAGTCATCACCTCAAATATTTATCTTTTGTATTGCGAACACAACCATCCTTCTCTTCTAGCTATCTTGAAATATACAAGTAAATGATCATTAACTATAATTTCCCTTGTGCACTATTGATTACTTTAACTTATTCCTTCTATCTAGGCCTTCTTGTCTTTCATTCATTCTTTTAAAACTTATTTTTATTTATTTTTGAGATGGAGTTCCACTCTGACACCCAGGCTGGAGTGCAATGGCTTGATCTCGGCTCACTGCAACCTCTGCCTACTGGGTTCAAGCGATTCTCCTGCCTCAGCCTCCCAAGTAGCTGGGATTACAGGTACGCCACCATGCCTGGCTAATTTTTGTATTTTTAGTAGAGATGGGGCTTCACCATGTTGGCCAGGCTGGTCTCAAACTCCTGACCTCAAGCAACCCTCCCGCCTTGGCTTCCCAAAGTGCTGGGATTACAGGCATGAGCCACCGTACCCAGCCATTCATTCATTCTTACATTCAGTCATTCCACTAATAACCACTGCCTCGTTATCATAAACCAGGCATGGTTCTAGGCTCTGGAGAAACAGCAATGAGCAAAACAAAGTTGCTGCTCTCTTAATGGATCCATCATTCTCATGAAGGGGACAGAGACAGGCAATCCATAAACAAGTAAGGCAGACAGCACATCAGGTGGAAAGTGCTATGAAGAATAAATAGTAAAGCAGGGGGAGCCAGGTTCAGGGGCTCACGCCTGTAATCCCAGCACTTTGGGAGGCGGAGCTGGGTGGATCACTTGAGGTCAGAAGTTCAAGACCAGCCTGGCCAACATGGTGAAACCCCATCTCTACTAAAAGTACAAAAAAAAATTAGCCAGTTGTGGTGGTACATGGCTGTAATTCTAGCTACTCATGAGGCTGAGGTGGGAGGATTGCTTGAACTACTCATGAGGCTGAGGTGGGAGGAATGCTTGAACTCAGGAGGTGGAGGTTACAGTGAGCCAAGATTGTGCCACTGCACTCCAGCCTGGGCAACAGAGCGAGACTCCGTCTCAGAAAAAAAAAAAAAAAAAAAAAAAAGAGAAAAAGCAGGTGCAGGTGTAGGGTGCACTAACAATAGTAGGGTGGCTGTGGTGGTAGATAAGGTGGTCAGGAAAGGCCTCTCTGTGAAGGTGATAGAAGTGAGGGATGAGCCCTGGGGACTCCTGGGGAGAGCTTTCCAGCAGAGGGAACAGCAGTGCAAAGGCCCTGGGGCCAGAGTGTGCTGTGGGGGATCAGGGAATATCACAGAGACTAAGGTGGCTGCAGTAAAGCTGAGAGGTGATGATGGGAGATGGGGCTAATGGATACCAGAGCCAGGTCACAGGGACCTTGCCAGGGATTGTCATGACTTGGGCTTTGTCTCTGAGGTAAATGGGGAGATCACCTGAGGTCCGGAGTTTGAGACCAGCCTGGCCAACATGGTGAAACCCTGTCTCTACTAAAAATATAAAAATTAGCCAGGTATGGTGGCATGTGCCTGTAATTCCAGCTACTCAGGAGGCTGAGGTGTGAGAATTGCTTGAACGTGGGAGGCGGAGGTTGCAGTGAGCCGAGATTGCATCACTGCATGCCAGCCTGTGCAACAGAGCAAGACTCTGTCTCCAAAACAAAACAAAAAACAAAACCACAAGTGGTGGGCTGGATTTGGCTTGGGGTCACAGTTTGCCAACCCCTGCCCAATCCATAGCTCCAGATGCATATATCCTGTTTCTTGGACATCTCTGTCCAGACCCCTTGGTGAGGCCCAGAGAGGGGAAGCAATTACACCAACATTACTCAGCAAGGCAGGGCAGAGTAAGACAGGAGTCTAGGTCTTCTCACTCTCAGTTGTCAGAGAGCTCCTCACTGCCAATCCCTGCCACAACTCCCTGCCTCTCTCTTTGTGTCTATTTCTGCTTATCAATTAGTGATTACGTATTGAGCACCTAGCACGTGCTTGACGCTGAGCTGAGCCCTTTTTCTCCGCTACTTCCCTAACCATTCCTCTCATTTCTCCATCATACTGCCCATGATGAGTCGGGGACCCAAATGACTCCCAACTGCAATGTCTCCCTGTCCCAAAAAGACCCCCAAACTCTCACCTGCTCCCCAATTGAAGTGTGGATTCCCTCAGGGAAGCTGTCCACATCTGGCTGCAGGGCACAGGCTTCTAGTACTCTCTCCAGCCAGGGTGGGTCCAGCTCCTGCCCGAAGCACACATTCTCTACCACAGAGGTGTTCTGCACCCAGGCCTCCTGGGGCACGTAGGCCACAGCACCCTAAAACACAACTTACTTTGGTCACAGGAGGATGATGGGGACAGAGGTGGGATAGGTTTTGAGGAGCAGTGGGAGCTGGGCTCTCAGTGGTGGGTGAGAGGTGGAGAGAATGAGTGAAAGTGAACTTGGCTGGGATGGGGAGGGTGGGAAGGCAGCGAGGAAGTGGGACTTTCAGGATGGGGACATCCTAGCAGACAGGCTGGGGGTGGCCTCACCTCGATGCTCACGAACCCCTCCACCTTTGACAGCTCCCCAAGGAGGGCGGACAGCAGGGAGGACTTCCCTGCCCCCACTGGACCGACAACAGCCAGCAGACAGCCCTGGGGCACCGTGAGGTTTATTCTGGACACGCAAGAGGGGAGACATGACCTTGGTTAGGGTTCAGCCCGCCTCTGTGAGGAAGGATGAGCCCCAGACGGAGCTGAGCTTTCCTGCTCTGGGAGTCTCCAAGAGGACCTGTGGGGCTGTTCTTTTTCCCAGTCCTTGTCTAGCTATTTGAGGAACTATCCTGTGCACATCTGTGCATGTACACATGCACACAAAGCGTGCACACATGCATGCACATTTGCACACTCATACAAGCATGCTAGCATGCACAGCAACACAATGTGGGCACGCATCCACACACACACAAGTGCATGCACATACCCAATCAATCCATGCTCACACGCATACATGTGTGCACACATGCACACCACGCACACACACACAGGGTTGACTATAGCCTGAGGGTTTCACCAGCCTGGCCTCCTGCCTTGGCTCTTGCGATAAATAGGCTCTTTCCTCCCTCCCTCCCGCTACTCTTGGTCCCGCCCCACTCCTGTCCACGTCCCACAGCCCATCCTCCACCCAGTGACCAGAGGGATCTGTTAAAACCCAAGTCAGATCGTGACACTTCCCAGCTAAACCCGCCAGCACTCCCATTTCACTCAGGGTCAAAGCTAAAGTCCTGACGATCAGGAATGACATCTCCCGCCTCCTTCCGCTCTGTGCCTCAGCTGCTCGGCCCTGGCCTTGCTGACCTCCTTGCTGTTTCTTGAACACAAAAGGCCAGTGGTTCTCACCAGGGGGTGACTGCATCCCCCAGGAGTCATTTGGCAAGATCTAGAGATATTTTTGGATGTCACAACCAGTAGGGGGTGCTGCTGGCATCTAGTGGGTAGAGACTGGGGTCAGCTAAACATCCCACAATGCACACGACAGCCCCCAACAAAGGAGTTTCAGCCCAAAATATCAACCGTGCTGAGGTTGAGAAACCCAGGTCCAGGCACTCTCCTGCCCCAGGACCTTTGCTGATGCCATTCCCACCGCCTAGAAGGTTCTTCTCCCAGGCCGGGCACGGTGGCTCATGCCTGTAATCCTAGTCCTTTGGGAACTGAGGCAGGTGGATCACTTGAGGTCAGGAGTTGGAGACCAGCCTGACGAACATGGTAAAACCCATCTCTACTAAAAATACAAAAATTAGCTGGGTGTGGTAGCATGCGCCTGTAATCCCAGCTACTCGGGAGGCTGAGGCAGGAGAATTGCTTGAATCCGGAAGGTGGAGGTTGCAGTGAGCCGAGATCATGCCATTGCACTCCAGCCCGCGTGATAGAGCAAGACTCCGTTTCAAAAAAAAAAAAAAAAAAAAAAAAAAAAAGAACAGCTCTTCTCCCAGACACTCCTTCCTTATGATCTCGGCTTGAATGCAAAGCCTTCCCTCGCTAGACATGCCATCGTACTCTGTTCCCTTGCTCTGGTTTTCTGTTTGGGCCTCACCTCTATCAGCATGTCACCCCACGAGAGCAGGGCCCTTGTCTGTTTCCTTCGCCCTATCCCCAATACCTAGAACAGAGCGTGGCCCATACCTAGTGCTCTATCGATGAAGTGAGTGAATGACAACCAATACAAATACTACCTGGGGCATATTCCTTCTCTTCTTAGGGAGTTTCAGGGCTGTCTGAGATTTTTGGCCACAAAGACCAAGCGATAGAGTTGGAGACTATAGATGATCATGACCTCGGACTGATACAGGAGGCACAGAAGTGAGCACAGCTGATAGGGCTGAACCTTGGGGCTCCTCTCAGCCAGCCCTCCCTTGGCATCGTCTTGGCCAGCCTGGGAGCACAGGGGTGTCTCCCCCTAATGGGGGAGGCTCAGATGCCCTGGTCCCCGTCTGCAGGAGATACTGGTCTATGCTGTGCAGGTCCCCACCTTCAGGAGGTAGAGATGTATCCTGAGAACCTCCCCGGCAGAGCCCCAGCCCAGCCAAACCCACCCTCCAGTCCCAGGCTGGAAACCTACACCACCTCTCAGGTGGGAGGCAGCAGGAGCCCCATGCATCTTCTCCCTAAAAACATGAGGCTGGTTACTACGGGTGTCGTTCTGTACCTGTGGAGGCAGGGAGGGCTTTCCTGGGACCAGGCGAAGGTGGCACTGTGTATGGTGATGCAATCCTTCCCGGCAGCTGCAGGGCACAAGAGGCCATTTACAGGAGACCCCTGACCTGGCCGGCCTCTGCATCGGAGAGGCCCCCAGGCACCATCCCCCGCCCCCCCCAGGGGCAGAGGCTGCAGGAAGAAATCTCTCCCACTGAACAAATTGCCCTGCTACTCACTGGCTTGTGGGTGACCCCGCAGGGTTCTTGTTCTGTCCGTGTCCCATGGCTACATAATCCAGGGGGAGGCAAACTGTGGCCCAGAGACCAAATCCTGCCTGCTGCCTTTTCTTATAAATAAAGTTTTATTGGAACACGGCCACATCCATTCATTTCTCTATTTCATGCTTTGAGCAGTTGTGACAGAGACTGTGTGGCCCACAGGCCTAAAATATGCACAATCTGGTCATTTATGGAAAAAGTTAGTGAATTTCTGAAATAAATTATCATCAAATCCCAGCCTTCCCAGAGTGAAGGGGGTGTTATTAATTTCACTGTGGCCGGCACAGTGTCTCATGCCTGTAATCCCAGCACTTTAGGAAGCAGAGGTGGTAGGATCACTTGAGGTCAGGAGTTTGAGACCAGCCTGGCCAACATGGCAAAACCCTGCCTCTACCAAAAAATACAAAAATTAGCCAGGCGTGGTGGTGGGCGCCTGTAATCACAGCTACTTGAGAGGCTAAGGCAGGAGAATTGCTTGAACCCAGGAGGCGGAGGTTGCAGTGAACCAAGATTGCACCACTGCACTCCAGCCTGGATGACGGAGTAAGACTGTGTCTCAAAAATACTACTGCTACTACTACTAATTATTATTATTATTTCACTGTGATAACAAGTGTAATTAGATTAGTGGTTCTTGATCCTTAAGACGTAGTTAGAATTGCCTGAAAGATTTTCTAAAAATCAAAGCTCTCATGGCTTAGCCCAGATCAATTAAATTCATCGTCACAATTAGCTGCTATAACGATTAACATGCCCATTTTGGAGATGGGAACACGGAAGCTCAGAGAGATGATCTACTTGTCAGGATCACCCAGCTAGTCAGTGCTGGGGCTGGGATTTGGACCTGGGCAGTTGAATGCCACAGGCTCGGCTTCTTACCACTATGTGGGTGTTTTCCAGGTACACAGTTTGCCCAGGTTCTTCAGTGCAACAAGGGGGAGGGTGTCTTGGCCCGTGGCATAAAAGAAGGATGGGGTGGAGGGGGAAGCCCAGGTAACTTGAGCTTGGTAAGTCTCATCGTGCAATGGTGCTTGAAATGCTGCTATTTTCCAGCTTGATCAAAATGCTGTCATGCTTATTACCTGGGACTTTCTGCATGAGGACAAGGACCTGGTCTGTTAGAGCAGGAGTCCTCAACCCCCAGGCCACAGACTGGTACCAGTCTGCAGCCTCTTAGGAACTGGGCCATACAGCAGGAGGTGAGCGCAGGGCAGGTGAGCAGAGTGTCATCTGTGTTTATAGCCACTCCCCATCACTCCCATCACCGCCTGAGCTCCACCTCCTGCCAAATCAGCAGCAGCAATAGATTCTCAAAGGAGCACGAACACTTGTGAACTGTGCATGTGAGGAATCTGGGTTGCGTGTTCCTTATAAGAATCTAATGCCTGATGATCTCTGTCTCCCATCACCCGCTTTGGGGCCATCTAGTTGACGGAAAGCAAGCTCAGGGCTCCCACTGGTTCTACGTTATGGTGAGTTGTATAATTATTTCATTATATAGTACAATGTAATAATAATAAAGGGCACAATAAATGGAATGTGTTTGAATCATCCCAAAACCACGCGCCTCTCCCCGGTCCGTGGGAAAACTGTCTTCCACAAAACCAGTCCCTGGTGCCAAAAAGCTTGGGGACCACTGTGTTAGAGTGTTCCCTGTTGTACACCCAGGATGGTACAAAGTGGGCGCTCAGTGAGTGGTCGCTGAATGGCTAGCAGAAAGAAGAGCAGCACGGTGCCAGTTTCCAAGTGACACGCAGATGGCGTGATCTGCACGTGTCATCCATTGCCCGCAGCCCCCATCTCCCCCCAGTACTGATGCTGGCTTGCCATTATGGGCTGGGGTGGCCCCCACATCCCCCATCCCTCCCACACCCCTCCTGCCAGACTCAGCACTCACCGCTTCCAGAGGAACTTGAGTCTACGACACCAGGGTCAACTTCTTCCAGGCAGAGGAAGGTGACCAGACGGTCAAAGGACACCCGGGCCTAGGAAAACCGAAGCCGCAGGTCACCCAGCAAGAAGAGCAAAGAACTCAGGTTTTGGGTGTCGGTGTCTCAAGATGTGTGGCAACAGCTTCCTGTCTACCAAGCTCTGTGCATAGGAGGCGTGAGGACAAAGCTTTCTAGTTCATGGGAAACGATGCAACCCGAGTGGTGACCTTGATGGTGGTGATCTCCCACCTCTGCGATCCTACAAATCAGTGACACCGAAGCAAGCCAGCTGCCATTCTGCAGACAAGATCTGGGAAGAGGATGGTGGCTTTTCCAATAAGGTTATCAAGCCATTGTGTGGAACAATTTCAAATGTTGTCCACCTGGGGGCGCTCTCTCCCAGTCACAAACCCATCTTTGGGGAAGAAAGAGACCAGTCGTTAAAATAGAGATTAGGCCAGGTGCAGCGGCTCATGCCGGTAATCCCAGCACTTTGGGAAGCCAAGTGCAGGAGGATCACTTGAGGCCAGGAGTTGGAGACCTGGGGAACATAGCAAGACTCTTTGTTTCTACAAAAAATTAAAAAAATTAGCCGGATGTGGTGGCCCATGCCTGTAGTCCCAGCTACTCAGGAGGCTGGGAGGTAGAAGCATCACTTGAGTCCAGGAGTTTGAGCATGCAGTGAGCTGAGATCGTGCCACTGCACTCCAGCCTGGGTGACAGAGTGAGACACTGTCTCAATAAATAAATTAAATAAATAAATAAATAAATAAATAAATAAATAAATAAGGCGGCCAGGCGCGGTGGCTCATGCCTGTAATCCTAGCACTTTGGGAGGCTGAGGCGGGCTTATTACATGAGGTCGGGGGTTCAAGACCAGCCTGGCCTGGCCAACATGGTGAAACCCTGTCTCTACTAAAAACACAATAAATAAATAAATAAGACTGGGTGCAGTGGCTCATGTCTGTAATCAGCACTTTGGGAGGCCAAGGTGGGCAGATCACCTGAGGTCAGCGGTTCAAGACCTGCCTGGCCAACATGGTGAAATCTCATCTCTACTAAAAATACAAAAAAAAAAAAAAAAATTAGCTGGGCATGGTTGTGCATGCCTGTGGTCCCAGCTACTTGGCAGGCTGGGGCAGGAGAATCACTTGAATCTGCGAGGTAGATCTTGCAGTGAGCCGAGATTGCACCACTGCACTCCAGCCTGGGTGACAGAGTGAGACTCCATCTCAAATAAATAAATAAATAAAAATAAAAAATAAAAAACATGGAGATGGCTCAGGTATGCCGCCGTTTCTTGTTTTCACCATGCTGAAAGGACTAGAGATAGCAAAGGAAGAGAAACAAAATCGCTTTGTATAAAAAAGGGAACTGACATGATTGCTTGTATGTGGAATTGCTGGGCAGATGGACAAGTATGCATGTTCTGAGGTGTGTGTGGAAAGGTCTGCACATTGCCCTCCAAAGGCTGACCCCTTCCAGATGTATTTGCTGTACTCTCTGCCCGCCTCTGTTCTTGCCCCTACCCGCCTCTTTTCCAGCTCCACACCATCCCTCTCCCTCCCACTCTGTCTTCCCTCTCCTCTGCAAATGGCAGGGGTAGGGAAGCTGGAGCCAGGTGTAGCCCACGCACTCTCCCAGGATGGCTCCAGCCCTTGCACCCACCTCACCTGGACGAGGGAGTGGATGGAGAAGGGCAGGAAAGCCTGGGCCTTGTTGAGGATGTTGAGAACTGTGAGAGTCACAAAGGCTTTCTCTGCATTCATAGCATTCTCGGCCACCAGAGTGTGGACAGCAAACACCACCAGTGCGACCTGGGGGGTGGGGGGGACACGTGGGGCAACAGTGAGACACGCAAGCATGGATAGGGCAGCCTGGGCAAGCTGTGGTGCCTGCACGGTCCATGTGGCCCACCCGCCATGTCCGCATGTGCTTCCCTCCGTAGATCCCACTCCCAGTCCTGCTAACACATGTCCTCTCCGCAGTCATAAGCTACATAAGGCTCTCTCTAAAGACACAGCGCATTGCTAATGGTGATGAGTGCGCAGCCCCACGGCTCTAGGCATCACTAGAACCTAGGGGAGAACCTAATGCCTCTAGGTTCCAGGCATCGGGGGACAGCAGAGTTTTTGATCTTGGTAGCCCTGTTGTTCTAGACGTGGTGGAACTTGTGATTCTAGAGTCCCTTGGAAGATGACTCTAAAGTTGCAGGCAGGAGCAGCACTTGAGGGCTCTAGGTGTTGGTGCCATTTGTGGTGCTTTTTTTTTTTTTTTTGAGATGAAGTCTTGCTCTGTCGCCCAGGCTGGAGTACAGTGGCATGATCTCGGCTCACTGCAACCTCTGCCTCCTGGGTTCAAGTGATTCTCCTGCCTCAGACTCCCAAGTAGCTGGGATTACAGGCGCCCGCCACTGCAACCAGCTAATTTTTGTATTTTTAGTAGAGACAGGGTTTCGCCATGTTGGCCAGGCTGGTCTTGAACTCCTGACCTCAGGTGATCCACCCACCTCGGCCTCCCAAAGTATTGGGACGACAGGCATGAGCCACCACACCCAGCCTACGTATCAAATTTTTTAAAACTGTGGTTTAGGAAGGTTGTTCTGACAGCAATATGAAATAAATTACAGAATGGCAGGACAAGGATCACGTCCAGTGACAGGGTGGCTATGGACATCTGCTGGCCAGGATCAGGGAAGTCACTCTGACCCAGGATTCTACCTCTGCCACCCCCCTGCATCTGTACCCTCCTCCCCACATCGGTAGAAGCCTGGAACTCTCTCTGAGAGTTCAGCAGACTTTATCAGCCACTGCCACCTTTGCTAGAATAATATGATTAATTAGTTCTTGTAGAAGACAGCAGGGACCCAGAGAGAACAGGATCCAGAATGAGTGGGTTTTGATGGACGGGGTGGTAGGATCTGGGGGGCTCCACCTACCTCACCCTGCCCCCACCCCCGCACTCCTTCCCCAGTGCTGCTCAGCATAGAGACTAGAGTGACGTCACCAGAAATGTAGACACTTGGAAGGACACCAGCGACACAGAGAAGAGGAGGCCGGAGGTCCGCAAGGCGCCCAGCTCCTGGCCTCGGATGCCCAGGACTCTGTCCAGAAAGGCTCCCTCCCAGCCATGGAACTTGATGGTCTTCGAGTTCCTGAGGATAGAGCTGGTGAGCCGTGCCCGTGAGTCCTTCTGCCTCATTTGCTCCTCCTGGGATCGGAGGGAAAAAGAGAGATGAAGACAGGGACAGTTGAGAACTCTTCCCTGCACCCTGACAGCCACCCTTCAGCAAATCCCATTCATCTCACCAAACTGCGTCCCAAACCTGTCTGCCTCTCAGCACCTCTGACCCTCACTCCTGGTCCAACCACCATCATCCTGTACCTGGACTTCTGCAGGAGTGCCCCTGGGATAATGTGCCCCATGGAGGAAGCCTCTGATGCCCGGAGAACAGAGGCAGCCTGAGCCCACCTGGGTATGACACCATCAGGAAGGCTACCTGGAGGTGGTTGATGCCTGAGCTACGTCTTTTTTTTTTTTTACCTTTTACATTTTTTGTGGAGTTGGGGTCTCACTATGTTGCCCAGGTTGGCCTCGAGCTCCTGGGCTCAAGTGATCCTCTGCCCTCAGCCTCCTAAAATGCTGGGATTACAGCCTGAGCTAAATCTTAAATGACCAGGAAGTGCGTGCTGAGCAGGCAGAGGATGGGGGGATGGAGCTGGAGAAGAGGGAGGGGAGGGGCTTGAGATGGGGGTGGGGGGTGGGGGCTGGGGGGTAGGGGGGTGGCGGGGGCACCTAAAACCCAGGCACAGGGAATAGCATGACTCAGAGGACACTCAGTGTGACCAGAGGAGCGTGTGGGCAGGGTCACTTGGCACTTTAAAGTCAGGCAGAAGAATTCAGGGTCTCCTGTGCTTCACCATGGGGCGGGGGGCATCATCAGAGGGGCAGCTGCCTGGAGAAGGTTTTACTTTTTGAGACCGAGTCTTCCTCTGTCGCCCAGGCTGGAGTGCAGTGGTGTGGTCTCGGCTCACTGTAACCTCCGCCTCCTGGGTTCAAGCGATTCTCCTGCCTGAGCTTCCCGAGTAGCTGGGATTACAGGCGCCCGCCACCACGCCCGGCTAAATTTTGTATTTTTTGTGGAGGCAGGGTTATGCCATGTTGGCCAGGCTGGTTTTGAACTCCTGACCTCAGGTGATCTGCCTGCCTCGGCCTCCCAAAGTGCTGGGATTACAGGTGTGGCCTCCCAAAGTGCTGGGATTACAGGTGTCAGCCACTGTGCCCAGCCTAGAATGTTTTAGAGGAGTCCACGCAGGAGGCTGAAGAAACAGCCCAGGTGACAGACGGACACTGGGACAGCTGGGCCAAGAGAGGAAATAAGTTCCTTCCCTCCATCCCCCATCTCTCCCTCTCTCTTTCCCGCCTTTTCTTTCCTTCCTTCCCTATCTCCTTTCTTCCTCTTTCCTTTGCTTTCTTCCCTCTTTCCTTTTATTTCCTTCCCTCCCTCCCCCCTTTCTTCCTTCTCTCCCTCATTCCTTCTCTTCCGCCCTCAATTCTTTCCTTCCCTCCTTCCCTCTGTCCTTCCTCCCCTTTCCTATCTTTCCTTCCCTCCCTCCTTTTCTCTCCTTCCCCTCCCTCCTTCCTCTCCTCCTTTCCTTCTTCCCTCCCTCCTTTCTTCCATAGTTCACAAACACTTACTGAGAACCTTCTGCCTGCCAAGCACTAACTAGATGCCGAGTTGGCCACAATCAGTGGCCTGTGCTGTTGCAAAGCTTCCAGTTAAGGAAAACAAGGCAATCAACCCTGCCGGGTGCTTCCTGTAGGACCCTGTAGGTTGTGGGAAGTGCTGTGGGGGGAAAAAAGCAAAAACAATCCCAGGGCAGGCAAAGGAGAGGCTGCTGCTGGGAGGGGAGGGATGGACGTGCCATTTCCTTGCTGGAGGGTGGTGAGGGAAGCCGCCCTGACTGCAGGGAGGTGACAGAGGATCTTCGGGAGTGAGGGTGATCCAGGTGGAGGGAACAGCTAAAGCGAAGGCCTGCAGGGATGTGTGAGATCGGGCAGGTTTGAGGATGGGAGATGTGTGGGGAAAGGCAGGGAAGGAGGGGAGATGGGTAGAAGGTGAGGTTGGAAGCAATAAGGCCAGCTCAGGGCGGGCCTGGTGGGCCACTGTGGGGTCTTTGGCTCAGTCTGAGGAAAATGGGGCCGCTGTGGGTCTGAGTAGAGGAGGGGTACAACGTATTTGGTTTGCATAGGTCTCCTCTGGCTGGGAGTGGAGAGAGGCTGAGGGCAGAGGCGGGGAGTGAGCCAGGGGCTTGCTGCTGTGACCTGGGTTAGAGATCATGGGGTTCGGAGAGCCTATGCTGGGAAGTGTGACATTTTGGATGCATTTTGAAGGTGATGCCAAGCAAATCTGCTGACAGATGGGATGTGAGAGAAAAAGGCATTGAACTGACCCAGGGCCTGTGGCCTGAACATTGGAGGGACGGAGCCACTGTCCATTGAGAGGATAGGGGGAGGGGGTGCAGGTCTGAGTGATGGGCAGCTCACAGACGACAAGAACAAAGCCAGACCCGTGGGCTCGCACTCAGCTCTCCCCTCCGCATCTCCCACACCAGGACCTGTGGCTTCCTCCCTACTTCCTGCCTGGTCCGTCCCTTTCCCAAAAGCCAAACCTGATGGTGGTTCCTTTTCTTGGAGATGAAGAAATTCAGAGGGAGGAGGCTCAGGAAGACAGCGATGGCAGTGAGGGCGGAGGGCCCCAGGAGCTGGGGATAGAAGGGGCAGGATGTCAGGAGATCCCGAGGAGCCCAGCTCTCAGAGGCACGTGAACCAGAGCAACTCCATCTTGAATAGGGACTGGGTAAAATGAGGCTGAGACCTACTGGGCTGCATTCCCAGACGGTTAGGGTATTGTAAGTCACAGGATGAGATAGGAGGTCGGCACAAGATACAGGTCACAAAGACCTTCCTGATAAAACAGGTTGCAGTAAAGAAGGCGGCCAAATCCCACCAAAACCAAGATGGCTACGAGAGTGACCTCCCGTCATCCTCACTGCTACACTCCACCAGCGCCATGACAGTTTACAAATGCCATGGCAACATCAGGAAGTTACCCTATATGGTCTAAGAAGGAAAGGCATGAATAATCCACCCCTTGTTTAGCATATCATCAAGAAATAACCATAAAAATGGGCAACCAGCAGCCCTCTGGGTTGCTCTCTCTATGGAGTAGCCATTCTTTTAGATCTTTACTTTACTAAAAAACTTGCTTTTGGCCGGGCACGGTGGATCATGCCTGTAATACCAGCACTTTGGGAGGCCGGAGGCGGGCAGATCACCTGAGGTCAGGAGTTTGAGACCAGCCTGGCCAACATAGTGAAACACAGTCTCTACTAAAAATATAAAAACTAGCCAGGTGTGGTGGTGGGCACCTGTGATCCCAGCTACTCGAGAGGCTGAGGCAGGAGAATAGCTTGAACCCAGGAGGCGGAGCTTACAGTGAGCCACGATCGCACCACTGCACTCCAGCCTGGGTGGCAGAGTGAGACTCCGTCTCAAAAAACAAACAAACAAACACTTGCTTTCACTTTATGGACTCGCCCTGAATTCTTTCTTGCACGAGATCCAAGAACCCTCTTTTGGGATCTGGATCAGGACCCCTTTTCTGTAACACAGCTGCAGACCCCGAAGGTGGTCAGACTTGGGTCCTAAGATGGGGATGTCAGGGAATCTGATAAGGGCAGCCACCAGGTCCCAGGGATCTGTGCTCATGGGGTCTGCTGTGTCAGGAGATGCCTGCTGAAGGTGGGGTCCTTCAATGTCAGGGAGGGAAACAGCCCTCTTACACGATAGGGAGAGAGTTATATTCAAGACAGATTGTGCACACACACGAGTGGGACTGGGGGGTGTTCCCAGCCACAACAGTAAAGTTGAGACCTATGGAATCAGGGGACCTGGTTCAAATCCTGACCCTGAGAGTTTTGAGTGTGGCCTTGGGGCAAGTCATCTCCCTTAGGTGCAATTCTCTTGTCTGCAAAATGGGAATAGAGTTGTTCTCATTTGGCATTTTCTCTTATTGCGTTTAATTATTTTCCTAATCTTCATTTCATCCCTCGCAAGGGTTGTCAGATTTAGTAAATCATCATACAGAATGCCCAGTTACATTTGAAGATAAAGAGTGAATAAGGTTTTAGTCTAAGTCTCGTGAAATATTTGGGACATACACTGAGAAATTCTTCCGTTTGTCTGAAACTCACACTTCACTGAATGTCCTGTGTTTTCTCTGGCAACCCTGCTCCCCCACCAACGTGGTGATTTTGGGATGGTTATCTTCCCCCTCTCGGCTTTGGTTTCTATATCTGGAAAATGTGGAAGTGGGGGGTAGAATAAATGATTTTTAAGTTGCTGTGACTTTCTGAGATTTCTGCACAGGTTATTTGGACCCATTCTCTTGACAAGCCCCACCCCAACTCCAGTCTGTGTGCCTCAGTTTCCCGTCTCAGTCCTTAGGAACACTATGTTTATTTATTTATTTATTTGTTTGTTTATTTTGAGATGGATTCTTGTTCTGTGACCCAGGCTGGAGTGCAGTCTCATGATCTTGGCTCACTGCAACCTCTGCTTCCCAAGCGATTCTCCTGTCTCAGCCTCCTGAGTAGCTGGGATTACAGGCATGTGTCACTCGGCTAATTTTTGTATTTTTAGTAGAGATGGGGTTTCACCACGTTGCCCAGGCTGGTCTCGAACTCCTGGCCTCAAGTGATCCACCCACCTCAGCCTCCCAAAGTGCTGATATTACAGGTTTGAGCCACCCCACCTGGCCTGGGAACACTATTTTCTAACATTGGGCCAGTTTGTTTCATTTATGCGGCAATGGCGCTACCTAGTGGCTCAATGGAGAAGGGCGCAGAGGGTAAACACCAGCCCACAGCAGGGCTTGGAAAAACACTCAAGGAATGTGAGCAGAAGATGAACATCTCTGTCTGGGGGAAAAATGGTATCATTAAACTGTAGCAACCTCAGTGTCCACTCCTCCTTCACCAAGACCTCACGGTGATGTTAGGAACTGTCTACCAAGAGGCAGGAAAAGTACACAAGCAAAGTAACATGGTGCATTATCTATGGATATCTTGTTGGTCTCATCTAATTTTTTTTTTTTTTTTTTTTTTTTTTTTAGAAGGAGTCTCACTCTGTCGTCCAGGCTGCAGTGCAGTGATGTGATCTCAGCTCACTGCAACCTCCACCTCCCGGGTTCAAGTGATTCTCCTGCCTCAGCCTCTCTAGTAGCTGGGATTACAGGCACATGCCACCATGCCCGGCTAATTTTTATATTTTCAGTAGAGACAGGGTTTTGCCATGTTGGCCAGGCTGGTCTTGAACTCCTGACCTCAAGTGTTCTGCCGGCCTTCACCTCCCAAAGTGCTGGGATTACAGGCGTGAGCCACCGTGCCCCGCCTGGTCTCATCTGATTTTTAGCAACGGTGGGGTCAACCTGATCAATTGCCCTGAATTTTCCCATGTTCTTCCTCTCTCCCTCTCTTTCTTCCTAATGATGACATTTATGTACTGCACATGAAGCCCTGTCTGAGTGCCTTATGTTGTAATTGCTAAGCACCTGCCTATTGTTTGCAAGGCCCTGGAATACAAGGTGAAGACACTGGAAAAAGTCCTGGCCCCTAGCCTTAGCAAAAACAATCATATGCATGAGCATTCGAGTTTTTTTTGGAATATTCAGCAATTACAATCAAAATGCCATTAACAGTTTTTACAAGGCCAGGCACAGTGGCTCATGCCCGTAATCCCAGCACTTTGGGAGGCTGAGGTGGGCAGATCACCTGAGGTCAGGAGTTCAGGACCAGCCCAGCCAACATGGTGAAACCCAGTTTCTACTAAAAATACAAAAATTAGCCAGATGTTGTGGTGCACGCCTGTAATCCCAGCTACTCAGGAGGCTGAGGCTGGATAATTGCTTGAACCTGGGAGGTGGAGGTTGCAGTGAGCCGAAGTTGTGCCATTGCACCAAAGCCTGGGCAACACAGTGAGACTCTGTCTCAAAAAAAAAAAAAAAATCAAAAGGATACTATTTCACGACATATGAAAATGATATGCACTTCAAATGTCAGCATCCATAAATAGAGTTTTATTGGAGGAATACCATGCCTGTTTGCTTAGTATGGTCTACAGCCACTTCTGCACTCCAAGGGCAGAGATGAATATTTGCAGGAGAGATGGTGTGGCCTCCAGTGTAAAAAGCATCTACTGTCTTATCCTTTATGGAAAAGTAACTAATGATAATATTACAAATACCTACAGGGTGCAGTTGTGTGCCCGGCACCCTTTTAAGTGCTTTCTACATATGGGCTCGTTTAATGCCTCAGCCCCTCTGGGGCAGGAGTGCTACTGTTAATTATGATCCTCACGTTGGAGACAAGAACAGGAGGCACAGAGAGAGTAGGGTCCTTGCACACAGATTCACAACTGATAAGTGGTCAGAAGGAGGATTTGAGCCTAGGCAGTTCCCGATACAGAGTCTAATTTTATTTTTACTTTTATTTATTTGTTGGAGACAGAGTCTCACTCTGTCACCCAGGCTGGAGTGCAGTGGCATTATCTCAGCTCACTGCAACTTCCACCTCCAAGGCTCAAGCGATTCTCCTGCCTCAGCCTCCTGAGTGGATGGGGTTATAGGCACCCACCACTATGCCCGGCTAATTTTTGTATCTTTCAGTAGAGACGGGGTTGGCCAGGCTGGTCTGGAACTCCTGGCCTCAAGTGATCCACCTACCTCACCCCCCAAATTGCTGAGATTATAGGCATGAGCCACTGTGCCTGGCCCAGAGTCTGATTTTAATTTAAAAAAAGAAAATCCTATACCACAACGTTAAAGGAATGAAGTTGGAAAGTAAATGTTTTGTTTGTTTTGTTTGGTTGTTTCCTGATGGCTACTTTGTGTTTTTTGAACACTAAGTAGCAATTTTTCCCCCTAAAATGTTCTCCTCTTGTGTTTTGTGGACAGTGGCTATGGTGGTGCCTCAGGGTTACTGGTAACTTCAAAACATGGTTAACTTGCCTACTGGGTACCCTAATAGCACATGGGGAAGTATCAACGTCATCATCATCATCTTTCTACAGAGGAAACTGAGGCCCAGAGAGGGTGAACTTCCTGCCCAAGGTCAAGTGAAGGTCATCCTTATTGAGGACTTTTCCCATCGTATCAGACAATAGTAGGCAAATTGAGACAGGATTGGAGGAGGAGGAGAAGGAGGAGATGGGGGTGGAAGGGGAGGAGAAAAAGGAGGAGAGGAAGAAGAAAGGGAAGAGAAGGAGAGGGAAGAGCAGAGGGAAGAGAGGGAGGACGGTAGAGGAGAAGAAGGGAGAAGGGAAGAAGTGGGAGGGAAGATGACAGGGAGCAGAAAGGAAGAAGAAGGTGGAGCAGGAGAGAGGAAGAGGAGGAGGAGGGGGAAGGAGGAAAAGGAAGGGGTGCAGGAAGAGGAGGGGGTGCGTGGGCAGAAGGTGGGAGAGATGCAGGAGGAGGGAGGGTGCAGGGAGGGGTGCAAGAGGAGGGGGGCAGGAGGAGGAGGCTGGGGCAGAGGGAGAGGGGAGGAAGCCTTATGAGCTTCTACACCAGGAATGGAATCCAGGGTGATGAAGGCAGAACAAGGGTAAAACCTTTCATGTGCCTCTCTGACACCAACCTGGTTCTCCCACAGCCTCAGACTTGCCCTAACCCTGGGGTCACAGCGGACCTCTTCCAGCCTCTTGAATGCTAAGTCAGGAGGAGGAAGGGTGGGAGGGGGAAGGAGGAGGGGGAGAAGGAGGGGGTGGGGGACTCCGTTCAAATCCCGTCTTCCTCCTCTGGCATACCTGCCAGAGATAGACGAAGCAGACCACGATCCAGACGAGAGGCAGCCACAGCCCGTTGAGGTAGAGGACGCTCTCGGTCAGCCGCTGCACGTCCACGGACACCAGATTGACCACATCACCCACCGCACTGGCCTTTCTGGAGCCGCTGGACAGAGCCAGGACCTGGCGGGTGGGCAGAAGGAGAGAAGTAAAGTGGGGAGGCCGGGGCAGAGGGATGCCCCAGGTGGCTTCTCCACCCACTGAGCCCCACCTCACACGTCTGCGAGGTGGGTGAGTAAAGTCTCTTAGGCCAACCTCTCAGGGCTCTTTGAGGATCCACAGAGATGACAAAAATGAAAATCCTCCAAGATCCCTAAAGCACGGGAGGCATAATAATGAATAACATGCACGAAAACACCAGATTAACACAGATAACGGTGGTCATCTGCCCAGTGCTCACCATGTCGCAGGCACTGTGCTAAATGAACAGCCTTATCCTTTCCCGGGGTGCTCACAGCCATGAATGGTACCAAGCAGGCACTACCATATTCATTCCCTCTAATGCCAGGCCAGGTGCAGTGGCCTCTGCCTGTAATCCCGCCACTCTGGGAGGCTGAGGTGGGAGGATTGCTTGATCCCAGGAGTTCGAAACCAGCCCGCGCGACATAGTAAGACCCAAGCTCTACAAAATACTTTAAAAAATTAGCCAGGGGGCCGGGTGCGGTGCCTCACGTCTATAATCCCAGCACTTTGGGAGGCCGAGGTGGACAGATCACCTGAGGTCAGGAGGTGGAGACCAGCCTGGCCAACATGGTGAAACCCTGTCTCTACCAAAAATACAAAAATTAGCTGGGCATGGTGGCAGGCACCTGTAATCCCAGCTACTTGGGAGGCTGAGGCAAGAGAATCGCTTAAACCCAGGAGGCAGAGGTTGCAGTGAGCCCAGATCAAGCCATTGCATTCCAGTCTGGGCAACAAGAGCAAAATCCATTTCGGGGGGGAAAAAAGAAAAAATTAGCCAGGCATGGTTGTGGTGCGCCTGTGGTCCTAGCTAGCTACTGGGGAGGCTGAGGTGGGAGGATTAATTGAGTACAGGAGGTTGAGGCTGCAGTGAGCCATGTTGGTGCCACTGCACTCTAGCCTGGGCAACAGAGCAAGACCCTGTCTTTAAAAAAAATTCTATGGATAAATTGCTCTCTATTATTCTCTCACCAAGGAAAATACCACTTCCAGTTAAATTAAGACATGTAAGAGACATCTCGATTTTGGAAGTATTAGAGTGAAAAAAAAATGTGAGACGAGAATCAATGAAATGAACATTTACTAACCCCATTCTATGGCTAAAGAAACTGAGGCAGAGAGAAGTTGAGCAACTTGCCCAAAGTCACAGGCCTTGTAAGCTCCTACACAAGGAATGGAATCCAGGGTGACGAAGGCATGACAAGGGTGAGACCTTTCATGTGCTTCTGTGACACCAACCTGGTTCTCTGGCAGCCTCACATCTGCCTTAACCCTGGGGTCACAGTGGACCTCTTCCAGCCTGTTGAATGCTAAATTCCAAATGCAGCCCTCCCTTTGTGACTGCGTGAGGGTGTGAAGAAGTGATCCAGGAATGACTGGACATAGAAATTCTCCACTTAGCAAGTCTTTGAAGAGTGCTCACTGTGTGACTCACACTGAGCTGGGAACTGAAAATACAGCTGTGAACAACAGAGATGAGGCTTGCTCTCCCGGGCCTGGAGTTTGAGGTGGGGAACAAGGCTCTATAATAAAGATTTATATAACTGGCCGGGCACAGTGGCTCACACCTGTAATCCCAGCACTTTGGGAGGCTGAGGCGGGTGGATTGCTTGAGGCCGGGAGTTCGAGATCAGCCTGGCCAATATGGCAAAACCCCATCTCTAGTAAAAATACAAAAATTAACTGGGCATGCTGGTGGGCACCTGTAATCCCAGCTATTTGGGAGGGTGAGGCAGGACAATTGCTTGAACCCAGGAGGCAGAGGTTGCAGTGAGCCAAGATTGCACCGCTGCACTACAGCCTGGGTGACAGAGTGAGACTCTGTCTCAAAAAAATAAGACAAAACAAAAATATTTCTAAAACTCATGCTTTAATGGCAGTTATGATGAGTAACATAAAAAAGTAGCCCAGGCTGAGCGCGTTGGCTCATGTCTGTAATCCCAGCACTTTGGGAGGCTGAGGTGGGTGGATCACCTGAGGTCAGGAGTTCGATACCAGCTTGGCCAACATGGTAAAACCCTGTCTACTAAAAATACAAAATTAGCCGGGCATGGTGGCGCACACCTGTAATCCCAGCTACTCAGGAAGCTGAGACAGGAGAATCACTTGAACCCAGGGGGCGGAGGTTGTAGTGAGCCGGGACTGTGCCACTGCACTCCAGCCTGGGCAACAAGAGCGAAACTCTGTCAGAAAAAAAAAAAAAAAAAAAAGCCCAGAGGTTAGAGAGGAGGGATCTGATCTCATCAGGAGATCAAAGAAGGCCTCCTGGCGTGTGGGTGGGGAATAGGAAGATCAATGCCTGCTCACCAGGCGGCCTTCCTCTTAGGCTCAAGGAAATGTGGACTCTCAAGACAGGATAGGGCACACCTAGCTCTGGCATGCTCAGGGGAACAGGAGCCTGGGATGCAGCACTCTGGCAGGAAAGCATCAAGAGCTGCCCTCTCGGCCACCTAGGAGCTGTCCCCTCTGTCCCCTCCTCCCCTAGGTGACAGCTCAGGTGTCAGGGAATGACACTTACATGGGACGGGACCTGCCCTGGCTCAGATGCTCCATACCCCACAGGAGCCAATAGCTCTTGGGGCAGCAGTCCAGGGACTTAGCTTCCAGAGTCCCAGGAACGGACAAGAGCCACTGCACAGAGAGAAGTCTAAAGCTATGGCCTCCAACCAGGTATTCACAGTCAATGGACAGAACTTCCAGCCCAGATGCAATTTGGGTTTTTTTGTTTTGTTTTTTTTTTGTTCTGAGACGAGGTCTCGCTCTCTTACCCAGGCTGCGCTGTAGTGGCGTGATCTCAGTTCACTGCAACCTCCACCTCCCGGGTTCAAGCGATTCTCCTGTGTCAGCTTCCCAAGTAGCTGGAATTACAGGCACATGCCACCATGCCTGGCTAATTTTTGTATTTTTAGTAGAGATGGGGTTTCGCCATGTTGGCCAGGCTGGTCTTGAACTCCTGACCTCAAGTGATCCGCCTGTCTCAGCCTCCCAAATTGCTGGAATTACAGGCGTGCACCACTGTGCCCAGCCTAGGGGTCATTTTTACCCCAAGCAGTATTGTCTGGGAACACAGCTGACAGGCCACCTTATCAGAAGGTTAATCCTTTATCCTCAAGGGGGAATGAGTGGAAGTTAAAATCAGGCTCAAAAATTAAAATTAGATTGGGGGAGTAGAAGTGGTGCCTAGACAGTGAGAACAGCTGCAAAGGCCCCAGGGTGGGTGGGGGCCTGGAGTGTTTGAGGAACTGAAAGGAGACCTGTGTGGCTGGAGGAGAGTGAGCATGGGAGGAGGTGACGGGATGAGGTCAGAGACACCCTAGGGACAGATCACACAAGACCTTACAGGAATAACTAAGGAGCTGAGACAGATCACTTGAGGCTAGGAGTTCGAGACCAGCCTGACCAACATGGCAAAACCTTGTCTCTACCAAAAATATAAAAATTAGCTGGGCGTGGTGACACGTGTCTATAGTCCCAGTTACTCAGGAGGCTGAGGCAGGAGAATCACTTGAACCCGGGAGGCGGAGGTTGCAGTGAGCCGAGATTGCACCACTGCACTCCAGCCTGGGTGACAGAGCAAGACTCCATCTCAAAAAAATAAATACATATAATACAGAGAAATAACTAAGGAAGTGAGAATGTATGGTGAGTGACTCTAATAAGCAAGGACTGAATGCGTTCTCAGCTGCTGATAACATTACTGCCCGCTCAGTGATACTGCTTTTCCTGGCTGGGAAGACCTGCCCTTGTCCCCCAGGGCTCACCTTTCTGTACACCAGGCCAGTGATGGCCGACCGCAACCTCATCTGCAGCACCTTGAGCCTGTACATGTTCTGCTGCTCAAACAGCGTTTGCAGGCAGGCTGAGAGGAACATCAGCACGGCGAGGAGGTAGCCCTTCCAGGCTGGAGGCTTGGGATCACCAATAAACTCCAGGAAAAGGCTTGCAGGGGAAGGAGGGAGAAGGTACAGCTGGTGAGAGGAGGTGCCTAAGGGTGTTGCCTTTGCCCAAACCAGTCCAGATGTGGAGGATCAGTCGGCCCAAACTAGTCCAGGTGTGGAGGATCAGTCAGTGTGGTTTTTTTTGCAATAATGGTCTCCGTTATTTCCCCCACTGTCCATACTCCTTTTCAATCTGACTGCAGCTCCTCAAGATCAAGAGGTGGAGTTTTTGTTCCCACTTGTTATAGGCTAAATTGTGTCCTCACAAAGTTTATATGTTGAAGCCCCGACCCCCAGTACCTCTGAATGTGACTGTATTTGGAAATAGGGCCTTTAAAGAGGCAATGAAGTTAAAAATGAGGTCATTAGGCTGGGCCCTAATCCAATCTGATGGGGTCCTTTTAAGAAGAGGAAATGTAGACACACAAGGAGACACCAGGGGGCGCAAACAGAGGAAAGACCATATGGGGACACAGGGAGGAGGTGGCCAACTGCAAGCCAAGGACAGAGGCCTCAGATGGAACCACCTTGCAGATACTAATCTCGAACTTCCAGCTTTGAGAATCATGATAAAATACATTTCTGTTGTTCAAGCCACTCAGTCTCAGTCTGTGATGCTTTGTTATGTCAGCTGAGCAGACACCACTTGAATCTGGGCTGGCTACAAAACCGGCTTTGGCCAACAGAGTACAGTGGAGGTAAAGCCATGCTGGCTCTGAGCCTAGGCCTCAAGAGAAAATGTGGTTTTTGGTCTATTTCTTAGAACCCTCCCAAGCACCCACATGAACAAGTCTGAGCTAGCCTTTTGGAGGATGGGGACCCACATGGAGCAGAGACAGCCATCCCAGTCTCAGATACACAACTGCAGGCACATGAGAAAACCCAGCCAAGAAAAGAACCACCACCCAGCTGAGCCCAGCCCACATTACTGACCCACATTACCATGAACTAAATAAAAGAATGTTTGTCATTTTAAGCCACTCACTTTTGGGGCATTTTACAGCAAAAACTAATTGATGCAGTCAGGTAAGAGCTTGCTTATTTGCCCTTCTGGGGGTCAGTCACTTTCTCATTAATCCATTTCCCTTCCTCAGTGTCCTTCTCACCCACCATCCAGTGTCCCGAGCACCAGACGTATAGGCAGAGGCAGGAGAGCTGAAGCCCCCTGGCCCTGGAAGGATGCCACTAAGAGACCACCCACCTTAGCAGGGCACTTGAGGTCTGGGACTCACCTGAGCAGCTTGGGGACAGTGAACCTGAAGACATCACTGATGATGAGGCTGAGGGTCCCCAGGAGGAAGGTAGAATGGAACACCTGCCAGATGGCCTTCAGCAGTGGGCGCCACTGGCTCCCTTCTTGCCGTAGGAAGGGCTCGGTCTCTGGAGCCTTCATGCCACTGCCGCCTTTCCTTTTAAATGCTATTGCCTTGTTGTGCCTGAGGGGAAGGGAGAGATTAGCTCTGGGTCCCATTTTATACTCTCAGCCGCCAGCGGCAGGGCCAGGCATTAAAGGGTTGTTTTCCCAACAGTGGAGATGGGTGGGTGTGGATCTAGCCTGGCTCCCTCACCTGTTCCTCCTTATCACCCTGAGTACCCACTTAAGAGGCAATCATGGGAGTTGGGGGGCAGGGCAGGAGGGCACTCTGAGGCCTCTTAGATGGCCATGGGAAAGCACACCTGTTGAGCACCTACTATGTGCCAGGCACTCCCCAGTCATCCTAAGACCCCCTGAGAAGCCAGGTGTTGTTCCCATTTCACAGATGAGAAAACTGGGGCTCAGAGAAGCGAACTTGCCCAAGGGCACACAGCTGAGAAGTAAAAGAACTGGAATTTGATTCCAGCTCTCTGCCTCCAGAGCCCATGCACTTTTCTTTTTTCTTTTCCTTTTTTTTTTTTTGAGACGAAGTCTTGCTCTGTCGCCCAGGCTGGAGTGCAGTGGTGTGATCTCAGCTCACGGCAACCTCCACTTCCCAGTTCAAGTGATTGTCCCACCTCAGCCTCTCGAGTAGCTGGGATTACAGGCAAGTGCCACCATACCCAGCTAATTTTTGTATTTTCAGTAGAGAAGGGGTTATGCCATGTTGGCCAGGTTGGTTTTGAACTCCTGACCTGAGGTGATCTGCTCGCCTTGGCCTCCCAAAGTGCTGGGATTACAGATGTGAGCCACCACACCTGGCCTCTCATGTACTTTTCAACCTATCGTGTTGTCAACCTGGAGGAAGAACAGCACCCCGTCCCCAACACACACAATCAGCCAGCCCTTAGGTGGTTTTGAACTGGTGGAGAATCACGGCTGATGGGCATGGGGCCTGGTGCTCTAGCTCTGGGTGAAAGTGCAGACAGAAGCTCAGGCTGCCTCAAACTAATAAGATCCCCAGCCTTTGGCTATAACCAGGGGCCACAGAGAAGAGCTAAGGTGAGGGAGGGAGAGGAGGAGATGGGGGAGGCCCGAGGGCCCCTGTGAGGCAGGTCAGAAGCCCTGGGCCAGAAAGGAGAGGCTGGGGCGATGCAGCTGCTGACAGTCCGGTTGCTGTGTGGTCCTGGGCGGGGACACTGCTCCTCTCTCTGTGTGTGAGAGGATGGGTGTGGTCCCCTGCTGAGTCCCCTGTGGCTCTGACAACCTATAAGGTTATCAGTAATTTCTTTTTCTTTTTCTTTTCTTTTTTTTTTTTTTTGAGACAGAGTTTCGCTCTTGTCGCCCAGGCTGGAGTGCAGTGTAGCAATCTCGGCTCACCGCAACCTCTGCCTCCTGGGTTCAAGCAATTCTCCTGCCTCAGCCTCCCAAGTAGCTGGGATTACAGGCACACACCACCATGCCTGGCTAATTTTTGTATTTTTGGTAGAGACAGGGTTTCACAACGTTAGCCAGGCTGGTCTTAAACTCCTGACCTCAGGTGATCCACCTGCCTCGGCCTCCCAAAGTGCTGGGATTACAGGTGTGAGCCACCATGCCCGGCCACTTATCAGTAATTTCAATCCCCATTACAGATCTGTGACCCGGGGCCACGTGCTGGGATCAGCTCTTTACACGAAGGAGCTCACTGACTCCCCTGGATCCCCTTGCCAGGTGAGCATTATTAGGTTTTCCATTTTACAGAAGGGGAAGCTGAGGCTCTGAGAGATGGCGACAGCCGCCCGAGGTCACACAGCAAGGGCAGAGCAGGGATTTGAGCCTAGATCTTGATTTATGGTTTGTAAAGGGTTTCTTGTGCACTAAGGACCCCCAACCTCACCATAATAAAATAATAATAAAAAAAGAAGCATAAGAAAAACCTCTGGTGAGCTCAGGTGGCCAGACCCTTCAAGGCCAAGGTCTCTGTCCCACATTATTGGTCTGATCTGGTGTTTGGTTTGGCATCTATGGAGGGTTGTGGTTCAGCTCTGTTACTGAGTGGGTGTGGCCTGCTGCTCACAAATATTTTGGCATTTGGATCTCAAAGCCAAGAAGATGCCCCTTCCATACAGAGAGCATCCCTGCCCACCCTTTCCTGTTTGATCCTGCCATTTAATTCATTGCCTTCACAGCCATGTCCATGGCTCCAACCCTCTCTTTGTCTCGTTAGAACCCCAGGTGGGTAGACTTTGCCTGTGTTTTCCACCAAGATGTCCCTAGTATAGAGTCCAGCTCCTGCACACAGTAGGAGCTCAATAAACACTTGTCAAATGAATGGGAAAAACAGATTGAGTGATGTGTGCAAAGGGCCTAATAAGAGTGCCCCCTGCACATACTGTTATAAAAATTTATAGAAGGAAGGAAGGAGCTTGGCTGGGTGGACAGAACTTGGCTTTGGAGCCAGGAGACTGTGGTTCCAATGCCTGCTCTGTCTCCTCTCCTCTGAGCCTTAGTGTTTCCATCTGCAAAATGGGGTCGGGGAAGAGTTCACTGGAAAGTTTTCTTTCTGGCTGAGGTTCTGCTCAGTTCTATTTGAGCTGTTTAACCCAGAGAGTCAGTGTGTTCAGCCTGCAGGCTCCATAGCAAGTGTTTTCCTCTCCTGCAGGTCTCACCTCCCATCAAGGAAGATGTCCAGATTGCTGTCTGACGTCTGGTCTCTGGACTGAAGGCCATTTAGTGCAGATCTCACAAATGATGGTGGGGCAAGGCAGGGGGTATGCATGAGTGGCATGGGCAAGGTGTGAGTTGGGGGATACAAAAGGGAGTGGTGGAGGCCGGGCACGGTGGCTCACACCTGTAATCCCAGCACTTTGGGAGGCCAATGCGGGCGAATCACCTGAGGTCAGGAGTTCAGGGCCAGTCTGATAGCCTGAGCAACATGGAGAAACCCCGCCTCTAATAAAAAATACAAAAATTAGTGAAGCCGACTGGACCAGCAGGTGGCTGTTGTGTGGCCTCTCAGGAGGACGCCCTCTCCCTTCCCCCAGTGGTTGCAAAATACTTCAGAAAGAAAACCAAAGTTCTCTGTGGGTGCAGTCGGTTGTTTCAGAAGCTGACGGAGCCTGGTCTTTGTATAACCCCATCTTTCCCCTTTCTTTCTGTCAACTGTTTATGGGAGGATTCTCAAACTGTTCTGGAGAATGTTTCTACCCTTTAGTTCTAGTGTTGGGTGACCTGTAATTTTCATGTTGGCTGGGGATGCCAGGAGTTGGCAGAGGCTCCTTCCAGAGCCCCTGTGGACTGGATTCTGCCACTTCCGTAAAATCATTCAAAAGTAGAGGGTGAGTCAGGTGCAGTAGCTCACATCTGTAATCCCAGCACCTTGAGAGGCCAAGGCAGGCAGATCCCCTGAGGTCAGGAGTTCAAGATCACCCTGGCCAACATGGTGAGACCCTGTCTCTACTAAAAAAAATTTAAAAATCAGCTAGATGTGGTGGCACACGCCTGTGGTCCCAGCTACTCAGAAGGCTGAGGCAGGAGAATTGCTTGAACCCAGGAGGTGGAGGTTGCAGTGAGCTGAGATCATACCACAACCCAGTGAAGGGGGTCCAGCAAGCCATGCCTGGGGTGAGAGAGAACTGATGTTTTGGTTCTCTCACACTACTTATTCTGTTTGGAAAAACACATGCCCTTCCTTTGTGGGAACAGCCCCTACCCACTTCTGTGGCTCTGAAGGGACCACCAGTCATGGCACCAGCCCCCTGGGCATGGGATTGGCCCCTGACAGGCACATGACTTGAGCCAGGCCAATTAGAGGCCTTCCTTGGGATTTACTATATGGACGTTAGGAGAGAGATGCTCTCTTATTCTGCTGGAGTTTGCTGAACTTGCATGGGAAGGGATAGGCCTTATGGAGAGACCAACACATAGATAATAGTTGGGATGGGAGATGAAAGGAGAGAATCCTGACATCATTTGAGTCCCCTGATCCAGCAACACCTGAGGCTAGATCCTCTTAGCTGTGTGAGCCTATAGTATCAGTCTCTGTCTCCTCTGTCTCTCTTAATGTGTGGGATTCAGCCATCTGCAACAACTACCACAAAATCCCGGAGTATGCAGGGAACTTCCCACAGAGCTAACTTCCTTTTTTGTTCTGTCTCCTAAAACACCAAGATCCGGTGAGGTTAAGCAACGTGTCCAAGGTCATCACTATTTGAAGGCAGGGCAGCATTTAACCCAATTTTATCTAATCCTATGCAGGCTCATTTATCTAGACCAGAGTTTCTCAAATGAGGCATCCCAGGCTCTAAGGGCTGCAGAGAAGTTTCCAGAGATGCCACTGAGGGCAGGAGTGGACAGAGTGGATAACTCCAAAGATCTTAACACCCTCTGGATGACTAACAGTGCTTGAGCACTTCCCATTTGCAAGACATTTGCAAGTTCTTTTCCATAAATCATCCTTTTTTTTCATCCCCATAAGCTATGAGCTGGGGCTAATGACATCCCCACTGAACAGATGAGAAAACTGAGGCCCAGGAAAGGAATTGCTCAGGTTATATAGTAAGTGAGCAGCTGCTTGTGTGTTGAGTCACCTCCCAACCCTCCACCCCGGCCTTAAAATACCTCTTCTGTTTGCTGCCTGTCATTCTGCCATTTCCCCATTTGTAGGAACCTGTTTGTTCCCCGTTTGTAGGAACCTGTGATGCGTTCTGGGAGGAACCATATCTTAAGCCTGATACTACTTAGTGGGATCAGCTGGAAGGCAAGGTGGGGAGGCGGCAGTGCCGCCAGAGTAGCGTTGGGGGCTGGACTGGGGGTCAAATGATGAGGTTTTTTTGTTTTTGTTTTTGTTTTTGTCTTGTTTGTTTGTTTTTTTTTTTGATACGGAGTCTGGCCCTGTCACTCAGGCTGGAGTGCAATGGTGACATCTCCACTCACTGCAACCTCTGCCTCCTGGGTTCAAACGATTCTCCTGCCTCAAGCCTCCTGAGTAGCTGGGATTATAGGTGCCTACCACCACGCCCAGCTAATTTTTCTATTTTTAGCAGAGATGGGGTTTCACTATGTTGGCCAGATTGGTCTTGAACTCCTGACCTTGTGATCCGCCTGCCTCGGCCTCCCAAAATGCCGGGATTACAGTCGTGAGCCACCGCACCCGGCCAATGATGAGCTTTTCTGAAGTAGCATCAGGTGAGTTCTTGACCTCCACCCACTTACCTCCGGGCTGCACTGCGGTTCCTCATCCACTCCTTTTCAAGCCGGGAAACAAGTTCTTCTGAGGAGTTTTCTCTCCCAAGCGACCAGAGGTCTTTTGGTCTCAGTGGCCTCCTGTATCCCCTCCAGACCAGGCTGCAAAAGAGGGGCACCAGGGAAAGCTTTTCCTGCCATTCACCCCTGCAGGATCCTGGCCAGGCGAGTAGCTGTGTGACCCTGGGTAAGTCACTTTACCTCTCTGTACCTCTACTGGCCCCTGGGTAAAAAGAAAGCAATTCACTAACCCCACCTAATGTCTGCAGGGCATTTCTCGTTTCACAAAGATTGTCTCATTAATTCTTACATGAACCCATAAGGTAGGTTATTATTGTTTGTTTGAGATGGAGTCTTGTTCTGTCTCCCAGGCTGGAGTGCAGTGGTGCAATCTCGGCTCACTGCAACCTCCACCTCCCAGGTTCAAGCGATTCTCCCACCTCAGCCTCCTGAGTAGCTGGGATTACAGGCACCCACCACCATACCCGGCTAATTTTTGTATTTTTTGTAGAGATGGAGTTTCACCATGTTGGCCAGACTGGTCTCGAACTCCTGACCTCAGGTGATCCACCTGCCTCAGCCTCCCAAAGTGCTGGGATTACAGGCATGAGCCACCACACCCAGCCTGTAAATTGATAGTTTATAATTGTATAAATGTATGAGTATATTATTATAGATCTATTTTACAGATGGGGAAGGAAATAGAAGTGCAGAGAGATTCAGTGGCTAAACCAAGGGATAGCCCTTGGCAAGGGAAACAGACATTTCCCTGGGAATCAGAAGTCCGTTGACCAAAACTATCATTGTAGAAGAAGCTTGAACTCCTCCCTCAGCTTTTTTTTTTTAATTATTATTATTTTTTTTGAGATGGAGTCTCACTCTGTTGCCTAGGCTGGAGTGCACTGATGTGATCTGGGCTCACTGCAACCTCCGCCTCCCTGGCTCAAGCGATTCTCACGCCTCAGCCTTCTGAGTAGTTGAAATTACAAGCCACCATCACACCTGGCTAATTTTTGTGTTTTTGGATGGTGTATCACCATGCTGGCCAGGCTGGTCTCGACCTACTGGCCTCAAGCAATCCTCCCACCTCAGCCTCCCAAAGTGCTAGGACTACAGGCGTAAGCCACCACACCTGGCTAATTTTTTTGTTTATAGTAGAGATGGGATTTCGCCATGTTGGCCAGGCTGGTCTCGAACTCCCGGCCTCAAGTGATCTGTCAGGGTTGGCCTTCCAAAGTGTTGGGATTATGGGTGTGAGCCACTGTGCCTGGCCTCAGGTCTCTTTAATCTTTCTGATGACACCAGCCAGAAGGTCTTGCCTGGTTCTGGTCTCTGACTCTTCTCTAAGCCTTACCAAGTTCCCTTTTCTTTTTTATTTTTATTCTTTTTATTTTTTTGAGATGGAATCTCACTCTGTTGCTCAGGCTGGAGTGCACTGGTGTGATCTCGGCTCACCGCAACCTCCACCTCCTGGGTTCAAGTGATTCTCCTGCCTCAGCCTCCTGAGTGACTGGGATTGCAGGCTCCCACCACCACACCTGGCTAATTTTTATATTTTTAGTAGAGATGGGGTTTCACCATGTTGGTCAGGCTGGTCTCGAAATCCTGACCTCAGGTGATCCACCTGCCTCAGCCTCCCAAGGTGTTGGGATTATAGGCGTGAGCCACTGCGCCAGGCCACCAAGTTCCCTTTTCTAATGCAGAGCCAACTTGGGGAAGCAACCGTTCTGACATAGAAATTATTAACGTGGCTTGATTTTCCCTGAAATTATTTTTGGAGTTCTCCTATATGGCAAGTGATGCTATAGATTTTTCCTATTTTAGCAGTGATAGAGAGTTTCTTTTTAAAAACAGTTTATTCGAGTAAAAAAAGTGACTCAATTTAGTTTTTGCCCCAGTAGGACAAAAAAGCATCAAGAGTGGTCCATAAATGCTTAAGTTTGGGAAGCAGGGGCTGGACCCCCCAGTAGAGCTGTTTCGAAAACCTCTAAGCTCTTTCTACCAGTTCCACACATTCAAAGCCTGATATTTTTCATTTATTTAATAGCCATTTAGGCCGGGTGCGGTGGCTTATGCCTGTAATCCCAGCACTTTGGGAGGTCGAGTGGGGTAGATCACTTGAGGTCAGGAGTTTGAGACCAGCTTGGCCAACGTGGTGAAACCCGGTCTCTACAAAAAACTACAAAAATTAGCTGGGCATGATGGCAGGCGCCTGTAATCCCAGCTGCTCGGGAGGCTGAGGCAGGAGAATTGCTTGAACCTGGGAGGTGGAGGTTGCAGTGAGCTGAGATTGTGCCATTGCACTGCAGCCTGGGCAACAAGAGTGAAACTCTGTCTCAAAAAAAAAAAGAGAAAATGAATAGCCCAGGCACAGTGGGTCACACCTGTAATCCCAGCACTTTGGGAAGCCGAGGCGGGCAGATCACCTGAGGTCGGGAGTTTCAGATCAGCCTGACCAACATGGAGAAACACTGTCTCTACTAAAAATACAAAATTAGCCGAGCATAGTGGTGCATGCCTGTAATCTCAGCTACTCGGGAGGCTGAGGCAGGAGAATCGCTTGAACCCAGGAGGCGGAGGTTGCAGTGAGCCAAGATAGTGCCATTGTACTCCAGCCTGGGCAACAAGAACGGAACTCCATCTCAAAAGAAAAAAAAATAATTACCACTTAAACTCATTATTTGCCAGGCCCTGTTCTAAGTGCTTTACAGATCTCATCTTATTTAAGCTTCACAACCCTATGAGCTAAGTGCTACTATCAATCCCATTTTGAAGGAGTGGAGACTGAGGCACAGAGAGGTTAAGTAACTGTCCAAAGCAACACAGCTAGGAAGTGGTAGGGCCAGGATTCAAATCCATATGTCAGGTGCTACTGAGGTCTGAATGCCGTGTGGTTAGGAGAGAGCACATCCTCAAGTGCCTTGTGAGCTGGCCCTGGAGAAGCAGCTGTTTTCTCAATCTGCCTGGAACCCTCTAGAAAGTAGACACTTGCTCCTTTATCTCCTCACCCCTGGGGCTTAGCACATAGTAGGTGCCTATTAAATGTTGGTGGAATGACTGAAATCAAGTATTGGAGACAATTCTAATTACTATTAAGCACCCGCTGTGTGCAAGCACTAAGCACTTTCCGTCTCATGCAGGTTGAGTCATCCCCATTTTACAGAGGGAAAACTGAGACTCCGGAGGTTTGCGACATGGCCTGCTAACAGGCAGAGCCGGGATTCAAATCAAGATCTCACTCCAGTGAGTGAATGGGAACAGGATGCAGATGGTAGACACTGAACACGAAGAAGAAAGCACTGAGGCTGGGATGAAGAAAGACTTGCTGGCCTTTGTAAGCACAGGGGAAGGGCCATGGCTGGGAATCAGAGCAGCAAATGCAGGCGGGTGAGGCACCACCCCAACCCTTCCGTGCGACTTTACTTACCCAGAAACCCACCAGAACGTGGCTTTGGAGGGGAAGGCTGCCCCAGTCTCTGGACAGGGGTTCTGCAACAGACAAAAATGGAGAAGGGAAGTATGTGGCAAGGGTAGGAAGACAGGACGAACTGTGTATTTTTTTTTTTTTCGAGACAGGGTTTCGCTCTGTTGCCCAGGCCAGAGTACAGCGGTGTGATCTTGGCTCACTACTACCTCTGCCTCCTGGGTTCAAGCGATTCTCCTGCCTCAGCCTTCCAAAGAGCTGGGATGACAGGTGTGCGCCACCACACACAGCTAATTTTTTGTGTTTTTAGTAGAGACAGGGTTTCACCATGTTGGCCAGGCTGGTCTCAAACTCCTAACCTCAAGTGATCTGCCTATCTCGGCCTCCCAAAGTGCTGGGATTACAGGCATGAGCCACTACACCCAGCCCTGACGGTGTATTTAGTACTGAAAGTAAACATCGAGGTGCCCTGTCTCCTTGCCAGGGGTGTAGACCAGTGAGCTTGGTGCTTCCCAGCAGGCAGCGTAAAAAGAGGTTGGGCCACAGGCCTGACAATGTCCACAAGGTAAGAAATAACAGTGGCTCAGAAGAACAACTATGATTATACTGAAACCAAAACCTTGCTTTGCTTCTCAAAAGGAAGGACACTGCATAACGAAGAAATTAGATCCTTGACAATATCCCTCGGCAAATGTTGTGAAGACAGACCTGTCGTGCGATTTTTGTCAGGTGCTCCAGGAAGATTACAACAGTCTGTACTCTTTACCAATAAGGCGTGAAGGTGCCCATTTCACCACGTTTTTGCCATCACAGCTTATTAATTTTTAAATTTTGTTGCTACTCTGGTAGGTACAAAAAAGATTCCTATGATAGTTTTAACTATTCTCAAGCCTTCGAGCAATTTTTTTTTTTTTTTTTTTGAATACAGGGTCTCGCTCTGTCACCCAGGCTGGAGTGCAATGGTGCAATCATAGCTCACTGCAGCCTTTATCTCTTGGATTCAAGCAATCCTCCTGCTTTAGTCTCCACAGAGCTACTCTGTAGTGGGACTACAGGCATGCACCACCACACTAGGCTATTTTTAAAAACCTTTTTGTAGAGATGGGGTCTCACTACATTGCCTAGTCTGATCTAGAACACCTGGGCACAAACAATCCTCCTTCCTCGGTCTCCCAAAGTGTTGAGATTACAGGCATGATCCACTGCATCTGGCCCCATTTGAACATCTGTTTATATGATGTCAGATCAGTCTCTTCCACAAAAGAATTGTTTCTTGATTTCACAGACTGCTTCACTGTTACCTATTGTAAATCTCTCAATCTCTCATGAGCTTCTTCTATGGAGCACTTACCCCAAGGGTAATTTTCTTTTTCCTTCTTTTTTTTTTTTTTTTTTTTTGGTGGAGTTCCGCTCTTGTTGCCCAGGCTGGAGTGCAAATGCACAGTCTTGGCTCCCTGCAACCTCCACATCCCGGATTCAAGCAATTCTCCTGCCTCAGCCTCCCGAGTAGCTGGGATTACAGGCGTGCACCACCATGCCTGGCTAATTTTTGTAATTTTAGAAGAGATGAGGCTTTACCATGTTGGCCAGGCTGGCTTTGAACTCTCGACCTCAAGTGATCCACCTGCCTTGGCCTCCCAAAGTGTTGGGATTACAGGCATGAGCCACTGTGACCATCCAATTTTCAACATATTTGTTTAATTTTGTGACCAGTGTCTGGTTCCCCTGCTTGACCAGTAGCTACGTGAGAACAGAAACTCTATCTGCTTGTTCACCATAGATCCTTATGCCCTTGCTAGGGCATAGCGGGGTTTGGCAAACTATGACCAAATCTGGCCCACTGCCTGTTTCTGCAAATAGTGTTATTGCAACACAGCCATGCAATTTGTTGACATATTCTGCTTTTGCGTTCAATGGCAGAGTTGAGTAATTGCCACTGAGATCACTGTATGGCTCACAGAGTCCAAAATATTTTCTCTTGGCCCATATAGAAAAAGTCTGCCAACTGTGGCATCGAGTAGAAATGTGGTACACTTTTTGCTGAATGGCTAAATGAATAAAAAAATTAAAGACTTTTGGTCACCTGGGGGAGACTGAGACCTCAAAGTGGAACAGGAATGAGGTTGGAACTTGGTGACTTACAGACTGCTGGGGGTCTTCAGGGAAGAAGGGGGGTTGATCCGCCAGGCAGGACAGCACAAACTGTGCCACCACCAGAGACAGGCATAGGTAGGTGGACAGGTGGCGGACAGGGTCGCTCTGGAAGCCCTGTGGGAGGGAAAGCAGAAGATAAGGAATGGAGACAGAGGAGGGTGCTCAGAGGAGAGAAAAGGTTTCTGATCTTGGGTCAGTGCCCACTCTGGGGACCAGGGCAAGAGTATTTGAAAGCCAGAGCCCTGGCTTTCCTAGTGGTTCTAATTTTCTTTCTTTCTTTTTTTTTTAAGACAAAGTCTCACTTGGTCGCCCAGGCTGAAGTGCAGTGGCATGATCTCGGCTCCCTGCAACCTCTGCCTCCTGGGTTCAAGTGATTCTCCTGCTTCTGCCTCCTTAGTAGTTGGGATTACAGGTGCCCACCACCATGCCTGGCTAACTTTTTTAAAATATTTTTAGTAGAGATGGGGTTTTGCCATGTTGGCCAGGCTGACCTCAAACTGCTGACCTAAAGTGATCTGCCTGCCTTGGCCTCCCAAAGTGTTGGGATTACAGGCATGAGCCACCATGCCCAGCAGGTCCTAATTTTCAAATACCCAATTTATAATATTCTGTCTATACAAATGGTGGGCCAGGGCTGCGTCTGGGTTTTGTCCTTAGCCACATGATGATTGGCCACAGCTGCTGGGACAATGAGATGAAGAAACAATTTACCTTCTTCTTTGTGCCACAAAAGAAATCCTTTCTCCGTTCCACCCTCTACCCCAATCTTCAACCCTGCTCCCCCTTGGCCAGGGTTCTCTGTTTTGCAGAGATGAGAGCTGGTTTTATTGAGCACTGACCCTGCCCTGAGCACATGCGGCATTCTTGCCATACACAGTCTCATCAGCTGGAGTTTACTTGCTTCCTTTGACTCAGGGGGAAACCAAGGCTCAGAGAAGTGACAGCACCTTGTTCAAGGACACGCAGATGATCTGGTCCAAATTGTGATGCTCCTGCTGCCACACCACAATGATTTTTGCATCTGCTGCCCTGTCATCTGGTCAGAAACACCCTAATTTTCTTTCTTTTTTTAATTTAAAGCATTTTTTATTTTTTAATTTTAGGTGTGTGTGTGTGTGTGTGTGTGTGTGTGTGTGTGTATACTTTTTTTTTTTTTGAGACGGAGTCTTGCTTTGTCACCCAGGCTGATGTGCAGTGGCATGATCTTGGCTCACTGCACCCTCCGCCTCCTGGGTTCAAGCGATTCTCCTGCCTTAGCCTCCTGAGTAGCTGGGATTACAGGCATGTGCCACGACCCCTGGCTAATTTTTGTATTTTTAGTAGAGATGGAGTTTTACCATGTAGGCCAGGCTGGTCTTGAACTCCTGACCTCAGGTGATCCGCCTGCCTTGGCCTCCCAAAGTGCTGGGATTACAGGCATGAGCCACCGCGCCCGGCCTGATATATATATTTCTGGATGACGTGAGATATTTTGATACAGGCATGCAATGCATAATAATCACATCAAGGTAAATGAGGTCTCCATCCCCGCAATCATTTATCCTTTCTGTTACAAATGATCCATTCTACTCTTGTAGTTATTTTATTTTTTAGTTTATTATTGAGTTGGAGTCTCACTCTGTTGCCCAGGCTGGAGTGCAGTGGCTTGATTTTGGCTCACTGCAACCTCCGTCTCCTGGATTCAAGTGATTCTCCTGCCTTAGCCTCCTGAGTATCTGAGATTACAGATGTGTGCCAGCACGCCTGGCTACTTTTTTTGTATTTTTAGTAGAGACAGGGTTTCACCATGTTGCCCATGCTGGTCTTGAACTCCTGACCTCAGATGATCCTCCTGCCTTGGCCTCCCAAAGTGCTGGAATTACAGGTGTGAGCCACTGTGTCCAGCCTCTTTTAGTTATTTTAAAATGTACAATTAAATTATTATTGACTATAGTCACCCTGTTGTGCTATCAAATAGATATTATTCTTTCTGTTTTTTTGTACCCATTAACCATCCCCATTTCCCCCACCCACTGTCCTTCCTAGCCTCTAGTAACCTTCCATCTACTCTATATGTTCATGAGTTACATTGTTTTAATTTTTAGCTTTCACAAATAAGTGAGAATATGTAAAGTTTGTCTTTCTGTGCCTGGCTTATTTCACTTAACATCCATGTTGTTGAAAATGACAGTACCTCATTCTTTTTTATGGCTGCATAGTACTTCATTGTGTATATATACCACATTTTCTTTATCAGTTCGTCTGTTGATGGACACTTAGGTTGCTTCCAAATCTTGTTTATTGTGAACAGTGCTGTAATAATCATGGGAGTGCAGAGATCTCTTCCATGTACTGATTTTCTTTCTTCCTAAGTTTTTTGCTTGTGTTCGGGCGTGTGATTTGTGCAGAACTGACTCTACTCCGAGGCTGGGTGGGTGAATGAGGCCTGGCCAACGAATACGTTCTGGTCTTTTGGCTACCATGGCAGGGTTAGGAATGCACATAGCACCCCATGCTGGGTACTTGAGAGCTGGAACCATCGGGAGATTCTGCTGGCTTTGCTACATGCTAGAATGTAAGTGTGAAGGTATTGGTGGCTCTTCTTGCCACTCCATTGGAGAATCAAGCTAACATGGCAGAGCCAAGAGGCAGAAGTGGAGATCTGGTGATGGTACCTGGTCCCAGGCCTGGATCAGTCATGCCTGGGAGATCCCATGGGTATGAGCTAATAAATGCATGAGCTAATGAACCCCCTTGACTTACCCTTTTCATTAAGCTAGTGTGAACTGAGGTTTTATGGCTTTAAACCAGAGCCCTAGTTTTAAATCATGATTCCTCTACTGGATTTTATACTCTTCTAGTTTTGGGTTTTTGTTTGTTTGTTTGTTTTTTGGCAGATAGCAGACAATTGGATATTCCAATGACAATATGGCCCATCTTCCCTAAACTCCCACTGTTTTCCCCACTGTTTCTCTCAGAAAGTTTGTTCTGAATTTGCCTGAGATGAACTCGGGCTCTGCACTCCCAAGCTTTGTGGCCCTGAGGCCGTCATTCCCTTCTCCTAGCCTTAGTCTCCCTCATCTTTAAAATGGGACGGCTAGAATTCATCATTGGCTGGGGCACATTGGCTCAAGCCTGTAATCCCAGCACTTTGGGAGGCTTAGGTGGAAAGATCGCTTGAGCCCAGGAGTTTGAGACCAGCCTTGGGAACATAATGAGACTTTGTTTCTATTTCTATTTAAAAAAATAAAGAACCCATCACTGTGAACTCTTGTGAGAATCCAGTGAGGAGACGTGTGTAAGTGCCTGCCACAGTGCCTGGCACATGGTTGGAACCCCAGAATGTATATGGTCCCAGTATTATTGTTTCTATGCTGTGTCCCAAAAAGCTGACTTATGTCAACTGTGGGAGCCCACCATTTCAGAAATTACTGAATAACCTGTGGAATTTCCCCTTAGTTACAAAGGTTACTCTTTTAAAAACTCTGTCCTCGGTCAGGCGCTGTGGCTCACGCCTGTAATCCCAGCACTTTGGGAGGCCGAGGCGGGTGAGTCACTTGAGGTCAGGCATTTGAGATGAGCCTGGCCAACATATTGAAACCTTGTCTCTACTAAAAATACAAAAATTAGCTGGGCATGGTGGCACATGCCTGTAATCCCAGCTACTTGGGAGGCTGAGGTATGGGAATCGATTGAACCCGGAGGTGGAGGTTGTAGTGAGCCAAGATCGTGCCACTGCACTCCAGCCTGGGCAATAGAGCAAGACTCTGTCTCAGAATGAACAAACAAAAAATAAAAACTCTGTCCTTAAGGACAGGGTGATGCTTCTCTACCTTCTCCTTTAGGGGCAGGATGGAGTAACCACTGGACTGAAGAAATGATCTGTGAGTCCAGACGTGGTGGCTCATGCCTCTAATCCCAGCATTTTAGGAGGCTGAGGTCAGAGAATTGCTCGAGCCGAGGAGTTCAAGATCAGCCTGGGCAACAAAGCATGATGTTGTCTCCACAAAAATAAAATAATGAAGTAAAATATCTGAAACCTGCTGCAGCCTGTTCATTGGTGTTAAGATAACTCCCTCTCCCAGAAGCCTTGGCTAAGCACACTGTCGAGGCCAGTGCTTCTCAATAGGTGGGTGACTTTGTCCTCCTCACCCCCAGGGACACTTGGTAATATCTGGAGACATTTTGGGTTACTGCAATTGGATGGTATGCTACTGGCACCTATGGGCAGAAGCCAGGGATGCTGTTTCACACCCTGCAGCAAACAAGACAGCCCTGTCCACCCAACAAAGAATTGTCTGGCCACAACATTACTAAAGCTGAGGCTGAGGGAAGTTGGTCTAGGCTACATGTTTTTCTCTTTACAGAGAAAATGACCCATCATGTCTCCTAATAGAGAAACGCTGCTTCCGGCCGAATGACAAGAGCTCACGCCTGTAATCCCGACACTTTGGGAGGCCAAGGCAGGTGGATCACTTGAGGTCAGGAGCTCGAGACCAGCCTGGCCAACATGGTGAAACCTCGTCTCTACTAAAAATACAAAAATTTTTAGTAGAAATTTAGTAGAAATTTTTAGTAGAAATTTAGTAGAAATTTAGAATAAGCCAGGTGTAGTGGCACACACCTGTAATCCCAGCTACACAGGAAGCAGAGGCAGGAGAAGTGCTTGAACCCGAGAGGCAGAAATTGCAGTGAGCTGAGATCATGCCACTTCATTCCAGTCTGGGCGACAGAGCAAGCCTCTCAAAAAAAAAAAAAAAAAAAAAAAAAAAAAAGCTGCTTCCCAGATTGGGCAACAGAAATACGAGTGGTGTGCAGAATGAGTGTGTAAATATAGGTGCATAGGAACATGGGGAGGGTGAATCCATGACATGAGGGGAGGTGTGCACGGAGGGGTATGTGTGCACACAGGTGTGTCTGTGCCCAGGTTGTGTGTGTGTGCGTGCATGCATGTACTTGTGCGATGTATGAATCAGTGCCTATAAGTGTGTGCATCGTGTGCAAGTGGCACGTGTGATGTGGGCCTGTAAGACAGGAAATTGTGTTGATAAGAAATGTATGGGATGATGGGTACTGACAGGTGCGGGAGTGGATTTTGTGTCTCTAGAGTGTAAGTGACTGGCTTGTGTGTGTCACTGTATAGAGAATAAGTTGTATGTGGAAACAGGAGGAGAAAGGAAGGGACCCAAGGCATGAGCCACCATTTTGGTTTCCCAGGGTGGCCCACGCCCCGACTTACCGCTCCGGAGGCCTGCTGGGCAGCGTTGGTAGCTGGCAAGACAAAGCAGAGAAGCCAGTAACCAAACAGCACTCCAGATGACTGGACTCCCTTTTTCCTCTCGGTGTGAATCAGGAACACTGCGAAGCTCTGGACGGGAAAGTCAGGGAGGCCCCTTAGGGGAGGGTGGGAGGCTGAGGGGAGCCTCTTCTCTTCCCCTTGTTCTCCACTGTGGCAGGCAAAGCAGCAGCTGGGAGGAAGCCGGGCTCCAGACTGAAGGCATCATTACCATCGTGGTGAGCCACACAGTAGGATGAATGAGGAATTCTGGGGCCTCAGGCGTTCCCTGTTGGATTTTCCAAAGAGCGACAGCCACGCTGGAGGTACACAGGACTATGAGGGCGAATCCAAGCACCTGAGGATACAGGCTTAGATAAGCTTGGGGGGCAATAAGAGAGGTCACAGCAAACTGGTAGGCGGCCCCATGTCCAACTGGGAGCTGGTTCTGCAACATCCTGGCTGATACTGAGTATACCAGGGTCACCAGCTAGCAACGTGCCAATGTGAACAATGTGTAAAGGGCATTGCAGATCACTCCTGACCTGTAACTGTCATATAAATAATGCACAGGAAGGGCTTGAGCCAACCGAGTGTTTTCCAAAATGCAGGAAGTGCTCCAATCGTGCACATATGAGATGACTGTGGGTATGGAGAAACAGCAGGAAATGAAATGTACTCACCAGGTAAAAAACTATCCTTTCTCCAAGTCATTTTTCAATCCCTGCTATGAAATCAAGGAGCAACTCTCTGTTGGGCCAGTAAGTCTCTAGGGTCTCTCTAATATATTTTGGTTTCTCTATTGAATAAAAGAAAGGAAGAAAATGAGAGAACGTGGGCACACCAGAGGGAAGGCCAGAGCTAGGTTACGTTGGAGGAACTGCTCAAAGAACCTCAGTTTAAAGCAGAAGTTGGCAAACTATCAATCATCAAAGAAAAACAAAAAGCATATGTCATGACAGGTGAAAATTACATGAAATCCAAATTTCAGTGACTACAAATAAAGTTTTATTGAAACGCAGTCGGCCGGGGGTGGTGGCTTACACCTGTAATCCCAGCACTTTGGCAGGCCAAGGCAGGCAGATCACCTGAGGTCAGGAGTTGGAGACCAGCCTGGCCAACATGGCGAAACCCTGTTTCTACTAAAAATACAAAAAAATAGCGAGGTGTGGGGGTGGGCACCTGTAATCCCAGCTACTCGGGAAGCTGAGGCAGGAGAATCACTTGAACCCAGGAGGCGGAGGTTGCAGTGAGCCGAGATCGCACCATTGCACTCCAGCCTGGGTAACAAGAGCAAAACTGCATCTCAAAAAAAAAAAACAAACAAAAAAGTAACACAGTCATGACTATTGTCTATGGTTATGACTATTGCGTTCATTCTGGAATGGCAGAGTTCAGTGTTCGGAAGGAAGATTACCTGGCTCACAAAGTCTCAAATACTGTGTACCGCTTGGCTCTTTAAGTTTGCCAACCCCTGGGTTGGTGGCGGGTGATAATGTAAAAATTAATACAATGGCAGAAGAATGAATGAACTCTGAAGAACATTCTTTGGAAGCCTACAAGAATGGAGTAGAAGAGGATGGATGAGCAGAAAGGCTCACACTTGGAATGCCAGTGTTTATTTAACACACTAAGGTAAATACATATCACATATAAAAATTGTCCTATAATACAGCCAGTGGGGGAACATAAAAATAAATGCATAACTTTTTAAAAGGTTCATCCTAATGTGGCTCTAAAATTACCTTGTGTATCCAAGAGTCTACATGGTATGTTTTGGAAAATGCCAGGTTATGGTAGCTATAAACTGTCCAGGAACATGGGAGTGTATGCGTATGTTTGCGCATGCGTGGATTTTCGGAATTACAAAATCTGTTTGGGAGAACCGTGTTCCACTGAGTTGACCTCTGTAGCCTTTCTAATATTGCTCTGTTTGATTAACAGATTCCCTTCTACACCCCGATAGGAGGAGTCTACTTTAAGACTTCACCAGGTTCCAGCCTGTCCCCTGCCTCCCCCGAACATTGCCTGGTTCCAGGCTCCCAGGGATGGCAGCTACCATCTTGGCTTTGAAGAGTGGGGACATCCGGAGGTAGCCCCGGCCATGGTGGTGGATGAAGAGGAGGTAGATGGGACCAAGGACCCAGAGGTACATGGGGGGTACCCAGACCCCTGCTGTTCTCAGGAAGCACAGGCTCAGCAGGCTGGTGGCGGCAGGTTCAGGCTCTGTCTGGTTCCAGACCTGAGGGAACACAAAGAGGACCCTTAGGATGGTACAAGGCAGGGGTCCCCAGCTCACCTGCCCAGGGGGCCAGGCAACTTTTTGGATCTTTAACATTTACACAAAAATGTACCAAGTACTCTTTGGAATACCTACTAATTCTCAATTCCTTTCATCCTGACATTAACCCTAGGTAGTTGCAATTATATTGATTTGCAGATGAAGAAGCTGAGGACCAGAGAGGTTGAGTAACTTTGCTGACTTTACCCAGCTGAGGAGTGGAAGGGCTGGGATTTGAACCCAGGGAACTGGGCCATGTGGTCTAGGAGACCTGGGCTCCATAATCATTGCTAGGCATGGACTGTCAGTTAATCCTTATAACAACTCCAGGACGCAGACAGTACTGTCTCCATTTCAGAAACCAGCAGACTGAGGCACCAGTCGGGGAACTGCCTCCCCCAGGGACACACAAATGGGAAGTGGCAAAGCTGACTCTGACCCAGGCTTATCTGACCCCAAACCTCGTTCGACTGGTGGTCTTGATGTATGATTTGTTTTTATTTTTTATTATTAATTAATTTATGTTTTAGAGACAGGGTCTCACTCTGTTGCCCAGGCTGAAGTGGCACAATCAAAGCTCAACAAAGCTTCGAATTTCCTGGGCTCAAGCAATCCTCCCACCTCGGCCTCCCAGAGTGCTGGGATTACAGGCATAAGCAGCCTCACCAGGCCTGGCTAATTTTTTTTTTTTATGTTTTGTAGAGATGGGGGTCTCTCTATGCTGGTCTCGAACTCCTGGTCTCAAGCAATCCTCCTGCCTCAGCCTCCTAGGTACTGGGATTACAGGCAAGAGCCACCGGCCCAGCTTGATCTGTTATTTTCATCTCAGCAGGTCTGCTGGTCCTATCTAACCCTAGAAGAAATTTGAAGTTTAGTGGACGTGGCCTCTTCAATTCTCTCTCCGCTGTCTTTTTACTCCTCCTGGTTTCACAACTCACCGGCTGTGCAAACTTTAACCTCTCTGTATCTCAGTTTCCTTCCCTGTAAAAGGGGGAAAACGAGACTCTACCTCTATGAGTTGTATTAAATGGATTAATAGCAGCAAAGTTCATAGCAGCATGGCACAAGGTTGGGCACAAGGCTAGGCACAGAGAAAGCCCTCAGTTCATTGCCAGTTTATTGCTTCAACTCCCTGGCCCTCGAAATGCTGGCAGTTTGCAACCCCCACCCCCACTCCATGAACTCCACTCCCTGGAGTCCTTTGCTAAGAGCAATGGAAAAAGAAACCAGAGAGGTAAGGGCTCTCCGGGGGTAGGAGGGCTTGGGGGACCCACTAGCTTTATGCAAAGAAGAGTCAAAGCCCCTAGTAGCTGGGAGGTCTGGTGGCCCCTTAAATAGAGCTGGGCTCTCGGCTGCTGGCTTGGTGAAAGAAATCCAACCCGCTGCAGTGAGGGGGCCGGAGTAAGTCTCCTCGCTTCCCGGGTCCAGGAATTTGGGGGTCTCTCCTCTCCCCAGTATCGCAGCCCGAGAGATCTGCAGCCAAACCAAGCCTGGAAAAGGAGAGTGGGGCGCGATGGGGGGCACTCACCCCCTGCCCCGCGCAGGGCTCAGCAGGCGCGGCCATCGGCGCCTTCTGTCGTCGTGGGTCCCAGCGTCTGTCTGTCGCTAAGTCTCTGGGCAGACTGCTCGGCCGCGATCCTGCCGGAGAAGAGGCGGGGCTGGGCTGGTCGGGCTGGGCTGGTCCGGCTGGGATTCGAGCTCCGGGATCGGGAGGCCCCGGGCAAGGTCCAGCTGCGCGGCGGGAGTGAGGCCACGGGAGGTGAAAACAGGCGAGGTGGGGGATGGGGGAAGAGAGGCGCTCGGGGAGCTGGGACGGGCACCGGGTTGGGGGGTCCCGGAACCCCTGAAAGTTCAGTGACACCTCCATAGTTCCCTCTTCCCCCTGCAACAAGAATCACTCCAGACTTCCTAAACACTTTGGACCCAGCAATTTCCAGGAGTTCATCCTGATGAGAGAACTGAAAGGTGTGCACACGTTAGTAACAAGGAGGCCTGGTGACCGCCTAAGCGTCCAATCGCGGGGACCACCGGGTCGAGGCCGAGAGGATGGAGACCGCGTCACAGGCACCTCGCTGCTGGAATGGAGGGTGGTGGGGAGAACTTAGAAGATTATGCAATGGGCTGGCAGGGCTATACCCAGCCGCCCTGGTAAGCAGAAACTCAAGAAACCTCTAGGGTCCTGTTTTCTGGTCGTATGATCCCAGGAGTGCACATGGGCCCCTCGGGTGTCTGAACAGAAGGGCATAGGAGGGAGGGCCGCAGCCCTGCAGTCTTACTCTGCTGGTGTAGCGGTCACCTGCCAACTCCCACCCCACCCTGCACCGCGGGCTCCTGAGTCGGCAGATTAAGCATTTTATAAATTCTATTTTAAATACGTGTTTTAAACTTGTCAGATATTTGTCTTCATTTCAGTCCCTGCGCCTCTACCTCTTGCTGTGGTCGCTTATTTAACACTGGGGGGCTACGTTCTGCTAAGTCCCAGGGAGAGACTGTTCCTAATATCCGAGGGAGATATTATTCCTAATATCACGCTGGGTGAACACCACGTGTGTACAGCCTCTGATACGATTGGTAATATCCAAGGGAGATATTATCCTAACATCCCAGTGGGTGAACACCATGTGTGTAAACGCTGTGGTATTATTAGAAATATCCAAGGGAGATATTACTCCTAATATCACAGTGGGTGTACATCCTGTGATATTATTCGTAATATCTGAAGGAGATTTTACTCCTAATATCACAGTGGGAGTACACACTGTGATATTATTTGTAATATCCGAGGGAGATTTTACTCCTAATATCACAGTAGGTGTACAACCTGTGATATTATTCATAATATGCTAGAGATATATTACTCCAAATCTCATGGTGGGTGTACACTCTGTCATAGAATTCGTGATATCCTAGGGAGTTATTACCGCTAATATCACAGTGAGAGTACACCCTGTGATATTATTCATACTATCCTAGAAAGATATTACTTTTAATATCACAGAGGGTGTACACCCTGTGATATTATTCATAATATTCTATGAAGATATAACTCCTGATATAACCGTAGGTGTATACCCTGTGATATTATTTGTTATATCCTAGGGAGATACTACACCTAATACCACAGTGGGTGTACACCCTGTGATATGATTTGTAATATCCTAGGGAGATATAACTCCTAATATCACAGAGGGAGTACACCCTGTAATATTATTCATAATATCCTAGAAAGATAATACTTTCAATATCACAGTGGGTGTACACTCTGTGATAATATTCGTAATTTCCTAGGGAGATACTACTCCTAATATCACCTTGAGTGTACACTGCGTGATATTATTCGTAATATCGTAGGGAGCTATTGCTTTTAATTTCACAGTGGGTGTATACCCTATGATATTATTCATAATATCTTAAGAAGGTAGTACTCCTAAAATCACAGTGCCTGTACACACTGTGATATTATTCATAATATTCTAGGGAGATGTTACTCCTAATCTCATAGTGGGTGTACACCTTGTGATACTATTTGTAATGTTCTAGAAAGATATTCCTTTTAATATCACAGTGGGTGTACACCCTGTGATATGATTCGAAATATTCTAGGGCGATATTACTCCTAATATCCCAGTGAATTTACACCATGCGTGTACACGCTGTGACCTCCCAGAAAGATATGACTCCTAATATCACAGTGGGGGTACACCCTGTGCTATTATTTGTAATACCCTATGGATATCATAATATCACAATGAACGTACACCATTGTGTACATGCTGTGATATTATTTGTAATATTTTTGGGTGATATTACCCCTAATGTCACAGTGCGTGTACATCTTTTGATATTATTTGTAATATTCTGTGGAGATATTGCCCCTAATATCACAGTGGGTGTATACTCTTTGATACTATTCGTAACATCCTGGAAGATATTATCCATATTGTCACGGTGGGTGTACACCCTGTGATATTATTCGTTATATTCTGGGGATATACTATTACCCCTAATATACTGTGGGTGTACCCCCTGTGATATTATTCACTATATCTTGGAGATATAATATTACCCCTAATATCACAGTGGGTGTATACTTTGTGATATTATTCATTATATCCTGAAGAGATATTATTTCCTTTAATATCACAGTGCATGTACACCTTGTGATATTATTTGTTATATCCTGGGGAGATACTACTATATTACTCCTAGTATCACAGTGGCTGTACGCCTTGTGATACTATTCATTATATCCTGGGGAGATATTATTACTCCTAATATCACAGTAAGTGTATACCCTGTGATATTATTCATAATATCCTGGGAGATATTACCCATATTGTCACAGTGGGTGTACATCCTGTAATATTATTTGTAATATCCTGGGGAGATATTATTACTCCTAATAGCACAGTGGGTGTACACCCTGTGATATTATTGGTTATATCCTGGGGAGGTATTATTATTCCTAATATCACAGTGGGTGAACATTCTGTAATATTATTCATTATATTTTGGGGAGATATTAATTCCTCTAATATCACAGTGGGTGTACACCCTGTGATATTATTCATTATATCCTGGGAAGATATTAATCCCTCTAATATCACAGTGGGTGTACACCCTGTAATATTATTCATTATATCCTGGGAAGATATTATTTCCTCTAATATCACAGTGGGTGTACACCCTGTGATATTATTTGTTGTATCCTGGGGAGATATTATTATGTCTCATATCACAATGGGTGAACACCCTGTGATAGTATTCGTTATATTTGGGGAAGATGTTATTACCCCTAATATCACAGTGGTGTACACTCTGTGATATTATTCATTATGTAGTGGGGAGATAGTATTACCCATAATATCACAGTGGATGTACACCCTGTCATATTATTTGTTATATCCTTGAGAAATATTATTATTCCTCTTATCACAGTGGGTGTACACCCTGTGATATTATTCGTTACATCCTAGGGAGATATTGTTACCCATAATATCACAGTGGATGTACACCCTGTCATATTATTCGTTATATCCTTGAGAGATGTTACTACCCCTAATATCACAGTGGGTGTATACCCTGTGATATTATTCATCAAATTTTCTGGAGATATTATTACCCATAATATCACAGTGTGTGTACCCACTGTGACAGTATTGATTATATCTTGGGGCGATATTACTCTTAATTTCACAGTGGCTGTATCCCTGTGTTTACACCCTGTGATGTTATTCATAATATTTTAGGGAGATATTACTCCTAATATCACAGTCAGTGTATACCATGTTTGTACACCCTATGATATTATTTGTAATATTTTAGGGAGATATTACTCCTAATATCGTTGTGGGTGTACAGCATGTTTGTAAACACTGTGATATTATTCATAATATCTGAGAGAGATATTACTGCCAATATCACAGTGGGTGTACACCCTGTACACCGTGTGATACGATTCATAATATCCGAGGGAGATATTACTCCCAGTATCACAGTGGGTTAACACCCTGTGGTATTATTCATAATATTCGAGGGAGATATTACTCTCAATATCACAGTGGATGTACACCCTGTGATATTATTTGCAATATCCGAGGGAAACATTACTGCTAATATCACAGTGGGAGTACACCCTGTGATATTATTTGTTTTATCCTGGAGACATATTATTCCTATTATCACAGTGGTTGTACACCCTGTGATATTCTTCGCTATATTCATGGAAGATGTTATTACCCCTAATATCACAGTTGGTGTACACCCTGTGATATTATTCGTTATATCCTGGGGAGATATTGTTACCCCTAGTATCACAGTGGGTGTACGCCCTGTCATATTATCCATTACATCATGGGAAGATATTATTACATCTAATATCACTGTGGGTGTACACCCTGTGATATTATTTATTATATCCTGGTGAGATGTTATTACTGCTAATATCACAGGGTGTGTCAAATTTTCTGGAGATATTATTACCCTTAATATCACAGTGGGTGTGCACCCTGTGTGTACACTCTGTAATATTATTCGTAATATTTTAGGGAGATATTACTACTAATATCACAGTGGGTGTACACCCTGAGGAGATATTACTTCCTCTGATATCACAGTGGGTGTACACCCTCTCATATTATTCGTTATGTGCTAAGTAGATATTATTACCCCTAATATCACAGTGGGTGTACACCCTGTGATGTTATTCCTTATATCCCAAGAAGATATTATTATAACTAATATCACAGTGGGTGTACACCCTATGATATTATCTGTTATATACTGGGGGGATATTATTTGTAATATTTTAGGGAGATACTACTCCTAATATCATAGTGGGTGTACTCATATTTTACAGATATATTACTTTTAATATCACAGTGGGTGTACACCCTGTGTGTACACCCTGTAATATTATTAGTAATATTTTAGGGAGATATTACTCCTAATATCATAGTGGGTGTACACCATGTTTGTAAACCCTAGGATATTATTCATAATATCCGAGGGAGATATTACTCCCAATATCACGGTGGGTTTACACCCTATGATATTATTTGTAATATCTGAGGCAGGTATTACTCTCCATATCACAGTGAGTGTACACCCTCCTATATTATTCATAACATCCGAGGGAGATATTACTTCCAATATCAAAGTGGGTGTGATAATATCTGAGGGAGATATTATTCCTAATATCCGTGGGAGATATTATTCCTAATATCTCAGTGGTTGTACCGCGTCACAGTGGGTGTGCACTGTGTGATATTATTCATAGTATCCAAGGGAGATTTTACTCCTGATATCACAGTGAGTGTACACCCTGTGATATTATTCTAATACCCAAGGGAGAGCTTTCTCCTAATATCACAGTGGGTGTACACTCTGTGATATTTTTCATAATATCCGAGGGAGATAGGATGGAGACCACGTCACAGTCCCCTCACTGCTGGAATGGACACTGTCTACCCGTGGAGTGGTGGGGAGAACTTAGTGAGATTATGCAAGCGTTTAGCACACTGCCAGATATACATTAAATGCTCAGAAGACTTAGCTTTTATTATTACTGTCATAATTGAGGCCATGGGTTACTAACCAGTGGTTTAAAATGCCATTGCAGCTGGGCACGGTGGCTCATGCCTGTAATCCCAGCACTTTGGGAGGCTGATGAGGGCGGATCACTTGAGGTCAGGAGTTTGTGACCAGCCTGGCAAACATAGTGAAACCCCGTTTCTACTAAAAATACAAAAATTAGCTGGGTGTTTTGGTGCGTGCCTGTAGTTTCAGCTTCTCAGGAGGTTGAGGCAGGAGAATCGCTTGAACCTGGGAGGCGAAGGTTGCGGTGAGCCAAGATTGTGCCACTGCACTCCAGCCTGGGTGACAGAGCGAGACTCTGTCTCAGAACAAGCAAACAAAATGCCATTGAAGACATATATGAATATGAAAAGGTGCTTGCTAAATGATGATTGAATAAAAGAGATTATAATATAAAATAGGCTTTGGTTTTTTTAAAGCAAAAAAGAAAAGGATATGCCTAAATTAGGGAACATGGAGAAGAAGGCCAAGGCATTTACCTTCCTCTCTTGAGTCTTTTTCTCTCTCCGTCTCTGTTTTTTTTTTTTTTTTTTTTGAGTCAGGGTCTTGCTCTGTCACCCAGGCTGGAGTGCAGTAGTGCCATCATGGCTCACTGCAGCCTTGACCTCCTGAGCTCAAGCAACCTTCCACCTCAGCCTCTCCGGAGTATCTGGGACTACAGGCACACACCACCAAGCCTGGCTAATTTTTAAATTTTTTTGTGGAGACTTGTCTCACTTTGTTGCCCAAGCTGCTTTGGAACTCCTGGCCTCAAGCCATCCTCTTGCCTAGGCCTCCCAAAGTGCTGCGATTACAGGCGTGAGCCACCATGCCCAGCTCTCTCTTGGGTCTTAAAGCAAAGTGTCAAAGACCCAGCCACCACTTCTTAGAAATGACTCGATGTCATACTAGCATAAATGCATCGATAAAAAGATGGAAATGTGGTAACACAGTGATCTTGGGGAATCCTAGTTTTCTTTTCCAATTTCTTTGTTGTTGCAGTGAGCAAGTACTTGTTTCAAGATAGGAATGAAATATTCGGCTCTTTTAGACAGACAAGCACAGGTGCTCAGTTTGGGAGAAGAATTAAAATCCTCTGCACTCTCCATGCTGCCTTGCTAATTCTTGGGGTCCTGTCCTCATCTTCTACTCTTGCCTTCTGCAGGGACCCCACAGTGTGTTTTCCCCGATCTTTTTGTATCACTCTAAATCCAGTATTGGGCCCAGGGAGCACCCCCTCCCCTGCCCCCTTCAGCTGTCCTCCTGCCTGAGTCTTCTGGAAGCTTCGGGACAGAAAGAACCCAAGGATTTGTCATGAAGCTCAGTGTGGCAGGTCTACTGTTTCCATGTAAATCATGTCTGCTTATCTGAGCTGGTTTTGGTGGAAACTGATGGAAATTATGGGGAAGCTAAATCCCTGTCTCTCTGCAAGCCACTCCCCAATCCCACCCCCATGAATTGGCATTGTCACAGTCCTGGTGCTTCATTTCTTTCTATATTTGAAGATGAATTTGAGGGAAATAGTCAGAAAGTCAAGAAGAACACAGCAGAAATCAATTGGGGTGAGTCCAGAACAAAACTTGGGGATCCCACTTCCTGCTTTTTTTTTTTTTTTGAGATGGAGTCTCACTCTGTCGCCCAGGCTGGAGTGCAGCGGCAAGACCTCAGCTCACTGCAACCTGTGGCTCCCTGGTTCAAGTGATTCTCCTGCCTCAGCCTCCTGAGTAGCTGGGATTAGAGGCATGCGCCACCACACCTAGCTAATTTTTGTATTTTTAGTAGAGACAGGGTTTTGCCATGTTGGCCAATTTGGTCTCGAACTCCTGACCTCAAATGATCTGCCCACCTCGGACTCCCAACATGTTCATATTACAGTAGTAAGCCACGGCTTCTGGCCCCAATTCCTGCTCTCTAGCTCCGGGAAAACCTGTGGCTGCATGCAGAGTCTTAGACAACTTCCTTTTCCTCTCTGGGCCTCAGTTTCCCATTCTGTAAGATGAGAGGTTTCCATAGGCCTACACTTTCTAATTGGTGGCTTTCAATCCTCTGGTGATTTGCATAAAAGGCATCTATTTCAATTGTGGTTATAAATAACAAACCCCAATAAATAGACGAATTATTTAAATGGTTTCTCATTATCACTGAATAGTTGAGAGTCTACTGTATTTGAGTGAAAATGCAGCACGAGAAACTGAAATCAGATGCGCTCATGATTATGACCCTGAGGTCAATGTGTCATTCCCTTCATTCCCTCCTTGCCCCCATGAAGGTTTGACTACTGTATGGTTTGAACCTGTGCTTCTTAGTTGTTTATTGCTTAAGTTTTAGCCACAACGGCAAATTGCAGCGGGAAATTCAGTCTTACTTTGTCATTTGGAAACAAAATACAAAACCTATCAAAATAAAGCACTAGCTTTTTTTTTTTTGAGACAAAATGGAAGAAATCCTAATATTAGGTTAGAAAAGCAATTTTTTGGTGTTTTTAAAATTTTATTTATTTATTTTTTTGAGACAGAGTCTTGCTCTGTCGCCCAGGCTGGAGTGCAGTGGTGCGATCTCGGCTAACCGCAAGCTCCGCCTCCCAGGTTCACGCCATTCTCCTGCCTCAGCCTCCCGAGTAGCTGGTACTACAGGCGCCCGCCACCACGCCCGGCTAAGTGTTTATATTTTTAGTAGAGACGGGGTTTCACTGTGTTAGCCAGGATGGTCTCGATCTCGTGGCCTCATGATCTGCCAGCCTTGGCCTCCCAAAGTGCTGGGATTACAGGCGTGAGCCACTGTGCCCGGCCTCTTTGGTGTGTATTTTGATGTGGTGACTGGTAGTTAAATTCAGTGTACATATGAATTCACTCTTGGGACAAAATATGCTGGATTTGAGCTTGTTTTCAGGCAAATCATGTTTCATCTTGCAGAGCTAATTCAAAGTATACTGACTGCATGCACTTCTTGCTTAGGGGAAGAAAACTCATCAAAATTTGTTTCTAGGCATATGTTATTAGAGCTAGGATTAAAATAAATCTTACATACTTTCTTTAATATGCTAACATTAACACGTTTCGCTTAAAAAAGTATCGATCATTTATCATGGAAAAATACACCAGCTTACACAAATTCCTAAAGCGTTTTTCGTGTGTGTGTGTGTGTGTGTGTGTGCGTGTGTGTGTGTAGAGATGGGGTTTCGCCATATTGCCCAGGCTGGTCTCGAACTCCTGGGTTCAAGCGATCCACCCACCTCAGCCTCCCAAAGTGCTGGGATTACAGGCGTGAGCCACACACCCGGCCCTAAAGCTTTTTGTGAGATTATATATTTTACCTGCGAAATATATGGGTCAGAAAGATTTGAGAAAGTTGTTAGATAATTCCACCAACGAAATCTCCCGTCCTTTCCAGCTGTGATGGTGAATTCTAAAGTAGAATTCATCTTTGGAGCTTCTCCCTGTAGGCATGCACCTTGCGTTGCACCTGCCAGATGTCGCGCGGAGTCCTCCAGGCCTCTAGAAGGCAGAGATGGTCTCGTTTCCTTGCCGAGCATGCGCCTTAGTTCTCTCTTCTGGGGCTGTGACCGTGGGGTCGAAGCGCGCGTGCGCGGCGGCGGCTGGCGGCGGCGGTGGGGCGGGGCCTGGGCTGTCAGCCGGCCTAGGAGGAGGAAGGAGCCTGCGGCGTGCAGTGTGAGGGGCGGGACCCGGCTGCCGGCGGTGGGTCTAGCTGGGGGAGGTCGGGCCATGCTGGTGGGCCAGGGCGCGGGGCCGCTGGGGCCCGCGGTGGTCACCGCCGCGGTGGTGCTGCTGCTGAGCGGCGTGGGGCCGGCGCACGGCTCGGAGGACATCGTGGTGGGCTGCGGTGGCTTCGTCAAGTCGGACGTGGAGATCAACTACTCTCTCATCGAGGTGAGCGCCCGCCCCGCCGCCCGGCGCCGAGTCGCCGGGCCGGTGGTTCAGCCTCTCTGGGCCGCGCTGGCCTCGTCTCTGACACCGGGCGGTGTGGAGTCCTTGGAGCCCTTACCTCTTCCGAGGCTATGCTGTCCGCGGGCTCCCTGCAGCCCCTCCCCAGTCGCGCTGGAGGGGAGGTTCTTATCATGGGGTCGTCTAAGGACTGAGGGGTGCCAGACCTCAGGTTCTTCAAAACCCCGACTCCAGATCCCCGGAACACAGACCCCAGATCCTCAAAACCCAGACCCTAAATTCCCTGGAGCCCAGACTCCATTTCTTTAAAACTTAGACCTGAGATCTCCTCGAATCAGACCCCCTGAAACTCAGATTTCCCCAAACCCACATTCCAGAACCTAGAGACCACATGTCTTATCCCCCAAACTCCACAGCCCAGAACCCCCCGAAGTTCTAATCCACTGCTCCTCCAAACCCCGCGGCATGATTTTAAAGAGCATCAATTCCCATCCCATAGATACTGACCTAGTAGATCAGTATTGGCAACCCTGGGGCCGGAAAGCTATTTTTTATTTCTCCGGCTCCCCTCCACTTCTGAAAATGGAGAGTTGCCAGCTGCCCTGATTGCCTTAATGAGTAGTTAATGGAATTACCCTAGAGATTTGTGCTGAAGGTTTTTTTTTTTTTTTTTTTTAATTAAGTTGTAAAGTCCTGTTAAATGTTTATCAGCCCGGTGGGATTATGACCCAGAAAGGTTCCCGTAAAGAGGAAAGGGATGGATGGAGGTAGGGGCAGAATGTCATTTGTCCCGGTAGATGGGAGGGGACCAGAGCAAGGCCTGGGCCTCATTTTTGGGAGGGGATTTATGGTGGGGTAGGACAAGGAAGAGGAAAAGAGCGGGTGCCTCGGAGGTAATTTAGGAGAAAACGAAGGAAGAGGCTGGGAAATGCCAAAGAGAGGGATTGGGGAATAAGACCCCAAAGATCGTCTGAAAGCACCTTTGAGCTGTTCCAGGGCTGGCAGTGAAGGGTGAAGCTCTGTGTTCTGCAAAGCGGGCTGCTGAGGATTGGGGGAGGGGTAGGGAGTCAGTTCCACACCCCACCAGCTCTGCGACCTGCCCTTGCTCTAGGTTTCAGTTTTTGTACCTATAGGATGGTGTTGGGAGAGAAACAGTGGAACCCAGCAGATACATTTCTTTAACAAGCGGATCCGTGATCTTCTTCAAGGCCCCCTTGTTTGCTGCTTTTTCAGACTGAAGAGGTCAGAGGTCAGGCATTGAATGAATCTACCCACTGGCAGCGGCAGGGCTCCTAGGATTTCCTGGGTACATGTTTCTGGGTGCCCATGCCACCTCCTAGGTCTGCACTGGGGACAGGACACGTTCAGGGTGGTATGGCTGTAGACGGCACAGGGCATTTCAGAAGCTGAAATGCAAGAGGCCGCTAAGGCCTCTTGCAACTTGTAGTTTCCAGGGGTTCTGGAAGGAAGGAAAAGACAGGCACCCCCCTCCACCCTCACCCTCATACTAATAGTGACCTTGAGAGCAGAGAACAGGTTTTGTGACCCATTTCAAAGTGTGTTCCTTAAGCCCAAGGGCTGCCTGTCCAGATGGTGTGGGACACTCATTCTTTCATAAGTAATTCAGATTCTGAAATCAGACATTTCATACTGGCCATCTTGATGTAGATTACATTGCCATCCTGTGTCCTGATTGTACTTTATGAAAGATGTAGAAACAATCATGATATTTCACGGTTATTTCTTGATTGTGTTTTTTGTGTTCCTATGCAACTGCCGCCATTCTTCTCTAGCTTTCTCCCATCCTGAGTGTTTTTACATCGTGTTCATTGAGTCAACAACTATTTACTGAGCCCCGGCACATACTGAAGCCTTGTCCCCAGTGTGGATATAGCAGTACAGTGAACAGAACAGACAAAACTCCATACTCTCATGAGACTGACATTTTGTTCTCTAACAGGGACCTTACTGTTAAAAAAAAAAAAAATTATACTGGTTGCTAATACTTTAACAATCAGCAGGTTTCACATTAAAAACTGGGTGCTTTATTTCTCTGGAAAGCCAGCCGATCTTTAGGCTGCCACACTTGGCTTGGGTTTTGTAGTGATCTGAATCCTTTTGGATGAATGTCCCTTGATGTTGCCTCCCTAACCGGTCTAGTCTGGTGAATTTCCAGTCCCTGCCTTAAATGCATGCATCTGAATCTCTTTGTCACCTGTAGCAAATTCACTGAGTACCTAGAGTAAGCTAGACACTGTCTCAGGCACTGGGGAATGAAGTTGTCACTGACCTCAGAGAACTTTACATACAGGCTTAACCTTATTTCACACGAGTCCTTTCCCAAATGTTCAAATGTTCGTTTTATGAGTTAGTCACTTTGTACATCATCTTAGCTGGTGAGATTCGACTGTTTCATAGCGGCTCGTGTCATGGTTTGTTTCATGGTCATAGAGCATTAACATTTTGGAGGTGAGGCTTTTAGGTGCATCAGACCCAACTGCTTCCTTTTACAGACATGGAAACTGAGCCTCAGAGTGGTTGAGCTGTGCAGGTACATTTAGGAAATTTTCCTTGAGCCCAGTATGTTCCCTACGTATTACACTGTGTTGCCTTTTTCTTCAGAGAGAGATATTAAATAGTGATACAAACTGCTTTTTCCATTTTACTTATTTTATTTTGTTTTATTTTGAGGCAGGGTCTCACACTGTTGCTCAGGCTGGAGTATAGTGGCACCATCATAGCTCACCAAAGCCTCTGACTCCTGGCCTCAAGCAGTCCTCCTGCCTCGGCCTCCTGAGTAGCTGAGGCTACAGGCACGTGCCATCATGCCTAGCTAATTTTTTTTCTAGTAGGGATGAGGTGTGGCTGTGTTGTCCAGGCTGGTCTCCTGGGCTCAAGTGATCCTCCTTCTTTGGCCTCCCAAAGTGCTGGGATTACAGGCATGAGCCACCATGCCTGGCCGCAAACTGATTTTTCTTTGAATCCATATTCTGTAGCAGGTGCTTAATATGCATTGATGTGAATCTGTACAACCACATGAAAAGGAGTGGCTCTATGTCTGCACCTGAAGAAACCGAACACGAGCTTGCCCAAGGCCACGCAACACGTGGAAGACTCAGATGGCATTTGGGCATCTTACTGGGTTAACACTTCGTGTCTGGTAATGCTCAGAATGTAAGAGTTTTAGAGAGTCCTTGAAGAGAGGACAGATATTAAATGTCTTTTTAGTCTCTTTTTCTTCGGAGAATGAAAGTAATGAGAAAATTAAGTTTCTAGATGAATGTTGCTCCAAGTATTTGAAATTATTCAGAGTTAGTAAGGAAGATTTCTGGCCCTCATTGCAGACCTTTAGTTGAGAAATAGAGGTGGGCCCCAGGAATTTGCAATTTATTTTACTTTATTTTATTATTATTTTTGAGACGGAGTCTTGCTCTGTCTCCCAGGCTGGAGTGCTGTGGCATGATCTTGGCTCACTGCAACCTCCGCCTCCTGAGTTCAAACAATTTTCCTGCCTCAGCCTCCCAAGTACCTGGGACTACCGGTGCCTGCCACCATGCCTGGGTAACTTTTTTTGTATTTTTAGTAGGGACAGGGTTTCACCTTGTTGGCCAGGCTGGTCTCAAATTCCTGACCTTAAGTGATCTGCCCACCTCACCCTCCTGAAGTGCTGGGAGTACTGGCATGAGCCACCGTGCCCAGCCAGGAATTTGCATGTTAATAAGCACCTTACTAATGGCAAAGTTTGCAAATTTGTTTTAGACCCGGAAACTTACACGAGCAACCTAGAGGCAGCCACTAAAATAAACAGAAAAGCATTGAAAAATAAGGCATTGTAATAGGCTGTAGGTGGTTTCTAATCTGAAAAACATTGAGTCACATGATTTGGGAGAGAGTTTGTTGATTTCCCTCTGTCCCCAGTAATGCCCCGTGTTAAAAGCTGGCATATAATAGGTCCTCAGTGAATGTATACTGACTGAGTGCATTCAGGTGTAACATGTGTAGTTAATTCCCAAAGGCAATGTTATGATTTCTGTTTTCCTTCCTTCCTTTCCAGATAAAGCTGTACACCAAGCATGGGACTTTGAAATACCAGACAGACTGTGCCCCTAATAATGGTTACTTTATGATCCCTTTGTATGATAAGGTAAGAGGGGACTGCTTGTCACTTATGATGGGAAGTCACTAGTGTGCCTCACCAGGCTGCATTAACCATGTCCTTTCCTACACTAGCAAATGCTCATCTGTTTTGTAAATTATTAGTGGAATATGATAATCCTAGCCACATTTGGAGGGAGACAACTTACAAACTGCCTTGACGAATACAGTGGCTCTCTCTGTGTTTAGGACCATTTGGCAATGTCTAGAGACGTTTTTGTTGTGACATCTGTGGCTGTGCGCTACAGTCACCCAGTGAGTAGTGGCCAGGCGTGGAGCTAAATGTGCTACAGTGCTGCCTACGACAGCCCAGATGTCAGTAGTGCCAGGGCTGAGAAACTCTGATTTCATGGAACCCGTTACTTGCAAGCAGCTTAAAGTATTGTTAAAAAAATTGTACAAGTAATACATGAATTCATGAACTTTGTGAAAAAGAAAGTCAAGGTCTTTAGAAGTATGTGAAATAAATTTGTACCCTTTTCGCTCCAATTTTACCTCCCTCTGTAGTGATAACCTCTGATAATCTGATAAAGGTTTTTTTTGTTGTTTTTTTTTTTCTTCTTTTGAGTTGGAGTCTCGCTCTGTCGCCCAGGCTGGAGTGCAGTGGTGTGATCTTGCCTCACTCCAACCTCCACCCCCCAGGTTCAAGCCATTTTCCTTCCTCAGCCTCCTGAATAGCTGGGATTACAGGCATCTGCCACTACACCCAGCTAATGTTTTGTATTTTTAATAGTGATGGGGTTTTGCCATGTTGGCTAGGCTGGTCTCGAACTCCTGACCTCAAGTGAACCACCTGCCTCAGCCTCCCAAAGTGCTGGGATTACAGGTGTGAGCCGATGTTTCCGGCCCTCTTATAAAATTTTGATGTGCATCCTAACAGATTGCTTTCTATTTATAGTTATTCAGATATCCACGGGTACACATGCATATGTATATATGGAAATACACACAAGCACACATGCACATCGATATGTATCCACAAACACCTCTATACAATCCCATCCTCCCACATATAAACCTTTTATTTGGAAATACAGATTCATAGGAAGTTGCAAAAATAGTCAATACACATAGTTTTGATTTTGATATATTTTTTAATACAAATGAAATCAAACAATAGGATTTATTCTGCAGTTTCATTTTTTCCCCTGTGTTAATGCTTTCAATACCAGAGGGACATTTGGTTTTTTCCTCTTGCATGCTTTCAACATTAGCATAGATAGATCTACTGACTTTTTTTTTTTTTTTTGAGACAGAGTCTCACTCTGTCAGCCAGGCTGGAGTGCAGTGGCGCGATCTCGGCTCACTGCAACCTCTGCCTCCTGGGTTCCAGTGATTCTTCTGCCTCAGCCTCCCAAGTAGCTGGGATTACAGGCACCCACCACCATGCCCAGCTAATTTTTTTTGTATTTTTAGTAGAGATGGTGTTTCACCATGTTGGCCAGGCTGGTTTTGAACTCCTGACCTCAGGTGATCCGCCCACCTCAGCCTCCCAGAGTGCTGGGATTACAGGCATGAGCCACCATGCTCAGCCTACTGACTTCTTTTTAATGGCTGCATAGTGTGTCAGAGTCAAACCCAAACTGTAATTTATTTAACTACTTGGACATATAGACTTTCCCCAATTTTAAAATAATAGTAATTTTAACATAACACACCAGGAAATATTCTTGAACTTAACTCTTCATCCAGAATGCATAGGATTGATTTCTAGAGATGGACTAGCTGGGTCTGTCCTGAAATCTATTTAATTAATTTTTAAATAGTATCAGTATCAGTCTCAAGAAACCAGGAGGCTGGACGTGGTAGCTCATGCCTGTAATCCTAGCACTTTGGGAGGTTGAGGTAGGTGGATCGCCTGAGCTCAGGAGTGTGAGACCAGCCTGGGCAACATGGTGCAACCCCGTCTCTACTAAAATACAAAAAAATTAGCCGGGTGTCACGTGGATGCCTGTAGTCCCAGCTACTTGGGAGGCTGAGGCAGGAGAATCGCTTGAACCCAGGAGACGGAGGTTGCAGTGAGCCAAGATCGCACCACTTCACTCCAGCCTGGGCAACAGAGCGAGGCTCCATCTCAAAAAAAAAAAACTAAAACAAAAACAGAAACCAGGGTTGATAAGTAAAATCTAGTTTTATTTATTGAATTAATGAGTTAACGTATTGTTTAGAGACAGGATCCCCTTCCGCTGCCCATGCTGGAGTGCAGGGGCACAATTATGGTTCACTGCAGCACTGACCTCCTGGGCTCAAGTGATCTTTCTGCCTCTTCCTCCTAAGTAGCTAAGACTGTAGGCGCCTGCCACCACACCCAGCTAATTTTTTAAGAACATTTTTTGTACAGATGGGGTCTTGCTATGTTGCTTAGGCTGGTCTTGAACTCCTGGCCTCAAGTGACCCTCCTGCCTTGGCCTCCCACAGTGTTGGGATTATAGGTGTGAGGTACTGTGCCTGGCCAAATCTAGTTTTAGGGGGTGCCTTTAGTTCCTGAAGATACATGCTAACTTGTGCAACTGTAGGCATGTGAGGGCTTAATGGGAGACTCAATTAATAGAATTATAGTATGTTTAGTATTAAAAGACAGTGAGTGGCTGAACCTAGTGTCTTTAGAACTCATGAATGGGCTTCAGCACTGTCTTCTGATTGTTTAGATGAAAACTTCTGGTGTTCAGCTTCAGCTTGTAGCTTCTGAAGAGAATCAGTGCTCAGTACCATGTAGAAGAACAAGGCTTACTCTTAGAATTTCATTTCCGGTGTAAAAAAATTTTAGATTAAATGATAACACTAAACTAAATTTAGCCAGAGTCACAATTCTCATTTCTTGAAATTACATTTTCTTTTTTTCCTTTTAGGGGGATTTCATTCTGAAGATTGAGCCTCCCCTAGGGTGGAGTTTTGGTAAGTTAACTGAATCACTAGACATTCTTTGTAAAAGATTAGATGATATGCCGAATATTAATTTAGGCTAGCAGAGTGCATAAACTATTAAAATATTAAGGATCATTTCCAGTATGGAAGAGGGTTTGTATTCCTCCCCTCCTTGCCCCCATCACTCTGGTTTAGTTCGGATTTACCTTAATCTACCTCAAGACTTTCTGTCACCTTTGAAAAATAGACATCTTTTCTTCTACCTTTCTGGAAACTCTTCCCTTGCAGTTTCACTCATTACGTGGCCGTGGAACAGTATAGAAATCAAGAGTGGGGACTTGGTTCCCATCCCAGGATGGCTTCTTTTTTAGCCCCCTCAGTTTTTTAAGTTTTTATGGAATTAATTGAAACATTTAAAGATTGTGAGATTTGTCATAAAAATCCAGATTTATGTCCCATGAGATGAGAAGACTGTCAGCCTTATACCTTACCAGTTAAATAACTTTGGGCAAGTTACTTCCCCCGTGTCAGCCTGGCTCCTCACTGTCGAGCAAGGGTAGTTATAGTCCCTGCCCCACTGGGTACTTGGAGGATTAATAAACCAATACTGAGTGTTCAGAGGGGCTGGCACGTAATTAGCAAGTACTCAGTATTCAGAAACAGCCCTTCTGCACACATCCCAACAAAAGCTCCAAACTTTCCTCATATAACTGCCTTCAAGCATAGCTGGGGAGTTGGGGATGGGGTTGAGATCAGAAGAGAGGGTCTGTTTTGATGTAGTTTACATTTTTGAAGAGGAGAGACTCTTGATGTTTCAGTAGAGCAGGTGTGGGTGACCCCAGTCCATGGCTTGGGGAGAGGAGTAGGGATCACCGTTGTTGATATCAGGCTTGCTCGTGCATTAGACAAGGAAGAATTTAGCACCTGCCATCACCAAGGCTAAAATGAGGCTCAGGCAGCTGACAGCTAATTTGGCTCTGTGAGAGCAGCTCTTTTATCAGTTTATAGTCAGGGGTAGGGTCGGGGGTGCCTGGCTGGTACGTTCCAGAAAGCTGGAGAGGAATGCAGCCCTGCTCATGGCCAAAGCAGAAGTCCAGATTGGTGGCCTGGAGGAGTGTTGTGTTTGCCACCCCCCACCCTACCCCCAACTGGTGCTGTTGATAAGCTTTTTAATTGAATTATACTTTCAGAAAAGTGCCTTGGATGAATTTTCACTAAGTGAACACACCCATGTATCCACCATCCAGATAATAAGATAGCACTTCACCAGCACCCCAGAAGTCCCCATCCTGGGTGCTCATTAGCCATCCCGCCCCACCCTCCAGGTGACCACCACCCTGACCTTCTACAAATTAGAGATCCATTTGGTCTGTTTTGAACTTTATACAAATGCTATCATGCAGGGAACTTTTTAATATCCGGTTTCTTTCACTCAACATTATGAACTTTATCTGTATCATTTGTAGCTTTAGTTCATTCTCTTTGCTGTTGAGAATTCTGATGCATAAATATAAAATTATTTATATTTTATAAAATACTTATATTTTATTTTATTTTTTTCTTTTTTTTGAGACTGAGTCTCGCTCTGTTGCCCAGGCTGGAGTGTGATCTCAGTTCACTGCAACTTCTGCCCGGGTTCAAGCAATTCTTGTGCCTCAGCCTCCTCAGTAGATGAGATTACAGGTGTGCACCACCACACCCAGCTAATTTTTGTATTTTTAGTAGAGATGGGGTTTCATCATGTTGACCCAGGCTGGTCTCGAACTCCTGACCTCAAGTGATCTGCCCGCTTTGGCCTCCCAAAGTGTTGGGATTATAGGCAAGAGCCACCACGCCTGGCCTATATTTATATTTTATATTCATATTTTGTATCAGTGATCTCTTCTACTGTTGATGGCCATTTGAGTTGCTTACCGATTTTGGCCACTAAGAGCAGTGCTCCTGTGAACATTCTTGTATGTATATTTTGATACATGTGTCTGCATTTTTGCTGAGTATATCACAGGAGTAAAGTCGCTGAGCCATAGAGCTGATACATGCTCAGCTTTAGGTGTTTGCAAACATCCAAAGTGGATGCACCAGTTTGTGTTCTCCCAGCAGTGTACAAGGGTTTCCATTGCTCCACATCCTAACCTACACTTGATATCGTCAGTTTTTTTTAATTTTAGCCCTTCTGGTGGGGGTGTGGTATTATCTCACTGTGGCCTTGATTTACATTCCACTGATGGCCAATGAGGTTGCACACTTTTTCGTATGTTTATGTTTGTTTGCCATGGGCTAGCTATTTTTGTAAGATTCCTGTTCAAGTCTTTTGCCCATTTTTTATTGGAGTCTTTGTGTGTGTGTGTGTGTGTGTGTGTGTGCATGTACGCGTGCAAGCACGTGTGTAATTCATCTTAACTGAAAATCTCATCTCATGGTTTTCCATTTTTTTCTCTACTCATTACTCCATATTCTTCCTAACCTTTCAAAAACTCAACCTTAACCCCTATTATGATGAACTCTTCAGTTAAAAAATGGAGTTAATTGCTGATATTGAAAAATCAAGAGATGGTATATAAAATCCAGATTTCCAGTTTTTCGGAGAAGTTGGAAGCTCTGGCAAAGCATGGTAGTGGTTGGCAGACTTGAGTGGCAGTTGTCTCCTTTCAATTTGCCACAGTCCCCCTGAGGATGCTCCGCTCACTTCGAACCCATGAGGCCCCTGTGGCCCTGGAGTTTGTGTTCCTGGTTTAACATGGCTGAGCTCATGTCCTTGGTCAGAGAACAGATCCAGAGCCAGACTTTTAGGGTTGAATTGGGGCTCTGTTACTCAGAAGCTCTGTGATCTTGGGAGCTCCTTTAACCTTTCTGTGCCTTAATTTACCCCTCAGTAAATTGCAGCTATTACTGCCTGTCTCTTAAGATAATTGTGAGGATTAAAGGCACTCAGCTCAGTGCCTGGTCGGTGATGAGCATTCAGGAAATAAAATTATTTGGTGCTCACTGAATTTTCACTGGAACTCTGAGATATAACTTAGCTGAAAGGCGTTGTAAAATTATTTTATACTCTAAACACGAATTCCCTCTGGGGCAGGAAACCAGGAGGCTAGGGGGATAGGGGTGAGAGGGAGACTTTTCCCAGAATACTTTTTCGTACCTTTGGATTTGGAAACACAACGAGTGTATTAAGTGTTCAAAAGTAAAATGAAACCTGAATAATAAAAATACGTTCTACTTAGGTTCACTGTACCCCAAAACTAAGCTTGCCTTTGTGTCTTGTGCCCCGGTTTCCTCCCCTGCTTCGTTCCTCAGAGCCGACGACCGTGGAGCTCCATGTGGATGGAGTCAGTGACATCTGCACAAAGGGTGGGGACATCAACTTTGTCTTCACTGGGTTCTCTGTGAATGGCAAGGTTTGTCTTTGGAACTTGATTATTTTTCCTGTTCACTCTATAATGTATACTAAATCCTTTTTTAAAAAAATGCAGGATATTTTAACCTGGGGACTTTGATCCCACAAGGGACCCATGGATAAGTGGCAAGTGAGCCTGTGAACTCTGTACTTCATCCGTGTAGAACACAGCAGGTGTATTTAGGAATGAGATTGAGGTTGCTGGTCATCCCCTCTGCTCCCAGAGCATAGGCTGTTGGTGTTTTTATTTTTTTATTTTTTATTTTGAGACAGGGTCTTCCTCTATTGCCCAGGCTGGAGTGCAGTGGTGCAATCTTGACTCACTGCAGCCTCCACCTCCCAGGTTCAAGTGATTCTCCTGCCTCACCCTCCCGCTCCTTCACCCTCCCGAGTAGCTAGGATTACAAGTGTGTGCCACCATGCCTGGCTAATTTTTGTATTTTCAGTAGAGATGGGCTTTTGCTGTGTTGGCCAGGCTGGTCTCAAACTCCTGACCTCAGGTGATCCGCCTGCCTCCACCTCCCATAGTGCTGGGATTACAGGTGTACGCTGTGCACCCAGCCGCTGTTAGCGTTTATGTCAGGGATGGCCTTTTACAGGGATGCCGAATTGGAAGGACACACTCTCTAAGCCTTGTGGCATCTTGCTGTCCCTGTGGGTGAATTGAAGTCAGCTTCTCCCAGAGAGAGCGTGCATCTGCTTCTGACACTTACGTAGGAGGATTCCTATTATTTAAGTTCTGAGATTTTTTTGGACCGCCACGGTGGTGTGAATTTAGAGTCCTAACGGGTGTGTGCCCAGCTCCCGTGATTCAGATTCTCAGGGGAGAGTCATTTCTCCTCCACCCGCCCTGTGCCTGCGGTTGAGATGTGCTTCCTTCCTTCCTGTCCTTCTCTTCATGATGGACTTCTTTCTCCTCTACCTTTGCGGTGACGGGGAGGCCCTTCCATCCCAGCTGTATGTGTGGGCTTCTTGTTAGAGATGGGGATCTTGGGTAGTTTTTTCTTTATCGATGGTTTGCAAAATAATGGTGAACCTTTTTTTATTTTTATTTTTATTTATTTATTTTTTTGAGACAGAGTCTCGCTCTGTGGCCTAAGCTGGAGTGCAGTAGCGCAGTCTCTCTCACCACAACCTCCACCTCCTGGGTTCGAGCAATTCTCCTGCCTCAGCCTCCCCAGTAGCTGGGATTACAGGCGTGTGCCACCTGACCCAGCTAATTTTTATATTTTTATTTTTATGTACATTTACTTTTTTTTTTTTTTTTTTTTTTTTAAGATGGAGTCTCCCTCTGTCGCCCAGGCTGGAGTGCAGTGGCGCGATTGCAGCTTACTGCAACCTCCGCCTCCTGGGTTCAAGTGATTCTCCTGCCTCAGCCTCAGGAGTAGCTGGGATTACAAGCATGTGCCATGACGCCCAGCTAATTTTTGTATTTTTAGTAGAGACAGGGTTTCACCATGTTGGCCAGGCTGGTCTCAAACTCCTGACCTCAAGTGGTCTGCCTGCCTCAGCCTCCCAAAGTGCTGGGATTACAGGCGTGAACCACCACACCCACCCAGACCAATAATGGTGAATCTATAACTGATGATGTCTTAGATTCATTGAAATAGAGTCTTATTTTACTGTTACTGTTCCCTCTCCTACCTCATCCCCAGGAAACATATCCATGATTTATAGCATCTTTTCAATGGGATTCTTGACCCAAAGAGGGTTCCTGGGCTCCACCTGGGAGTTGTAAGCAGGACTGCCAGTGCTTTGAGAGGAGGGTGCTTTGCTGGGTGGGCCCTAACTTTCTTCTCCATGGCAGGTCCTCAGCAAAGGGCAGCCCCTGGGTCCTGCGGGAGTTCAGGTGTCTCTGAGAAACACTGGGACCGAAGCAAAGATCCAGTCCACAGTTACACAGCCTGGCGGAAAGTGAGTAGCGTCCTGTCTCTTAGTGTTGCCTTAGAGCCGGGCTCTGACAGGGGTCATGGAGCTGGGTTTGGGAGTTTGGATTCAGGGAGTTCTGGGTTCAGATCCTGATTCAGCCTCTTAAGTTTGGGTGAGTTCATGCCCGTCAGAGTGCTGAGTTCCCCACATGTGAAATGGAATCCATTTGACCCATCTTGCCTAGCATTGATGAGATGATTAAATATGAGTTCATACTGGCCAGGCATGTTGGCTTGCGCCTATAATGCCAGCACTTTGGGAGGCCAGTATGGGAGGATCACTTGAGTTCAGGAGTTCGAGACCAGCCTGGACAACATAGGGAGACTCAGTCTCCACAAATAATTTAAAAAATTATATCAAGTAGAGTCCCATGGGGGAAGAAAATTAGCTGGGTGTGGTGGCATGCTTCTGTGGTTGCAGCTACTCGGGAGGCTGAGGCGGGAGGATTGCTTGAGCCTGGAAGGTTGAGGCTGCGGTGAGCCGTGATCATGTGCCACTGTGCTCCAGCCTCGGCAGCAGAGCAAGACCCTGTCTGAAACAAACAAAAAAAGAGTTAATACCCATAAAGCACCTGCTTCAAGGCCTGGGGCTTAGTGGGTCTTCATTTAGCAGCTCAGCCTGGCTCTGGAGCCTGCCAGCCCGGGCTTGAATCCCAGCTCCCCCATTTGCTGGCTGGTTGACCTAGGGCAAGTTCCTTAACCCCTCTGTGCCTCAGTTTCCTCTTTTGTAAATGAAGATAATTGTGGAACCTATCTCCTAAGGTACTGGAAAGATGAAATTAATATTATTACTTCAAGCTGCCTGGCATATTAGCTCAAATAGGTTAGCTCAGTTATGATTAGAAAAAATCATTATCATTATTATATCAAAACTGCTTTGTAGTTGGAACAGATGCCTAGCTGACCTTGCTGAGTCAGATTTAAAGCATTTATTTAATGGATGTATATAGTTGAGTTGTAAATGTTAACAGATATGCCAAGATTAATACCAGAATAGTTCAAACTGATAATTCCGAAAGCGTTCAAATCATTACTAACTCCGTTAATATACAAACTGAGTAAATTGCAAAATAGAAGTTTATAATGAGTCTGTCAGTAAGTTATTCAATTTTAAAGTTATTATTGTTGAAACTAGTTTTCATTTTTGAAATAACATTTACTTCTGCTTGACTGGTGCCTCTCCAGGCCTGGTGTGTAGCAGGAATATGGAGCTGTAATTTTTTTTCTGGGCTAGTAATTTGGTGTTGACCTTACTAGAAAAAAATAGTGTCTTGAGCCTTCTGAATACCTTTCATCTGCACTAACTGAAACAATGAAACATGTAGCACTGGGCTATTATGAAAATGAAATAGAACCTCAATCTTACCAATACTTGTAGTAATGTGATTTCCAAGACCTATCCAGTTATTGCAGGCAAGATTTGACACAATAAAATACCACAGAAGAAGAAATCAAATGCGTTTTCTAGTTCATTTCACCGGACTTAGCCTTCTCATTTGTCAGTTGCCTTACAAATTTGAAGGGATAAACATGTTAGTATACTGGCAGCAGCATTTCCAGCTTTAGCTCGGCTCACTCTGGTGTTAGTCTGTCTATGGCTAGTAGAGTAATTTTCATCAGCTGCTGGTTTCTTATCTCAGTTGCTTTGTGCAAAAACCCAGAATGACTTATCTGTGTTTCTCTAAAGCCTTTTTTCTGGGATTCAAAGCTTATCATAGTTTACCCTGCCCTGTGTCATTTGCATCATCTTGGGTCAGCGTCCCCCTCAGCCTGTGCATCTGTTCTGTTCTTTTTCACCCCACTTCTCCCTTCCCATGTGTTTCCTTGGACACTTCTGTCCCCTTCTCCTTGTCAGTTCATGCCTGTCACCTCTGTCAAACCCAGTCGAATGTTCTGTGACTGGTCCCTGCTGTGCTACAAGGATTGGTTTTATGCCAGAAATCCTTGAGATTAAGGGAGACGTAAGCACTCCTCTTTCCGATCAGCACATGGAGCACCCCTCTTGGCACACAGTAAGTGCTCAATAAGCGCTCTTTTATGCAGATTTGTACAGTGAAGGATTGAATTTCATTCATGCTCATTTAACAAGCTAATGGAAGTTTGCGATAATTCCAACATTGTTTTCTTGTGCTGCCAACATTAGTCATAGAATTAGAAATACTTGGGTTGTTTGGAGAAAGTTAAATGGTTATTTTTTATGTCTTAGGTTTGCATTTTTTAAAGTTCTGCCTGGAGATTATGAAATCCTCGCAACTCATCCAACCTGGGCGTTGAAAGAGGTGAGTGACAGCTACGTCTATAGCCATGCCAATAATATGCTGGTCTTGGGACAAATGTAGGGCTTTTCAATTTAGGATATGAAAAGAATTTATGGTTCCTCCAGGACTAGATGAAGAACCAATGGTGCTGTTGTTTAGTTTGGTAGTTATTTATAAGGTGTAACTCCTCACTGTAGCAGATGTTGCTTGTGTTAGTTTCAGTTTTAGGTGACAGTGTTGTCTTCCTGCTGTGAAATAGATCTGTTTTATTAACTATAGCTATTTTAAACTAAATCAACAACAGAAGGCCCTGACGAGATTTATTTGTTGTTCTTTTTTCAGCCTGAAACAGAAATCTGTAAATATACTAAACATTCTAGAAACTGTGGTACGCGTGACCAAGGAGAATGTATGAGAATGTTTATTGCAGCTTTGTTTGTAATAGCAAAATATTGTAAACAACCTAAATGCCTTTTAAGAGAAGAATGGATTGGGGTTCCATCATACAATAGGCTGCTGTATGTCAGCAGTAATGAATGAACCAGAGCTACATATATCAATGTAACTACATTTAAAAACAGAGTTGAAGGAAATATGATTTTAAATACTTGTGATAATCATTTATGGATACAGTCTTTTTTTTTTTTTTTTTTTTTTAAAGACGGAGTCTCGCTCTGTTGCCAAGACTGGAGTGCAGTGGCATGATTTTGGCTTATTGCAACCTCGGCCTTCTGTGTCCAAGCGAGTCTCCGGCTTCAGTCTCCTGAGCAGCTGAATTACAGGGATGTGCCACCACGCCCAGCTAATTTTTGTATTTTTAGTATATATGGGATTTTGCCATGTTGGCCAGGCTGGTCTCGAACTCCTAGCCTCAAATGATCCACCAGCCTCGGGCTCTCAAAGTGGTGGGATTACAGGTATAAACCAGTGCACTCGGCCAGATACAGTCTTTTTTTTTTTTTTTTTTTTTGCAACAGGGTCTTGCTCTGTTGCCCAGGCTAGAGTACAGTGACATATTCATGGCTCATTGCAGCCTCTGGTTCCTGGCCTTAAGCGATCCTTCACCTTGGCCTCCCAAGGATCTGGAACTGCAGGCATGTGCCACTGCCCCTAGCTAAGGATACAGTCTTTTTTTTTTGAGATGAAGTCTTGCTCTTGTTGCCCAGGCTGGAGTGCAATGGGGCGATCTCGGCTCATTGCAACCTCCGCCTCTTGGGTTCAAGCGATTCTCCTGCCTCAGCCTCCTGAGTAGCTGGGGTTACAGGTGCCTGCCACCATGCCCAGTTAATTTTTGTATTTTTAGTAGGGACAGGGAGGATACAGTCTTATGTAGAAAAATTATAAAGACATGTATGGGAATAGCAGACGCTGTTCAAAATGATACTGACTTCTAGAGAAAGAGGGAGGAGGGGGACTTCGGGGTACGCCAGCATCTTGAATTGTATTTTTTTAAATTTCTTTAGCTGGTTAGAAGGTATGTAAGTGTTCTTTAGCATATCTTTTTTTGTTTGACTGAAATAGTTTATAGTCAAAGATCAAAAAAGGAACTCCACCTAGTAGGTGAGGTTCTGTAATAGCCGTGAAAGACCAAATTGAAATAAGACTTAAGGGACATCTTGACATGTTAGCTTCTGTGTTAGTATTGAAGCTGTATCTCATTTTTGCTAAAGAAGCATTGGAATCAGTATTTCAGCTTCTACTCTATCTGTTTTATTATTATTTTTACTCTGTAGGTTTTACGCACTTATAATTGATGATAGTTTCACACCTAGATGTCTCTTCTTACTGTTTGTGACTTTTGGTTTTGGGGGTTTTTCTCTTCTGCAGCAACATTTAAAAATATTTTATTCGAGGCTGGGCGCAGTTGCTCATGCTGTAATTCCAGCATTTTGGGAGGCTGAGGTGGGTGGATCACTTGAGGTCAGGAGTTCGAGACCAACCTGGCCAACATGGTGAAACCGCATCTCTACTAAAAATAGAAAAAAATTAGCCAGGAATGGTGGCATACACCTGTAATCCCAGCTACTCGGGAGGCTGAGGCAGGAGAATCGCTTGAACCTGGGAGGTGGAGGTAGCAGTGAGCCAAGATTGCACCACTGCACTTCAGCTTGGGTGACAGAGTGAGACTCCATCTCAAAAAAAAAAAAAAAAAAATTTATTCGAAATGAAAGAGCTTACACATTTATAAATAGAAGAGATTTTAAGGTTTACATTGTATGTTAATTGTCTGCATAGAAGAATCTGAGTTTATTAATATGAGATTGGGATTTTCAAGTAAAGCATGTTGTTAGAAGTCAGGATAATGTTTATCTTCCTGGGGTGTTAGTGACCGGAAGCAAGTGTGAGGGCACTTCTGGCTTGCTGGTGCTATTCTGTTGGGTAATCAGTGCCCAATTTGTGACAAGCCCTGTGCTGCGTGCTTAGAATCTGTACACTTTTCTCTGTGTTTATTGTACCTTAACAAAAATGTTTAAAAATATACACATATTGTGAAAAGAACAACTTAAGGCAAATTAAACAGAGTTTAATTGAGCATAGAACAATTTGTCAATTGGGCAGCTCCCTGAGCCAGAATAGGTTTACAGCGACTGTGGCACTGTTGCGTGATTGGAAAGGGTTTATGGACAGAAAAAGAAAGTGACGGACAGAAAGTGGAAGTGAGGTACAGAAACAGTTGGATTGGTTACAGCTGGACGTTTGTCTTATTTGCACATGGTTTGAACAGTTGGCTGCCTGTGAGTAGTTGAAGGGTGGCTGCTTGAATTGGGTGAGACTTGGCAACACGTAAGAGAAACCTTTAGGCCAAACTTAAAATATGTAAGGAGGCAGCTTTAGGCTAATCTTCAGTTAACACTATATATCATTAAAAATAGAAAAAAAGGCAAAATATGCTCATTAAAAAAATTGGAACATATAGAGGAATATAAAGCAGTGGAAACAAATTTTGGAAGCTGGAAAAGTATACAAGTAAAATAGCACCATATAGACAAAATCATTATTGTTTACATTTTGCCACATTTCCTTTCACTTCATTTTGGGCATTAAAAAATAATGATAAGCCAGGCACGGTGGCTCACACCTGTAATCCCAGCACTTTGGGAGGCTGAGGCGGGCGGATCACCTGAGGTCAGGAGTTCGAGACCAGCCTGGCCAACACGGTGAAACCCTGTCTCTACTAAAAATACAAAAATTAGCCGGGCGTGGTGGCGAGCGCTTGTAATCCCCGCTACTTGGGAGGCTGAGGCAGGAGAATCTCTTGAACCCAGGAGGCAGAGGTTGCAGTGAGCCGAGGTTGCACCATTGCACTCAAGCCTGTGTGACATACTGAGACTCCGTCTCAAGAAAAGAAGTGATCATACTGAATAAGCAATTTTATAGATTACGTTTCCCAGTTAATATTTTAGCTTCAGCGTGTCCTCATGTTGTTAGGCACTTTGCAAGTGTTTATTTTTTTACAGGTTAAAATCTTTTTCTGTTACAGGCAAGCACCACAGTGCGTGTAACCAACTCCAATGCCAATGCGGCCAGTCCCCTCATAGTTGCTGGCTACAATGTGTCTGGCTCTGTCCGAAGTGATGGGGAGCCCATGAAAGGCGTGAAGTTTCTTCTCTTTTCTTCTTTAGTAACTAAAGAGGTAAGCAAAGAAAAGAACAAAAGAGATGGTGTGAAGGGTAGGAGGGTGGGGGATTATAGACCAGAACGTACTGTTTTAAAAAATGCAGGTCTGAGTTGATTTATCATTTTAACACTTAAGAATATCGTCTGTCTCAGGCCGGGTGTGGTAGCTCATGCCTGTAATCCCAGCACTTTGGGAGGCCAAGGTGGGTGGATCACTTGAGGTCAGGAGTTTTAGACCAGCCTGGCCAACATTATGAAACCCCATCTCTACTAAAAATACAAAAACATTAGCCGGGCATGTTGGCACGTGCCTGTAGTCCCAGCTGCGTGGGAGGCTGAGGCAGTAGAATCGCTTGAACCCAGGAGGTGGAGGTTGCAGTGAGCCAAGATCACGCCACTGCACTCCAGCCTGGGTGACAGAGTGAGACTCTCAAAAAAAAAAAAAAAATTCAAGAATATCATGTGTCTCTGTTGACTCACAAGACATTGCACATCTACACTGGGAGGCAGTGGTATGTGATGGAAAGTACACAGGCTTTGAAATCAGACCTGGGTTTAAACAAATCTCAGATTTAAACAAATTCCTCTTCCTAGCTATGCGACCCTGGGCCGGTCACATTACCTTCCTGAGCTTCCGTTTCCTTATTTGGAGAATGGTGACCCATGATAAGGAAGGACAGTCATGTCATCTTTCCCGGGAAGACTGTGCCAGTTTTTAACTTTGCAACTTGAATGTCAAGATTTTTGTTCCTTTTATCTGTATTAATGTTTCTTAGATTTCAGAAATACATATATTGACATGAAACTTAAAAAAATTTTCCTATAATGTGGCTAATTGATGGTATTCAGAACATGTAAATGGAAAAGGAAGTCTTGTCTTTTTTACCCCCTGGCATAGGATGTCCTGGGCTGCAATGTCTCACCAGTGCCTGGGTTCCAGCCCCAAGACGAGAGTCTGGTGTATTTGTGCTACACGGTCTCCAGAGAAGATGGCTCGTTCTCTTTCTATTCCTTGCCAAGTGGGGGCTACACTGTGGTGAGTGAAGCAGATTTCCGTTCTGTTTATGTCTGGGACTCTCATGACACAGTAAAAGCCAATGCTGTTTGGGTGTTAAAGGAAAAGATGGTTGGCCTGCAGTTCTCTGAACATGCTGTTAAGCAGTAACTTACTTAAGATGAGACACTCACCCCTTCGTAATAGCTACAAAAAGGGCAAGGCTTCCTCTTTTCAAATCTGCAACAGTTATGATGAATGTTTCTCTTGGTCTGTCTGAACCCCTTGTCATTTGTGGGCTGCTAGATCGATTATTAATATTGCTGATTGATCATGTTAGTGGTTCTTAGTGATTAAGAGACTCTTCCTTCCAGATTCCGTTCTATCGAGGGGAGAGGATTACCTTTGATGTGGCGCCTTCCAGACTTGACTTCACAGTGGAGCATGACAGCTTGAAAATCGAGGTAAGGCTTTTCTGTCTTCTGGAGGGACAGGTGTTTGAGTTCCCATCCCTAGGCACAGGTATTGCAAACATGTTTTAAAAAAAAATCAATTATTTTATCTGGAAGGGCTGTTGGAAAAAATGCCATCTGGTATTATATTCTTACCCATGATGTCCTTATCGTAGAGAGCTGGATTCCTAGTTAAATCTACTCATTCAATGAAATATATTTATTGATTGCCAGTGACATGCATTTCAGGCACCATTCCAGGACTGGGGATATAGCAGTGACCAAAAGAGGCAAAAATTCTTGTCCCTGTGGACCTCATTTTTTTTTTTTTTTTTTTTTTTAAGACAGGGTCTCACTGTGTGGCTCAAGCTGGAGTGCAGTGGTACGATCTCATCTCACTGCAGCCATTGCCTCCAGGGTTCAAGTGATCCTCCCACCTCAGCCTGTTGAGTAGCTGGGACCACAGGCACGTGCCACCATGCCCAGCTAATTTTTGTATTTTTGTTAGAGATGGGGTTTCACCATGTTGCCCAGGCTGTTCTCTAACTCCTGGGTTCAAGTGATCTGCCTGCCTCGGCTTCCCAAAGTGTTGGGATTACAGGTGTGAGCCATCGCACCTGGCTAGACCTCATGTTCTAATGACAGGAAGGGTCAATACATGTATAGATGTATAAGTTAGAAAGTACAGTAGAAGGTGATAAGTGTTCTCTAGAAAAATAAAGGAAGAAAGGAGGTAGTACAGTATCAGGGTGGAGACAGGGGTTGCAGTTGTACATAGGGTGTTTTTGGGAAGTCCTCCCTGTGAAGGTGACATTTGAGCAACAACCTGAAGGGAAAGAACAAGAGAACCATACTTCACTCCTGCAGGAAGAGTGTGTAAGACTGAGGGAACGGCACGTGCAAAGGTCCTGAGGCAGGAGTGTGCTGAAGGGTTTGGGGCATCCCAAGGAGGCCAGGGTGGCTGGAGTGGAGGGAATGAGCAAGGAAGGAGGAGGCGGAAAGAGGGTCAGGGAGGTGACAGGGCAGATTGTGCAGGGCTTGGTGGGCTACTTTGCCTATAACTCTGGGTGAGAATTGGTGCCACTGGAAGGTTCCTAGCAGAGGAGTGGCGTGATCCTTCTGGCAGCTGCATTGAGGAGAGTTTGCAGGGTGTCAGGGTGGAAGTGGGAGACCAGTTGGGATGCCATGGCCGTAAACCAGGTGAGAACTGGCAGAGCTTGGACCGTGATGGTAGGAATGGGCAGTGTGATACATGGCTTGATAAACTGCCTAGACCCTCACATAAATGGTAAATGTATTTTTCATCTCACTTACGTCTCCTTTAATTACAGAAGTAGAAAATGGTTACTGTAGAAAATTGGCTAGCTAGAACAAATCCCAAAAGAAAATAACAGCCTCTCCTAAGTGGACCACCCAATGTTAGAGTTATCGAAGCAATTATATTTTAATCATTTTCTTTTAATAATTACATTTGAAAGTACTGTGTTAAAATCGCTTAAACTGGCAGAAGCGGACTTTTAGGTCATATGCACAGTGGGGTGCAGACTCTGCATTTTAAGATTCAGTGGAGTGTTTGACCGTTCTGCTGTACACTGGAGGGGAAAGAGAAGGGTAAGAAGATGAAGCCTTTACTTTGCTTCTCGTAGCTTGCAGAGAAGGATGGGGGCAGGTGAGCAGAGACAGCTATTCCCAGATTACAGCCAAATACATATTTTGAAAATGATGAATGGAATTTCAGGGAATGGGGCCCTGTAAGTTCCCTGAGGTCAGGTACTGTGTCTTATTCTTTACTGTTTTCCTAACATGTGATTTAGTGCCTGGCACATAGTAGGTGCCCAGCAAAAATATTTGTTGCGTACATATGTGAATTAATAAGTAGGTAATGCATGGAATGAAACATGTCTTTTTGGAAAGATCAATAAGGACTACCTGTCATGTGAGACCATCACTAAGAAACCATTTGCTGAAAAAAAAAATAAAAAAATAAAAAAGAAGGGCTCCCTGCATAAAAAGGAAGTCATTTAATTATTTAAAGCTTCATCTCAAATGCTGTTGCACACGTGCGTGCACACATTCATTCATTCAGGAGTCAGTTATTGAGTGCCTGCTGTGTACCAGGTGACTAAGACAGAAAAAGTCCCTGTCTCCATGAGGTAACATGCTAGTGGGAGGGAGACAACTAAGAAATCGAACGAGGACATTTCAGATACTGGTAAGTTTGATGAAGATATTAAAATAGGTTAGCAGTGGTGACCTTGGGGATACACAGATCAGGGCTGGAACTCAGTAACTGCAGAGAAAGCACAGCTGTGCTGCTCACAGGCGAGTGGGGCACAGACACAGACACAGACACATGGAGCACGGGACCACGTGTGAGCCAGTGATGGTGGTGGAGGAGGGTGGTCTAGGTGGATTTCTTTTTTTTTCTTTGAGACAGAGTCTTGCTGCTTCACACAGGCTGGCACTATCTTGGCTCACTGCAACCTCTGCATCCCGAGTTGAAGTGATTCTCCTGCCTCAGCCTCCCGAGTAGCTGGGATTACAGGCGCCCGCCACCACACCTGGCTAATTTTTGTATTTTTAGTGGAGACAGGGCTTCACCATGTTGGCCAGGCTGGTCTTGGACTGCTGACCTCAAGTGATCTGCCTGCCTCGGCCTCCCAAAGTGCTGGGATTACAGGCGTGAACCACTGCGCCTGGCCTAGGTGGATTTCATAAGGACCTGTGTTCAGGTCGTGGTGGAAAGACAGGAGGGGACACGTGAGACCTTGCAGAGGTGGAATCCACAGGACTGATCGATGCTGGAGGAGCGGGGCGGGTCATCCAAAGTGATGCCGGGGTGTGCATGGGAGACTGGAGGAAGACGTGGTTCACCAAAATGGGGGCATCTGGAGGGGAGGAGATGGCACAGGGGTAAGGGTGGGGGGCTTCTAGAAGCTTGAGTCAGTGACCTTTTAACGAGGGAAGTAAGTCTCTAGACTTTTCTTTTCTGTTGTTTGACACTCAGCAGTGTGTTGGGAACACAACAGAGAAGACAGATGTGGGTAAAGTGAGAGGGAGCCCGGCTGGCACACAGGACCGGGGCACTGAGTGTTGGGAGGTGGGCGGCAGGAGCAGACATGGTAGGTGGTGGCCGGCGCAGCAGAAGGAGGCTTTGTGGCTCTGGCACAGGAGCACCTTCGAGCACCTTCTTGTTCTTTGTTTTCTAGCCCGTGTTCCACGTCATGGGATTCTCCGTCACCGGGAGGGTCTTGAACGGACCCGAAGGAGATGGTGTTCCAGAAGCAGTAGTCACCCTGAATAACCAAATCAAAGGTGGGCTGACACAGCAGCCCCAGGCTGATGGCCAGCGCTCTTTTTGGATCACAGAGAGAAATGGAGAGGAACTGATGACTATATGAGAACATGGCAGCTTTTGGTCCAAGTATTCTGGTGTACATGTAAGGATACACTGTTGTTTTTGGCTTATCTTCTGTTTGTGTGTTTTTGTTTTACAGTTAAAACAAAAGCTGATGGCTCATTCCGCCTTGAGAACATAACCACAGGGACATACACCATCCATGCTCAGAAAGAGCACCTCTACTTTGAAACGGTCACCATCAAAATTGCACCAAACACACCTCAGCTGGCTGACATTGTTGCAACAGGGTAAGCTTATCGTGTGGATTTGGAAGCACCAGTAAATATGCTGGCAGCCAGTGTAGAACCAAATGACCTGTGATCTGTGTGTCTTTGCCGAGCTTAAGAACTTAAGAAAGATTAGTACTTTTTTTTTTTTTTTGAGAGACAGAGTCTTGCCCTGTTGCCCAGGCTGTAGTGCAGTGGTGCCATCTCGACTCACTGCAACCTCTGCCTCCCAGGTTCAAGTGATTCTCCTGCCTCAGCTTCCCAAGTAGCTGGGACTACAGGCGTGCCCCACCACACCCAGCTAATTTTTGTATTTTTTAGTAGAGACAGGGTTTCACTATATGTTGTCCAGGCTAGTCTCAAAACTCCTAACCTCAGGCTGTCTGCCTGCTTTGGCCTCCCAAAGTGCTGGGATTATAGGTGTGAGACACTGCACCCGGCCAAGAAAGATTAGTTCTAAATCTTACAAACTGAAGGTACTGACATGTCGGATGCTTAATGAAAAGTCCCTTGCTTCAAATTAAAATGGGCTTGTGAAATTAAAAAATCTTTCATGTCTGACTTTCACGATCTTTCACAGGACCCCTCTTTGCTTAATCTTTGAGGATTTTTGGAAGATGGTATTGTTGGTTGAGAAAGCTTATTGGAAGATGCTTCAGGTCATTGGTGTAGTTCTTCCTGCTTGTAGTTACTCATTATACTATAAGTACAGGCAGGGACATCTTGTGGTTGAATTCATGTGGTTTTACCATCATCTGAAGCAAGATTGTGTAGTGCCAAGAACTTGGGCTTTGGAGTCAGATCCCAGATCCACCTGTATGTAACCTGCAGAACAGCTTTAGACATAACAGGTGCTCACAAAACAGTAGCTTAGAAGGAGACTGCAGGGTCTGCTTGGGAGAAGCGCGGCATGAGCAAAGTCAGGCAGTCTCACAGCAGCATGAGGTGGCTGCGGGTGTAAAGCTGGGTGCTACTGGAGCAGAATATACTGGCAGGTGAAGGTGATGATGAGGCCAACCCCATAGCACCTCCTCACACCCCACCAGGGCGTAGGGGCTTTCTCCCACTGGGGCCAACGGGCCATGAGTGGTTTTGAGCATTAATATAACAAGCTTTGATCATTGTTTTCAATAGGGCATTCTGAAAACAATGGCATGGAGTAGAGTGGCTTTGAAGGGGACAGGACTTGGGCACAGGAGGTCTGAAAGCAGAGACGACAAGGGCTTGCCTTGTAGGGAAGTCAGGGACAGACTGGTGAGATATTTAGGGTGCCCAGCTTGAGAGGTGTGATGGCTGGGGACAGAAAGAGAAGCCAGTTAGGTGATGAGGTTTCAGATTTGGCCACATTGGTCTGTAGGACCACTAGGTGGAGCTCTTCAATAGGTACTTGGATGGATGGTAAATCCTGAAGATTTGGCCGCAGGTGGCAGCCAGGACCTCAAATATGTATGTGCAAGTAGAATTAGAAGAACAGTAGGCCAAAAACAGAGTGCCAGGTGGCCCAGGGGGGGACCTAGGGAGCCTGAGGTCATAGGAGCTAAGAAAGTAAGTTTGGGGTAGGAGGTAGGGCCCAACAGGGAGGTGCAGGGAGCTGGGCCCTGGTGAACACAGTCCCCTGGCTTGATCACTGAGGAGGCCACAGTGACTCTTTTCTGTAGACAGATGGAGGTCAAGGTCAAGGAGTCCAGTGGTGAATGGAAGACAGGGAAGCAAATTACCCTCAGAAAGTAATTCTTGGATTTAAGTCTTTCCCACCTTCCATAAACACTTTGTGCAATTACTCTAGATGAGGCACTGAAAAATGCTTCATACCTAATAATTAATCAAACTAGTGTTCCAGAGATGGGGCTTTCACCCTACCAGGGAGACAGACTGAAGACAAATACATCTGTGGCCAGGCTTAATGCCTCACACCTGTAATCCATCCCAGCACTTTGGGAGGCAGAGGTGGGCGGATCGCTTGAGCCCAGGAGTTTGAGACCAGCCTGGGCAACTTGGCAAAACACCATCTCTACCAAAAATGCAAAAATTAGCTAGTTTCATAACCTGGTCTAAAAATAAATAAAGAGATAAAAATTAAAAAATAACAAGATTTTTAAAAAAGACAAAAAAGACAAATACATTTATGCTGCTAAATTATGGCAAATGTTGTGCAGGGAAGAGATCAGGGTGCTGCAAGAAGAGCTAATTTAGAGTGGGAGCTCTGCAAGGCTCTCTGGGTTGCAGAGACCTTAGTAAAGACTAAAAGTTAGCTAAAGAAAGATCTTCCCTAGTAGAGAAGCAGCATGCTCAGAGGCCTGCATAGGATAGGAAGGACCTGAAAGGCAGTCTGCGCAGCTGGAGGAGGTGGGTGAGGTCAGGGAGCTCTGGGGCCTTGTAGCCTTGCTTTGGGATTGGGCTTTGCTCCCTAATGCAGTGGAAACCCGTTAGGAGTTGTCTGTTGGTTGGCCGGGCACGGTGGCTCACGCCTATGATCTCAGCACTTTGGGAGGCTGAGGTGGGCGGATCATGAGGTCAGGAGTTCAAGCGCAGCCTGGCCAGCATGGTGAAACCCGGTCTGTACTAAAGATACAAAAGGTTGGCGGGGCATGGTGATGCGCGCCTATAATCCCAGCAACTCAGGAGGCTGAGGCAGGAGAATCGCTTGAACCCGAGAGGCAGGGGTTGCAGTGAGCTGAGATTGCACCATTGCACTCCAGCCTGGGCGACAGGGTGAGATTCCGTCTCAAAAAAAAAAAAAAGAGTTATCAGTTGGCAAGGGAGTGATAGGGATCATGGTACTTTAAAAAGTTTGTTTTTCTTCCTGGCTGCTGTGTGGAGAATGGATTGGAGGAAAGCCATGGTGTGAATGGAGGGGCCAGATATGAGGCAGTCATGGTTGTCTGGAGGAGATATGGTAGTGGCTGGGCCCAGGCGGCTGGCAGGCGAGGGAGCGAGGAGTAGATGGATTTGGTAGGTCACATGGAGAACACACCCACAGGCCTGTGCTGTTGAGGTTACAGGTTTCTTATTTGAGCCACTGGGTAGATGGAGGCGGTGCTGTTCACGGAGATGGAGGAAATATATTTATTTTCTCCTTTAAAGTAGAGTATTTGGGTCAAAGAAAGAAAAATAGCATTTGTTGAACATTTTTGGAAAAATCTCTTTTTTTTAATTGGCCGATGTAGTACATTTGCCTTTTTAGCACACTGATACTTCTTACTATTTCTTTTCCTTTTTATTTTTTGTTGAGCCAGGGTCTTACTCCGTTGCCCAGGCTGGAGTACGGTGGCGCCATCTCGGCTCACTGCAGCCTCCGCCTCTCGGGTTCAAGTGATTCTCCTGCCCCAGCCTCCTGAGTAGCTGGGATTACAGGCTAATTTTTATATTTTTTAGTAGAGATGTGGTTTTGCCGTGTTGGCTAGGCTGGTCTCGAACTCCTGACCTCAAGTGACCCACCCGCCTCGGCTTCCCAAAGTGCTGGGATTACAGGCTGAGCCATGGTGCCTAGTCTTCCTTTAAAGTAAAATAAAAAAATTACTCAATTTATTGTAAAAACAAACTCTTTGGCTTCTGTCCAAATGACTGTGAAAATAGATTTCTCTCAATATCCACCAATATTACCTGTTTCTGTCCATATATGTATTTAAACCCTGTTGAAAGAATTTATTGATACAAATCAATTTTTAAGGGCTTCAGTATAACGGAACCTTTTTCTACCACCCTTTTGGTTTATTTTTCCAAACTAAGCCAGTATAGATTTGAGGTTTAGGGAAAATAGGCACTTCTTTTTAATAAGAATGTGGGCTAAAACAGATCTTATGGTTCAAATATTTACAACTTAAGGAGGCAAAGAGATTTGATAGGAAATAGACAAGGTGATGTGTCCTCTGACAGGTACACAAATCAAGAGAATATGACAGGTCCTTGGGAATGATTGTGTCAGTGTTCGCTTCCCATCCTTTTATTCTGAAAGTTCACAGTAGGGGAATGTGAGAACCAAAATGCATATGCTAGGTCAGGGACTGGGACACTTTCTCTGTGGAGAGCCAGAGAATAACTATTTTAGGCTGCGTGAGCCATACGGTCTCTAGGACAACAGCTGAGATAGACATTTGTAAATGAATGGGCAGAGCGCAACACAACTACATTTTTGGACACCACAGTTTGCATTTCATGTAATTTTTACATGTGAAATATTATCTTTCTTTTGATTTTTTTTTTTAACTTTAACCACTTAAGAGTGTAAAATTCTTTTTCTCGGCTTGCAGTTCATACACAAACGGGAGGGGGGTCCTTGGGTGGTAGTTTGCTGACCCATGCTGGAGATAGTGAGCTCATATGGCTGGGCAGTCCCTTCACTCTGAAGAAATGGCTGTGTTTTTCATAATTCCTAGATTTCACATACACAATCTTCCACCATTTCCTTGTGTTTTCCACTGTTTTTTTATTTGAGGCGGAGTGGTGGTTCCAACATTTAATGTACCCCTAATTGTCAGAATCCAACATTCTTGATTATCTTTATGTCAGAAGTAACTAATTTTTATCTAAAATGATTCTTGAAGATTCTTTAAAATGAACAGTTGAAAAGACAACTGTGACCCCCAGCTAGGATGTACTATTACACTTTAATACACCAGCTGCTTCAGAAATGAAGACCAGCACTCCAAGGATGATGGTCGTTGTAGGGGGGCCTCTCGTGTGTTATTCGAGGGATGCCTTGCAACACCTTACTCCTTATTTAGAATCTCAAATCTGAATCATTACCTTAATAGGGCTTTTCAGTTATAAGTTACATTGTGGCTCCTACCTCCCAAGGAGTTCAATTTTAGCTTTGCATTTTTTAACTTAATTACCTTTTCTGTTCCAATCTCCCAGTTTGCTTTCATCCATGTATTATATATAATCACAAGCAAGGAAGACGTCTTTGATAATCCTGACTTATTTGATGGCCTGGTAATGCCACAGTTTCTTAGGCAGCTTAGAGCTCTTGCTTTTAAGGGCTAGCCCACATTCTCAGTCCAAGGCCGCTCTGCTGTCAACGATCCAATTACCTGAAACGTTTTTATTATCTGCAGATTTTCTTAAAATTGCCTCTGCAGTGGGGGATTGCCAGATGTCACCCGGAACACACAAACAGCCCCACTACGGGCCCCTGTTCTGTAGAAAGATGCCCAGTCTTGCTTCTGAAGGTTGCTTTTTAAAACCAGAATGAAGGTTGCTTTTTAAAACCAGAATCATCTGGATTGCATTCTGTCTCTTCATTAAGATTAGACTATTCTCAGGAACAAGGGCTGGGAGAGGGCTGCATCTTTTTTGGTCGATAAGAGCCTTTCCTGTTATAATTGAGTCCTCGTGCTGGAATGAATGGTCTTCTCTTTGCAGGTTCAGTGTCTGTGGTCAGATATCAATCATTCGCTTCCCCGACACCGTCAAGCAGATGAATAAATACAAAGTTGTCCTGTCATCTCAAGACAAGGACAAGTCTTTGGTCACCGTGGAGACAGATGCTCATGGATCATTTTGTTTTAAAGCAAACCCAGGGACTTACAAAGTGCAGGTGCGATGCATTGTTTTAAATTTAAAATGTTTTGAGAAAAAGCAGTGATTTTTAGAAGGGTTATTAGGTCGAATGGGGTTAGAGAAGGAGCATTCCAGTTTCCAACTTCTTGTTTTTAAGTCTTTACAATCCTGCACCAGTAGAGGAGAGTCAGATAGGCATCCAGCTAAAAAATAATGCCATCTGCCTCTCTTTTTTCCAGTCTTGATGTTTATTAGTATCAGGCTGCCAGTCACTCCTCTACCTTCAGGCTTCTGGCTGCTGTAGAATGTCGATGAGTCCAAGAGGACACCAAAAATGAACTCTACTAATGGCCGCTCAAAAATGGCCATAGTGCGTGGCTTCTGGGACCCCAGGCCAAAATGGAGCTTCCCATTTCCTGCTTTGCCTTGACTTCAAGATGGCTAGGCAGGGACCACGCGACTTATCCATTCAAGCAGGCCGAGAACGGGGAGACGGTCTGGCCTGTGGTCTCATCACCATGGTGAAGGCCCAAGCCACAGCTGGCCCAAGCAAGCAAGAGACAGGACAGAGCAGAGGTCAGCCCACCATGCCTTTCAGTGCAGTGGCCCTGCCCTTGGGGAGAGACTGTTTCCGTGGGCTGTCACCCATCAAATCAGCAGCTGCCCTTCCTCCCTGTGGAAGAGCAAATAACACAAAGGGAGAGGGCCGAGAAGGTTCCCTGTTAGACTCTGCTGTCCTCTAGGGCAAAGTGGGGTCCCTCCCTCTGTGGGAAACAGGGTAGGAGATTGCGTTCTCCCTGCTTCCACAGAACAGCGTGGTGTGTGGGTTGACAGCTGACTTTATTAGATGGTAGCTGGCTTCTTGCGAAGATGTCCACATTGACAAGTCTTTGGAAGCCCTTTCGGAAGCATGATGGACTTCTCCAAGGAAGGGCAGTGTCGTCTTTACTAGGGATGAAAGAGTTGACCGCTGCTACCTTCACCTGTTCCTCTTCTTAGCCCATGAAAGGCACGCACAACAATAGGAGGAAGAAAATGACTTAATTCCACCAAAGTGTCATCCACATAGTGTTGACAGGTTCAGAGCTTATGCTACAAGTGATCCGAAGCCGGGAAAAGTGACTGGGATGTAGTATGGTTTCTAGTATGTAAGTGAGGCGTGTCCGCGTTGCGGGCCTGTGGGGAATTAGGCCAGATAGACTTTTGTTCATACACATCGGTCTGTTGAGGCTAATTTTTCATCTGGGTAGAACCGTGCTTACTTCACACAAGTTATTCGTGGATTTGTTGTGATTGTAAAATCAGCCTGGAAACGAACCTTTGGCCTTCAAAATCTCTTTAGCCTTGGTCCCAGATGAATGTTCTAGCGCCCTGTAGGTCAGGGGGAAGATCTCCCCGAATGCAGCCTCTAACGTTCCATCCACGTTTCCGCAGGTGATGGTTCCTGAGGCAGAAACCAGAGCAGGGCTGACGTTGAAACCCCAGACATTTCCTCTTACTGTGACCGACAGGCCTGTGATGGATGTGGCCTTTGTACAGTTCTTGGCATCAGTTTCTGGGAAAGTCTCTTGTTTGGGTAAGATATCACTGGAAAGTAAGAACACATAGTTTCAAAGAAGTCAGCCGGTAGGAGTGGGATTTGGGAAACTTTTTGTTTTGCCTTTGTTGTTTGCTACTGATCACCTGCGTGCGAGGGAGGCTTCTTGGAGTCAGGTGGGTACATGTTAACTTGAAAGAAGCGCTCCGTCTGCCTCCGGCCACTGCCTCTTAGGAGCTCAGCAGTAGCAAGAAGCTATTACATAGGGTTAGGATTCGAACCTGTGCTGAAGCCTTATAAGGGGTCACATGGAGCCCTCCCTTCTTTTCCCTGCAGACACCTGTGGTGACTTGCTGGTGACTCTACAGTCCCTGAGCCGCCAGGGTGAGAAGCGGAGCCTCCAGCTCTCCGGCAAGGTCAACGCCATGACTTTCACCTTTGACAACGTGCTCCCTGGAAAATACAAAAGTAAGAATTGGAATGCAACATCCTGTGGCCCTCACACACTTCTTGTCTTTGTAAACTTTCTAAAACTCAGGTCTCAAATTGTATCACGACCATGTACCTTTCCTTGTTTTAAGTCGTCTTTGCCTCGTGACCTTGACTGCATTATTTAGCGTTGGACAAGCATGGAGGAGTCCAGGCCCTGAGCTGACCGCCACCTTGTCTGCACAGCCCACTGGCGGCTTCTGTTAAGGGAGGGTGCCCCGACGTATGGCATTTTATTTCTAAAGCCCAGAGAAAGGAGTGTGAAATAGTTCCACTGATGTGTTCTACTAACTTAGCAGTACTGGTGCTGAGTACTGGCCATGGCAAGGTACTTGACCTCCCTGAAACTCAGTTTTCCCATCTGTAAAATAGACATAATAGAACCTTTCTGCAGAATATAAGACTAAAAGAAGTAAAGTTTATAAAGCCCGTTGTGCAGAGAGCCAGCTAAGTAGCTGGTGCCCACAAATGTTACTTCCCTTTTCCTTGCCCTTCTTAAGAAGCCACTTCTTGCCTGTATTTCTGCTTTTTCAGAAATCAGCTTGGGGCTGCTGGCAGTGGATAGCTCATAAAACAGACTGCTTTTTCTGGAATTATATTAATATTTTCTGTTATGGCAGGGCTTGGCAGACTACAAAAACTGCCTTTTATAAGCGTAGTTTCCTTAGAATACAGCCTTGCCCATTTGTTTATGGATTCTCTATGGCTGCTCGTGTGTAACAGTGGCCAAGTCGAGTGGTTGAGGCTGACAAAGCATGTGGCCTGCAAAACTGAAAAGAGTTACAGAAAAAGTTTGTGGATCCCTGAATACCTTACTTGCAGCCTGATCTTACAGGCCCCATTAGATTTCTTTCTTGATGTAATGGAAATTGGTTCCAGTTTTTCTTTCTTTTTTTTTGAAATTTAGCCTCGCTCTGTCACCCAGGCCGGAGTGTGGTGGCGCGACCTTGGCTCACTGCAACCTCTCCGCCTTCTGGGTGCAGGAGATTCTCTTGCCTCAGCTTCCCGAGTAGCTGGGATTACAGGCATGCACCACCATGCCTGGATAACTTTTGTATTTTTAGTAGAGATGGGGTTTTGCTATGTTGGTCAGACTGGTCTTGAACTCCTGGCTTCAAGCCATCCACTGCCGTCGGCCTCCCAGAGTGCTGGGATTATAGGCATGAGCCACCACGCTCGACTCCAGGTTTTCTTTAGCAGTAATTTATTCCAAATACTGCTAGTTATAAATATATGTATGTGTATATTTCTATCTTTATGTCTACATACACACCTGCTTTTTAAAATTAGTTAATTCATGATCATTGTTTCTGGTGGCGTGCAGGGAGGTGGTGTGCTCCACGCCCATGTATCCGTTTTTGGTGTTTGCTTTTGCAGTAAGCATCATGCATGAGGATTGGTGCTGGAAGAACAAGAGCCTGGAGGTGGAAGTGCTGGAGGATGACGTGTCTGCAGTTGAGTTCAGGCAGACGGGCTACATGCTGAGATGTTCCCTGTCTCACGCCATCACTCTGGTATGTACGGCTTATGGAGTCTCTTATTTGGAAAAGCGCTTGCCTTGTGGATGTCAAGAAAGACTAACATCCCAGGAATATTGTAAACGTAGGCAAGTCAGATTTCCTTTTCTGCCTCTGCACTCACCCACCTGTTACGCAACGCATAATCAGGAAGCATTTATACTCTCTCAGTGGAAGGACCCCTGTATTTAGGAGGTTTCCTTGTCCTGGCCCTACACTAAATCTGACTGGTGATTCGGGGTGACCTTTGGTACAGTGTAGAGCACACTGGCTTTATATTATTAGTAATAATAGCTTTGGGTAAATTCATTTACTGCTTCTCAGCCTCAGTTTTCACCGAAAATTGAGATCTTAATACCTACTTCTCAGGGTTATGGCAGGGCTTAAGTGAACCCTCTTAGGTATCAAAGTGTCCTTGGTGTACACCGCTCTGTACTGCCAAGTGAGTTTCTCTGATATATATATATATATATATATATATATATATATTTTTTTTTTTTTTTTTTTTTTTTTTTTGAGATGGAGTCTTGCTCTGTTGCCCAGGCTGGAGTGCAGTGGTGCAATCTCGGCTCACTGAAACCTCCGCCTCCCGAGTTCAAGCGATTCTCCTGCTTCAGCCCCCCGAGTAGCTGGGACTAGAGGTGCGTGCCGCCATGCCCAGCTAATTTTTTTCTTTTTTTTTTGTATTTTTGTTAGAGACAGAGTTCCACCATGTTGGCCAGACTGGTCTTAAAACTCCTGACCTCAGGGGATCCACCCGCGTTGGCCTCGCAGAGTGCTAGGATTACAGGCGTGAGCCATTGTGCCCCACCTTCTCTGGTGTATTTGTTCCAGTGCAGGGGAAGAAGCTGTAAACAGGATCTTAGCTTCTTGTTGACTGTGGTCTCTGTGGCCTGAAAGGCAGTGTGAAATGGGTTTCAGGAGCACCTCTGTAGATCCCTTCGTGAATTTTCTATAATGTTTTGATGTCGAGCGGCGGCAGATGTCATCGTCAGGTCTTAGTTTCTCTGTAGAGAAACTAGAAGAATTGGAACTGGTGTTTCATGTGCCAACTTACTCCCCTAACTGCTTAATTACAAAAACTCCACAGGTCGATTTGTTATAGGAGATCGATTAATATCCGGTTCATAATAAGTGATAGATATTTAGGAAACCTTTCCCTTCCAGCAGTGGAGTGGATTTCCAGCTCTCTTGTAATAAGATCCTTTTTTTTTTTTTTTTTTGACACTTCCTTAACCCCTTCTTTATCTCCTCCCACTGTCCCCTCACTCGCCGGGCCCCAGCCACAGTGGTCCTCTGCAGTCCCACACCAAGCTCACTCCCTCCTCGGGGCCTTTGCACATACTCTCCCCTCTGCCTGGAGTGCTGTGACTTCTCCAGAAACACGTGTTGTTGGTTTTTCCTCCTCATTCAGGTGCAGCCCTATTGTTCAGGAGAGATGTGCCCTGGGACCAGCGAGCTAAAGACCCCTCGGTGGGGATTGTTCTTCTCTTGCTTTCCTGTTTATTTTCACAGCTTCGTTACTGACCAGTTGAGATCACTAATTTATTTGTTGTTGCGTTGATTTTGTCTTCCTGTATTAGAACATAAGCCCTGTGAGAGCAGGAGCCATGGTCATGACTCCCAAGGCCCAGCCTTGTGTCTGTCACATAGCAGGTGCTCAATAAATATTAGTTGATTGAATGAAAAATAGCACACTTTTGTTGGAAGTTTTGGGAGGTTTTTAATTTTCCTGTGGCACCCAACTGCTCCAATGATTAATGGGCAAAACAGATGACTGGTTTGGAAAGAGAAATATTATTAATCATCTTGGTGTCTCCATCTCTCTTAGTAAGTCATTGTATTGGCTTTGCTCCCTTAGGAATTTTATCAGGATGGAAATGGGCGTGAGAATGTGGGGATTTATAACCTCTCCAAAGGAGTCAACCGATTCTGCCTGTCCAAGCCTGGTAAGTTTGGAAGGATTGATGTGCCATGAATTAGAAAAATGGAAAGGCACCAGAGGATGGTTTTGAAGGCATTTTTTTCTACCTTGGTTCTGTTTGCATCAAGCTTTCAATTTCTGTGTGTTCAACCTGCTCTTGTTTTTCTGTCTGTCTTGGGTTTGAGTTGGGTAGACACCACTGGGCCCTTTCACCTCCAAAAATATACCATTGGCCAATGGCCTCTCTTTATAGAGCTGTTTTAAAATTTGAATCATTTCCCACTTTGCTTAAAATCTTTCAGTGGCTTCTCGCTCTTTCTCATTTTTTTTTTCTCTTTCTTTTTTTGAGATGGAGTCTTGCTCTGTCACCCAGGCTGGAGTGTAGTGGCTCGATCTTGGCTCACTGCAGCCTCCGCCTCCTGGGTTCAGGCGATTCCCCTGCCTCAGCCTCTCGAGTAGCTGGGATTACAGGTGCCCACCACCACATCCGGCTAATTTTTGTATTTTTAGTAGGGATGGGTTTCACCACATTGTCCAGGCTGGTCTCAAACTCCTGACCTAAAGTGATCCGCCCGCCTCAGCCTCCCAAAGTGCTGGGATTACAGGTGTGAGCTGCTGCACCCAACCCTCTCTCTCTTTTATAATGGCTTTTTTTGGAGGCAGAATTTGCATATCATAAAACTCACCTATTTAAGATGTACAATAAAATGATTTGTAGTAAATTTATCAAGTTGCACAACCATGGCCAGAATCCAGTTTTAGATTTGTTCATCACCCACAATGTAAGATCCTCTGTGCCCGTTGACAGTTAATCCCTGTTTCTAGCCATGGCCAGCCACTGATCTATTTTCTGTCCCCATGGATTGGCTTTTTTTGGACGTTTATCATACGATGCTGGTATTTTGTTTGGCTTCTTTTATTTAACATGTTTTTGAAGTTTATCTGTGTCATGGCACATATCAGTAGTTTGTTCTGTTACATTGCTGTGTAGTATTCTGGTGTGTGGTTATATCATATTTTGTGTATCCATTTATCAGTTGGTGGATATTTGAGTGGTTTCCAGTTTGACGCTGTTATGACTAATGTTACGGACATTCTTATACAAGTCTTTGTGTCCGTATGTTTTCGTTTTTCTTGTTTCGATACCTAGGAATGGAATTGCTGCATTGTGTGATAAGTTTATGTTTAACCTTTTAAGAAACTGTCAAATTGTTTTCCACAGAGGCTGTGTCATTTGATATTCCCACCAGCAATGCACGAGGGTTCCGGTTTCTTCACCTCCTTCGCCAACATTTGTTATTGTCTGTTTTATTATAGTCATCTTGGTAGATGTGAAGTCGTGTCTCATTGTGGTTTTGTTTTGCATTTTCCTAATGAATAATTCAGTGGCTCCTCCGTTTGGTTCCCAAGATAAAATACAAACTCCTTAACCTGATCTTAGCTCCTGTGTAACCCAGCCCTGTCTGCCACTGTCTCTACTCCAGCCACTCTGTCCTTCTGGGTGTCAGTTCAGCTGCCTTTGGCTACATGTAACAAAATCCATACAGCAGTGCCATTGGCAAGTGGTAGTTTATTTGGCTCAATAAAGAAGTGTGGCAGTGCGTGGCTGCCAGCATGGGTTCAGCAGCTGGTAGATGTTAGGGGTGGTGTCTTTGTGATTCTTTAGGCCTTTCCCTTCTATTTTTTGCCTTGTATTTTCAAGATGGCTGTGGTTAGAAAACTTATGTTTAAAGGAGGAAGTCAAGGAGAGGGCAGGCAAACATTTCCTTGCGCCCCCTCCTCCAGTAAGCTACTTGTCTGTATTATTGGCCAGAACCGTGCCACATGGTTACTTCTAGCTGCAAGGGAGGCTGGGACAGTTGGATGTGCTACCCGAGGCTGAGCACGTTGCCACCCTCAACATAACCAGGGTTTGTTCTCAAGGCAGGAAGGATGCCTGTTGAGGAAACAATGAGCCAGCCTGTGAGGCAGATGCTGTTCTCTGTGGACATCTCCTCCTGCCCCTCCTAGCTGGGGCCTTCTTACCCATCAGTTCAGTATTGCTTCCTGGGGAAGGATGGCCTCCAGGGCCACTTAGGCCTGCCTCCTACACTCTTGCTCTCAGCACTCACTTCTATCCCCTTCTTGCATGTGCCACAATTGATATGTTTGTGGCTGTCAAATGCTCCCCCTCTCTGTGGATGGTAAACTCCATGAAGACAGGGACCACTGCTCTGTCATTCCCCACTGTGTACCAGTACCTAGCATAATACCTGGCCAGGAAGAGATGCTCTGTCGATATTTGTTGAATGAAAGACCAAACAAAACAAACAGAGAAACCTGATTTTTTTTTTTTTTTTTTTTTGATGGTAACTACTCTGGGGCTTGTTGAGTGCAATGAAAACAGCAGGGTGGTTTTAGCTAATTTCAGGTTTTTGTAGGAAGTGTGGCCAAAATACTGGTTAATGATGATTTGGGGGAAATACATTGTTATTCCTTGTATCTTCCTGAAATTGACTGTGTTCCTCTGGCAAGTGATGAAATGTACCCCTACTCGGAGTGTCCTCCCACACAGACTCACACTTTTCTGGGGCTTCCCTTACTCCTTACCTCCTTTTTAGGAATATTTATAGGAAGAAATTGAGGCTGTGGTTATCTCTTGGATCCTTAATAGAATCTTTTAAGTAGGAAATTATCCTCAGTCCAATTTGCAGTAGAAACGTACTTTCTGTTCCTTCTCGTGCATGGGTCCGTTCACCTGGTCTGTGCAGATTTAACTACTGTGAGTTGTTACCTTATGGAAAATGAAAATCATGCGCCTGTGATCGGGCCATTGCATGGATCGGGTCATTGGTAAGACGCCTTCATAGGCAGTGAAAACGATGCCTGCCCAGTATTTCTGATCCCATTATTGCAGATCTGCGATACATTTGAGTTTTCACATGCAAAGAGCTGCCACTCGATTTCAGATGTCGGAATTGCTCAGTGTAATAGATGCCATTCTCTGAAAATTACTTTTGATTTCCTGTCTGTAGGTGTGTACAAAGTGACCCCTCGCTCCTGCCACCGGTTTGAGCAAGCGTTCTACACCTATGACACGTAAGCCTGGGAATTGAATGCTTTGTGGTGTTTGTATACATTCCGTGGAGGATTCTTCATTTACTTCAGAGAACAAAAGGAGTTTTTCTGTTTTTTTTCTGAAAGAGGCAAGGTTAGGCCTTCAACAGCATTTCTAGATAAGGATTTTAAGACACTTGGATTAGTTACTGAGGAACCGGAGACAGGATCCCTTTCCCAAGAATTCTGTAACCCCAGGATAGAGGGCTGTGTTTTTGAAGTGCCTTAAATAGAAGCTTTGTCAAATCTCCCAGCCCTCACCGATGGGCATCTGTCAAGTTCAAGTCTGCCATTTTTGTATTTTTACAGACGTGTGTGGGTTTCACTGGGAATTGGAAGCATAAAGTTGTGGAGTGGAGAATTAGTTTACTCTTTAAAATACTTCTCTGGATCTCCAGAGTTATTTTACCCCAGACTAAAAGCAATTTTCTGTAGTATATTTAGGGTGAAGAAGGATGCCCAAAAAGGGTATTGCTGATGATCTTCTGAGAATGAGTAGGTTCTAGCGTTTCCTCTGCTTTGATTTGTAGGTCTTCACCTAGTATCTTGACATTGACAGCCATTCGCCACCATGTCCTTGGAACTATCACCACCGACAAAATGATGGATGTCACTGTGACTATCAAGTAAGATGAGCGTTCTGCAGTGGGCCGAGAGTGGCGGGAGAGGGTGTGGATGAGGCCTGGGGAGTCTCTAATAGGCTCTCTGGAAATTAGTTTTGATTTCTTATCTCTAGATGTATATACAAATGGCCTTCCCTCTCTTATAGGACATTGCCGTCAATTCCCAGCAGCCTTGATCCTTTCCATTTCTGATTCAGAAATTACCTGTGGGTGAGGAAGAGCGTTGCGACAGCTTGTTTCAGTGTCTTCAATTTCTGTTTGAACTCTTTGTACTTCTCATCTTTGCTAAGGAAAAAAAAAATCTCTGGGGTTTGTGCATTGTATTTCAAGTGTTTTAGCAAATTCAAATTGCCTATTTTTCTTTAGACTTTTGCTTGAAGGCTTGGGAAATAGAGATGGCACCTGGTATAAGAGAAGGGTCGTGAGAGAGGAAGTATTTGAAAGGCAAGTCCCTCACCGAAGGTCACGTTCATGTGAATGTCACCTTTCAGGGAATTTTTGCAGTGTGGTGAGGTACCTGTGACGCCCCAATTTTCTTGAGAAATGAAAGAGTTTTGGCAACATGACCGTCTCTGTCAAGTAGAATGGGCATTGCAGTCCCTGTCTCCCTCCTGCCCCTGGTTGAAGTCACCTTTCCAGCTATGTTTCCATCTTTCTGTCCACCATCTGTTTATCCATCCGTCATCCCTGCAGAGTACATGATGACTGAAAAACTGAGAGTCTTCAGTGTTTAGGCACTGGGCTTATGAGGCCACAGCCCCTACACTTATGGGATTGACAGTCTCATGGGGGGAACAGTGGTCAGATACTCACATGCAGAACCGTAAAATGACAACTGTTCTGAGTGCTTTGAGCTTGACCTTGGGGGCATGCAGGACAGGTAGGCTGCGGGGGGCCAGGCCATGTTAAGGTCCATAGTCTTTGTCCCATGATGCAATTGACATGTTTTACATAGAGGAATGACATTTTTCTTCCTGAAGGTCCCCCTATTGGCCGAGTGGAGAACAGACAGAAGAGGCCTGAGAGTGGGAGGTGGTGGAGGCAGGGGGAGGCAATGGGGGCCCCAGACTAGTGGCTGCGGAGATGGAGAGCGACGGACTGGTCGGAGAGTCGTTGAGGGACTGAGTTGATGAGACATGGCACTAAAGTGACCACTGGGTTAGGGCGGGAGAAATGTCAGGGCTGGCCCTGGTTTCTGGTGATGGGGAGCCAGGTTTTTAGCTGGGGGTGGATTTGCCGAAGGTCTGTTGCTGTCTTTTACTATCATTTACTGTCTCCCTGCTTGGAAAGTATGAATTACTGATAGGACTAGCAATCTACCTTCTTACCAGTAGTAACTGCATGTTACCTCCTTTCAGCTTGATTACATTCATTTTTGTAACTTCACAAGGGTGTTTGTGTTGCTTGCTTGTGCCGGAGGTTGTATGGAATGCATCTTCCAGCTAGACAGAGCCACTCGGATTCCCCTGGGAATCGTGTACTCAGCAGACCCAAAACCCGACTGCTGACAGTTGCCCTCCATGAGCCCCTCTGTGGTCTTTTCTGATTCAGATATGGCAGCTCCCGCTTTCTCCTTGTTTCTTGATTCTTATTTCCCTTGAACCCTAGGCCCAGCCAATTCCCCAACAAAGCCTTGGCTTTACAATCAAAATACACCCATCATCTAGTCCCTTTTTACCACTTGGCCCTCAGCCTTGGTCTGACCCCCCTCTGGGGTCACTGTAGCAGCTTCCCAGCTGGCCTTCCCTTCTTACCACGTGGCCCTCAGCCCTGGTCTGACCCCCTCCGGGATCACTGCAGCAGCTTCCCAGCTGGGCTTTGCTTCTTACCACGTGGCCCTCAGCCCTAGTCTGACCCCCTCTGGGATCATTGCAGCAGCTTCCCAGCTGGCCTTCCCTTCTCACCACGTGGCCCTCAGCCCTGGTCTGACCCCCCTCTGGGATCACTGCAGCAGCTTCTCAGCTGGCCTTCCTGTTTCCGCCATTGCTTTGTGTATTTTCCATGAAGGAGCAAACGATTTCTTTTATCATACCATTCCTCGACTGAAAACTCCAGTGGCTCCAGGTCGGCACCAAGCCTGTGAAGCCTCAGTCTGACATCTGCTGCCCCTTGGACCTCTCTGTTGGATATGACTCTTCCGTGGGCCCCTGTGCCCCAGGCTGGACTGGTGTTGCCATTGCTTGAACATCTGAGTGAGCTTTCTCTCCAAGGACTTTGCACTTGGCATCGCTTTGCCCAAGCTACTGTTTACCCAGAGAGCTGCGTGGCGCATTCTCTCCCTTCCTTCAGACCTTTGCTCAATGTCACCTTATCAGAAAGGCCTTGACTGTCCCTTTAATGTAAAACAGTGCTCCGGGCTCTCCGTCTTCCCACACTGCTTTATTTTTCTTTATTGCACTTTTCCTCTGGTATTATTTTTCTCTTTATTTTCAGCCCCTTCCCACTGAAACGTGGATTCCACAGGGGTAGGAAGTGTGGTCTGTTTTGTTGATGCTGTATCCTTGGTGCCTAGTTCTCTATCAGAGCAGTTCTCAGCGAAGGTAGAATGGAGAACAGAGGATGGTGGTGTGGAGAAAACTCCGTGTCCTACATGGAAGCTACAAGCTTATATCCAGTCGCCATAAAATCAACCGTATTTCATTCCAGCCCAGATCTACCAGATACTGCCACCATCACTGCGAAGCTCAGTTGTTATTTTTTGTGAAACTACTAGTTTATTTAAAACAGAAGACTCCGCCACTGTGGTGTCATGATAAGATGTCCAGTTTGTAACTCGCAAGTCCATACTCGTAGAAAGGTCAAATTCCCACTGACCACAAGGATACGCAACCACGTCCTAGGGGCCGCCATTTCTTTCTTCTAGGTCTTCCATCGACAGTGAACCCGCCTTGGTCTTAGGCCCTCTGAAGTCTGTGCAGGAGCTGCGGAGGGAGCAGCAGCTGGCTGAGATCGAGGCCCGCAGGCAGGAGAGGGAGAAAAACGGCAATGAGGAAGGTGAAGAAAGAATGACCAAGCCTCCTGTGCAGGAGATGGTAGATGAGTTACAAGGCCCCTTCTCGTATGATTTCTCTTACTGGGCGCGGTAAGCTCTCTTGTGCGTTTCCCTACAGTGTCCTCTGTTTTGTGGGGATAGGACCCGCCAAACTGAAGTATATTAATTATTTTAGGTCTGGAGAGAAAATCACTGTTACACCGTCATCTAAAGAGCTGCTCTTTTATCCCCCTTCAATGGAAGCCGTTGTCAGTGGAGGTAAATGTCAACTCAGCGAGCGAATGTCACACACACCTTTGCAGTTGTTCCCTTGCCTGCATTTACAAGTAGATTTGTGATGTTATAGTGAAGCCATCTTTGTAAGCCACCTTACATCCTCTCTGGCACACAGATGTTACTGTTGGTTGGATGGATGGATGGATGGATGGATGGATGGTTGGGTTGGATGGATGGATGGATGGATGGATGGATGGATGGATGGATGAATGAATGATTTAGATAAATAAAAGTAACTTTTGCTGTTAGAATTGAGTTGATCTTTTTGGAAAAGGACTTGGTTTTCTTTGACATTATCAGGTCGACACCAGAAGGTAGATGAAGCACAAAGCTGCCAGTGATGATCTTTAATGATCTTTCTGTTGTTTGGCAGAGCATGATGGGAGGGTCTTTTTTTGGGGAATGGATGACTGAAGTGATCACTTGTGGAGTATTTGTCTTTTGCCACTTATTATTTTTTTCCCAGCACTCTGGCTTCGTTAAGTTGTGGGTGTTATGTGGTTCGCGTTTGGAAGCAGAGGGTGTTGAAGAGCGTGACTTCTAGCAGGCAGGCTGTTTGGGGCGGTCTTTCTCAGTGGGTCCTCCAGAGGCTGAGCAGCACGGCCTCCTGTCTGCTGTAAAGTGTTCCCTCCTGATCTGTGGCCTCCTGAGAACCTAGGAAGAGTAGTAGTAAAAACCCAGCCTTCAGCGTTTTTTGATTCTCTTGCTAAAGTCCTTCACACTGAGAAAGGCCTTTCAGGGATGGAAAGAGGCTTGGGCTGTATCCGATTATTGAGCTCCCCGGGGTGTTAAATAACCGCATTTGGAACTAGCTTCTAAGATCTGTTTTAGCCACTTTTGTCATGGGAAACCCCCAACCAAGAAGCTCCTGTCTCTGCTACCAAGCCCCATCCTTGTGTTTATTTCTTCCCCTCTTAGAAAGCTGCCCAGGGAAGCTGATCGAGATCCACGGGAAGGCAGGCCTGTTTTTAGAAGGCCAGATCCACCCCGAGTTGGAAGGAGTCGAGATTGTCATCAGTGAAAAGGGGGCAAGTTCACCGCTGATCACAGTCTTTACTGATGACAAAGGTGCCTACAGGTGAGCCCGGGATAGAGACACATTTGCCTGGGATCAGCGTGGGAGTCCTCTGAAGAAACTGGGGCCCACATTTCCTTGGGCTTGGTAAGGCTTCCTGCAGGGTGTGAACAAAGCCGTTGCTAGCATTCTGCTCTCTCCTCTTCAGTGTTGGCCCCCTGCACAGTGACCTGGAGTACACGGTGACCTCACAGAAGGAGGGCTATGTTCTGACTGCAGTGGAAGGAACCATCGGAGACTTCAAGGCCTATGCCCTGGCAGGCGTAAGCTTTGAGGTAACTAACACTGTATTTTCAAAAGGCAGTTATACTGAGGTATAATTAACATATAATAAACTGCACAAAAAGGGTACAGTGTGGTAGTCTTGACCTAGGAATACACCCATGAAAACACCTCCACAATTAAAATAGCACATCTGTGGCCCTCAAGGTTTCCTCCTGCCCCTTGGTAATCCCTCCCTGCCACCCTTCCGCTGAGCTGATGATCTGCTTTTCATCACCATTGGTTAGTTTGCATTTTCGAGTTTTTATAGGTTGGTGCAAAAGTGATTGTGGTTTTTGCCATTGAGAATAATGGCAGAAACCGCAATCACTTTTGCACCAACCTGTATATAAATGGAATCAAACAGGATATACTGTTGTTTTTTTTTTTTTTTTGGTCTGACTTCTTTCACGTAGCATAATTTGGAGAGCTGTTGACTTTAGCATGTTTGTGTACCTTCTGGGAAGTAGTTAAAGCTGTCATCCATAACTGTTCCATTTTGAAGGACACAGAATGTTCTTACTGAGGCGTTTGCTGCCTAGCTCCCTTCCACCGGTCCTTTCTGGGAAGAAGCGTGCTGCGATTGTACAGAGTGGGTCTGGAGATCGTTGAGAATGAATATTTATAAACTATAGGCCAAAGGAAAAGAGTGACAGATTACATCGCATAAAAATTTAAAATTCTATATTGCTGAATACATTTGGAACCAAACTGAAAGATATTCAAACTCGGAAGAAATGTTTGTATCATAAATAATATCCCCATTTTACAAGGAGCTCCTAAAATTGGTAAGAAAAAGACAACCCACTAGAAAAAAAATGAACAAAGATTATGAAAAGGAAATTCATGGAAGTAACGCAGGTGACTAATAAACACAGAAACACAAAGCCTCTGTAGTTACTGAGGAAATGTGCTAAGGAAGTTACAGTCGAAACACTGTTTTGCAGGGATTAGATTTGCTGTAATTAAGACAATCTCTATTTTTTGGTAAGTGTGGGTTTTCCCAAGCATAAATAATTTATGGGACTGTAAGTGGTTACAGCCACTTTGGAATGCAATTAGATAGTATCTTTCTGAATTTAAAGTGCATGTATCCAACAATTCTACTTCTAGGAATGGATTGTTCAGGAAATAAAACTAAGTGCCTAGAGATACATATTTGGGGATATTCCAATTGTCTCTTGTGTACCACAAGAGTAGGTGCTGTGGTTTGTCAAACCCTGCCTTAGAATGCTATGCAGTAGTTAAGAAACAGGCAGATTTCTATTGGCTGGCAGAAGAGAACCAGGATAAATTGTTGAGGAAGAGAGCAAGTTGCAGAACTGTACATATAACATGCCATTTTTATTTCACCTCCTCCACCCACTCAATGAACTTGCCAGTCTGTGAACAATAATATGTAATGTTTATAAAATTTGTGTGGGCATAGAAAGAGTTCTGGGCGGGGCACGGTGGCTCATGCCTCTAATCCCAGCACTTTGGGAGGCCCAGGCATGTGGATTGCTTGAGCCCAGTAGTTTGAGATCAGCCTGGGCAACGTGGCAAGACCCGTCTCTATAAAAAATACAGAAATGTAGTTGGGCATGGTGGTGTGCGCCTATAGTCCCATCTCCTCAGGAGGTTAAAGCTGAAGGATTGCTTGAGCTTGGGAGGCGAAGGTTGTAGTGAGCCCAGGTTGTGCCACTGCACTCCAGCCTGGGTGACAGAGCAAGACCCTGTCTCAAAAAAAAAAAAAAAAAAAGTTCTAGAAGGCTACACACCAAACTTACAAAACTTACAACAGTAGTTACCTGTGGGGAGGAAGATTAGGTCCCCTGTCCTCCTTTGAGTAACAATAAAAGAAAAAAACCTTGAAAAAATGACCTCTTGACTTGTGGAACTGTTATTTTCATAGTTAGTAGGAGTTTAACCTTGCTCTGGTCTCACCTTCTCATCCCCAGATAAAAGCTGAGGATGACCAGCCCCTCCCGGGAGTCCTCTTATCCCTGAGTGGTGGCCTGTTTCGTTCCAACCTCTTGACCCAGGACAACGGCATTCTGACATTCTCAAACCTGGTAACGTGTTCTGCAATTTACCACCTGCCTGTCTTCCCTGAGAGAGAGCCAGGATGCAGCATGCGAGACTTATGTGTTGCTTGACAACGTGAGAAGAGAAGGCCAATGTGGAGTGGTTTCAGTTTCTTGGGGGCCCACGGTCATTAGAGTATTGCTCTTACTCGAACTTAATGCTGCTGATTCATGTTCCCTTCCACACGCGCTTCTTGTTTTCTGATCACCCGCTTGTCACTAAGACAGTGTAATTAATTTCCCTGGCCACAACGGCTGCTCTCTTAGGCGTCTTCTCGTTTTGCCACAGAATCATGTTTATGATGCTGAGTCTTGTTTGGTGGTTAGCTTGCGTTTCTTCTGAAAAGACATTCCACTTGGTGGGAAGAGAGCAGCAGTTTTTCTTTCAAGATGCAGTCGGAGGCCCTGACTGGTGGGGATTCAGGAAGTGTGTGTTAGTTGGTCATCTTGTCAGTCATGGTGACAAAGTGGCTGTGGTGGGGCTACTGGAGACCGGGCAGTGGGGGCATCTGAAGACACCACTTTGCAGTGATGCAGACTGCTCCTTACTTGCTGTGTCCTATCAGGCAAGTTACTTTGCCTCTCTGAGCCTCAGTTTCTTTATTCATTAAATTCAAATATGAGCCAGGTATGGTGGCCCACGCCTGTAATCCCACCGCTTTGGGAGGGTGAGGCAGTAGGATCGCTTGAGCTTGGGAGTTTGAGACCAGCAACATAGGAAGACCCCATCTCTACAAAAAATAAAAAAATTAGCTGGGCATGGTGGTGCATGCCTGTGGTCCCAGGTACTCAGGAGGCCGAGGTGGGAGATTTGCTTGAGCCCAGAAGGTTGAGACTACGGTGTGCTGTGATCGTGCACTCCATCCTGGGGGACAGAGTCAGGCCCTGTCTCAGAAAAAAAAAAAAAAAAGAAAAGAAAAATTAAATATGACTTCTACCTCTCTGAGTCATTGCAGGCAGGTGATACCATCAGCTGCCGTTGTTAGAGTTGTGATTGCCACTACCTGACTGTGAGTGGTGATTATAGAGAGAGGGTTACTATTTTTGGCTGCCAGGGAAGCCATGGCGCTCCCCTGGTGTAATTCTGGTCCATCGTGACATTCGCCCCTCACTTTTAAGCCATGCCTAGATGTGGCTGCTGAGGCTCAGTGTGATTATCTTGGCAGAGCCCTGGCCAGTATTACTTCAAACCCATGATGAAGGAGTTCCGGTTTGAGCCATCCTCACAGATGATCGAGGTGCAGGAAGGCCAGAACCTGAAGATCACCATCACGGGGTACCGAACCGCTTACAGGTAAGTGCCCTGGCCACCCCACTCTCTTCCAGGGCTGGGCTGGTGAATCACATTCAGGCCTCTGTTGCCTGGAAACGCATCCCAGGCTTCACACTGATTTTACTTGGGAGGGAAGGGAGATGAGATATGAGGGCAAAGGAGTTTTGACTGCTGCCCTTCTCTCCTAGGAGCTCAACCTGGTGGTTCAGTCTCAAATTTCCTATTTTGGAATTGGCTTGAGAGAGCCTATTGAGTTGCTAAAAGCTTTTATTTATTTTTTATTTTTTGAGACGGAGTTTCATTCTTCTTGCCCAGGCTGGAGTACAATGGCGCAGCCTTGGCTCACTGCAACCTCTGCCTCCCGGGTTCCAGCAATTCTCTTGTCCTGGCCTCCCAAGTAGCTGGGACTGCCACCATGCATGGCTAATTTTTCTATTTTTAGTAGAGACAAGATTTCACTTTGTTGGCCAGGTTGGTCTCGGACTCCTGATCTCAGATGATCTGCCTGCCTCGGTCTCCCAAAGTGTTGGGATTACAGGCGTGAGCCACTGCGCCTGGCCACTTTTATTTTTTAAAAGAGTTTCAAACCTGAATTACATCATTAAAAGGAGAAAATGTGCTCAGTTGAATAAAACTTCAAAATGCTGAAAAGAGTATAGTGTAAAATTTCCCCTCTGTCTCGTCTCCTAGCCACCCAAGTTCCTCTTCTGGGAGACAACCAGTACTTCCAGTTTTTCTGAATGCTCCCAGCTGTAGATAGATAGATACACATGAGTGTCTGGCAAGGCACAGTGGCTCACACCTATAATCCCAGCACTTTTGGAGGCTGAAGTGGGAAGTTCTCTTGAGTCTGGAAGTTCAAGACCAGCCTAGGCAACATAGCAAGACCCCGTCTCTACAAAAAAATAAAAATACAAAATAAAAAAGATACACATCTATAGATAGAGAGATGCATACATATATACATGTATACACACAGATACACACATATGTGTATTTTTTGTAGACTTATACAGAATCACTTTAGAGGAAGAGTAATTGGAAAGATTGGGTTTAGAAAAATGGACCATTTTCTACTGAATATATGGAATGAAAGAGGAAGTGAGTTATTTCCATGTTATTGAAAGCTCCATTATTTCAAATAAAGCCTAGAAAGAATAAAATAAAGCTTTAGCCTTCTTAAATTACAATTTTCCAGAGCATCCCTCAAAATGTATGAGAAAAGAAATTGATGGCAGCTTATCCCTCCGGCAGGAAGGTGTGGTTTGAAAGTGGGCCGGCCACACCGAGTTGCCTGGGTCATTGAGGCACAGTTCTCCCCTGAACTATTTTGCCCCATAATTGTTGGTAAACGGGAAACACTTGGGTCCTTCAGATAACCATGAGAATATCTCATTCGTGCCTGTTCTTGCCATACTAGTTGCTATGGCACAGTGTCTTCCTTAAACGGAGAGCCCGAACAAGGGGTTGCCATGGAAGCGGTGGGCCAGAACGACTGCAGCATTTACGGAGAAGACACCGTGACAGACGAAGAGGGCAAGTTCAGATTACGTGGATTGCTGGTGAGACTTGGAATGTGTTTTCTTTGGGGACTTTTTTTTCATCCTGTGTCCAGAAGTATCTTGTGGTGGCCCCAAGACTGCTAGGAGTGGGTTGGGCGAGAGGGCTGGGGGTGGGGCTCTGGAGCCCTCCCAGTTCTTACCTTTAATTGGTAGAGTTTGCCTTTTTTCTAGCCAACAGGTCAGATCAAGGATCTGTGGCACAATGGAGTTGGAAAACCATGGGTTTGGTAGGGCTTTTCCCTAGCAGTATGTGGCCATGGCTTACGCCAGGGCTCAAGCCAAACGCCTATGGAGCCAGAAGAGCAGTATGAACGGGGGAGAGGAGGCTGTGCGAAATGATAGGGAGTGGTGAGGGCTGTGGAGTGGGCACGGCCTGTGGAAAGGGACAGCCTGTCACTTGGTTCCAGCTTATTGTAGCCATGGGGGAAGACAGAGTCAGGGTTGCCAGATCCTTGAAATTTTAAAAAGAGAAGTCAGAAATTCCCACTTCCCAGAAATAATACCCAACACAAGCATTTGGGAATGCTTATGGTGGACATTCCAGATATCCATCAATGTGTATATACGGGTAGAGGGGAGGGGTGGATGGAGAGGAAAAACATCTTAGAAGAGTAAGAGCACATAGTATGCTTGGAATTTTGAAATAAGAAACCAAATTTGATTTATTTTGGGGTAGGAGAAAATGAAACTGAGTTGGGATGGAAGGAGTCGCAAAATTTCAGATGTTTCAACACTAGGGGTGTTCTTAAAGGAACTCTGGACTCTTAAGGTTAACAGGCCACAGATTAGGAAATGAGGGGAGAGAAATGCTCCTGTCTTAATGATCTCGTGCAGCCAAACCAGGCTTGGACCAGGCACGATACGACAAGCCCCCTTTCTAGAGAACTGACTCCTGAGTTTTTTTGCAGCCGGGATGTGTGTACCACGTTCAGCTCAAGGCAGAAGGCAACGACCACATTGAGCGGGCGCTCCCCCACCATAGGGTGATTGAGGTAAGGCATTCAGTGCTGCCGCTGCACCTGGGTGTGGGTGCCTCCCTAATCAGAAGTCCTCCCGTCTCCTCTGGCTGTCTGCCTTTCATCTGTGGCGGGGGGAACTTTCATCCTAATTAAGGGTCCTCTTAGAATAGTGTCATCTTCACAAGCAGAATCTTATGTGGGTTTTTAGTGAACAGCGTTGCTGTCATGCATCCAGAAAGGAAATTGGAACTGTTGTATCCTCCCCGCGACTTGCCCTGTAAGCTCTGATCATTATTCTGCAAGTTAAGGAACTTAAGGCCTAAGCAGCATTTCAAATCAAGGGACAATAATAGCACATGGGCTTAATGGGTGGCAGGGCCACGCAGTTATCTTAGGTTCAGATGACCTTTTTCCTGCTCCCATTTTGTGGGCAGAGTCTTTTGATACTCAAGATCATGACCTAGCTAAATTAATCCCTAAAGAGGACATCCTTCGAGTCACAGAATGTGGCCTGGGAATCATTTGAAGTAAGGCTTTTCTCTTACTGAGTAACTCTCATTGGGAAGACTAGAGGGCTTAGGTAGGGCAAGAGGGGCTGCCTCTTAGTGGCTTTATTTAGGTGGCTTCATTATGCATGAAGATTGTGAGGGAGGATAGAACTTTTGACCTAGGAAGTGGATTTTCTTTTTTTTTTCTTTTTTTTTTTTTTGAGATGGAGTCTCACCCTGTCACGCAGGATGGAGTGCAGTGCCGTGATCTCGGCTCACTGCAACCTCCTCCTTGTGGGTTCAAGTGATTTTCCCACCTCAGCCTGTAGCTGGGACTACAGGCATACACCATCACACCCGACTAATTTTTGTATTTTTAGTAGAGACGGGGTTTCACCATGTTGGCCAGATTGGTCTTGAACTCCTGACCTCAGGTGATCTGCTCGCTTCGGCCTCCCAAAGTGCTGGGATTACAGGCATGAGCCACCGCACCGGGCCGGAAGTGGATTTCCTTGACGTCTTTACGGTGTTGGCATTTTAAATGGCTGGGATGACTGCATCTCACACCAAAATGCTTTGCATGTTCTCGGTGTAGTAACTTAGGCCAGGATCACTAGCATAATGTGGACTGTGGCCGGGCAGGTATGAAAGGGAAGGGGGCCGGCCCTCTGGGATCTCGCAAACTCCATGTACAGACCTCACGCAGAGGGGGTGCTGTGACTCTGCCCCTGCTCTAACAGGCAAGAGCATCCTTCTCCTCTTTTTTTTTAAGAGAAGCTGGAAAATCTGGCTTCATATATGAAATTTCTTAATTTTTAACATGTTGGCAAGTAATTCAAACGTAGAAAAAAAATACTGTGCTTTCGAAATGAAATGTGTCTATGGGCCAGGGATATGCCCCTGCTCTAACAGGCAAGAGCATCCTTCTCCTTTTTTTTTAAGAGAAGCTGGAAAATCTGGCTTCATATATGAAATTTCCTAATTTTTAACATGTTGGCAAGTAATTCAAACGTAGAAAAAAAATACTGTGCTTTCGAAATGAAATGTGTCTATGGGCCAGGGATAGCCATCTTCTGTCGGTTTGTGACCTTGGACGTAGGGTACTCAATGACAAACTTAGCTTCCTTAATGTAAGAAGCAAAGTTTGCCATGAAGCAGCTCTCAGGCCATCGGACAGCTGGCATAGAAGTTCCTCCACCAGCTTTCTCATTACTGGCATTCCCTCTTTCTCTCTCTAGGTTGGGAATAATGACATCGATGATGTAAACATCATAGTTTTCCGGCAGATTAATCAATTTGATTTAAGTGGAAATGTGATCACTTCCTCTGAATACCTTCCTACGTTATGGGTAAGTCCAGACTTTTAAGCTCCAAGTATTGTGTTCCCTTTGGCTTTGAGACAAGTACGAATGGGATGTTTTTGGTTTTGTGCCTGTCTCGTGCCTTAGGTGTGACAGGTGGAGGTGCTCCAGAGTGCCGCCTGCTGAGGGTTGAGGTTGAGATTTAAGAACCTTGGACCACAACACGTATTTGGGAGAGTGATTGCCAGTTGTGGGAGAGAATGTGGTCCAGTTTCAGATAACTGTCTGCCATCAGTTAATCTTCCAAAGAATTATAGTAGAAGCCTGATCAATGATCAATACAATATGGAATCTAACGTGGAAAGCCAATTCTAAAGAAAGCGCCTTGTAACTTAAAATTTTCTCTGGAGTGGAGGTCGTATTAAACGTTCTTGCATTGGTTTAAAGAAATGCCTGAGGCTAGATAATTTATAACAAAAGAGGTTTCATTGGCTCCTCGTTCTGTAGGTTGTACAGGAAGCATAGTGGCGTCTGCTTCTGGGGAGGCCTCAGGAGGCTTCCAATCATGGCAGAAGGTGAAGTGGGAGCAGGCATGTCATGTGGGAGAAGCTGGAGCAAAAGAGAGAGTTGGGGCATGGTGCCACACACTTTTAAATGATCAGATCTCACAAGACTCATAACGAAGACAGCACCAAGCCACGAGGGATCCACCCCAAAGATCCGATCATCTCACAGCAGGCCCTACCTCCGGCACGGGGGATTACAATTCAACATGAGATTTGGGCAGGGACAAATATCCAAACAGTATCAGAGGTGGTGGACGGTGGGCTGGAGAGCAGGTGGTCTGGGCTTTCTCTTGTCTCCAGTAGTGACTCACCTTGCTGCCTGGGCCAGTCACTTCATTTCCACATGCCTCGACTTCGTCCTCTGCAAAACCTAGATTTTGGACTCAGAGACCTCTTATAATCTTGTTCAGCTCTAACAAAATCTCCATGTTACCATTAATGAAGAAATGTTTATAAAATACCCTGCAGACCCTCTGCGGATGTTAGTGATTTGCTCTGGGGGTACATTGTTAAGATGCGCTTGTAATTTTATAAGCAGTTAAGTATTTGGCATGGGTGAGAAAGTGTGTGTGCGCTTTAGTCCACTCTGTCCAGGGCTTGCAGGCGTGTGCTTGTAGGGACCAGGCAGGTAATGTCAGAGAGTGCAGAGGGTTGGGTAGGGTGGGGGGCAAACTGGGGAACTCCTGCCCCATCCATGAGGGGCACAAGGGAGGGGAAGAGGCAGAGAGGAGGGGAGGGCGCCACTCTCTTGCTCCTGAGTGTTGCTGTGCTAGAATTGAGGCTCAGGGTTGGTGTCACTTCCCAGTTTTCCGGAGAAGCTGGAAATTAGAATTATTTGAAATCACCTGATTTTTAAATATAGTCGGTGAATTCAGATTTACTTAAGATGTTATAGAAGAAAAAAGAACACATAAGGGATCTTCAATGCGACCCATAACCTTCAGTCTGTGACTTTCATTTTAGGAAAATTCCCCTGGTGTGTTATGTAGAAAGGTGCCAGTGTGGGCCCAGGGAGGTGGTCCTGGCATTCTCTTGCGGCAGGTGCACTGTGGCATCCTCACAGCCTTTGCCATCAGCCAGGGCTGCACCTTAACCCTGCTCATGCCCCATCCCGTGTGGGAGTGAGAACAGGCAACAACCCCAGAAATAAAGCCAGAAACAAAGTACTCCAGTGCCTCCTGAAGCAGCGTGGAGAGCCACGTACATGATGGAATGCGTTTTGAGTTTAACAGATTGGTGGAGTTAAGGTGACATCATATGATGAGGCAGTGCAAGGCGGGAAGGACCCTCAGGAGTCGTCAGGGGGTTGAGTCCCAGGCTCTACCATGTGTAAGTTGTGTGACCTTAGGTGACTTTGGCTCTCTGGGTCTCCATAGGGATAATAACAATACCTGTTTTGTAGTCAGGATTGGCGATAATGTAGATAAAATATCTGGCGCCTGCCTGGCATATTACAGATGTTCAACACGTGTTAGAAGCTATTTTTAATATTACTATTATATTAACTTATATTACTATTTTGAGCAAGAACATGGGTAGTCAGAATCTGATTTGAATCTTAATTTCTGTGCATGATACATAACTGGATGGAGTCTCAGATGACAGAGGGATGTGTGATGTCTATGGAGGGAGCTTTCTTTTTCAAATATCCATGTTTCCAAAGACACCTACCCAGAGAGCGGCTGTCCTGAGGATGTCTGCTATGAAATATTGATTGTGTTTCAGTTTCAAAGCATGTCTGACTTTGTTTCTCCCTCCAGGTCAAGCTTTACAAAAGCGAAAACCTCGACAATCCAATCCAGACAGTTTCCCTTGGCCAGTCCCTGTTCTTCCATTTCCCCCCACTGCTCAGAGATGGCGAGGTAATGCCTGTGGCCGGATTCTACCTTCTGCCTTTGTTTTAATAATTCTGCTGTTTAGTTTAAGGAAGCACAGTTCTCTCCTTTTCTCCCTAAATACCACTCTGCAGAAATGCGCTCTCTGAATCAAAAGAGGTTGGGTTCTGTAGGGATTATTTTTTCTTCATTGTTTTTCTGTTTACAAAAAGAATACATATTCATGGCAGGAGATTTTGGGAAAAAGAAGACATAAGCCCATCATCCAGAAATAGCCACTGCTAACATGGTGATTGGTATCCTTTGGGTCTTTTTTCAGGCACGTGTGCGCATGCATGTATAAATATAAATAGACATTTATTTTAATAATTCAAAACTGACACTGTTTTGTACATTGTTTTGTAATCCATGCTCTTCAATGAAGAATTTATCACAAATCTGTTCCTCATCATCAAATCTTTCTTTTTTTTTTTTTTTTGAGACGGAGTCTCGCCTTGTCGCCCAGGCTGGAGTGCAGTGGCGCAATCTGGGCTCACTGCAAGCTCCGCCTCCTGGGTTCACACCATTCTCCTGCCTCAGCCTCCGAAGTAGCTGGGACTACAGGCGTGCGCCACCACACCCGGCTAATTTTTTTTTTTGTGTATTTTTAGTAGAGACGGGGTTTCACCATGTTAGCCAGGATGGTCTTGATCTCCTGACCTCGTGATCCACCTGCCTCGGCCTCCCAAAGTGCTGAGATTACAGGCGTGAGCCCCCGTGCCTGGCCAAATCTTTCATACTATGATTTTTATGGACAGTAGTCCATAAACTAGGAAACGCGATGATTTATTTAACCAAGGCCTACTGTTGGGCATGATCGACTCTTGCACTTTGAACATATCACCCCATGCTTTCCTGCTAAGAAGTCCACTTTTAAAAATGCCTTGTAATTTTTAAAAATTCCTCTATTTTAACATTCTGCTATTGAGTTTAGGGAAATACAGTTTCCTCATGATGGGGGATCCCTTGAATGAGATGAGTTGCTTTTCTCTTGCTGCTTTGAACGTTCTCTCTGTCTTTGATAATCTGATTATAACGTGTGTCGTGTAGAACACTTGCAGCTCCACCTTTTCAGTGTCCTTTGGGTTCCATGAATCTGGATGTCTCCCTCCTTGGAACTGGGAAGTTTTCAGCCATTATTCTGGCCGTCATTTACTGATTATAAAGTGCTTATTATCAATTCTATTTGGACAGAGCTAACTTGTAGTTGGTGTGGGGAGTGCAAACTTTGCAAAGAATTTGGTTCTTTTCTGGTGGTCTTAGCCTGAGGATGTCAAGTGTGAGCCTAGAGGGTGACGTTTCCTCTCCTGGCTCCTTACCACCTGCCGTGAAGATGATCTACTCTGGCCTTTCTCTGTGGAAAATGGCTGCGAAATAATGAAACAGGCTGTCACGGAATTTTCTCCTCCTCTTTCTCCAGGGGTGTTGAAATAGTCACTTCCTACAGCGATGCGGAAACATCTTGGGCTTTGGGGTCACACTTCCCCTGAGTTCAGAGCCTTCATAGATGTGTGGCAGCCTTCTTAGCTGAGTGACCTTGGGCAAGTTACTCTTAGTCTCTTCGTGCTTGACTTTCCTCGTCTATAAGACGGGGTGATGATCCCGACCTTGCCAGTGGTAGAAAGCAAAGCAGCCGCGGGCCTCATGCAATGTGCATGGTGCCTGGCAGCTGGTCGGTGCTCAGCACACAGAGCTGTGACGGGCCTCATGCAATGTGCATGGTGCCTGGCAGCTGGTCGGTGCTCAGCACACAGAGCTGTGGCTGCCCCTGGTGCCGTTCCAGGGATGCTGTATTTTTAGGATTTGCCAGCTTACGAGCCTCTCAAGCATCGTCCCTTAGAAGTCAGCCCCGTTGTGGATCCTCAGTTGTATCACGTACCTCCCTCATCAGAATTGGCTCATAATAATTTTTTGTGTTTCATAAAGTCAGATCCTCAGAGGACCGTAATTGTCAAGGTTGGGTACTCATAAAAAGGCTGCAGGCTCTGACAGCCTTATCAGAAGCCACAGTCTCAGAGACACTGGGGACACATGCCCGCCACTGATGGAATAGCCCGCTGAGGTTGATACTTTGAAGGCAGCAACCTTGGTTTGGATGTGTAGTCTTGGGGATTTCTTTAAAAACATAAAGTTCTTTACATCACAGCCATACGTTAGGTTTTAGTTTTCATTTGCTTTGCCAGAGCTGTCCTTATAAAAATAACTTCTTCCCATGTGTGCACAGAACTATGTTGTGCTTCTGGACTCCACACTCCCCAGATCCCAGTATGACTACATCTTGCCTCAAGTTTCTTTCACCGCAGTGGGCTACCATAAACACATCACCTTGATTTTTAATCCCACGGTAAGTAAAAGAGGGAGTTAAAAAAAAATCCATGGGCTGGGTTTGGTGGCTCACGCCTGTAATCCCAGCACTTTGGGAGGCCAAGGCTGGTGGATCTCTTGAGCCCGGGAGTTTCAGACCAGCCTAGGCAATACGGTAAAACCCCAACTCTACAAAAAATACAAAAATTAACCGGGCGTGGTGGAACGCACCTATAGTCCCGGCTACTCAGGAGGCTGAGGTGGGAGGATCACTTGAGCCTGGGAGGTTGAGGCCTCGATGAGCCATGATCATGCCCCTGCACTCCAGCTTGGGTAACAGAGTGAGACCCTTTCTCCAGAAGAAACAAAACAAAACAAAACAAAACAAAACAAAACAATCCATGGGGTGGCAAAAGAAGGCATGTCCATACAACCTGTGCTCCAGGTCGCAGGTTGCAGGGCAGATATTTAAAGGGCTCCTGGCATTGGGTCACTTTCTCATTCTGCCTTCTGGATTCTGGGCTTCCCCAGATTGTTTTTAGCTTTTCTGAGCACTGATGCCTGCGATTCCCTTTGAGGAGGAAACTGGTAATAAGAGCAGTGTAATTGTTTAGATCGGTGGCTCAGGAATGATTTTGGGGGAGGAGGGACACCACTATCGCTGGTGTGGCGTGTGCTTCTCCATGAGGGAGCACATGGTACATGGCCACGCAAACCCCTAGAACCAACTGCTACTTTACAGGAAATAGGGAGGACCCAGGAGCACGCAAATGACTCCACAGGGATGCAGGACAACCACCTGGAGCCTGATTTGTTTGACAAATAAATTGCAAGGAAAAAAAAACCAACAACAGATGGACAGAATACCTGTGGGTTAAAAGAAACTTAACTTATCGCTTAATTCATTGCAATATGTGGCCCTTACTATTTGCAATATGTGTATCTGTTGCATACGGTCTGTCCTGTATCCGATAGGCTGGAACAGTGGAACAAACAAAACATACACGTATCTTTTACCTTCTTGATAAAATTGTTTAGTGATTCCTAAAGCTCAGATGCAGTATTGTCACCTGATGATTAAACAGACACATCAGCAATAGCAAAAACAGAGTCCAGGGCTCAGCCTCAGGACTGCTGATTCTGAACTTGACGGGGTGAAAGTGTAGCACAGGAGTCTGCATTAAAAACAAAAATCTGGCCTCATAGCTACTGTGTTGGTTGTTGCTTCTAGGCCTTTTCAGTGGGCAGAATAAGAACTTTATTGTTTTCAAAAGATGTAACTGTAAGTGGAACAATATCCTCCGATCCTCCTTTTTCCTTTTTTGATAACGACACAGCATTCCTCTGTGTGGATATACCGTGTGTCTTAGGCCATTTGGGCTGCTATTTTGTATCTTAGACTGGGTAACTTATAAACAACAAACATTTATTTCTTACAGTACTAGAGGCTGGGAAGTCCAAGATCAAGGCATTGGCAGATTTGGGGTCTGGCGAGGACTTGCTGTCTGCTTCATAGATGGTGCCACCTAGCTGTGTCCCCACAAGGCGGAAAGGGGCAAACAAGTTCCCTCAGGCCACTCTTACGGGGCATTAATCCCTGACTTAATCACCTCCTAAAAAGGGTGTCCTCTTGACACTATCACATTATGGATTAGGGTTCAACCTATGAATTACGTAGGCACAGACACATTCAGATCCTGGCACTACATGTAGGATATTCAGTTAGCCCCTGGTTGAGGGGCGTTTGTGTTGTTACTGGTTTTCTGCTATTACACATAACCCTTTAATGAATTGCCTTACGCATGCATGTTTTTGAGTGTTCGTCAGTCTCTCTTTGGAATAGACTCCCAGAAGTGGAATTGCTGAGTCAAAGGGTAAATGCATACGGAATTTTGATTGATACGGCCACTTCCCATCCATGGGGGTTTTACTGTTTTATATTCCCGCCAGCAGTGAATGAGTACCCTTTTTTCCCCAACAGAGTATTTTGTCAAATTTTTCAATTTTTGCAGGCTTATAGATGAGAAGTGATATTATCTCACTGTACTTCTAATTGCATTTCTCTCTTTTCATGTGGTTAAGAGCCATTTGTATTTTCTGTGAACTATTTAACCTATTTTTCTATAGAATTTTTGGTCTTTTTCAACCATTTTCAGCTCTTTGTATACTAGGAATATTAACCCTTTGTAATGTTTGTTGTACATATTTTTCCCAATTTGTCATTTATCTTTTCACTTGGTTTCTGCAAAGATTTACTTTATTTCTGTGTTAAATGTGTTGATTTTTTCTTATTGCTTCTGGATTTTAGAGTCATAGGAAGGTTTTCTTCATTCCCAGCTTTTACAGGAATTTATCGTGTTTTTTTCAGGCAGACTTTTATAGTTTCTGTTTTTACATTTAAATCTCTCTATCCATTTGGAGTTTTTCCTGGTATAGATGTGAAGTATGGCTCCAGATTGTCTTTTTCCACATGCTATCCAGTTACCATTTCATGCTTTTCAAACGCCATCCTGCATGGAAGGTGGACAGGAATTACCTTTCATTTAGAGATGAGAAGATGGGAACCTAGAAGGAGATGTGAGCAGCCCAAGGTCACCAGCTCACGTGGAGCAGTGCTAGGGCTTGAGCAGAGCTCTGCTGCTGATTCTGGGCTTCTGTGAAGAGTGATTCATGCTCAGTGAGCCTGTAAATATGATCTTACCTGAACAAGAGAGTTTTTCTCATGACCCACGAGGAAACACTTCCTTGTTACTCACAGTAGAGACCTGGTTAGAAAGTGCTGGAGAGGGCTAGGTGTGGTGGCTCACGCCTGTAATCCCAGCATTTTAGGAGGCTGAGGTGGGCAGATCATTTGAGGTCAGGAGTTCGAGACCAGCCTGGGCAATGTGGTGAAAGTGAAACCCCATCTCTGCTAACAATACAAACATTAGCCAGGCGTGGTAGCACGCACCTGTAATCCCAGCTACTCGAGAGGCTGTGGCAGGAGAATTGTGAACCTGGGATGCAGAGTTTGTAGTGAGCTAAGATAGCCCCAGTGCACTCCAGCCTGGGCGACAGAGCAAGACTGTCTCAAAAAAAAAAAAAAAAAAGAAAGTGCCAGAAAGATAAGCATATACAAGAACCACTTACCTTTGCTTGGGGCTGCATTGTGGCCCAGTTGCTGGGAGAGGCTTCTGTGAAGGCCGTTGATAGCTGCAGGCAGTGACATTCTCAGGGGCCCCTAGCAGACAACTCATCCGGGCTCAGGGACACACCTGGGAGCCAGTGGCAGGAATGTGGAGACACTGCTTGGTGGTGGCCGAGCAGCCCAGCCTCGTAGCTGCTGCCTGTCACTTCTGAGAATGTAAGAAACTGTGCCCTGGTGTGTGATGTTCCCCTTCCTGTATACCTATGTAACTAACCTGCACATTGTGCACATATATCCTAAAACTTAAAGTATAATTAAAAAAAAAAAAAAAAGCTGTGCCTGCTGGGGCTTGGATTCCCGAGCAGGGCCAAGTGTTGAATGAAGAGAGCGCCCACTCTGTGCCACCCCGTACAGGGCCCTCACAGGTTGATCCTCACAACAAGCCTTCAAGCAGGTGTGCCATTCCTCCCATTTTCACAGAAGCCCAGAAAGATTGAGTCACTTACTGAGTGTTAGCAGAACCAGGACTCAAGTGAGGCAGTTTGTCTCAAGCCACATGGTTTCCACCTCGTTCTGCCCTCCGCGTGATGAGTGGCTCAGCATTGCATGTTCACGGGGGCTTTGTAAGCACATTGGTTTCCTTCTTTGTTGATGTGACTGCCCACAGCCTCGCGACTGGATTTTACTCAGTATTCCATGCCCTGCTGAGCATTTCACATACTCCTTTCATCAAGTTTCACAGCATCCACCCCCAGTGGGTGTTGTTCATATGATCTCCATGTCATAGTTGAGTAAACTGAGTCTCAACGTGGTTGCCTGAGTTTACCCAGTGAGGCCTGGGACCTGAGCCTAGACTGAATCACTCTTAATTCCTGCTGAATTAAACTTTTATTTATTTATTCATTATTATTTTTTTCTGAGACAGAGTCTTGCTTTGTTGCCCCTGCTGGAGTGCAGTGGCACGATCTTGGCCCACTGCAACCTCTGCGTCCCGGGTTCAAGTGATTCTCACCTCCTGAGTAGCTGGAATTACAGGCATGCACCACCACTTCTGGCTAATTTTGTATTTTTATAGAGACGGGGTTTCACCATGCTGGCCAGGCTGTTCTCAAACTCCTGACCTCAGGTGATCTGCCCACCTCAGCCTCCCAAAGTGCTGGGATTACAGGCGTGAGCCACTGCACCTGGCCTGAATTAAACTTTTAAGTAAGTGTTTACTTCAGTGGAAAAATGGGTTGGGTTCTAAGAGATGTCCAGAGATACAGGAGTAGGCAGTTGTTGATGGAAATCTGTTCCTGCCCTTATTCTTTCATTTATGAAAGGGCATCCCAGGTACAGCGGCCCCCACAGTCACTCTCTAGCCCAGCAGTTCTCGGATGGGTTGGTTGCAGGACCCCTTTATACTGTTAAAAATTATTGAGGATTTTAAAGAGTTTGAGTTTGCATGGATTATCTCTGTGTATATTTATCATATTAGTAATTAAAACCGAGATGTTGAAAACGCAAGAACTCACAAGCTACACATTCCGTTAGCTGTGGGCGTGATGACATCAGGGTGCGTAGTCTCTGGAAAAGTCCACTGTGTGCTTGCGAATGAAAGAGGGCGGAAAAGGCACATCACATCTTACTATTGGCTGAAAATAGCTGTGGCCTCGGGAACCTCTGCGAGAGGAGTCCCGGTATCCTACACTGAGAACACTGCTCTGGCTCATTAACTTGTTTTTATCATTATTGGGAAGTTCTCCTTCCATTTATTTGCTTCCTTTATGAGAGTAGAGTGGGCCAATGGGATATAGGTTCACTTGATGCTTTAGAACCCAGCATTTCAGGGGCTTTAGCAAGATGGAAATGTCTGTCTCATGTCAAGTGTCCAGGAGTGACCAGTGCAGAGATAGTCTGGTAGCTCCAAGGCGTCAGGGGACCCAGGCCCCTTCTGTCTCATTGTGCTGTTCCAGTGCATTGCTTTTCTCCAAAATGGGGCAATTGGCCAAATGCTGTCTACCCAGCAAAAGGGAGGGCACACCACTTCCCTAGGGTCCAGCCAGGGTGTGGCACTTACCGCTTCTGTTCCTGTACCATTGGCCAAAATTTAGTTCCAGGGCTGCGCCTGCTGCAGGGAAGGCTGGAAAAGGTGATCTATATTGTCGGTGGCCCAGATAAAAGTTGGGGGTTCTATTGGGAGAAAGGGAGAATGGCCACAGGGATGCTAGTAGCAGTGCCTGCTTTGCTTCCTCACTAGACCGTACTGGCTGGGAATAGCTGCCCATCACTGTGTGCCCTGGGTCTAGAACTGTAGGTTCTTGATACATCCTTGTAGGACTAAGTCCCTGCATGTTGCTGGGACTCAACAAACTGAGACCCAGTTGCTTTTCAACCACCAAGACTCTCTGATAGCTGCATCTCTTCATTTCCTCAGTTGGGAGGAGGGTCCAGAGGCTGAGGAATGCCTTGTCATTGGAATCTCTTTGTCCCTGAGTTTCAGAAGCAAATAGTGAAGCTTTGGGCAGAAGAGGATTCATGGGAAAATACATCCAAATCACTTTGGTTCCTTCCTTTGGATAGAAGGAATTTGGATCATGAGGGCCCCTGGGTGTCCTCAAGTGGCCACTTTGGAAGGCTGGGTGGGTGGTGGCTGTGGCATTGTGGATGATGGACAAGCTTGTGGCCTTGGTGAGGAGTGATGGGGCTCTCGGTGTTTGCAGAGGAAGCTGCCTGAACAGGACATCGCACAAGGATCCTACATTGCCCTGCCATTGACGCTGCTGGTTCTGCTGGCCGGTTACAACCATGACAAGGTAGGAAATCCAGAGGCCTCAGGAGATGGCGGGCATGTCAGGGAGAGCGAGTCCTCACAGCTGCAGGAGTGATAGCAGAGGGATGTCCAGGGTCACAGAAATCACATTTCCCGGTCGGGAGGGCCCGTGAAGGCCTCAAGTCCAGACTTAGGTCTCCTTTCAAGGCTGTAAACTTCTGTAACATCTCCTAATCCTTAAACCTGGAACACCTCTAGGGACATATTAGGCCCGGAGAGAGGCCAGCCCATCCCTGGGGACTCATTAGTAAGAGGCCTGCCTCGTTTGAACTGAAACCCACCCATTAGCACGTGGCAGCTGCTGATCATGTCTGAAGAAGGTGTGTTGAGAAGTGAGGCTCCGCTGTTCATCTGGCAAAAGCCTCCTCTTTGTACCCCTCTCTCTCACACTTTCTCTCTTTTCTAGCTCATTCCTTTGCTGCTGCAGTTGACAAGCCGGCTACAGGGAGTCGGCGCGCTCGGCCAGGCAGCCTCTGACAATAGCGGCCCAGAAGATGCAAAGAGACAAGCCAAGAAACAGAAGACAAGGCGGACGTGAGGAGGAAGGGGACAGTTGCAGTCTCACTTGGGACAGGCCACAGCCAGGGGTCCGGCCACTACCCGCCCGTGGGATAAAAGCCAAAAGCATGCGTCAGCTAACTTCAGCCTGTGCTGCTGGGCCCGCACCCCATGTCCCTTGTCACTGTGGCATCCTGCACCCATCCTCACCCCTCCGTAGAGCCCCTCGTGCAATGCAATGAATGGACCCTCCTGTCACTCTGCTGAACAGAATTTATTTTCTGAGTCAAATATAATTTATTATTATTTTTGTCAAAGAAGTATTTAAGCTGTGCTGTGGTGTGAGAATGTCATTCTTGATCTTCAGCCTTCGTTTGCAAGAAGAGTTCCAGTTGATGTGGTGTTTGGTTCCATGGCGGGGTACCCTAGGGATTCATCTGTTTTCTTCACTTCCCTTTGCATCTGAGATCCTGCTGGAAACCACGGCAACCTGTATCCACTATTAGGAGGTAAAAATCAATAAAATGGCCCATTCATTTGTGTTGTAGCTCATCATAGATGTATTTCTTGGATGACATGCACGTAACCCCCGGGAGTCTTCAGTTGAGCCAAATGTAGAGCAAGTCAGAGTCCTGAGTGAAGCTGGCTGGGGCAGGAAAAACACGAGCTCAGCCAACATGGTCCCCAGCAGCTTTTGGCGTCAGTGATAGAGAAATCGGAGATAGTGGAGGTTGTGGCAAGTTGAAGTGTGCCCACCACGTCTAAGGGAAGCTTAGGGACTCAGCTCTGGCTCACCCCTGCTGTGCAGAAATGTGCGTTCATTTTTCTAGAGAAGCCAGAAAAACAAAGATTTACGTGAAATTTTCCCAATTTTAAATGTTAGCCACAAATGCAGTGTTTTTTTAAGAAAACCACACACTTTGGCCAAACAAAATGCCTACGTCGGCCGGGTGAGGCTTAAAGGTTGCCGGCTTGCATCAGAGATCCAGAGGAAGTCACAGCATTTTAACAGCTAAACTTAATCCTCACAGGAAGTCATCAAGTGAATTAAGTGATATTGAAGGAGGGGACACATCCATCCATCCGACATTTATTGAGTGCCACATAGGACAGGCATGGGTATGTGAGGATGAGTAGGGTAGACAACACTCTACAGCGAGCTGGAAGAGGCCAGGGAGGCCCCGTCTGCCTTGTTCTTCGTACCCCAATGCTTGGCACTTGGTGGGCATTCAGTAAGGAATGAATGAACGCACGCACAGAGGAATGAATAGATGGGCACACAGTGTGTGCCCTCACAGCACATGGCCCATCACTGGGTAGAAGGCAAGTCAGTAAGTAGACAGGGGTAATGCAGGGAGCCGAGGGCCTCCAGGTGGAGGAACATGGAGGACCACAGGAGCACAGAGCAGAGTTCTCATCCCACTGGAGAGCTTAGGGAACTTTCTGGATGTGATGCGTGAGCAGAGTCCAAAAGGACAAAACAGAGAGAGGGAAAACAAGGTGGAAGTTCTTGTTAGGTGCCACTGCCACCCCAGGGGGTCAGCTTGGGGGACTCCCTGGCTCTTGGGGGCCAACCGCAGAGCTGCCCTGTTCCCACCTATCAGCTAGCTTGGTGTTGGCACCGTGGAAGGAAAGTGAACAGTGTTGGAGATCTGGGACAGATGTGATATTAATACAGGATCCATTTCTTGGAGTGTTTTCCAACTCTTATTCCAAGTGGACACCCAGAAACATCCCTTTTAAATGTTAATGGGGTTTTTATTGACGGTATAAAGGTTAAGAGCTTGCGAAAGATACAATTGTCAGTACACTCCTTCCAGTTCCGGAGGCCGCCAGTAAGTGGCAGTCTTTCCCTGTCGCTGGCTGCAGGTCACCCTTGGCCTCGGTGGAACTTGTGTGGGTCATTCTCAGTCCATTTGAAAGTTGGGCCTGTTCGGTTGTGTATAATTTTCTGTTCATCATTTTTCTGGCAATCTCAGGACAGAAGTCCTCTGATCCTCCTGTGAGAAGTAAACATTAATGTTATTAGATTCTTTTTTTTTTTTTTTGAGTTTCGCTCTTGTGGCCCAGGCTGGAGTGCAGTGGCGTGATCTCGGCTCACTGCAACCTCTGCCTCCCGGTTTCAAGCGATTTCCTGCCTCAGCCTCCCGAGTAGCTGGGATTACAGGTGCCCACCACCACGCTCGCCTAATTTTTTGTATTTTTAGTAGATACGGGGTTTCACCATGTTGTCCAGGCTGGTCTTGAACTCCCTACCTCAGGTGATTCATCAACCTTGGCCTCCCAAAGTGCTGGGATTACAGGCGTGAGCCACCGCACCCGGGCTGTTATTAGACTTGGAATGGGACAAAAGTCATATGAGACAGACTTGTTTGCTGAGGTATTTAAAAAACAAAATGGTCTAAGATGGCAGATTCTTGGGGAACTCTGCTCTGTGCACATTTCTGCCTATTAAAGTGGCCGTAAAAACAACCATAAATCCTTGATGAGGACACCTCAGGAGCTTTAGGACGGTGCCATTCTTTTTTAATTAAAAGCTTTTTATTTGATTTGATTTTTCTGTAGAGACAGGGTCTCGGCTATGTTGACCAGGCTGGTCTTGAACTCTTGGCCTTAAGTGATCCTTCTGCCTCAACCTCCCAAAGTGCTGAGATTATAGGCATGAGTCACCACACCTGGCCAGGGCAGTGCCATTCTAAGGCAACGGCTTCAACTCGGTCTTCTTTTCTGGGGTTACAGGAGATGGGAAGGGCCGAAGGTAGCATGAGAACGTGTGTGTGTGTGTGTTTGTGTGTGTGTGTGTGTGTTTGTGCATGTGTATGTGGAAGGACTGGTGAGATGGCTGGAGGAAGAGGCAGTCCTTCTGCTTAACTCTAATGGCCTAAATGTGAGAAACAAAGATTCAGGAAATAAGGAAAAAGCAAATGAGTGATTGCCTCTCTGGATCAAGCACACCAGCAGGCACAACCAGCCTTTCTTGAGCTACTGTGTGCCGGGCGCTGTGCCGTGCCCTTGCATGCATGTGGATGCTTCATGAGTTCATGAAGTAGGTATGCTTCCAGCCCCATTTTTCAGAGAAAGAAACTGAGGCTGAACAATCTTGCAGCTGTCAAGTGGCAGAGCAGGGGTTTGAACCCAGGTCCAAGAGTTCTTAACCACCATGTTTTCCTGCCCTTGATGTATGAAATGAGATGATGTAGTCACATGCCAGCTTGTCTAGGGATGACTCAGAGGTTTAGAGATGGATGTCACGTGGATGTTGTACAGGAGAGGCAGGTATAAGCTGTAGTAAAGTTAGGAAAGGCACAGTGACGTGGAGCACTGTGTGCAGTGGACGGGGTCATGGCTGGGGGTGAGAATGGTGGAGGACCTTCGATTATTTCATCAGCGTTGTTTCTGTAACCAAAGAGCTGCATGACCAAACCCTGAGATCTAGTTCCTTAATAGGAACAATTATTCGGCACGATTCCCTTTACTTAAAAGCAGGGGCCGTCCTAAGGGAGGAGTTGGAAAGAGTTTGGGGGATAAGGTTTGCTTGGTTGCCTTCTGTTTAGGCTGATGTTCAGTGGGGGTCAAAGGCTGTGTGTCCAGTCCCTGGCATGTGGCGGGTGTTTGTGGTACACAGCCAGCCTCAGGATGGCCCCCAGGGATGCACACTGCCTTTGTGTGTGGTCCCCTCCCACACTGAATCAGGCTGGCTCTGTGCGACCAGTGGGAAGTGGTGGAAGTGAGTGATGATGTGTGACTTCTCGGGCTAGGTCGTAACAGGCATTGCACTTTGGCTCTCGGGAAGCCAACTGCCTTGCGTGAGGGTGCTCAGGCAGCCTCGTGGGGAGGGGTGAGGCCCCTGGCCCCCAGCATGTACAGCTTGCCACCACGTGAGTGAGCCAGCTTGGAAGCGAATTTCCCCGCCCCGGTCAAGCCTTCTGGTGAGTGCAACTGCAGATGACATCTGACTTCCACCACTCAAGAGACCCCAGGTCAGTGCTGCCCAGCTGAGCTCTTCCCAGGTTCTTTATGTCCCCCGAAAATGAGCTGTTTTAAGTTTAGAAAACTTAAAAACACAGTGACAATGAAGCACAGATATGCATTACATACAGTCCCAAATCAGTAATGACTTCAAGCTGTGTCCTCTCTTTCCAAGAAAGACAAAGCAGAGAACAAAGTTCAACCTACAGTGTCTTCCCAAATTCTTGACCCACGGGATCTGTGAATATCTTATACGACTGAATTAAGCCTCTAAGTTTTGGGGTAACTCATGCAACATTAGGTAACTGGAATAGTGCTCAATAAATGTCTGTCACATGAATGGGCAGTGACCATGGATGCATTTCTAGTTGTGTATTAGTTAAGGCTCTCTTGGTTTCAAGTAACAGAAATCCAACTCCAACTAGCTTGAGCAAAATGGGGCATTCCTCTGGTCAAGTAACGGAGAAATCCAAGAGTCTCTGGCTTCATGCATAGCGGGACCCAGTCTCAATTTCCACCTCCTGGCTCTGCTTCCCTTGATGCCAACTTTCAGGAATCAGCTTTCTGAAAGACCACTCTGCTAGAAACAGACAGGCCCATCCTTTCAACCAGGTCCAGGACTGTTTGCTCAGTCACTGCTCTCAGAGGCAGGGGCAGAGGCAGATGCCGGGCACACATCCACAGAAGTGGAGATGGCAGGAAACTGAGAGTGGAGTGCTGGAAAGCTGGCTTTTGCCTATGGGTTCCGCTTCTGACATCATCCGGCAATGTCAGGCTTTACATTGCCCCCATCTGCAGACCCAGCAGAAGGACAGCTTCCATCCCACCACATCAATATGCCAGTCCTGGGGCGGGGGAAGGACTTATGGGCAACCTTTGCAGAATCACTGGGGCCTGGCCGCACATGAGCCATGCCCACGCTCATGTGACAGGCGGCCCCTGTGCCTGGGGTGCTGTATTACCCAGAGGAATAAGTGATCCTGGGTGGGCAAAAGCAACAGAAGAGAAGTCAGCTCCACTTCCTTCCAAAACTTGAGAAGGCCTGGTCAAAATCACCCTCCAGGCCCGGTGTGGTGGCTCATGCCTGTAATCCCAGCACTTTGGGAGGTTGAGATGGGCAGATCATGAGGTCAAGAGATCGAGACCATCCTGGCCAATATGGTGAAACCCCGTCTCTACTAAAACTACAAAAATTAGCTAGGTGTGGTGGTGGGCGCCTGTAGTCCCAGCCACTCGATAGGCTGACAGGAGAATCACTTGATCCAGGGAGTCGGAGGTTGCAGTGAGCCGAGATCGCACCATTGCACTCTAGCCTGGCGACAGAGTGAGACTAAAAAAAAAAAAAAAGAAAAAAGAAAAAAATCAGCCTCCATTTTTGGCTTTCTCTTTCATTAGAAAAATGAACCTGACTTTATGACCATGACAATGAAATGCCTAGAGAAGGGAGCACTCATTTTCCAGTGGGCCTACTGTGTGCTGGGGTGGCGAGACTCTTCCTGCCCTGGAACTTGGTGAGGTCAGGAGGGAAGATATTATATGACTGCCTTCCTCTGTACTTTTTCAGTGGGGGCAGGTGTTTATGCTTGATGATGCAATGGTGAGATCTTGGTTGGAATATGAACTTTTCTTTCTTTTTTTTTTTTTAGATGGGTTCTTGTTCTGTTCCCCAGGCTGGAGTACAATGGCACCATCACAGCTCACTGCAGCCTTGATCTCCCAGGGTCAAGGGATCATCGTGCCTCAGCCTGCTGAGTAGCTGGGACTACAGGAGTGCACCACCACACCTGGCTAATTTTTTTAAAAAAAATCTTTGTAGAGATGAGCTCTCACTAGGTTGCCCAGGCTGGTCTTGAACTCCTGAGCTCAAGCAATCCTCCCACCTTGGGCTCCCTAAGTGTTGGGATTACAGGCAAGAGTCACCACGCCCAGCCAGGATCACAGACGTTTAAATTACACTCCTTCTGCTGTGCCTTACAGCAGTAGAAGGGGTGAAATTTAAACGTCTGTGATCCTGGGGTTGTTGAAGATGCCACCCATCTACATATTCTTTCAGATGCACAATATTTCACTGTGTGAATGAAACAGCAGCCCTTCTTACGTGTGCTTTTTGGAATTTGAAGATTTTGTAAGATAAGATGAATGCATTGGAACAAGTGATCCTCAATTCTGTGCAGTCTGTGCCTCCGGAGACTGGCGGCTGCCCCTCCCTGTCTAGTCTTGCAAGAGAGGCAGCTGGCAAGAGGACAGAAGCCGGCAGCTGCTGCGTTTTCATCCTGTTTCTGCTCTTGGAGCTGAGGGGGAGAGGTGGCTAGCAGCCACCCAGTGATCAAACTTGCAGCCTGCCTCTCTTGCTTCCTTTTCACAGACTGGAGTGTGCCTGGGTATGGAGAAAGAACATTTTGCTTCTTGCCTCTCAGAGTTTCAAGAACGCCTCACCTGAGTGGCATGCATTCATGGAATGAGTAATTATTACAGTGGAGAACTCCTCACTGTGAATTAATTACACAGATGATATTCAAGACTTAGACTGGGCTAGTGCAGGGGTTAGCAAACTATGGCCCACTGTTCTTGTTTTATAAATAAAGTGTTATGAGCACACAGCCATGCCCATTCATTTGCAGATTATGGCTGCTTTTGCCTGACAGTGCCAGATGTAAGTAGTTGTGGCAAAGACCAGGTAGCCTAAAAAGCCTAAAATACTTGCTATCTGGGTCTTTACAGAAGACATTTTGTTGTTGTTGTTGTTGTTTTTGAGATGGGGTCTTTCTCTGTCACCCAGGCTGGAGTGCAGTGGTGTGATCTCAGCTCACTGCAACCTCCGCCTCTTGGGTTCAAATGATTATCGTGCCTCAGCCTCCCTAGTAGCTGGGATTATAGGCGCCTGCCACCAAGCCTGGCTAATTTTTGCATTTTTAGTAGAAACAGGGCTTTACCATGTTGGCCAGGCTGGTCTCAAACCCCGACCTCAGATGATCTGCCTGCCTCAGCCTCCCAAAGTGCTGGGATTACAGGTGTGAGCCACTGCGCCTGGCCTAGAAAATGTTTTCTAACCTGTTGTCTAGTGGGTGCTTTGTAAAGTTTAGTTTTAGGGGGAGCATCATTAATTCATTCAACAAGTATTAACTGAGCATCTCCCCTGTGCTGGGTGCTGCTTGGCATACTGGGGGTTTAGTGGTGTGAGAGAGACCGAGCCTCAGCTCTTAGGAGCACAGTGCTGATGGAGGACGAAAGGTAAACACACACATTAGAAGTTGTTGGATAATGCCAGGCGTTACGAAGAAAAGAAGCAGAACAAGGCAATGTGACAGAGGATGATTGGTATCATGGAAGGTCTCTCTGAGGAGGCAGCATCTGAGCTGAGACCTGAGGAGGGGAAGGGCCAGTTATGCAAAGATCTGGGGGAAGAGCTGCCCAGGCAGAGGGGACCATAATTGCAAAGGCCCCCAGGAGGAAATGAGCTCCCTGAGTTTCAGGAATAGCAAAGAGGCCAGGGTGGCCAGAGTCAAGTGATTGAGAGGAAGAGATGAGAACGATGGCAGGGACCGGGTCATGTGGGTGCCCTGGAAAGGAGTTTAGATTTTATTCTAATGGCAACAGAAGGCATTGGAGGGTTTAAGTAGGGAAAGGGGAGTGATCTGATGTATGTTTTTAAACAATTGCTTCTTTAAATTTTGAGGAGATTGGATTATTGGGAAGCAAGAATGAATTTAGGGAGAGAAGCAAAGAGGACGTTGTGTTGGTTTAGGCAAAAGACAGCAATGGCTTGGATTGGGGTGATGGAAGTAACAGTGGCAGGAAGTGGTGAGCTTGGGGCTATGCTTCAGAGATAGAGCAGAAAGGTCTTGCTGATGTATTTAATACAGGAGGTGAGGGAAGGGAGGAATCAACGATAAGTGAATCGTTTGTTTCTAGCTGAACCACTGAAATGTGTAGGTAAATTGAGACTTCTGTTTTGGCCATCGTGAGTTTGAGATGCTTATCAGACACCCGAGTCTGCAGCCTGGGTGAGAAATCACGGCTGGAGATGAGACGTGGTGAGCTGGGAGTGTTTTTGGATGACAGATGAGGCCACGGGATTGAATAATAGGTATCCTTATGAAGACTGAGAAAAGGAGAGGGCTGGGGGCCAAGCCCTGGGACAGTGCAACCTTCAGAGGATGGGCGAGGAGGGCCCTGCCCAAGAGACAGAGAGGAAGTGGCCCGTGAGGTAGGGGGAAGTCCAGGAGAGGACAGTGTGGTGAATACCTAATGCTTTACTCATTCACTGGTGAATGAATGGATGGATGGATGGATGGATGGATGGATGGATGAATGCATGAATATTCCTTAATAATATGGTTGGCCATGGTCCATCCATATGACTCCTACGGACACCATGTTACCATTTCACACTCGTCTTCTATTTAGGAGAAATCAGACGAAACTGCCATCTTATATATAGGTCAAAAATGGTTTCCATAACCACCCACCTCACATGCTTACTGAAATTCATTAAGTAATAGATGGGGTGGGGGGCGGGAGGTTTACAGGTCGGCAAAGGAGGCAAGGCTAGAGTGATCCATGTGGCAGTGGATTAGAGTGGCAGGCATCAGTATGAACACATGTTTAGCTCAATATAGATACAGATGGCTACATAGAGAAATATTTATGGATATGTGCATATACACAAATTAGTAAGACACACATTACTAATCCTGGCTGTCAGCGAAGAGAGCCTAGAAGCAAGGATACCCCAGTAGCAACAAACCTCTGGTGCCCAGGTCTCTGTTCTCCAATAAACACCATTCTCCAGTAAAAGGAACCAGGCTTCTTGAACAAATGTCGATCCTAGGACCGAGGGAGGAAATAGATAAGAAGAACCTGAAGCATCTTGTAGGGTCACAGGGTGAGGAGGCGCTAAATGAAACAAAATGAAACTGCTGCAGTGATGGGGCATCTCAGAGGGACACAGGAGCCAGTGGAAAAGCTCCCAGGGGTCAAAGCCAGAACAATTTGAGCCCCAAAAAAGTACTATTGGATTAGAATTCAAAGAATAAATACCCATGATTCCATACTGCTATAAATGATCAGATAAGAGAGAAGAGACAAATCTCCCAGGCAGAAGAATTCCAGATTATTTATTTATTTTTATTTAATTTTTTTTTTTTACACAGGGTCTTGCTCTGTTGCCCAGGTTGGAGTGCAGTGATGTAATCTTGGCTTACTGCAACCTCCACCTCCCAGGTTCAAGCGATTCTTGTGCCTCAGCCTCCCGAGTAGCTGGGATCACAGGCATGCGCTGCCACACTCGGCTAATTTTTTGTATTTTTAGTAGAGGCGGGGTTTCACCATGTTGACCAGGTTGGTCTCAAACTCCTGACCTCAAGTGATCACCCTCCTCGGCCTCCCATTCAAGTGCTGGGATGACAGGTGTGAGCCACCGTGCCCGGCCCCAGGTAATTTATATAGCTATTCCATCGTCAAGGAGGTGGAGCGGACTTCCCACATCCTAAGTGTGGGCTGTGCATAGTGACTCTCTTCCAAAGAGTACAGTGTGAAAAGAGAGGAGAGAGTAACTTTACAGTGGAGAACACGGACAGACTACCTCAGCCAGGTGATCAAAGTCAACTTCAATAGCGGCAAGTCATCTTGAGAGAATGCGTGCCTGATACAGAGTGCTGAGAATGATTCTTAAGCTCTGTGGTCCTCCTCCTCAAAACACACACAAGCCAAGACTAAGGATGAGAAGCATCTGCCAAATCCCAGTTGAGGAACATTCTACAAAATACCTGGCCAGCACTCCTCAAAATGCTCCATGTGGTATCCTGGAACAGAAAAAGGACATTAAGCAAAAACTAAGGCAATCAGAATCAACTATGGACTTTAGGTGGCCAGGCACGGTGGCTCGCGCCTGTAACCCTAGCACTTTGTGAGGCCGAGGCCGGCGGATGGGTTGAGCCCAGGAGTTCAAGACCAGCCTGGGCGACATGGCGAAACCCCATCTCTACAAAAAATACAAAAAATTAGCCAGGCTTGTGGTGTGCACCTGTAGTCCTAGCTACTCGGGAGGCTGAGATGGGAGGATCACTTGAGTCCGGGAAGTCAAGGCTGCAAGTGACCCGTGATTGTGCCACTGTATACCAGCATGGGCAATGAGAGTGAGACCCTGTCTCAACAAACAAACAACAAACAAACAAACAAAAACAAATTCTCTGGGGATGGTAGCAGGCACCTGTATTTCCAGCTACTTGGGAGGCTGAGATGGAGGATCGCTTGAGCCAGGGGAGGTGGAGGGTTGAGGCTGCCATGAACTATGATCACACCACCACACTCCAGCCTAGGTGACGAGCAAGACCCTGTCCCCACCCCCCTAAAAAAAGTATGGACTTTAGTTCATAATGCATCAAGCTATGGGGTACATGGAAACTCTCTGTACTGCTTTCACCATTTTTCTAAAACTGTTCTAAAATAAAAAATTTACTTAAACATTTATTTAAAAAAAAAAACAAACCATTTGAGTACCAACAGTGTCATATGCTCAACTTAGCACATCTTTTTCCTGGTTTGGTTTGTGGGCGTGAATGTGTACTGAGCCATCTAAACCTTGGTTGCCCGACCTTCACCGTAGCCACTGACCCAGGTTAACAGACAAAAGGCCCAGGTTAAGGTTATGCCCAGTGGCCATAAAATAGCCCAGCATCCAGACTGCACTCCTTGATGTACCCAAAAAAGCCAAGGAATAGGACGGATGGGCGGGGAGTGGGGGGCAAACTACTGCCCATTGCCCAACTCTGGCCAGCTGTCTGTTTTATAAATAAAGTTTTATTGGAACACAGTCACACCCATTCATTTATTATCATCTATGGCTACATTTGCATGACAATGGCAGTGTTGAGTAGTTGCACCAGAGATCGTGTGGCCCACAAAATATTTATTATCTAGCACTTTACAGAAAAAGCTTGTCAACCTCCAGGACAGTGGCCACAAGTTCTGCCATCATCTCATCCCTTAGCAAGAAGGGAAAGGAATGCCCATTAAGGCACAAATTGTTTTCTGTTGTTGTTTGTTTGTTTGTTTGTTTTTGAGACGGAGTTTCAGTCTTGTCGCCCAGGCTGGAGTGCAATGGCGTGATCTTGGCTCACTGCAACCTCCGCCTCCCAGGTTCAAGCGATTCTCCTGCCTCAACCTCCCGAGTAGCTAGGATTACAGGCGCCAGCCACCACATCCAGCAAATTTTTGTATTTTTAGTAGCGACGGGGTTTCACTATGTTGACCAGGCTGGTCTCGAACTCCTGACCGCAGGTGATCCACCTGCTTTGGCCTCCCAAAGCGCTGGGATTACAGGTGTGAGCCACCGTGCCTGGCCACAAGGTGGTCTTTTAACAACAGAGCACACAGCTGGACAAAGCCCAACGCTCTCTTCTTTGGGGCCGAGGTGGGTCATTAATATTGAACATTTACAATGTACTTGCTCCAGGTGATTCAGTTTAATTTCTGCCGTCTCTTGTAACAGGGCTCCCACGTGCACGGGTTGGGGCCGTGTGTCTGCCTCTGCTTTCTGAGGCCCCACAGCGTATTGATTCTGCGAAACGTACGTTTCTTTGAAAACAGCGTCTCTTGACATGACAGGAGATCACACATCGCTTGTTTTCTGTCCCTTTCATTGCCCTCTGAACATGATAAAATCATGACCTAGTGTCACCGAGGGACCTCAGCATCTCTTGGAAAGAAGGACTTGCCTTCTTTTTTATCTTTGTCAAGCCAGTGAGGCCAAGTAGAAAATTTTTAGCAGCTTTGGAGCCAGACAGATCGGAGTGCGAGTTCTGCCCGTTATTGACTGGACCGTGTGACCCTGGGAGAGCCGCCTAGTGTCTATGAGACGGAGGCTGTTGGGCAAGAAAATGGGGATGGTCCCAGCATTATGGGGCGGTTGTGAGAATTCAGTGCAATGATGCAGTGCTCCCAGAACAGCTGGTCTAGGGCTTGGCTCATGGGACTGTCCCTTCGCAGAGGCAGCGTGGACATTCCGCTGGTATCCACTGGTGTGGCTGTGCCTGTTTGGTCACCGTGTCTGTTCTGATTGGTCGGTGCTCCTGCATGTCAAGAGTTCAATGTTATGAAAATCATCCCTGCCTAGAGATGAATTCCCCCTTCCCCTGAGGTCTAGACTGGTATAGCTGCTTTTGGAGCCTCACCTGCTGAGAGCTCACAGCTGTCCTTCTCTAGAGAATCACCCTCAGATGGGAGCCACATTGCCTGGGATGGGATGCCATGCCCAGTAATGGCCCAGTGACTAACTGATACAGCAACGTGAATGGCTGGTCCCTGCCCCACGGTGGGGACGATCCTGTGGCGTGCTCTCTGCTGCTCGTGGGATAGGTCAAGGCGGGACTTTAAGGGACCACATTCTCACTCTGCTCTGTCCCCTTCTGCATCCTGTAGTCCTCACCTCCCTTCTCCTGAAAGCCCCTTTCAAAACAAAAACAAAAACCACATCCACCCAAGTCCCTGTCTCCAGCTCTGCCTCCAGGAAAGCCGGCGGAAGGCCGCCAGTCTCAGCTGTGACAGATACAGATATTTCTGCATTTCCAGGACTGAGGTCAATCCCTGGGGACCCAGTGAGGCGGTATCTGAAGGGCCATGGAGCTGGCTTGATGGGGTCTACAGGTAGGCAGGGACCTGGTGGGGATGTGACTCAAGGATTTTTATCAAATATCTTTATCCCCTGACAGATGCAAAAAAAAAAAAATGAGATCAGACTCCAGGGTTTCCTCCATGCCACACTGTGGCCCCATTGTTTGTTGTGCTATCAGCAGAAGTTGATTTTGCAAGGAATGTACACGTGTATGTGATGTTTGAATGCACCTATCTGTGTGTGCGTGCATTTGTGTGTGTGTGTGTGCATTCGCTTGTGTGTGTGTGTGTGTGTGTGTGTGTGTGTGTGTGTGTGTGTGTGTGCTGAGGATGTGAGCCCCACTTCCGGCCCAGTGCCCCTGCCCAGGCTGGCTCTGCCCTCCTGCTGCTCTGGGCCCCTCAGGCAGTGACTACCTGGTACATAGGGAAGGCATCAGCATCCCTTATTCATGGGGACTGTATACTGTCTCCACCATATTGGGCCTTTTGGCCTCTTGGACATGACTTGGCCTCTGCTGGCTTTAAGGGACTGCCAGAGATGCCATCTTCTCTGGGAAATGTTCTCAGCCTGGGCACAGCCCACTAACCACTGCCTGCTTGTCTGAGACTTCTCTGTCCAGGAAAACAGCCCAGCCTGACCAGAGATGGGCATAGAGCCATATTTTGGGAAAGACTGGTTGGGGGTCAACTTGGTTTCTGGAACCAGTTCTGATTTCAGTTGCAGGGGACAGTGAGCCAGTTACTGCCCACTGGCTGCATCCTAAGCCTTCCTAGAGGAGAGCTAGCCTCCTCCTAGGGTTGCCCAGGCTGGACCACTTCTGCCTGGGTGATGGGTTGGGAGAAAGACGTTAATATTTGGAGCAGTGTTATATTAGTCAGCCCTCCCATTTGCAAACATTAGAAAACCAGCTCAAATTAGTGATAAAAGAAAATCTCAGCTGAATTAAATTTAAAGTAGTTTAATTGAGCAATGAATGATTCGCGAATTGGGCAGACCCCAGAATCACAGCAGATTCATAGAGACTCCAGCGCAGCCACGTGGTGGAAGAAGATTTATGGACAAAAGAAGGGAAATGATGTACAGAAATCAGAAGTGAAGTACAGAATGGCTGGATTGTTACAAGTTGGCGTTTGCCTTATTTGAGTACAGTTTGAACACTCAGCAGCGTATGAGCGGTTGAACTACGGCCTCTGGGATTGGCCAAGACTCAGCTATTGTTACAGGCGCATACTCCTAAGTTAGGTTTTCAATCTTGTCTACCTATTAAGCTAGGTTGCAATTTGTCCACAAGGACTCAACTATAGAAGTACGAAGTCCCACTCAGGCCATATTTAGTTCACTTTAACACTAGCTTCGGCAACTGTCTCTCAGAGCCCAGGGCAGGGCAGGGATGCAACTGGGCTTCAGGAAACTTGAATTCATTGACTGTCTCTTCCCCATCTTAGATGCAGTGCTAAGGGCTTTTTAGTAATTTTCTCATTTGACTCTCAAAACAAACTGATGAGGAAACGGTCTGAGAGTAGTTAGGCAGCTTTTCAAGGTCACACAGATAGTAAATGTCATCACTGGGACTTGAACTCAGGTCTTTCTGACTCTCATGTCTGTGCAACATGTCATCTCAGCCACTGTTGACACTGTATATGTGGATTAGGGTTGGCTAAACTGCTGTAACAAATAGACCCAACTCGAATGGTGCATGTATGTACAATAGGGGTTTATTTCTTATGATATAGTTCACGGTGGTCCCAGGTGAATAAGGATGGGTAGGTCTGCATTTTTCATAATCATCTGGATTTCTGCTCAGGCTCCTAGAGTCTCTGCCACCTTCCCCATGTGGCTTCCAAGGCCACCTTGGAGACAGAGCTTGGTGGAGCACATGTGGTAGGATTTTTTTTGTTTTTTTGAGACGGAGTCTCACTGTATTGCCCAGTCTGGAGTGCAGTGGTGCAATCTCGGCTCACTGCAACCTCTGCCTCCCAGGTTCAAGCTATTCTCCTGTCTCAGCCTCCCTAGTAGCTGGGACTACAGGCACCTGCCACCACGCCTGGCTAATTTTTGTATTTTTAGTAGAAATGGGATTTCACCTTGTTGGTCAGGTTGGTCTCAAACTCCTGACCTCAGGTGATCCACCCACCTCGGCCTCCCAAAGTGCTGGGATTACAGGCATGAGCCACCACTCCCAGCCAGTTCTTTTTTTCTTTTTTCCATTTTTTTTTTTTCGAGACAGGGTCTTACTCTGTTGCCCAGGCTGGAGTGCAGTGGCACAATCACGGCTCAGCGCAGCCACTGCCTCCTGGGCTCACACGCTCCTCCGGCCTCAGCCTCTCGAGTACCTGGGACTACAAGTGTGAGCCAGTTTGGCTAATTTTGGCTAATTTTTGTAGAAACGGGGTCTCGCCATGTTGGCCAGGCTGGTCTCCAACTCCTGGGCTCAAGGGATCCACCTTCCTCCCCCTCTCAAAGTTCTGGGATTACCGGAGTGACCCACTGTGCCCTGCTGGCAAATTTCTTAAACTGTGCCTCAGTGACCTCATTTAATAAAGGGAATAATTGTAGCACACTTTTTCTAGAGCTGTGAAGATTCAATGGAATAAATAAGGCAATAAATGAATGGATGGGGAATGAAGGATGTGGGTTTCCTCCCTCTTGTCTTTCAATAAGCTCTCACCATCAACCTCCCATTGCCTGTTCTCTCTCTTCCCCCTCTCTCCCTCTGTCTCTCTCTTAGCCAGGAAACCTGGGGTAGGGAGGCTTGGAGCCAGCGGGTGCGTCGGGAGGCTGCGGGTACTGACTGGGGACGCGCACGGAGATTGCGGGAGAAGGATCCACGCCGCGGGAGAAGGATCCATGCCGCGGGAGAAGGATCAGAGTGGAGCCTGTGGCTGCTGCAGGAGGAGGAAGCCGCCGCCTGGCCCACACCACAGGAGAAGGGCGGAGCCAGATGGCACCCTGCCCACCGCTTCCCGCCCACGCACTTTAGCCTGCAGAGGGGCGGAGCGTGAAAAATACCTCGTGCGCCTCGGCCGACTCTACAGTGCGACGGGCGGAGCTTCCAGACGCTCCGCCCCACGTCGCATGCGCCCCGGGAAAGCGTGGGGCGGAGCTTCCGGAGGCCCCGCCCTGCTGCCGACCCTGTGGAGCGGAGGGTGAAGCCTCCGGATGCCAGTCCCTCATCGCTGGCCCGGTCGCGCTGTGGCGAAGGGGGCGGAGCCTGCACCCGCCCCGCCCCCCCTCGCCCCGTCCGCCCTGCGCCGCGCGGGGAGGAGGAGGAGGAGCCGCGGCGGGGCCCGCACTGCAGCGCCAACGTCCGAGCGGGCGGCCGAGCTCCCGGAGCGGCCTGGCCCCGAGCCCCGAGCGGGCGTCGCTCAGCAGCAGGTCGCGGCCGCAGCCCCATCCAGCCCCGCGCCCGCCATGCCGTCCGCCGGCCCCGCCTGAGCCGCGGCCTCCGCGCGCGGGCGGGCCTGGGGACGGCGGGGCCATGCGCGCGCTGCCCTAACGATGCCGCCCGCCGCGCCCGCCCGCCTGGCGCTGGCCCTGGGCCTGGGCCTGTGGCTCGGGGCGCTGGCGGGGGGCCCCGGGCGCGGCTGCGGGCCTTGCGAGCCCCCCTGCCTCTGCGGCCTAGCGCCCGGCGCCGCCTGCCGCGTCAACTGCTCGGGCCGCGGGCCGCGGGCTGCGGACGCTCGGTCCCGCGCTGCGCATCCCCGCGGACGCCACAGCGCTGTGAGTAGCGGGCCCAGCGGCACCCGGGAGAGGCCGCGGGACGGGCGGGCGTGGGCGCGTTCCCTGGCCCGGGACGGGAAGCAGGACGCGGGCCAGGACGCTCCCAGGGCGAGGCTCCGGCGCGGCACAGCGGCCCTGCTAAATAAGGAACGCCTGGAGCCGCGGTTGGCACGGCCCCGGGGAGCCGAAAAACCCCGGGTCTGGAGACAGACGTCCCCACCCGGGGGCTCTGCGGACGCCAGCGGGGGCGGGGCGCGGAGGCCGCGCTCAGCTGGGAGGACAAACAGTCGCTAATTGGAGAGGAATTGGGATTCGGCCTGGGGCTGCGGGGTACCCGGAGAGATGGGGATGGCTGTAGGGGGCTGCAGGGAAGAGTTCCAGGAGGTGTCTGGACAAGGATTTGATGGATGTGCAAGAATTGGGCTGATGCTTAGGAAGGGGCGATGAGGTGGGTCCAGAAGAAGGGGGGTGAACGGTGTGAGCAAAGACCGTGAGGCTGGAGGCTGGCCACGGGAGGTGTGAGGGGTAGGGGCAGGGTGGGAGGTGGGCTCGCGGGTGGGCTGGGGTCATGAAGGGCCTCAGGCGCTCTGCTATTGGGTTCCAAGGCTATCCTGAGAACAGGGGTGAGGGCGGATTGCCGTGGGGGGTTAAAGCCTTGTCATGTTCGCTTTCGGGAGATAAAAACAACAGGTGGCCTTTATGGAGACGCTGCCCAGAGCCAGGTCTGTGCCAGGCTCCTGTTGGGGGTCGTCATGCGGAATCCTGACTCTGACCATCCGAGGCATAGGGACCGTGGAGATTTGCATTTCACAGATGAGGAAACAGGTTTGGAGAGGTGACACGACCTGTCCCAGGCATCACAGCCAGGACAGGACCTGTCCCAGGCATCACAGCCGGGATGTGCATAGCAGGGGTTTGGAACTATGAGGTGCCCAGGACCCAGGGTTGGATTGAAAAGGGCGCAGGGGACTAAGATAAGCAGACAGTTGTCCCCAGCGCTGGGGAGAGTCTTGGGACCAGTCTGATGCCTTGTATTTCCCAGGCTCCAGGCTCCTCGCCGGGACAGTGTCTCTTTGGGTGCGTGCTGGATCCCTGGGGGACGTGGCACATCCCCAGGCTTTCTAAACATTGGGTGGGTTCTGGCATTTGGTTTTGTAACGTTTCTGGGTCACTCCCGCCTGTGGCCACCCTTCCTTAGGGGAGCCGTGTGTCCTTGGGGCTTTGCTGGGTGGTCTCGAGGGTGGGAGAAGAATGGGTTCTCCTGGACCAATGGAGCCCGTGCCCCTCGGGGCCACATTGCTCCTGCGCTCCCTGACTGCGGACGCGTGTGTCTCGCGGCTGTCTCTGTGGAGATGGCCTCCTCCTGCCTGGCAACAGCACCCACAGAATTGCATCAGACCTACCCCACCCGTTGTTTGTGATGCTGTAGCTGAGGGCTCCTCTGTCTGCCAGGCCGGTCACTGGGGACTCTGTCCAGGTCCTGGTGGTTCCTGCTTCCCAGCACCTGATGGTGTCCATGAGAGCAGCCCCTCGGGAGCTGTCCGGGAGAGAAGGGCGCTGGTGGCTGCTGAGCGGAGAGCAAGGCCCGTGTTCTCCAGGCCCTTGGCACAGCAGTGGAACCCCCGCCCCTGCCTTGTGTTGTCCTCTTAGGCTCTGGTCCTGGGGTTTGGAGGAGGGGGACCCTGGGGGTTGGTGGCCTGTCCCAGCCTGAGCTGGCAAGATTCCGAATGCCAGGCCCCTCAAGTGTGCAACAGGGCACAGGGTGACCTCGTGGGCAGGTGGGTGCTGTTCTGTACACACCTGGGGCCGCCGCTGGGAGAGTTCTGGAAGGTGGGGTGAGGGGACCCATGGGAAACTAGGGCCCTAGGAAGGATGTGAAGGCCCTGGCTGGCCCCCCAGGCCACCCTCTGTGCTGTGGGGCAGCCCAGCCATTTTGCTGTCTACCCTGCAAACTCCTCCTCGGGGAGACGGCTGGGTTTTCCCCAGGGAAGAGGGGTCAAGCTGGGAGAGGTGAAGGACACAGATCACAGCTGCTGGCAGGTGTTCAAGGGTCCAGGAGCGTTGCTGTCTGGGTGTCACCAGTAGCCTTCCTGGGGGGCTCACGCAGGTGCCTCTCCACTTGTGGCTCCCTGGCTGCTGAAGCTCAGCAGGGACAGCTGTGTCCAGTTCCAGGTGGAGGACAGCCGGGGCTTCTGAGGCCACAGCCTGCCTTGGGTTAAGGATGCTGCCGAGAGGTGGTGGCTTTTGGAAAAGATGGCGTACTGCAAAACGTGCTGCTCTGCATGGCTCGAAGCTTCGTGGGGAGACGTGGGCAGAGCCGTGGCTGACTCACAGACCCCCCACCCCAGAGCCTGCCCTGCCCTCCCTGCCCCGACCCTTCCCCTCCTGACCCATGTGTTTTTTGTTTTTTTTTTTGAGACAGAGTTCACTCTTGTTGCCAAGGCTGGAGTGCAATGGCACGATCTCGGCTCATGGCAACCTCCGCCTCCTGGGTTCAAGCGCTTTTCCTGCCTCAGCCTCCCGAGTAGCTGGGATTACAGGCGTGCACCACCATGCCTGGCTAATTTTGTATTTTTAGTAGAGACAGGGTTTCTCCATATTGGTCAGGCTGGTCTTGAACTCCTGACCTCAGATGATCCGCCCGCCTCGGCCTCCCAAAGTGCTGGGATTACAGGCATGAGCCACCACGCCCAGCCCTGACCCATGTTTTGAACCAAATTCCAGCCACCCTTTTATCTGCAAGCATTTTGGAGGGCATCGCAATACCGCAGACCCACCTAACACAACAGACAATTCCTTCATGCCACCGAAGGCCTGGTGTGTTCACATTTTTGGTTTAATAGTTTGAATTAAGAGCCAAATAAGGTCCACACACTGCAATTAGTTGATGTCTTTTTTTTTTTTTTTTTTTTTTTTTTTTGAGACGGAGTCTTGCTCTTGTCTCCAGGCCGCAGTGCAGTGGCATGATCTCAGCTCGCCGCAACCTCCGACTCCCTGGTTCAAGTGATTCTCCTGCCTCAGCCTCCCGAGTACCTGGTAGCTGGGTTTACAGGCATGCACCACCGTGCCCAGCTAATTTTTGTATTTTTAGTAGAGACGGGGTTTTACCGTGTTGGCCAGGATGGTCTCGATCTCCTGACCTCGTGATCTGCCCACCTCGGCCTCCCAAAGTGCTGGGATTACAGGCGTGAGCCACCGCACCCGGCCAATGTCTTTTAAAAATATATACTTTTTTTTTTTTTTTTTTGAGACAGAGTTTCGCTCTTGTTGCCCAGGCTGGAGTGCAGTGGCGCGATCTCAGCTCACGGCAACCTCCGCCTCCCGGGTTCAAGCGATTCTCCTGCCTCAGCCTCTCCAGTAGCTGGGATTACAGGCGTGTGCCACCATGCCTGGCTAATTTTGTATTTTTAGGAGAGACGGGGTTTCTCCACGTTGGTCAGGCTGGTCTCAAACTCCTGACCTCAAGTGATCCGCCTGCCTTGGCCTCCCAAAGTGTTGGGATTACAGGTGTGAGCCAGCGCGCCCAGACAAAAATGTATATGTGTGTCTTTAAGGCTGGTCAAGCAAAGCAGTGGAACTGGAGAAAGAATGAAGAATTCTACCTGGCTGTGATCAATTCGTTGTGAACACCACTGTGCTTGGACCAGCTAGCTGATGTCTTTTGTTTTGTTTTGTTTGAGACGGAGTCTGGCTCTGTCACCCAGGCTGGAGGACAATGGTGTGATCTCGGCTCACTGCAGCCTCCACCTCCCGGGTTCAAGCGATTCTCCTGCCTCAGCCTCCTGAGTAGCTGGGATTACAGGCGCGCGCCACCACGCCCAGCTAATTTTTAAAAATATTTTTAGTAGAGATGGGGTTTCACCATGTTGGTCAGGCTGGTCTTGAACTCTTGGCCTTAGGTGATCTGCTTGCCTCGGCCTCCCGAAGTGCTGGGATTACAGGTGTGAGTGATGTCTTTTATTTATTTATTTATTTATTTTTTATTATTATTTGAGATGGAGTCTCACTCTGTTGCCCAGGCTGGAGTGCAGCAGTGCCATCTCGGCTCACTGCAAGCTCCGCCTCCTGGGTTCACACCATTCTCCTGCCTCAGCCTCCCGAGTAGCCTGGACTGGTGCCCGCCACCACGCCCAGCTAATTTTTGCATTTTTAGTAGAGACGGGGTTTCACCCTGTTGGCCAGGATGGTCTTGATCTCTTGATCTCATGATCCACCCACCTTGGCCTCCCAAAGTGCTGGGATTACAGGAGTGAGCCACCGTGCCCAGCCATCTTTCTTTTCTTGCTTTCTCTTTCTTTTCTTTCGAGACCGGGTCTTGCTCTGTCGCCCAGGCTGGACTGCAGTGGCACAATCATAGCTCACTGCAGCCTCGACCTCCCTGGCTCAAGCGATCCTTCCTCCTCAGCCCCCCGAGTAGTTGGAACTACAGCTCCACACCACCATGCCTGGCTGATTCTTTTTTTCCTTGTAGAGATGGGGTCTTGCTATGCTGTCCATCCTGGTCTCAAACTCCTGGCCTTCCCAAAGCACTGGGATTACAGGCATAAGCCACCACAGCCAGTTTCCTTTTCTTCTTTTTAACTGGAATAGTTGACTTTTTCTTTATTAGCTGTGTGTCAGGAGGGTATTTTTGGCCTTTAGTATGTCGTCTAAGTTGCTAGTGCTTTTCTGAGATTGTAGTTTGTTTTCTAATTTTATTTATATTTTGCGTAGAAGTTGTGTATTTTAGATGGAGTTAGGTCGGCTGGTCTTTGATGTTTTATTTATTAATTATGTATGTATTTATTTATTTTTGAGGTAGAGTCTCGCCGTTTCACCCCAGCTGGAGTACAGTGATGCGATCTCAGCTCCCTGTAGCCTTGACCTCTCTGGGCTCAAGTGATTTTTCTCTCCTCTACCTCCCGAGTACTTGGGACCCCAGGCGCATGCCGCCATGCCTGGCTAATGTGTATTTTTTTGTAGATACGGGGTCTCACTGTGTTGCCCAGGGTGGTTTCAAAATCCTGGGCTCAGGCGATCCTTCCGTCTCAGCTCCCACGGTGCTGTGTTACCGGCGTGTGCCCCAGTGCCTGGCCGTCTTGGAGGTCTTGTTTCTCTGGGTTTATGCCTCAAGGTGGCGCCTGCTCCGCTGTGCTCCCTGGTAGCCTGGTAGTGAGCCTGCTTCTCACACAGTCATACCTGGTTGTGGTCCCACAGTGGGACCACCCTGTTGGGTTCAGAACAGGAGATGGGGGCCCCTCGAGTCTGTGTGGGGGCTGTAGACAGGGTTGGGAGACCTTGGCTCTGTGGGGGACTGTGGACAGGGGATGGGGGGCCTTGGCCCTGCGTGGGATGGGTTGGGGGTCCGTGCCCTTCCTGGCCCTGGGTGGACAGGTCCAGGTGGCACTCGGCATAGGGCTGAGATGGGTGCAGAGGGCTGAGGCCCCCAGGCCTCTCCCGGCTTGGTTTCCCCAGATGAGTGTTCATTTGGGTCTTCCATCAGAAAGGCCCCTCCTGACCTCTGGGAGTGGGGAGCTCAAGGGTGGGAGGCCATAGCTTGGGGATGCTGGAAATGTGTGGGATGGGCCCAGGGATGGCCTCTGGCCTACTAAGGGCTCTGGCCCTGACCCACGGCCACTCACTCCTCAGAGACGTCTCCCACAACCTGCTCCGGGCGCTGGACGTTGGGCTCCTGGCGAACCTCTCGGCGCTGGCAGAGCTGTGAGTGTCCCCCAGTCGTGCCAGCATGCGGGGCTCACTCCGGGTGGGCTGGCGGCACCGCCTCTTGCTGCTCAGCTGTGGGGGCTTCCGTCAGCTTTGCCGAATCCCCCCTCTCTTCCAGGGATATAAGCAACAACAAGATTTCTACGTTAGAAGAAGGAATATTTGCTAATTTATTTAATTTAAGTGAAATGTAAGTTGTGGTTCTTTGGGTGGGGTCCTGGCTGGACCCCAGGCCCCCAGTATCCCTTCTGCCCTCCCAGTTGGTCCGTGTCCCCTTCCAGGCTTGAGACCAGATCCTGGGGGCAGTTCACTACCTGCTTGGAGCCCCCCAGTGCCGGCTTGGTTGGGGCAGGGGAGGCGGTGCTGTCAGGGTGGCTCCAGGGCCTGGTTGCCAGTGGGGGGCTGGCATAGACCCTTCCCACCAGACCTGGTCCCCAACACCTGCCCCTGCCCCGCAGAAACCTGAGTGGGAACCCGTTTGAGTGTGACTGTGGCCTGGCGTGGCTGCCGCGATGGGCGGAGGAGCAGCAGGTGCGGGTGGTGCAGCCCGAGGCAGCCACGTGTGCTGGGCCTGGCTCCCTGGCTGGCCAGCCTCTGCTTGGCATCCCCTTGCTGGACAGTGGCTGTGGTGAGTGCCGGTGGGTGGGGCAGCTCTGTCCTTCCCAGCCAGGTGGGACCTGGGCCCTGCAGACACTGGGCAGGGCTCAGGAAGGCCTCTCTGGGGGGGGCCTCCGGGCCAAGGGAACAGCATGGGAGCCTGTGAGTGCGGCGGGCGGATGGGGGGGTGTGGGGTGGAGCCAGGAGGAGCAGAACCCGGGGTCCAGTGGCTGCCTCTTCTAGGTGAGGAGTATGTCGCCTGCCTCCCTGACAACAGCTCAGGCACCGTGGCAGCAGTGTCCTTTTCAGCTGCCCACGAAGGCCTGCTTCAGCCAGAGGCCTGCAGCGCCTTCTGCTTCTCCACCGGCCAGGGCCTCGCAGCCCTCTCCGAGCAGGGCTGGTGCCTGTGTGGGTCAGCCCAGCCCTCCAGTGCCTCCTTCGCCTGCCTGTCCCTCTGCTCCGGCCCCCCGCCGCCTCCTGCCCCCACCTGTAGGGGCCCCACCCTCCTCCAGCACGTCTTCCCTGCCTCCCCAGGGGCCCCCCTGGTGGGGCCCCACGGACCCCTGGCCTCCGGCCAGCTAGCAGCCTTCCACATCGCTGCCCCGCTCCCTGTCACTGCCACACGCTGGGACTTCGGAGACGGCTCCCCCGAGGTGGATGCCGCTGGGCCGGCTGCCTCGCATCGCTATGTGCTGCCTGGGCGCTATCACGTGACGGCCGTGCTGGCCCTGGGGACCGGCTCAGCCCTGCTGGGGACAGACGTGCAGGTGGAAGCGGCACCTGCCGCCCTGGAGCTCGTGTGCCCGTCCTCGGTGCAGAGTGACGAGAGCCTCGACCTCAGCATCCAGAACCGCGGTGGTTCAGGCCTGGAGGCCGCCTACAGCATCGTGGCCCTGGGCGAGGAGCCGGCCCGAGGTGAGTGTCTGCTGCCCACTCCCCTTCCTCCCCAGGGCCATCCAGATGGGGCAGAGCCTGGTACCCCCGTCTTGGGCCCACACTGACCGTTGACACCCTCGTTCCCACCGGTCTCCAGCGGTGCACCCGCTCTGCCCCTCGGACACGGAGATCTTCTCTGGCAATGGGCACTGCTACCGCCTGGTGGTGGAGAAGGCGGCCTGGCTGCAGGCGCAGGAGCAGTGTCGGGCCTGGGCCGGGGCCACCCTGGCAATGGTGGACAGTCCCGCCGTGCAGCGCTTCCTGGTCTCCCGGGTCACCAGGTGCCTGCCCCACCCCCCGAGGGGCCATAGGTTGGGAGATCTCTGAAGCAGTGGGGCAGAGCCTGCGGCTGGGGAGTCTCAGGAGGAGGGAGGTGGGAGCTGGGCCGGCCCTGGTGAGCAGGTGGCGCCGGCCGGTGGGGCCGTTCCTGTCAGCTCTGCAGATGCAGAGGTGGACGCGAGCTGGGGGCAGCCTCCGGACACTCCTGGGCACGCCATACGGGAGGTGGCCTGCACGGGGATCCCTGCCGGTGCCCACAGGCCCCGTGGGTGGGTGCTGCTGTGAGCCTGGGCTGGTGGGCCCTGTTCTCCGGGCTCTGAGCCTCAGTTTCCCCATCTGGAAAGGGGGACAGTGACGGGGCTCCCAGCGGGCTGCTGTGAGGGTGGGAGGATGGAGGAGTGCCCTGAGCCCCCTGCCATCCCACACCCGCCCCCAGGAGCCTAGACATGTGGATCGGCTTCTCGACTGTGCAGGGGGTGGAGGTGGGCCCAGCGCCGCAGGGCGAGGCCTTCAGCCTGGAGAGCTGCCAGAACTGGCTGCCCGGGGAGCCACACCCAGCCACAGCCGAGCACTGCGTCCGGCTCGGGCCCACCGGGTGGTGTAACACCGACCTGTGCTCAGCGCCGCACAGCTACGTCTGCGAGCTGCGGCCTGGAGGTGTGCGAGGGGCCAGGCAGGGGCCTGAGACGCTGGCTGTGGTTAGGGGCCTGCCGAGCGCCCGCGGTGGAGCCTGGGCTGAGGAGGAGGGGCTGGTGGGGGGGTTCTCGGGCGGCTCGGTCCCCAGTCTGTTCGTCCTGGTGTCCTGGGCCCTGGCCCGGCGCCTCACTGTGCACTTGCCACCCCAGGCCCAGTGCAGGATGCCGAGAACCTCCTCGTGGGAGCGCCCAGTGGGGACCTGTAGGGACCCCTGATGCCTCTGGCACGGCAGGACGGCCTCTCAGCCCCGCACGAGCCCGTGGAGGTAGTCGGCCCCCCACGTTCTATAACCTGCCCTCCTGCCTGCCCCTGGAGGCCTCGCCTGCCCTGCCCACTGTGGGTCTCGCCAAAAAACTTGGGGGCCTTAATGTTGCTTGTGCCCAGTGAAGATGGTTGGGAAAATCCAGAGTGCAGAGAGGAAAGCGTTTACTCACATTACCCCCAGGCCTTTTCTCTGAGTGTGGGTGAGTTATTCCTGAAAGGCAGGTCAGGGGTCCTGCCCCCCATGGACAGTTTCCATCGGAGTCTTCCTCTCGAGCGACAGGAGCCAGGCCTGTGGGGGTCCGATGGCTCGCTCTCCTTCCCTCCCCTCTTCCTGCGAAGTTCGGGTGGGGGGAGTCTGGGCTTCAGGCTGGGATGGGGTCTGTGGAGCTGAGGCGGCCCCCTGCCCACCAGGTCATGGTATTCCCGGGCCTGCGTCTGAGCCGTGAAGCCTTCCTCACCACGGCCGAATTTGGGACCCAGGAGCTCCGGCGGCCCGCCCAGCTGCGGCTGCAGGTGTACCGGCTCCTCAGCACAGCAGGTGGGACTCTGGGGTGGTGGGCGCCGCAGGACTCGGGGTGGCCTCTCTGAGCTCTCACGTCTGCTGGTCCTGTGGCCATCAGAGTGGTTCCCAGTCTTAGGTGGACAGAGCAGGGGTTCCAGAGACACCAGCTCATTCCAGGTGTCCTGGGGGTGGATCGGGTGGGGCCTGCCTGGGGACCGGCCTGGGTCAGTCAGCTGGCCGGAGACAGGGACGCAGCACTGGGCTGGGAGTGCTGCCCGGGCGGGGAGACCTGTCCTCACAGCAAGGCCAGGCTCGCTGGTGCAGGCAGTTGGGCATCTCTGACGGTGGCCCATGGGCGAATCAGGGCCCCAACACCCTCCCCTCCTCGCAGGGACCCCGGAGAACGGCAGCGAGCCTGAGAGCAGGTCCCCGGACAACAGGACCCAGCTGGTCCCCGCGTGCATGCCAGGGGGACGCTGGTGCCCTGGAGCCAACATCTGCTTGCCGCTGGACGCCTCCTGCCACCCCCAGGCCTGCGCCAATGGCTGCACGTCAGGGCCAGGGCTACTCGGGTCCCCCTATGCGCTATGGAGAGAGTTCCTCTTCTCCGTTCCCGCGGGGCCCCCCGCGCAGTACTCGGTGTGTGGCCCTGACCTGGGTCTGTTCCCTGCATCTCCTCAGGCCACCTTCCTGTCTGCTGCCCAGGGTCTGGGTCTGCGCAGCAGACACACCCAGCCTGCAGGCCCCTCCCACGTCCTTGCCACCTCTGACCTCCGACCTCCGACCTCCAACCTCCGACCTCTGCAGTGCCTTTGCCCCTCTCCCAGTGGGAGAAGCTCTCGCCTGGGCCCTTGGCACGAGCTGTGCCTCCTCTTCCTCTCTCCCAGCACAGCCGCTCCTTCCTGTCTGTCAGGTCTTGGCCTGTGTCCTCTCCCCGTGTGTCCCCCTGTCTGCAACTGTCCTGCCTGTCCTTGTCACGAGCACTGTGGGGAGGCTCCCTGAGGTGTGGCTGACGAAGCGGGGAGCCCTGCGTGTCCACCCTCATCCGTCGTGCAGGGGTCCACGGGCCATGACCGTGAGGACGTGATGCAGCCCTGCCTCCCTCTCCACAGGTCACCCTCCACGGCCAGGATGTCCTCATGCTCCCTGGTGACCTCGTTGGCTTGCAGCACGACGCTGGCCCTGGCGCCCTCCCGCACTGCTCGCCGGCTCCCGGCCACCCTGGTCCCCAGGCCCCGTACCTCTCCGCCAACGCCTCGTCATGGCTGCCCCACTTGCCAGCCCAGCTGGAGGGCACTTGGGCCTGCCCTGCCTGTGCCCTGCGGCTGCTTGCAGCCACGGAACAGCTCACCGTGCTGCTGGGCCTGAGGCCCAACCCTGGGCTGCGGCTGCCTGGGCGCTATGAGGTCCGGGCAGAGGTGGGCAATGGCGTGTCCAGGCACAACCTGTCCTGCAGCTTTGACGTGGTCTCCCCAGTGGCTGGGCTGCGGGTCATCTACCCTGCCCCCCGCGACGGCCGCCTCTACGTGCCCACCAACGGCTCAGCCTCGGTGCTCCAGGTGGACTCTGGTGCCAGCGCCACGGCCACGGCTCGCTGGCCTGGGGGCAGTGTCAGCGCCCGCTTTGAGAATGCCTGCCCTGCCCTGGTGGCCACCTTCGTGCCCAGCTGCCCCTGGGAGACCAATGATACCCTGTTCTCAGTGGTAGCACTGCCGTGGCTCGGTGAGGGGGAGCACGTGATGGACGTTGTGGTGGAAAACAGCGCCAGCCGGGCCAACCTCAGCCTGCGGGTGACGGCGGAGGAGCCCATCTGTGGCCTCCGCGCCACGCCCAGCCCCGAGGCCCGTGTACTGCAGGGAGTCCCAGTGGTGAGTATGGCCGAGGCTCCACCACCAGCCCCCAGGCAGGTGCCTGCAGACAGGGTGCTCACACAGGGCGTGAGGCCTGGCTTCCCAGTGAGGGCGGCAGCCCAGTTACTGGGGACGTCGGCCCCGGGCAGGTCCTGCTGGCTGGCTCCTCAGGCTACCTGGTGGGCTTTAAATTCCTGGAAAGTCACGGCTCTGACAGCGGCTCCGCTAACTCATTCCACCGTCTCATTTCACGAAATGAATTTAAAACTCCGCTCCCTGACCTCACACGAGTCCCCGTGAGTCTCTCACGCCCTCTGCTGTGTTCTCGCCTGGCTAAAGCAAGTGGCTTTTGAGGTGGAGTCCGAACCCCTGATGGGAAACTGCGGGCTGCCCGCAGTGCCACCATGCTGGGTACATGGGGGACAGGGCTGTTCCATCTTGCGGGTACCTGCCCCTTCACCAGGGGCCTTGGGAGGGGCCATCAGAAATGGCGTGACCTGTGCAGCCTGTCCTGGGTTCTGTAAGCCAGTGTAGGTGCTGTCCCTGTGAGGCCCGTGTGCCTCCCCTCACTGCTCCGAGCTCTCTGGCTGAGGAGCTGGGGCAGGAGCCCCGGGAGGGTCTGAGAAGACTCAGAGAGAGGTGGACTCTTTGTAGCTGGTACTAGGTTTGCTTTACAGATGGGGAAACTGAGGCACAGAGAGGTTGAGGCATTAGTAGTACTACATGGCTGGCTGGAGAGCCGGACAGTCAGTGTCCCAGCCCGGGCTTGGCTCTCATGGCATGCAGAGCCCCGGGCACCTCCTCTCCTCTGTGCCCCGCGTGGGACTCTCCAGCCCGACGGGAGGTGTGTCCAGGAGGCGACAGGCTAAGGGCAGAGTCCTCCACAGAGCCCAGGCTGACACCAGTCCCCCCGCAGAGGTACAGCCCCGTGGTGGAGGCCGGCTCGGACATGGTCTTCCGGTGGACCATCAACGACAAGCAGTCCCTGACCTTCCAGAACGTGGTCTTCAATGTCATTTATCAGAGCGCGGCGGTCTTCAAGCTCTCAGTAGGTGGGCGGGAGTGGGGAGGGGAGGGGATGGGGCGGGGCGGGGGCGGGCTCCACCTTCACCTCTGCCTTCTGCTCTGCTTCATGCTGCCCGAGGACGCTGCCATGGCTGTGGTGAGTGGAGGGAGGGACGCCAAGCAGGGCAGGCCTCTCACCTGCCACCTGGGCCCACTGATGCCTGTCCCTGCAGCTGACGGCCTCCAACCACGTGAGCAACGTCACCGTGAACTACAACATCACCGTGGAGCGGATGAACAGGATGCAGGGCCTGCGGGTCTCTACAGTGCCAGCCGTGCTGTCCCCCAATGCCACGCTGGCACTGACGGCGGGCGTGCTGGTGGACTCGGCCGTGGAGGTGGCCTTCCTGTGAGTGACTCAGGGGCCGGTTTGGGGTGGGCACCAGGCTCTTGTCCGGGCACCAGGCTCTTGTCCCGGCTCCAGCCTCAGCCGAGGGACCCCACATCAGGGGGTTGCTTTTCTGAGCCTCGGTTTCCCTGTCTGTTGGGAGGTACTGGGTGCACAGGAGCCCTGAGGCTGCACGGGAGCCGGGAGAGGCCTCAGCACAGCCGGGTGGGCCCTGAATGGAGGCCCGGGGCGTGACTGCAGAGTGGAGCCTCGGCTGGGTCCCAAGCACCCCCTGCCCCGCCACCGCGCACCTGTGCCCCGCCACTGCGCACCCCTGTCCCGGTTCACTCACTGCCTCCCACCGCCCCGGCAGGTGGACCTTTGGGGATGGGGAGCAGGCCCTCCACCAGTTCCAGCCTCCGTACAACGAGTCCTTCCCGGTTCCAGACCCCTCGGTGGCCCAGGTGCTGGTGGAGCACAATGTCACCCACACCTACGCTGCCCCAGGTGAGGGATGAGGGGGTGAGGGGGCCACTGCCTTTCAGGCTCTGAGCACGGGGCCCCCCCAGTCCCCCAGTCAAGCTGCCCCGCTTCCTCCCCAACAGCCCTCACTGTGACCTCACCTGGGCTGATGGCTTAGGCCCCTACTGGGGTGAGGGAGGGGCCAGGCGTGGGAGGAGTGGACAGGGAAGCTGGGCCCCCTGAACTGCCCCCCACCGCGGCCTGGCTCTTGCTGCTCTGCTGCCCCGAGTGCAGCTGCACTTGGAGGCGGTGCCGTCCTCACCAGGCAGCCCTCAGTGCTGCTGCACCTGTGCTCCGTCCCGCACGTGGCTTGGGAGCCTGGGACCCTTAAGGCTGGGCCGCAGGTGCAGCCGTTCACCCCGGGCTCCTCAGGCGGGGGGCTTCTGCCGAGCGGGTGGGGAGCAGGTGGGGGTGCCGCGGCTGCCCCACTTGGGCCTGTCCCCACAGGTGAGTACGTCCTGACCTTGCTGGCATCTAATGCCTTCGAGAACCGGACGCAGCAGGTGCCTGTGAGCGTGTGCGCCTCCCTGCCCTCTGTGAGCGTGTGCGCCTCCCTGACTGGGGCCTGCTGGTACCCCAGAGTGGGTGTCTGTTCCCCAGTCCCTGCTTTCCTCAGCTGGCCTGATTGGGGGTCTGCCCAGAGGGGTCGTCTGAGGGGAGGGTGTGGGAGCAGGTTCCATCCCGGCTCAGCCTCCTGACCCAGGCCCTGGCTAAGGGCTGCAGGAGTCTGTGAGTCAGGCCTACGTGGCAACTGCGGTCCTCACACCCACACATACGTCTGTTCCCACACGCATCCCCCCAGGGGCCCTCAGTGAGCATTGCCTGCCTCCTGCCAGGGTCCAGCTGGGTCCAGTACACCAGAACGCACACCCCAGTGTCCTCTGCCCTGTGTATGCCCTTCCGCCGCCCAGGTTGGAAGGTGGCAAACCGGATGAGTATCCTGGGAGGGGGTGAGCTCACCGGCAGTGGCCAGGCCCCTGGGAAACCTGGAGTTTGGGAGCAGCATCCTCCACGGGTCCCCCAGACCTTCCAGCAGGCCAAATAGACCTGTGTTGGAGGTAACCCCACTCCCACGCCAGGTGCTGATCCGCAGTGGCCGGGTGCCCATTGTGTCCTTGGAGTGTGTGTCCTGCAAGGCACAGGCCGTGTACGAAGTGAGCCGCAGCTCCTACGTGTACCTGGAGGGCCGCTGCCTCAATTGCAGCAGCGGCTCCAAGCGAGGGGTGAGTGTTGAGCGGGGTGTGGGCGGGTTGGGGATGGGTCCCATGGCCGAGGGGACGGGGCCTGCAGGCAGAAGTGGGGCTGACAGGGCAGAGGGTTGCGCCCCCTCACCATCCCTTCTGCCTGCAGCGGTGGGCTGCACGTACGTTCAGCAACAAGACGCTGGTGCTGGATGAGACCACCACATCCACGGGCAGCGCAGGCATGTGACTGGTGCTGCGGCGGGGCGTGCTGCGGGACGGCGAGGGATACACCTTCACGCTGACGGTGCTGGGCCGCTCTGGCGAGGAGGAGGGCTGCGCCTCCATCCCCCTGTCCCCCAACCGCCCGCCGCTGGGGGGCTCTTGCTGCCTCTTCCCACTGGGCGCTGTGCACGCTCTCACCACCAAGGTGCACTTCGAATGCATGGGTGAGTGCAGGCCTGCGTAGGGGGAGCAGCGGGATCCCCCGACTCTGTGAGGTCACGGAGCCCTCCTGTGATGCCGTGGGGACCGTCCCTCAGGCTGGCATGACGCGGAGGATGCTGGCGCCCCGCTGGTGTACGCCCTGCTGCTGCAGCGCTGTCGCCAGGGCCACTGCGAGGAGTTCTGTGTCTACAAGGGCAGCCTCTCCGGCTACGGAGCCGTGCTGCCCCCGGGTTTCAGGCCACACTTCGAGGTGGGCCTGGCCGTGGTGGTGCAGGACCAGCTGGGAGCCGCTGTGGTCGCCCTCAACAGGTGAGCCAGGCCGTGGGAGGGCGCCCCCGAGACTGCCACCTGCTCACCACCCCCCTCTGCTCGTAGGTCTCTGGCCATCACCCTCCCAGAGCCCAACGGCAGCGCAATGGGGCTCACAGTCTGGCTGCACGGGCTCACCGCTAGTGTGCTCCCGGGGCTGCTGCGGCAGGCCGATCCCCAGCACGTCATCGAGTACTCGCTGGCCCTGGTCACTGTGCTGAACGAGGTGAGTGCAGCCTGGGAGGGGACCTCACATCTGCTGCATGCGTGCTGGGGACCAAGACCTGTTCCCCTGCCTGGAGCTTTGCGGAGGGCTCATCCCGGGCCCCAGAGATAAATCCCAGTGACCCTGAAGCAGCACCCCGACGTTCCGCTCCCAGCAGCCACACCCACCAGGCCCTCTCCGGCGTCTGCTTTCCACAATGCAGCCCCCGCCCAGGAGGGCCCATGTGCTTACCCTGTTTTGCCCATGAAGAAACAGCTCAGTGTTGCGGGTCAGTGCCCACATCACACAGCATCTAGCACGTAACTGCACCCCGGGAGTCGTGGGCATCTGCTGGCCTCCTGCCGGCCTCCTGCCCTGCTGACAGCTTGCTGTGCCCCCTGCCTGCCCCAGTACGAGCGGGCCCTGGACGTGGCGGCAGAGCCCAAGCACGAGCGGCAGCGCCGAGCCCAGATACGCAAGAACATCACGGAGACTCTGGTGTCCCTGAGGGTCCACACTGTGGATGACATCCAGCAGATCGCTGCTGCGCTGGCCCAGTGCATGGTAGGATGGCCCCACATGCTCTCCCCGCCCCGCATGCCTGCCAGGGTACTGGGTTCAGCCCCCCAGGGCAGACGGGCAGCTTGGCCGAGGAGCTGAGCCTCCAGCCTGGGCTCCTTCCTGCCATGGCGTTCCTCGGTCTCTGACCTGCTTCAGTAGCCTCAGCCATTCTGCTGTCCTGTGTGAACGCAGGGTGCCTCTCGGGGGACCCAGGGTGTAAAGAGGGGCCCAGATGTGGGGAGGGACTAAGAAGATGCTGCTCTGTGCCCTCCACTCTCCCCTCCCCTCCCCCTTCCCTCCCCTAGCCCCTCCCCTCCCCTTCCCTCCCCTAACCCCTCCCCTCCCCCTTCCCTCCCCTAGTCCCTCCCCCCTCCCCTAGCCCCTGCCTCCTCCCCCAGCCCCTCCCCTCCCCTAGCCCTTCCCCTCCTCCCCTCCCCTAGACCTTCCCCTCACCTCATCCCGCTGAGCCCCTCCACTCCTCCCCCAGCCCCTCCATCCCCTCACCCCTCCCCTCCTCCTTCCTCCCCTCCCTCTCCTCTCCCCCTTCTCTCTCCTTCCCTCTCCTCTCCCCCCTTTTCTCCACTTCCCTCTCCTCTCTCCCTTCTGCCCTCCTCCTTCTCTCATGTGAAGAGGTGCCTTGTGTGGTCAGTGGGCTGCATCACGTGTTCCCCAGGTGGAGGCCCTGGGTCATGCAGAGCCACAAAAAATGCTTAGTGAGGAGGCTGTGGGGGTCCAGTCAAGTGGGCTCTCCAGCTGCAGGGCTGGGGGTGGGAGCCAGGTGAGGACCCGTGTAGAGAGGAGGGCGTGTGCAAGGAGTGGGGCCAGGAGCGGGGCTGGACACTGCTGGCTCCACACAGGGGCCCAGCAGGGAGCTCGTATGCCGCTCGTGCCTGAAGCAGACGCTGCACAAGCTGGAGGCCATGATGCGCATCCTGCAGGCAGAGACCACCGCGGGCACCGTGACGCCCACCGCCATCGGAGACAGCATCCTCAACATCACAGGTGCCGCGGCCCGTGCCCCACGCCACCCGCCCGCCCCACGTGGCCCGTCCGCCCCATGCCGCCCTTTCCTCTGCCTCCCTCCTCCCCACAACCGCCTCGCCTTTGCCCCATCCCATCTTCGTCCCCCTCCCCTCCCCCCAATTCCCATCCTCATCCCCCTCCCCCAATTCCCATCCTCATCCCGCTCCCCCAATTCCCATCCTTATCCCCCTCCCCCAATTCCCATCCTTATCCCCCTCCCCCAATTCCCATTCTCCTCCCCCTCCCCCTTCCCTATTACCATCCCTTTTCTCCATCTCTCTCCCCTTTTCTCCATTTCCCCCCCGATCCTCCCCGTCCTTTTGTCCATTCCCCTCATCTTTCTTATCCCCCTTATCCTCCTTCCCCTCCCTTATCCCCCTTCCCCTCCCTTATCCCCCTTATCCCCTTCCCCTCCCTTTCACCCTGCTCCTCTTCTTCTCCCCTTTCTCTTTTCTCTACCCTTTTCCTTCCTTTTTCCTCCCTCTCCCCATCATCCCCCTCATCTTCGTCCTCATCCCCATCCCCTTCCCCCTCCCCCTCCACCACTCTCTCTCCAGCTTCCCTCTTCCTTCTGCCTGCACCTCGCTCTCTGCCCCCTCAGGTTCCCCCTTTCTCCCAGTCCCCACCCTCCGGCTCCCCCTTTTTGCCTGCCCCCACCCTCCCTCTGCCTCCCTGTCTCTGCACTGACCTCACGCCTGTCTGCAGGAGACCTCATCCACCTGGCCAGCTCAGACGTGCGGGCACCACAGCGCTCAGAGCTGGGAGCCGAGTCACCATCGCGGATGGTGGCGTCCCAGGCCTACAACCTGACCTCTGCCCTCACGCCCATCGTCACGCGCTCCCGCGTGCTCAACGAGGAGCCCCTGACGCTGGCGGGTGAGGAGATCGTGGCCCAGGGCAAGCGCTCGGACCCGCGGAGCCTGCTGTGCTATGGCGGCGCCCCAGGGCCTGGCTGCCACTTCTCCATCCCCTAGGCTTTCAGCAGGGCCCCGGCCAACCTCAGTGACGTGGTGCAGCTCATCTTTCTGGTGGACTCCAATCCCTTTCCCTTTGGCTATATCAGCAACTACACCGTCTCCACCAAGGTGGCCTCGATGGCGTTCCAGACACAGGCCGGCGCCCAGATCCCCATCGAGCGGCTGGCCTCAGAGCGCGCCTCACCGTGAAGGTGCCCAACAACTCGGACTGGGCTGCCCGGGGCCACCGCAGCTCCGCCAACTCCGTTGTGGTCCAGCCCCAGGCCTCCGTCGGTGCTGTGGTCACCCTGGACAGCAGCAACCCTGCGGCCGTGCTGCATCTGCAGCTCAACTATACGCTGCTGGACGGTGCATGCAGCGGTTGGGGCACACGCGGCCCCCTGGCCTTGTTCTTGGGGGGAAGGCGTTTCTCGTAGGGCTTCCATGGGTGTCTCTGGTGAAATTTGCTTTCTGTTTCATGGGCTGCTGGGGGCCTGGCCGGAGAGGAGCTGGGGGCCACGGAGAAGCAGGTGCCAGCTCTGGTGCAGAGGCTCCTATGGCCTTTCAGGCCCATGGCAGAGGGTGGGCTCAGGAGGGCCATCGTGGGTGTCCCCCGGGTGGTTGAGCTTCCCGGCAGGCGTGTGACCTGCGCGTTCTGCCCCAGGCCGCTACCTGTCTGAGGAACCCGAGCCCTACCTGGCAGTCTACCTGCACTCGGAGCCCCGGCCCAATGAGCGCAACTGCTCGGCTAGCAGGAGGATCCGCCCAGAGTCCCTCCAGGGTGCCGACCACCGGCCCTACACCTTCTTCATTTCCCCGGGGTGAGCTCTGCGGGCCGGCCTGGCAGGGCAGGGCAGGGCATCATGGGTCAGCATTGCCCGGGTTACGGGCCCCGTGGGGACGGCAGGCAGCGAGGGGACTGGACCGGGTATGGGCTCTGGGACTCCGACATCCAACCTGGCGGAGCCTGGGCTCACGTCCACTGCCCCTTCCCTTCCCAGGACCAGAGACCCAGTGGGGAGTTACCGTCTGAACCTCTCCAGCCACTTCCGCTGGTCGGCGCTGGAGGTGTCCGTGGGCTTGTACACGTCCCTGTGCCAGTACTTCAGCGAGGAGGACGTGGTGTGGCGGACAGAGGGGCTGCTGCCCCTGGAGGAGACCTCGCCCCGCCAGGCCGTCTGCCTCACCCGCCACCTCACCGCCTTCGGCACCAGCCTCTTCATGCCCCCAAGCCATGTACGCTTTGTGTTTCCTGTGAGTGACCCTGTGCTCCTGGGAGCCTCTGCAGAGTCGAGGAGGGCCTGGGTGGGCTCGGCTCTATCCTGAGAAGGCACAGCTTGCACGTGACCTCCTGGGCCTGGCGGCTGTGTCTTCACAGGAGCCAACAGCGGATGTAAACTACATCGTCATGCTGACATGTGCTGTGTGCCTGGTGACCTACATGGTCATGGCCGCCATCCTGCACAAGCTGGACCAGTTGGATGCCAGCCGGGGCTGCGCCATCCCCTTCTGTGGGCAGCGGGGCCGCTTCAAGTACGAGATCCTCGTCAAGACAGGCTGGGGCCGGGGCTCAGGTGAGGGGCGCGGCGGGGTGGCAGGGCCTCCCCTGCTCTCACTGGCTGTGCTGGTTGCACCCTCTGGGAGTGAGTCTCGTCGCAGGCGTCAGAACAAGGCAGTTTTTGCAGTGCTGTGTGAAGGGCTCGTGTGTTCATCCTGGGAATGACCTCGTGAGCACTCACTGTCCCTGAGGACTAGGACAGCTCCTAGCTGGAAGTAGGTGCCAGTCAGTCAGGGTGGGCAGCCCACGTTCTACACAGTAGCGTAGCCCCACAAGTTACGTGAGCATCGCTACCACTGTGGGAGACCATGCATCCACCCGCGATCCTGACTGCATAGCTCGTCTCTCAGACGGAGGCGCCAGCACCCTCCCCGTGGCTGTTTCTTCAATACCTCCATTTTCCTTTCTTTGGAATTGCCCTTCTGGCATTCCCTTTTTGTTTTCGTTTTTCTTTTTTTGGAGACGGAGTCTCGCTCTGTTGCCCAGGCTGGAGTGCAATGGCGTGATCTTGGCTCACAGCAACTTCCAGCTCCTGGGTTTAAGCGATTCCCCTTAAGCGATTCTCCTGAGTAGCTGGGAGTACAGGTGCACACCACCACACCCAGTTAATTTTTCACCATGTCAGCCAGGCGAACTCCTGACCTCAGGTGATCCGCCTGCCTCGGCCTGCCAGAGTGCTGGGATGACAGGTGTGAGCCACCACACCTGGCCGTGTTCCCATTTTTTATTTCCATGCTGCTTTCATCTTCATTTCCCAGTTCTTTCTTTTGATTACCTACTTTTAAAAACTGTCGGCCGGGTGCGGTGGCTCACACCTGTAATCCGAGCACTTTGGGAGGCTGAGGCAGGCTAATCACGGGGTCAGGAGATCGAGACCATCCTGGCTAACGGTGAAACCCTGTCTCTACTAAAAAATACAAAAAAATTAGGCCGGCGTGGTGGCAGGCGCCTGTAGTCCCAGCTCCTCGGGAGACTGAGGCAGGAGAATGGCGTGAACCCGGGAGGCGGAGCTTGCAGTGAGCTGAGATTGCGCCACTGCACTCCAGCCTGGGTGACACAGCAAGACTCCATCTCAAAAAAAAAAAAAAAAAAAAATACTGTCACCTGGGTCTGTCACTGGGAGAGGAGGTGACACAGCTTCACGCTTCGCAGTCTGTGCATGAACTGAGGGACGGGTGTGTGGTGCAGGTCACCGGTTGTGGCGTGACTGAGGTGTGGACAGGTGTGCAGTGCGGGTCACTGGTTGTGGTGTGGACTGAGGCGTGTGCAGCCATGTTTGCATGTTACAAGTTACAGTTCTTTCCATGTAACTTAATCATGTCCTTGAGGTCCTGCTGTTTATTGGACAAATTGCAGTAACCGCAGCTCCTCGTGTATAGCAGAGCTGTGCAAAGCCGGGACTGCCTGTGTGGCTCCTTGAGTGCGCGGAGGCCAAAGCTGAGATGACTTGCCTGGGATGCCACACGTGTTGGGCAGCAGACCGAGCCTCCCACCCCTCCCTCTTGCCCTCCAGGTACCACGGCCCACGTGGGCATCATGCTGTATGGGGTGGACAGCCGGAGCGGCCACCGGCACCTGGACGGCGACAGAGCCTTCCACCGCAACAGTCTGGACATCTTCCAGATCGCCACCCCGCACAGCCTGGGTAGCATGTGGAAGATCCGAGTGTGGCACGACAACAAAGGTCTGTATGGACCCTGCCAAGCTCTGCCCCTCTGCCCCTGCATTGGGGCGCCCTGCGAACCTGACCTCCCTCCCGCGCCTCTGCAGGGCTCAGCCCTGCCTGGTTCCTGCAGCACATCATCGTCAGGGACCTGCAGACGGCACGCAGCACCTTCTTCCTGGTCAATGACTGGCTTTCGGTGGAGACGGAGGCCAACGGGGGCCTGGTGGAGAAGGAGGTGCTGGCCGCGAGTAAGGCCTCGTTCCGTGTTCCCACTCCGTGGGAGGTTGGGCAGGGTGGTCCTGCCCCGTGGCCTCCTGCAGTGCGGCCCTCCCTGCCTTCTAGGTCACGCAGCCCTGTTGCGCTTCCGGCGCCTGCTGGTGGCTGAGCTGCAGCGTGGCTTCTTTGACAAGCACATCTGGCTCTCCATATGGGACCGGCCGCCTCGGAGCTGTTTCACTCGCATCCAGAGGGCCACCTGCTGCGTTCTCCTCATCTGTCTCTTCCTGGGCGCCAACGCCGTGTGGTACGGGGCTGTTGGAGACTCTGCCTACAGGTGGGTGCCGTAGGGGTCGGGACAGCCTCTTCCTGCCCAGCCCTTCCTGCCCCTCAGCCTCACCTGTGTGGCCTCCTCTCCTCCACACAGCACGGGGCGTGTGTCCAGGCTGAACCCGCTGAGCGTCGACACAGTCGCTGTTGGCCTGGTGTCCAGCGTGGTTGTCTATCCCGTCTACCTGGCCATCCTCTTTCTCTTCCGGATGTCCCGGAGCAAGGTGGGCTGGGGCTGGGGACCCGGGAGTACTGGGAATGGAGCCTGGGCCTCGGCACCATGCCCAGGGCCGCCACTTTCCAGTGCTGCAGCCAGAGGGAAAGGCGTCCACCAAAGGCTGCTCGGGAAGGGTCAACACACTTGAGCAGCCTTAGCTAGACTGACCAGGGAGAAAGAGAGAAGACTCAGAAGCCAGAATCGTGAAAGAACGAGGGCACTTCGCTAAGCAGACGCCACGGACAACTGCACAGCAGCACGCCAGATAACTCAGAAGAAGCAAGCACGCGGCTGTGCACGCTTCCGAAATGCACTCCAGAAGAAAATCTCAGTACATCTATAGCAAGTGAAGAGGCCGAGTTAGTCCCTTAGAAACCTCCCAGTGGCCGGGCCGGGTGTGGTGGCTCACGCCTGTAATCCCAACACTTCAGGAGGCCGAGGTGGGCGGATCTGAGTCCAGGAGTTTGAGACCAGCCTGGGCAACATAGCAAGACCCCATCTATATAAAACATTAAAAAGGGCCAGGCACGGTGGCTCATGCCTGTAATCCCAACACTTTGGGAGGCCGAGGCGGGCAGATCAGTTGAGGTCAGGAGTTCGAGACCAGCCTGGCCAACACAATGAAACCCCATCTCTACTACAAATACAAAAACAGCTGGGCATGGTGGCGGGCGCCTGTAGTCCCAGCTACTCGAGAGGCTGAGGCAGGAGAATGGCATGAACCCAGGAGGCGGAGCTTGCAGTGAGCCGAGATTGCGCCACTGCACTCCATCCTGGGCAACGGAGCAAGACTCCGTCTCCAAAAAAAAAAAAAAAAAAAATCCCACAAAGAAAAGCCCAGGCTCAGAGCCTTCACGATAGAATTTTTCTAAGCAGTTAAGGAAGAATTAACACCAATCCTTCACAGACTCTTTCCAAGAATACAGCAGGTGGGAACTCTTCCCATTCATACGGAAACGGGAGGCCGCACCCCTTAGGAATGCACACGTGGGGTCCTCAAGAGGTTACATGCAAACTAACCCCAGCAGCACACAGAGAAGGCGCATAAGCCGCGACCAGCAGGGGTTGCTCCCGAGTCCGTGGCAGGAACCAGAGGCCACATGTGGCTGCTCGTATTTAAGTTAATTAAAATGGAACGATGGCCGGGTGTGGTGGCTCACACCTGTAATCCCAGCACTTTGGGAGGCGGAGGCGGGCAGATCACTTGAGGTCAGGAGTTCCAAGACCAGCCTGGCCAACACAGTGAAACCCCGTCTCTACTAAAAATACAAAAAATTAGCTGGGCATCGTGGCAGGCACCTGTAATCCCAGCTACTAAAGAGGCTGAGCCAGGACGGACAATCGCCTGAACGCGGGAGGTGGAGGTTGCAGTGAGCTGAGATTGCGCCAGTGCACTCCAGCCTGGGTGACAGAGCGAGACTCCATCTAAAAAAAAAAAAAATGAAATTTAAAACTCTGTTCCTTAGCTGCACCAGTCTGCTGTCAACCGTTCAGTGGCACATGTCGCGAGGGGCTGCCATCACGGACGGTGCAGATGTCCCATATATCTAGCATTCTAGAACATTCTGTCAGATGGCACCGGGCTCTGTCCTGTCTGCTGAGGAGGTGGCTTCTCATCCCTGTCCTGAGCAGGTCTGAGCTGCTGCCCGCTGACCACTGCCCTTGTCCTGCAGGTGGCTGGGAGCCCGAGCCCCACACCTGCCGGGCAGCAGGTGCTGGACGTCGACAGCTGCCTGGACTCATCCGTGCTGGACAGCTCCTTCCTCACGTTCTCAGGCCTCCACGCTGAGGTGAGGGCTCTACTGGGGGTCCTGCCGCCTTGGCGCAGCTTGGACTCAAGACCCTGTGCACCTCTCAGCAGGCCTTTGCTGGACAGATGAAGAGTGACTTGTTTCTGGATGATTCTAAGAGGTGGGTTCCCTAGAGAAACCTCGAGCCCTGGTGCAGGTCACTGTGTCTGGAGTACCGGGGGTGTGCGGGCTGCGTGTCCTTGCTGGGTGTCTGTGGCTCCATGTGGTCACACCACCTGGGAGCAGGTTTGCTCGGAAGCCCAGGGTGTCCGTGCGTGACTGGACGGGGGTGGGCTGTGTGTGTGACACATCCCCTGGTACCTTGCTGACCCGCGCCACCTGCAGTCTGGTGTGCTGGCCCTCCAGCGAGGGAACGCCCAGTTGGCCGGACCTGCTCAGTGACCCGTCCATTGTGGGTAGCAATCTGCGGCACGACCCCCACTTACTGGGTCTCTCCTTTTACAACCAACACAACCGAAATCTAGGGCTTCTTCTTTTTTTTTTTTTTTTTTTGAGACAGAGTCTCATTCCATTCTGTCACCCAGGCTGGAGTGCAATGGTACGATCTCGGCTCACTGCAACCTCCGCCTCCCAGGTTCAAGGGATTGTCCTGCCTCAGCCTCCTGAGTAGCTGGGATTACAGGCGTGTGCCACCATGCCTGGCTAATTTTTGTATTTTTGGTAGAGACGGGGTTTCAGCATGTTGGTGAGGCTGGTCTCGAACTCCTAACCTCGTGATCCGCCTGCCTCAGCCTCCCAAAGTGCTGGGATTACAGACGTGAGCCACCATGCCCAGCCAAATCTAGGGCTGGAACATGGCTGCAGCATATAAATAGAATTGAATTCCATAGTTTTGTTAACCCTGTTTTTTGTTTGTTTGTAGTTGTTGCTGTTTTTGAGACAGAGTCTCGCTCTGTCGCCTAGGCTGGAGTGCAGTGGTGCAATCTCGGCTCACTGCAGACTCTGCCTCCCGGGTTCAAACTGTTCTCCTGCCTCAGCCTCCCAAGTAGGTGGGACTACAGGCGCCCACCACCACACCCGGCTAATTTTTGTATTTTATTAGAGACAGGGTTTCACCATATTGGCCAGGCTGGTCTGGAACTCCTGACCTTGTGATCCGCCCACCTCGGCCTCCCAAAGTGCTGGGATTACAGGCGTGAGCCACCACCCCCAGCCCCTGTTTTGTTTTTGTTTTGCTTGCTTCTTAGGGTTGTTTTTCTATTTATGGTAAAGGCATTGGCTTTCCATTTGTAGCATCAATAGAATATTTCCTGTTTACAATAACCTTATGTCATAGTAAATGGTAAAGGGATTTAAAGCAGTGGTTTTCAGCTGCCAGAGGCCTGAGTTTGGGCACACTCTGTGTGATCGGGCAGAAGGCCTGTGGGAAGTTTAGCTGAGGACAGGGCCAGGAAAGGTGATGGACAGTGGGGGTCTGTCCTGGTCACCAGGCCCCTGGGTCCTGCCCACCTGCTTGGAGCTCCCCACCCATCACACATGATGCTGCCAAGCCCTCTGGGTATTGTGGGCAAATACCTTAGGAGAGAAGCTGATGAACTTTGTTTCTTGAAATGCACAGATTCCTTGGACGTCCCTGAGAGCTCAGTCATGAAAGTCAGCTTGGTTTTCTCCCCCTCATTTGGGTTCAGAATTTAAAGTCCACACACACGGGCAGTAAGATGATATAGATAAGGACATCATCACTCGGTTTCGGATGTTAAAATGTCTAGGTGGGTTAGGGGTGATTTGAGATCACACAACCTTGTGCCACAAAGAGGAATTCCCAGGCCAGAGGGAGACATTTTATTGCCATGTTATGATCTCATCATTGAGTTGAAAGGCAATCTTGTTTCATTTTGGATTCTTTCTTATGTTTATGTCTTATAAGGGCACTTTGAATTTCCAAGCAAATAATAATTTTGAATTAGCTTTTAATCATTGACTTCTAGCACAGTTTTATGATCAGAAACATGCTGTGTGATTTGATTGCTCTCAAATATATTGAGATTTGCTGGAACAAAATAAGTCAGGTTAATTTTTGTAAATGTACCATGCATGCTTAAAATGAATGTATGTACATTTGTTCCTGAGATACAGGTTGATGGACGGATGGCTACATGGATGTGATGGAGATGGTTTACTATCGGGACCTTCCGCATCCTGCTGATGTTTTGTTGCTTAGGATATGAATGGCTGAGCGGAGGCTGTAAAACCTGGCACTCTGCTTGGGTATGAGGTTCTTCCTGCCATCCTGCCATCATTTGTTTTTTATGTTTTGTCGCCAAAAGTGACCTTGAGGAACCCTGGGAGCTCAGGAAGGAAGGAGCACCCAGAAGCAGGGACAGGGAGCTGGTTGGGGAGGACCAGAAATCAGGTTTGTGAAGGTTCCAGAGAGGACCTGGCCTTGGGAGGAGCGTGGGGGACTGAGAAGGGGGAGGGGTCATTGGGATGATGCGGGCGCTACTTGGAATGTCCATTGTGAGGCACCACCGGGGTCATCAGGGATTGGTGGAGAGAGAGTCTAAAGCCCCAGGGTTGCTAAGGGAGGGCCCAGACCGAAGAAGGTTTGGTGGAAAGCAGAACCTTTGTCTCCTAATTGCTCCTAAGCCTCACGCTCCCTTGCCCCGCCTGTCCTGTTGCTTCCCTGATCTTCTCCGTGACCTGTAGCTAAACCTTCCACCAGCGCTTGAGAACTTAATTTGAACCGGATCCTTTCCCAGACCCCTTTCTTCTTCTCCTCCTCCTCCTCCCCAACAGCCCCCTTCTCCTCCTTTCCCTTCCCTTACTTCCCCCCTTCCCCTCCCCTTCCCCTCCCCCTCCCCTCCCCCTCCCCAACTCAGATCGGGCCCGGTCCCCGTCCCCTTCCCTCCCCCCTGCCCTAAGCCACCTCCACCTCTGTCCTGGCTGCCTCAGGGCGCCCTGAAAGGACCAGGACATGCGGGTGCGGTGGCTGCTCTTTTGGCTCCTCTTTTGGCTCCTGCTGGGATTTATCAGCCATCAGTCCACCTGTGTGAGTAGATGGGTGCTGTGGCTGCTCTTTTGGCTCCTGCTGGGATTTATCAGCCATCAGTCCACCTGTGTGAGTAGACGCTGGACCCGCGGGGTTTCTTCCTTTTTACTGGGCTGTGTCACGCGGCATGAAATTACACAGCTCAGGCCTGTAATCCCAGCACTTTAGGGGGCTGAGGTGGGCAGATCACTTGAGTCCAGGAGTTGAAGACTAGCCAGGGCATCATAGCGAAACCCCATCTCTACAAAAAATTCCAAAAAAGATTAGTCGGGCCTGGTGGTGCGTACCTGTTATCCCAGTTACTGGAGAGGCTGAGGTGGGAGGATCGCTTGGGCCCAGGAGCTGGACGTTGCAGTGAGCCGAGATGGCCCCGCTGCACTCTTGTCTCTAACAAACAAAACGGACCAAAACAAAGTGAAATGTCATTTGATTTGTGTCATCTGGTTTGATGACTTTTTTTTTTTTTTTTAAGACAGAGTCTCATTCTGTCGCCCAGGCTGGAGTGCAGTGGCAAGATCTCGGCTCACTGCAACCTCCGCTTCCGGGGTTCAAGCAATTGTCCTGCCTCAGCCTCCTGAGCAGCTCAGATTACAACGCCTGGCTAATTTTTGTATTTTTAGTAGAGACTGGGTTTCACCGTGTTCGCCAGGATAGTCTCCATGTCTTGACCTCGTGATCTGCCTGCCTCGGCCTCCCAGTGCTGGGATTACAGGCGTGAGCCACCGCGCCTGGCCAAAATATATAACCTTAAGTGTAAGTTTACTAACTTTGGAAAGTACATACACCAGCATAAACCAACCCCCTTTCAAGATCTACATTATTTTATTTATTTATTTATTTATTTGAGACAGTTTCTCCCTTGTTGCTGAGGCTGGAGTGCAATGGGGCAATATCAGCTCACCGCAACCTCTGCTTCCCAGGTTCGAGCGATTCTCCTGCCTCAGCCTCCCGAGTGGCTGGGATTACAGACATGTGCCACCACTCCCAGCTAATTTTGTATTTTTAGTAGAGATAGGGTTTCTCCATGTTGGTCCGGCTGGTTTTGAACTCCCGACCTCAGGTGATCCGCCTGCCTCGGCCTCCCAAAGTGTTGGGATTACAGGCGTGAACCACCGTGCCCAGCCAAGATCTACACTATTATGTCACCCCAGAAAGTGAACTCTCACTCTTCCCAGCCAGTCTCTTTCTTATCATAGCTTAGCTTGCTTATTCTGGAATTTCGCGTATACAGATGCATGCCATGCCATAGGTACTCTTTTGTGTCTGCTTTATTCTGCTCAACACCATGTTTCTGAAATCATTACCATTGTTGTACGGTTCTCTAACTCCATCATTTCCATTTCAGACTCAGCATATGCTGAGTTCAACCTGTTGAAGGGCTATCTCTGTTTAATTCACCATCTTGAAAGAAACATTTAAAATTGAGATGTTTTCAAGAATATATAGTTAAATCCTGAGGAATCGATGTAGAAATGTTATCAGAAGCTGTCTGAACTTACTCAGGGGAAGTCTTCGTCTTCACTCACATAAGAGTCTAATGGAATTAATATCAACAATCTTAGAGAAATCCCACGCTATTCATGCCATTTTCATGATCTCCACCTTGGTAATTTTTTTTTTTTTTTTTTTTGAGACAGAGTCTCGCTCTGTCACCCAGGCTGAAGTGCAGTGGTGCGATCTTGGCTCACTGCAACCTCTACCTCCCAGGTTCAAGTGATTCTTCTGCCTCAGCCTCCCAAGTAGCTGGAACTATAGGCGCGTGCCACCATGCCCTGCTAATTTTTTGTATTTTTAGTAGAGATGGGTTTCACCGTGTTAGCTAGGATGGTCTCAATCTCCTGATCTCGCGGTCCACCCACCTCGGCTTCCCAAAGTGCTGGGATTGCAGGCGTGAGCCACCACGCCCAGCCCACCTTGTTACTTTTTAAGAACTAAAATTCGATACTTATTTGTGAATGAAGTAATCTCTTCATTGTATTTTTTTTTTTTTTACTTATGCTGAGCTTTAAATGACAAAGATTCATATAATCCAAGAGAGAAGTATTATTTAGAGGGATTCTTTTACCATGTGATATATAATAAATGCATCCAATGTTATACATCAATTTAAAAAACAAGTAAATAACTAAAGAAAAGATAACTACTGGCCAGGTGCAGTGGCTCACACCTGTATTGCCAGCACTTTGGGAGGCCGAGGCAGGTGGATCATGAGGTCAGGAGTTGGAGACCAGCCTGGCCAAGATGGTGAAACCCTGTTTCTACTAAAAAGACAAAAATTAGCCGAGCGTGGTGGCAGGCGCCTGTAATCCCAGTTACTCAGTAGCTGAGGCAGGAGAATCGCTTGAACCCGGGAGGCGGAGGTTGCAGTGAGCTGAGATCATGCCACTGCAATCTAGCCTGGGTGACAGAGCAAGACTTTGTCTCAAAACAAAAATAAAAGATAAGATAATTACTTTATACTTAGCTTGTCTTACCCATGAGTGACGGGCTGCATGTGGCCCAGGACAGTTTTGAATGCAGTTCAACACAAATTTGTAAACTTTCTTAAAACATTAGGAGATTTTGGCCAGGTACAGTGGCTCATGCCTGTAATCCCAGCACTTTGGGAGGCTGAGGCGGGCAGATTACCTGAGGTCAGGAGTTCGAGACCACCCTGGCCAACATGACAAAACCCCATCTCCACAAAAAATACAAAAATTTGCTGAGTGCACTGTCAGGCACCTGTACTCCCAGCTACTCAGGAGGCTGAGGCAGGAGAATCACTTGAACCTGAGAGGCAGAGGTTGCAGTGAGCCGAGAGCACACCACTGCACTCCAGCCTGGGTGACAGAGTGAGACCCCATCTCAAAAACAAACAACAAACAAAAACAAAAAAAATGGCCTGGCACGGTGGCTCACACCTGTAATCCCAGCACTTTGGGAGGCCGAGGCAGGCAGATCGCCTGTCAGGAGTTCAAGGCCAGACTGGCCAACATGGTGAAACCTCATCTCTACTAAAAATACAAAAATTAGTCGGGCATGGTGGCAGAGACCTGTAATCTCAGCTGCTCGGGAGGCTGAGGCAGGAGAATGGCTTGAGCCCAGGAGCTGGAGGTTGCAGTGAGCCGAGATTGCACCACTGCACTCCAGCCTGGGCGACTGAGTGGAGCGGAACTCTGTCTCAAAAAAAAAAAAAAAAATTTTTTTTTTTAGATCATCAGCTATTGTTAGTGTTAGTGTATGTTATGTGTGGCTCAAGACAACTTTGCTTCTTTTAATATAGGCAGGGAAGTCAAAAGATTGGATATCCCTGCTTTATACCAAGAAAGACAACACCCCACATTTGCAATGCCTAAAAACACTACCAGCCATCTGAAAAACATGAGACTTCTCTAACTTCTGTTCTTTTTTGTAGCAGTGGAATCCCACGGTGATATCTGAGGGATGTGGTTACCTTTTGGAGGAGGTTGACGGTTTCTAAGGATGATTCTTTCTGAGTGAAATATTGTCAGTGTCATTGACCTTTTCATTATTTCAACTATTATTATTCCAGGTTATCAATACTCTGGCTGACCATCGTCATCGTGGGACTGACTTTGGTGGAAGTCCTTGGTTACTTATCATTACTGTGTTTCTGAGAAGTTATAAATTTGCCATCTCCCTCTGCACAAGTTACCTTTGTGTGAGTATACTAACTTTCTGTAGAGGTATACTTGTAATCACAAATAAGAATAAATTATATGAAACAATTCACGTTTCTGGACTTCATTATGAATATGTGGTTTTACCCAAAAAATCAGGGAAATGATTTATTAGCATAAGAATTATGAAAATATCTGCCATTTACATTATGAAAATTAAATAGGTCGGTGTTTAATAGAATGTCAACAGAGCTTTTGGTCAAAAATAAGTTTTTTTAACCTTTGTGCTATTTGTCACAAATGGAGTATGAGATTTCGTCACTTAAATGGGAAAGTCTTTCTAAACTCTTCTGCTTTATAGTTCTATCGTATGGGTGGAAGGAAAGCTTCCAATCTCCTCTCTGAAGATTCACTGCAGAAATGAGCTGACAACAGACAGCTTAACAGGAAAAGAAAAACATAGAACAGGCATAAACATGGGAACCAGCTGAAAAATGAGACTGCTAGAAGGGCTGGATGGTTGATGCTTAAAGAGCACCCTCTTCTGAGGGTAGAGGGAGATAGATGGAGATGTAGGCCATTTAGAGGGGCAGCAAATGATTTTTAGGGGAAATGAAAGAGCCCAAGGAACAAACAGTTGGCCTGAGACAAAGTTCCTCTGAGGTCATAGGGACGAGGTGACAAACTGCCGGAAGGTGAAGGGCAGAACTGCACTGCGTCTCATGATGCAGAGAAAGCCCCAGAGAATCTCTTAGAACTGCCCTCCAAGAGAATCAATGAAAAGTGTGTCTGGGCAGGGTAATTTTGAATGACATCATTCAAAGTGCATGTTCCCACTTGCAACTGGAATGAGATCAGTATGTCAAAAGTCTATACTTGGTAAGAATTTGGCTGCTAAGTTGTGCCATAATTTGTCTTTTGAGCCTTTTATCCTTTGCGTAAGTTGAGCTCTACATTTTGTCTTGCCATTCATGACAATAAAAATGTGGTTGTGTGGGGGCTGAACCTCCTTCTGAACAATGATCCAAGATAAAAGTACTAAACCACAATGCTTTTTTATATTCAAGGGAAGAGGAAGTATGTTTCAGTTTTACCGCCTAGATAATTACACGTCATTTGGCACTGCCTTTCAAGATATGTAGAAAACAGAAAATATATGAGTTATGAAGATATCTAGGCACATTTAACATTCTCTATGCCACTTAGTCCTGAACAGAGAATTTTCGGTATAAATTGGAGGAAGCTTTTTTTTTTTTCTTTTCTCACCCCCAAGAGGAGTCTCCCTCTGTTGCCCAGGCTGGAGTATAATGGTGTGATCTCGGCTCACTGCAACCTCCACCTCCTGGCTTCAAGTGATTCCCCTGCCTCAGCCTCTCAAGTAGCTGGGATTACAGGTGCCCACCACCATGCCCAGCTAATTTGTGTATTTTTAGTAGAGTCGGGGTTTTACCATGTTGGCCAGGCTAGTCTCAAAACCCGACCTCAAATGATCCACCCGCCTCAGCCTCCCAAAGTGCTGGGATTACAAGTGTGAGTCACCACGTGAGCCAGGGGAAGTTTTTAAATTTACCACTTTTTAACAATTCCATTTAGGAAAGTTCAGTTGAGCTGTTGGACTTGGACAACTTTGCACCTCTCATCTTTGTCCTTGTCATCTAGTCATCTATACCATTACCTCCTAAGCAGGGACATCATGGGTGCCATGAAGCATTCATGTGTGATGGCATTTCTTTGCTTCTCATTTCTTCATGTGTTTGACATTTCTCCTAGCTCCAAACTGGGCCAGCTACCTTTCCTATGAAATCTAGCAGTAGCTGTGGGATAGACGTGGTTGCTCTTTTCATCTTTTTAGATTACCCATTGCTTCTCTTGAAATCCTAGTACATGATTTTTTTTTAATCCTATGTGCAGAAATCAGGAAAAAACAAGTTCTACAAAGAATTTGAAAGATATTATTTCAGGCCAGGTGTGGTGGCTCATGCCTGTAATCCCAGCACTTTGGGAGGCTGAGGCAGGTGGATCACTTGAGGTCAGGAGTTCAAGACCAGATGGGCCAACATAGTGAAACCCCATCTCTACTAAAAAGACAAAAATTAGCCAGGCATGGTAGCAGGCACCTGTAATCCCAGCTACTTGGGAGGCCGAGGCACAAGAATCGCTTGAATCTGGGAGGTGGAGGTTGCCGTGAGCCAAGGTAGTGCCACTGCACTTCAGCATGGTTGAGTGACACTCCGTCTCAAGAAAAAAGTCATTTCAATGACTACCTCAGGAGATTCATAGGTATCTGACCCACATCTGAGATGGGATTTGCATTGCATTTTAGCTATGATGAGAACAAATATTTAATATCTTCGAAGATTAAAAGCATACTGTGATAATATGGAAATCTTGGTGGGAATTCAGTCATTAGTGAGAATGTTTTGCGTTAAGTTCAAACCAGCCTCAACGAAGCTGATGTGAGGGAAGGGAAAGTGAACTCTGAGTAGAGCAGGGACAGAAGAAAGATGCTCCAGTGCAGATCAGGAAGGAGCAGGGGGTGAAATGTTACAAATTCTAGAACTCAGAGAGCTGAAGGTAATTAATTACTTCCTTTTCAAGTTGTGAAACATGTTAACCTGTGGTAAAATACTTACAAGATGATAATTACCATCTAACCGTGTTGAAGTGTACAGTTCAGTTGTGTGAAGTATATTCATGTCATTTTTTTTTTTTTTTTTTGAGACGGAGTCTCACTCTGTCACCAGGCTGGAGTGCAGTGGTGGGATCTTGGCTCACTGCAACCTCTGCCTCTTGGGTTCAAGCAGTTCTCCTGCCTCAGCCTCCCGAGTAGCTGGGACTACAGGCGTGCGCCACCATGCTCAGCTAATTTTTGTATTTTTAGTAGAGACGGGGTTTCACCATGTTGCCCAGGATGGTCTCCATCTCTTGACCTTGTGATTCACCCGCCTCGGCCTCCCAAAGTGCTGGGATTACAGGCGTGAGCTACCGCACCTGGCCTATATATTTTTTTTTTTTTTTTTGAGACAGAGTTTGAATTTTGTTGCCCATGTTGGAGTGCAATGGCACAATCTCAGCTCAACACAACCTTTTCCTGCTGGGTTCAAGTGATTCTCCTGCCTCAGCCTCCCGACTAGCTGGGATTACAGGCATGCACCACCATGCCTGGCTAATTTTGTATTTTTAGCAGAGACAGCGTTTCTCCATGTTGGTGAGGCTGGTCTCAAACTCCCGACCTCAGGTTATCCGCCTGCCTCGGCCTCCCAAAGTGCTGGGATTACAGGAGTGAGCCACCATGCCAGCCTCATGTCATTCTTGTGTGTTGTGTGTGTGTGTGTGTGTGTGTGTGTGACAGAGTCTCATTCTGTCACTCAGGCTGGAGTGCAGTGGTGTGATCTCGGCTCACTGCAACCTCCACCTCCCAGCTTCAAACGGTTCTCTGCCTCAGCCTCCCGAGTAGCTCGGATTACAGGCGCCCACTGCCATGCCCGGCTAATTTTTGTATTTTTAGTAGAGATGGGGTTTCACCATCTTGGCCAGGCTGGTCTTGAACTCCTGACCCCGTGATCCACCCTGCCTCGGCCTCCCAAAGTACTGGGATTATACGCATGAGCCACCGTGCCCAGCCGTCATTCTTATATTATTATTTCCTAGGTGTCTTTCCTGAAGACTATCTTCCCGTCTCAAAATGGACATGATGGATCCACGGATGTACAGCAGAGAGCCAGGAGGTCCAACTGCCGTAGACAGGAAGGTATGGCTCTGTTGGAGTCCCCATAGTGTGGAAATGAGTTTGCCCTGGAAAGGGAAAGAACAGCTTCTTGCCCTCAGGTTTCTCACCTTCTCCTCTCCTCACTCTCACCAAGGGCTGAGGTCCGTTTGTATGCACACAAAGAAAAGAGTTTCTTCCTTTCCAGGAATTAAAATTGTCCTGGAAGACATCTTTACTTTATGGAGACAGGTGGAAACCAAAGTTCGAGCTAAAATCCGTAAGATGAAGGTGACAACAAAAGTCAACCGTCATGACAAAATCAATGGAAAGAGGAAGACCGCCAAAGAACAGTAAGATGTGCCTTGACACAAATACTGTTGTATGAACCATGTGCCAATCAAAGTAGACAACTGTAAAGTCCTTGAGAATATTTTCTACAATATTTGTGGCAAATTCAGTGGGTTCAAAATTGAGCTTGTCCTTTCTGCTTCATTAGTTTAAGCTGTATAATTCCTTTCCCTTCCTACATTCTTGTTTGTCATTTTTTCAGGGGAAGAGGAGTTGCTAGTACTGGCATTGGTTTTCCTTTCTCTCTCTCTTTTTTTTTTTTTTTCCTGAAATGGAGCTTTGCTCTTGTTGCCCAGGCCGTAGTGCAATGGCACAATCTCAGCTCACTGCCTTTTGGGTTCAAGCAATTCTCCTGCCTCAGCCTCCCAAGTAGCTGGGATTACAGGTGCCCACCACCACGCCCAGCTAATTTTTGTATTTTTACTAGAGATGGGGTTTCACCATGTTGTCCAGACTGGTCTCGAACTTCTGACCTCAGGTAATCCACCCGCCTCAGCCTCCCAAAGTGCTGGGATTAGAGGTGTGAGCCACCACACCCAGGCTTTTTTTTTTTTTTTTTAATTTTGAGATAGAGTCTCGCTCTGTCGCCCAGGCTGGAGTGCTATGGTGCAATCTTGGCTCACTGCAACCTCTGCCTCCCAGTTTGAAGCAATTCTGCCTTGGCTTCCCGAGTAGCTTGGATTACAGGTGTGTGCCACCACATTCGGCCAATTTTTTTTTTTTTTTTTTTTTTTTGAGACAGAGTCTCACTCTGTCACCCAGGCTAGAGTGCAGTGGCATGATCTTGGCTCACTGCAACCTCCGCCTCCCAGGTTCAAACGATTCTTATCCCTCAGCCTCTTGAGTAGCTGGGACTACAGGCATATGCCACCATGCCCAGATAATTTTTGTATTTTTAGTAGAGGCAGGGTTTCACCATATTGGCCAAGCTGGTCTAGAACTCCTGACATCATGATCCGCACAACTCGGCCTCCCAATGTGCTGGGATTACAGGCGTGAGCCACCGTGCCCAGCCCAATTTTTGTATTTTTAGTAGAGACGGGTTCACCATGTTGGCCAGGCTAGTCTTGAACTCCTGACCTCAGGTGATCTGCCTACCTCAGCCTCCCAGTGTGAGCCACCGCACCCAGCCTGGATTGTTGAATTCAATGCTTGGGTCACCTCCAAATTCATTTTCACAGTCTTTCATGTTTTGGTCATACTACATTGTATTTTGCTGCCATATGACTGATCTTTTTTTGTTAAATGTGAGATACTTTTTAAAAAATATTTAACAATGCATTGAGGCCTAGTAGCATGTTATCTTGCTGCAGAAGAGATGGGAGTCTACTTCTGGGGGATGGTCAGGGGTCCTCCGTACAGGCTGCAATTGAGGTCGTCTCTGCAGGCTCAGTCCCTACAAAGGCCAGGGTATTTCCTGTCCACCTCTATTCTGATGCATGACTCTTCTGGGTCTCAACCAGAGCCAGTGGACTTCAGTATGGATCGCTTTCATTGGCAGACCCTCAATCCACTTGTTTTCCATCTAACCCCACGCATGTGTGCAAAAGCTGCTGTGCTTCTTTGCATCTCAGTAGTTCCTTCTGGAATTCAGCAATGAAACTCAGGGAAATGGGTTCCAAATGCGAGGCTGACTTTCGTCCTGGGTTTCCTTCTTCTCCATCTTCACCTCATGTCTGTTTACTGCCATGTTAGCAATTTGATGTATTCAATCATGGGTTTTATATTCTGTTTGGTGTCCCCCATTGTTCTCATCGGAGATCAGAAGCTTCAGATGCACTTATGTCAACTCAAGAGTAGAATGCTTCCTTAGCTTCCCTCCAGAGTCAGGTTTTGTGTTTCTAGTTCCCAAGTGCACAGCAGGAGTAGTGCTGTCCTCACTGGCTTCTCATTTGCATTAAACTGTGAGCTTCTTTAGCGTGGGGACAGGACCCTGCTCCCATTGCATTGTCAGCACCTCACCACACACACCTTGTTTGAGGCCACTCCAGACAGCATGTGCTGAAGGATGCCCTGTGGTCAGAAACAAGTTCATTAACTTTCTCTTTGAAGTGATTTCGTCCCTGTTTCCTAGCGTTCTGGGAATTTTACACATCCTTCCTATAAAACCAAGTATCAGGTGAGATCCTTAGGATCAGGACCATGAATCAAGTGGTGTGAGGGCAACACAGCAAACTTACCCTTTTGAGGCCGTTTCCTTTTTCTGCCCTCAATCTCTGTGAACTGAACCTTGTTAAAGTCAGTCAACACCAGGGTGGATGGTTTGCCGTTGTCACCTATTTTCAGGACATAACATCCTGACTTAGGAGCCATTCCGATCATTTCTAATTCAATAGATGCGCCCAGCATTCAGATTGCCTTTTCAGGATCTTTAAAGTCGATGACAAGAGTTCCAGTCCTGAATCATGGCAAAGTGCAGTAGTGAACTGCGGGGTTAATGACACCATATTCTGGAAGGATCTCTCTATGGCTGATGGTCTCAGTTCCGGCATCAGCCTCTGACTGAGAATCAGGTCTCACACAGGAGGAGTCAGATGAGGAGCAATCCTCTGCTTCCGATGGAGTTAGTTGTGATGAATTGGTGAGGTCTGGTTTTTCACACTGAACTAAAATGAGCTTTCGCTGTGTCAAGCACAAGACTGACCCCAGAGACGCACATAGTGCACCTCATAGAAGCTTTTAATAGTCTTTATATTTACTAAAGAATAGGACTAACTATGGAACTATGAAGATGAGCTGGAAATGACAGGTGACTTGCCAGCAGGCCAGAGTGTGATTTTTTTTTGTCCCTCAATGGGAGGTGTCCATTCTTCCTTCGGTTGTGAGAATCAGTTGGTTCATTTGTGGGAAGGTTGCAGGGGGGATCTTTGAATCAGCCTTCAGATGCCAGAAGGGCAGAGGGAATCCCACACGTGCTGGTGGATCATGTGTGTGCATTTCTCTCCCTTCTAGTCTGAGGAAACTAAGCATGAAAGAACGTGAGCACGGAGAAAAGGAGAGGCAGGTGTCAGAGGCAGAGGAAAATGGGAAATTGGATATGAAAGAAATACACACCTACATGTGAGTTCAGAAACTGAACCCCACCCTCTTGGGAAACGCCCATTGGAGTGTTGTTTTTAACCTTTGTACAATGTTTAGACCCAGTAAATGCAGAAATAGAAACAAATGGTCAGAAGACATATCGTGAGAGAGAGAGAGTTCACAAAACAGAAAACAAAGTACCTTAATATTTACCAGTGACCAAAAGATGTGAAGTAGCAAAACGGCTCCTGACCCCATTGCCAGCTAGACTGTGTGGAAACTCGGTTCATACCAGCCATTCTAGGGGTGGGGTGAGTTGTTGTCATCCTTAGGAAAGTGTGTTGTTGTAGGATCAACCACATCCTTCAAAAGGACTATGCCTGTTTATAAGCCCAGCTGTTTCTGCCCTGTGAAACACGGTAAAGATATTAATACAAAGAGAATACAGCTTTATGATAAAAGATGCTCAATGAAGGATGAATTAGGGATATACTGAGAATGGGGAAGGAAACTATCATCTCAGAAGTCAGCAGGCAGTAAGCAAGAGGAGGAATCAATATAGCAACAGTTTGGATCAGACTGTACAGTTTTTTTTGTTTTTGTTTTTGTTTTTGTTTTTCTGAGATGGAGTCTCGCTGTGTCACCCAGGCTGGAGTGCAATGACGTGATCTTGGCTCACTGCAACCTCCGCCTCCCAGGTTCAAGTGATTCCCCTGCCTCAGCCTCCCGAGTAGCTGGGATTACAGGCGCCTGCCACCACCCCCGCCTAATTTTTTGTATTTTTAGTAGAGACGGGGTTTCACTGTATTAGCCAGGATGGTCTCAATCTCCTGACCTCGTGATCCATCCGCCTCGCCCTCCCAGAGTGCTGGGATTACAGGCGTCAGCCACCGTGACCGGCTCAGACTGTACTCTTCTAGCCATCTGAAATACGTTTTCTAGGTAGAGATAGATTGTGTAAGGGTACAGTTGTGAGGATAACAGAAACATGGCAGATTATTTAAAATCATCCTGAAAGTGGTGCTTTATCTGATGAAAGTGATTGTAATCCATAGGGAAATGTTTCAACGTGCGCAAGCGTTGCGGCGGCGGGCAGAGGACTACTACAGATGCAAAGTAAGGAGCTTCCTCCCCGCAGTTGCAGGATAGTTCAGTGCTGATGCAGATGATGCCACGGCCCTTAGACTCTCTCAACATTCAATTTCTCATGTGTTGGCTTTTTCAGATCACCCCTTCTGCAAGAAAGCCTCTTTGCAACCGGGTAAGTTTGCTTGTTTTCCTTGCTTTTGGACATAGTCTGCCAGGTCAGGACATGGATACATTTTTCTCCCTACGGCTCTGTGCTCAAGCCCTGCAGAGGGAGATGGCAGAGAGGAAGGCTGCCTACAAGCATCACAGTCCCATCCCTGTTGGTAACTGTGTTGCGCAAAAACACCTTCATCCCCACCCAGTGGGGCCCCCATCTAATATTCTAAGTATCAGAGGTTCCGTATTTGTAATAGCAAATGGGCCCTGACTGTAAATTAGTGAAGAGTGAATGTAACTTATTACCCACAGGGACAATTCCAAATGAGGGCCTTAAATGATGCTCAGCTAAGCTGGTTCTTGTGTGGCCTCTGTACCTTCAAAAGCTGCCGAGTCCTATGATTACACGCGATGGGACTTGTACACTTGAAGTGAAACACAGTTTTAAAACTTGCTTTGTTTAGAATTCCCACCTCATTTTTCCATGGACAAAAGTATTCTTTATGTCCTAGTGCACTTACAATTTGGTATTACCTGGGAGTGAAAAGAAATATTACAGCCATGCCTAACTGACTTCTTGAGGTAAGATTGTTCTGTCAGAAAACCCTCTCCCAGTTCCCCTGCAGCTCTTCAGGAATCCACATCTCTCCAGAGCTCTTTGTTCTCATGGGTGGCACCTCCAGAGTGAAGAAGATCCTTTGTCAAGAAGGGAAACAGAGGGGAAATGAGAGGGTCCTGCAGGCAGAGCTGGAATCAACTTCCACTCTGCCTCTTGCAAGCTGTGTGACCCTGGGCACAATTTCTCCTTCCTCTGGAAACCTCTGTTTTCTTAGATTTGGAGCAGGGTGGTCACACTGACCTTGCAGAGTTCTGAGAATCAGAGACAGAACATAAAAGGCCTGGAAAACATTCTCCAAAAAGAAGCTGCAACATGTGTGGACAATGGGCTTTTCATGCCTCTCTTACTGTCTCTTACTGTCTATTGACCTGGTGCAAGAAACATGCTCTGGTGATGGCTGTGAGGGAGGAATGAGGATAGACATAGACACTCCTGTGTCTCAAACATGCTTCTTTATTACTCTGTTATGACTCTGTCTTCCCTGGGGCAGGACCCCAGCCTGCCTACATTTGCAGACAGACACAGTGGCATGTGGAGACAACAGTGTGTCCCAATGACTTTTCTTTACCCCCTAGCTGTCGGCAGTACTCAGTGGAAGGGTGATATTATGACACTGACACTGCTATTTTGAAACCTGGAGGATGGAAAGGTGCAAAAATCTATCACCAGCAACAGAAGGTGCAGACTGTGTTGGTGGCGGTAATTTTGTCCATCAAATGAATATGTGTGAAAACATTCCCTCCTTTGGCCCTACAGGTCAGAATGGCGGCAGTGGAGCATCGTCATTCTTCAGGATTGCCCTACTGGCCCTACCTCACAGCTGAAACTTTAAAAAACAGGATGGGCCACCAGCCACCTCCTCCAACTCAACAACATTCTATAATTGATAACTCCCTGAGCCTCAAGACACCTTCCGAGTGTGTGCTCTATCCCCTTCCACCCTCAGCGGATGATAATCTCAAGACACCTCCCGAGTGTCTGCTCACTCCCCTTCCACCCTCAGCTCTACCCTCAGCGGATGATAATCTCAAGACACCTGCCGAGTGCCTGCTCTATCCCCTTCCACCCTCAGCGGATGATAATCTCAAGACACCTCCCGAGTGTCTGCTCACTCCCCTTCCACCCTCAGCTCCACCCTCAGCGGATGATAATCTCAAGACACCTCCTGAGTGTGTCTGCTCACTCCCCTTCCACCCTCAGCGGATGATAATCTCAAGAAACTAAGGAAGAATAAATAAATAATATAAAAATAAAATGAATACTGCAGTCCTTATGTTATTGCTTTGTTTCAATATCTGGTATGATTGCCTGAGGGACCTGAGGTTTTTAATCGTAGGGGTTTTTTTAATCTTTAGAAGTGGTTGGTTATGTAAAATATTATTATTTGTTTTTTTTTTGAGACTGGAGTTTGCTCTGTCACCCAGGCTGGAGTGCAGTGGCTCGATCACAGCTCACTGCAGCCTCAACCTCCTGGGCTTCAAGCAATCCTCCTGCCCCAGCCTCCCAAGTAGCTGGGATCACAGATGTGTGCCACCACGCCTGGCCAATGTTAAAAAATCCTTTAACTTTTTTGTAGAGATGCACTCCTGGACTCAAGCAATCCTCCTACTTGTCCCGACCACCAGCCTCTTTCTGATAAACATTTACACTGTTTATTATCTGATGCCATTTCTATCTTCTTCCTTGTCATCCAGACATCAAAGAATTAGGTTTCTTCAGGGTTTTCTTTTTCAAGTGCTCAGTGTTAAAGATCACTCACATTAGGGCCAGACACCACGGCTCATGCCTGTAATCCCAGCACTTTGGGAGGCCGAGGCGGGCAGAGCACTTGAGGTGGGGAGTTTGAGACCAGCCTGGCCAACTTGGTGAAACCCCACCTCTACTGAAAAAATACAAAAATTAGCTGGGCGTGATGGTGCATGCCTGTAGTCCCAGCCACTTGGGAGGCTGAGGCATGAGAATCGCTTGAACCCAGGAGGCAGAGGTTGTAGTGAGCCGAGATCACATCAGCACACTCTAGCCTGGGTGACAGAGCGAGACTGACTCAAAAAATAAATAAAATAAATATCACTTACATTAGATATACCCAAGGGGTGGTCTATAGAGACTTTGAAGCAGTGGTTATTGCAACAGGGGCACGGAAGTCATCTGGCTATGCCAGGGTGCCCAGGGGATACTCGGGGTGGGTGGCATGGTGCTGCTGGGGACTCACCGCACAGGACGCTCTGATTGACGCACTGCCAGGAGTAGCGCTCTGTCTTGGGGCTGCAGCCGGCCTCCTCAGCTCGAGTGTAACAACAGTCGTGGCCATGGCAGCACCTGCGGATGTCACATGGGCAGGACAGCAGGTGGGTGAAGCTCTCTCCTGGCCCTCCTCTCTTGCCAGGACTATGGGTGACTGAAGACCCCCAGGGAGGCACAGCATCCTCTTATCTAAGATTTTTTTTTTTTTTTTTTTTTTAAGAGACAGGGTCTTTCTCTGTCGCCCAGGCTGGACTGCAGAGGCACAATCATAGCTCACGGCAGCCTTGAACTCCTGGGCTCAAGCGATCCTCCCACTTCAGTGTCCCAAGTAGCTGAGACTACAGGCACACGCCAGCATGCCCGGCTGGTTTTTTAATTTGTATTTCCTTTGAGACAGCGTATCTCTCTGTTGCTCAGGCTGGAGTGCAGTGGCTCAATCAGCTCACTTTAGCCTTGAACTCCTGGGCTCAAGTGATACTGCCACCTCAACCTCCCAAGTCTGCTACTACAGGAACACAAACTCCTTTTTTAAATTTTTTATGGATATGGGGTCTTACTATGTTGCCTAGGCTGGTCTCGAACTCCCAGGCTCAAGCAGTCCTCCTACCTCAGCCTCCCCAAATGCTGGGATTACAGGTGGGAGCTACTGTACACCTGGCCTTATCTAAGCTGTTTCCCTGAAAATCCCCGTCTTGGGTAATGATTCCATTGGCCCCACCATGCCCTCTGCCTTCCTGGCTGTGCCCAAGCTTGGTCCCTGCCTGCCTGCCTGCCTCCCTCTCTGGGTCTTGAGCTCCTGTGACACATGACTCCTCTCTCTTCCTGGAGTGATCCAAGCCCTGCCACTTCCTGACTTTGCCCACACTGTACCCTCTGCCTGGGGCAACTTCATGTCTGCCCATTGTCCCTTAGGCCTCAGCCCAGGCACAAGCCCCTGCCTCCGGAGGTCATCCAGGCCTCACCAGGCTACACCCTCTCGTAAAATTGGATTCCCTCCCTTCAGGGCAGGTTTATAATGAAATCCTCCTCAGAGGCCAGGTGCGGTGACACCCATCTGTAATCCCAGCACTTTGGGAGGCTGAGGTGGGAGGATCACTTGAGGCCAGGGGGTCGAGACCAGCCTGGGCAACATAAGAGAGACTCTTGTCTCTATAACAAATTTAAAAATTACCTCACCAGGCCAGGCTCAGTGGCTCATGCCTGTAATCCCAACACTTTGAGAGGCCGAGGCAGGTGGATCACGAGGTCAGGAGTTCGAGAGCAGCCTGACCAACATGGCGAAACCCTGTCTCTACTAAAAATACAAGATTAGCCAGGCATGGTGGCACGCACCTGTAATCCCAGCTACTCGGGAGGCTGAGGTAGGAGAATTGCTTGAACCCAGGAGGTGGAGGTTGCGGTGAGCCAGGATCACGCCATTGCAGTCCAGCCTGAGCAACAGAGCAAGACTCTGTCTCGAGACAATAAAAACACACAAAAAATTAACTCGCCATGATGGCACATGCCTATAGTCCTAGCTACTTGGGAGGCTGAGGTGGGAGGATTCCCTTCAGCCCAGGAGTTTGAGGCTGCAGTGAGCCACTATGATTGTGCCACTGCACTCTAACCTGGGCAAAAGCGAGACCCCAGGCTAGAGTGCATGATTTTGGGTCACTGCAACCTCCACCTCCCAGGTTCAAGTGATTCTCCTGCCTCAGCCTCTTGAGTAGCTGCGACTACAGGCATGTGCCACCACGCCTGGGTAATTTTTGTATTTTTAGTAGAGACAGGGTTTAGTAGAGACCATGGTGAAACCCCGTCTCTATTAAACAAATCTCTACTAACCCCATCTCTACAAAAATCAGCTGGGCGTGGTAGTGCACACCTGTAATTCTAGCTACTTGGGAGGCTGAGGCACGAGAATCATTTGCATCTTGGAGGCAGAGTTTGCAGTGAGCTGACATCGCACCACTGCGCTCCAGCCGGGATGACAGAACAAGACCCTGTCTCAAAAAAAAGAAAAAGGAACAAACAACAGCAACGACAACAAAAAAACCTCTGTGTCAATCACAGCCTTCAAGCTAGGGGAGAGGCGGCCGAATTCTGCCCTCTGCTAACTAACTATAGCTTTGTGGAAATGGGTGAATGGCGTGCCCTTGTGAGCCTCAGGGCCCCATCTGTAAAATGGGCATAACTGTCATGCCCGTCTTTAAGAACAGCCTTGGGGGTAAATGAGTGGAAGTCATGGAAAGATCTCAGCCCACAACCTTCCACAGAACAGACGCTTCTCACACAGTAAGTAGCAGGAGTGCAGAGGCTGCAGGCATGAATCCAGCCAGACTGCCTGGGTTCAAGTCCCAGCTCCCACGTCTTGGTAACTATGTGGCCTCAGACAAGTTACTTAATATTTCTTTTTTTTTTTTTCAGACGGAGTTTTGCTCTGTCACCCAGGTTGGAGTGCAGTGGTGTGATCTCGGCTCATTGCAACCTCTGCCTCCCGGGTTCAAGCAATTCTCCTGCCTCAGCTTCCTGAGTAGCTGGAATTACAGGCACCTGCCACCACACACAGCTAATTTTTGTATTTTTAGTAGAGACGGGGTTTCACCATGTTGGCCAGGATGGTCTCGAACTCCTGACCTCGTGATCTGCCTGCCTCAGCCTCCCAAAGTACTGGGATTACAGGCGTGAGCCACCGCACCTGGACACGTTACTGAATATTTCTGTGCCTAGGTTTCTTCATGTGAAATGGGATTGTTGTGAGAACACAAAGGGATTCCCAGGGCAGTTCCTAGTGCATAGTCTGGCTGCCTTTGTATGTGTGTGTGTGTGTGTGTGCACGCGCGTGTGTGTGTGCACGCGCGTGTGTGTGTGTGTTTAATATAGAGACAGGGTCTCACTCTGTTGCCTAGGCTCGTTTCAAACTCCTGGGCTCCAGTGATTCTCCTGCCTCGACCCAAAGTGGTGGGATTACAGGCATGAGTCAACACACCTGGTCACTTTATATTATTATTATTTTTTTCTTTTGAGACAGGGTTTGGCACTGTTGTCCAGGTTGGAATACAGCGGTGCAATCTCAACTCACTGCAAACTCCGCCTCCCGGGTTCAAGCAATTCTCCTGCCTCAGTCTCCCGAGTAGCTGAGATTACAGACGCCTGCCACCACACACAGCTAATTTTTGCATTTTTAGTAGAGATGGGGTTTCACCATATTGGCCAGGCTGGTCTTGAACTCCTGACCTCAAGTGATCTGCCGGCCTCGGCCTCCCAAAGTGCTGGGATTACAGGAGTGAGCCACCGTGCCCAGCCATCTTTCTTTTCTTGCTTTCTCTTTCTTTTCTTTCGAGACCGGGTCTTGCTCTGTCGCCCAGGCTGGACTGCAGTGGCACAATCATAGCTCACTGCAGCCTCGACCTCCCTGGCTCAAGCGATCCTTCCTCCTCAGCCCCCCGAGTAGTTGGAACTACAGCTCCACACCACCATGCCTGGCTGATTCTTTTTTTCCTTGTAGAGATGGGGTCTTGCTATGCTGTCCATCCTGGTCTCAAACTCCTGGCCTTCCCAAAGCACTGGGATTACAGGCATAAGCCACCACAGCCAGTTTCCTTTTCTTCTTTTTAACTGGAATAGTTGACTTTTTCTTTATTAGCTGTGTGTCAGGAGGGTATTTTTGGCCTTTAGTATGTCGTCTAAGTTGCTAGTGCTTTTCTGAGATTGTAGTTTGTTTTCTAATTTTATTTATATTTTGCGTAGAAGTTGTGTATTTTAGATGGAGTTAGGTCGGCTGGTCTTTGATGTTTTATTTATTAATTATGTATGTATTTATTTATTTTTGAGGTAGAGTCTCGCCGTTTCACCCCAGCTGGAGTACAGTGATGCGATCTTAGCTCCCTGTAGCCTTGACCTCTCTGGGCTCAAGTGATTTTTCTCTCCTCTACCTCCCGAGTACTTGGGACCACAGGCGCATGCCGCCATGCCTGGCTAATGTGTATTTTTTTGTAGATACGGGGTCTCACTGTGTTGCCCAGGGTGGTTTCAAAATCCTGGGCCCAGGCGATCCTTCCGTCTCAGCTCCCACGGTGCTGTGTTACCGGCGTGTGCCCCAGTGCCTGGCCGTCTTGGAGGTCTTGTTTCTCTGGGTTTATGCCTCAAGGTGGCGCCTGCTCCCCTGTGCTCCCTGGTAGCCTGGTAGTGAGCCTGCTTCTCACACAGTCATACCTGGTTGTGGTCCCACAGTGGGACCACCCTGTTGGGTTCAGAACAGGAGATGGGGGCCCCTCGAGTCTGTGTGGGGGCTGTGGACAGGGTTGGGAGACCTTGGCTCTGTGGGGGACTGTGGACAGGGGATGGGGGGCCTTGGCCCTGCGTGGGATGGGTTGGGGGTCCGTGCCCTTCCTGGCCCTGGGTGGACAGGTCCAGGTGGCACTCGGCATAGGGCTGAGATGGGTGCAGAGGGCTGAGGCCCCCAGGCCTCTCCTGGCTTGGTTTCCCCAGATGAGTGTTCATTTGGGTCTTCCATCAGAAAGGCCCCTCCTGACCTCTGGGAGTGGGGAGCTCAAGGGTGGGAGGCCTTAGCTTGGGGATGCTGGAAATGTGTGGGATGGGCCCAGGGATGGCCTCTGGCCTACTAAGGGCTCTGGCCCTGACCCACGGCCACTCACTCCTCAGAGACGTCTCCCACAACCTGCTCCGGGCGCTGGACGTTGGGCTCCTGGCGAACCTCTCGGCACTGGCAGAGCTGTGAGTGTCCCCCAGTCGTGCCAGCATGCGGGGCTCACTCCGGGTGGGCTGGCGGCACCGCCTCTTGCTGCTCAGCTGTGGGGGCTTCCGTCAGCTTTGCCGAATCCCCCCTCTCTTCCAGGGATATAAGCAACAACAAGATTTCTACGTTAGAAGAAGGAATATTTGCTAATTTATTTAATTTAAGTGAAATGTAAGTTGTGGTTCTTTGGGTGGGGTCCTGGCTGGACCCCAGGCCCCCAGTATCCCTTCTGCCCTCCCAGTTGGTCCGTGTCCCCTTCCAGGCTTGAGACCAGATCCTGGGGGCAGTTCACTACCTGCTTGGAGCCCCCCAGTGCCGGCTTGGTTGGGGCAGGGGAGGCGGTGCTGTCAGGGTGGCTCCAGGGCCTGGTTGCCAGTGGGGGGCTGGCATAGACCCTTCCCACCAGACCTGGTCCCCAACACCTGCCCCTGCCCCGCAGAAACCTGAGTGGGAACCCGTTTGAGTGTGACTGTGGCCTGGCGTGGCTGCCGCGATGGGCGGAGGAGCAGCAGGTGCGGGTGGTGCAGCCCGAGGCAGCCACGTGTGCTGGGCCTGGCTCCCTGGCTGGCCAGCCTCTGCTTGGCATCCCCTTGCTGGACAGTGGCTGTGGTGAGTGCCGGTGGGTGGGGCAGCTCTGTCCTTCCCAGCCAGGTGGGACCTGGGCCCTGCAGACACTGGGCAGGGCTCAGGAAGGCCTCTCTGGGGGGGGCCTCCGGGCCAAGGGAACAGCATGGGAGCCTGTGAGTGCGGCGGGCGGATGGGGGGGTGTGGGGTGGAGCCAGGAGGAGCAGAACCCGGGGTCCAGTGGCTGCCTCTTCTAGGTGAGGAGTATGTCGCCTGCCTCCCTGACAACAGCTCAGGCACCGTGGCAGCAGTGTCCTTTTCAGCTGCCCACGAAGGCCTGCTTCAGCCAGAGGCCTGCAGCGCCTTCTGCTTCTCCACCGGCCAGGGCCTCGCAGCCCTCTCCGAGCAGGGCTGGTGCCTGTGTGGGTCAGCCCAGCCCTCCAGTGCCTCCTTCGCCTGCCTGTCCCTCTGCTCCGGCCCCCCGCCGCCTCCTGCCCCCACCTGTAGGGGCCCCACCCTCCTCCAGCACGTCTTCCCTGCCTCCCCAGGGGCCACCCTGGTGGGGCCCCACGGACCCCTGGCCTCCGGCCAGCTAGCAGCCTTCCACATCGCTGCCCCGCTCCCTGTCACTGCCACACGCTGGGACTTCGGAGACGGCTCCCCCGAGGTGGATGCCGCTGGGCCGGCTGCCTCGCATCGCTATGTGCTGCCTGGGCGCTATCACGTGACGGCCGTGCTGGCCCTGGGGGCCGGCTCAGCCCTGCTGGGGACAGACGTGCAGGTGGAAGCGGCACCTGCCGCCCTGGAGCTCGTGTGCCCGTCCTCGGTGCAGAGTGACGAGAGCCTCGACCTCAGCATCCAGAACCGTGTTGGTTCAGGCCTGGAGGCCGCCTACAGCATCGTGGCCCTGGGCGAGGAGCCGGCCCGAGGTGAGTGTCTGCTGCCCACTCCCCTTCCTCCCCAGGGCCATCCAGATGGGGCAGAGCCTGGTACCCCCGTCTTGGGCCCACACTGACCGTTGACACCCTCGTTCCCACCGGTCTCCAGCGGTGCACCCGCTCTGCCCCTCGGACACGGAGATCTTCTCTGGCAACGGGCACTGCTACCGCCTGGTGGTGGAGAAGGCGGCCTGGCTGCAGGCGCAGGAGCAGTGTCGGGCCTGGGCCGGGGCCGCCCTGGCAATGGTGGACAGTCCCGCCGTGCAGCGCTTCCTGGTCTCCCGGGTCACCAGGTGCCTGCCCCCACCCCCCGAGGGGCCATAGGTTGGGAGATCTCTGAAGCAGTGGGGCAGAGCCTGTGGCTGGGGAGTCTCAGGAGGAGGGAGGTGGGAGCTGGGCCGGCCCTGGTGAGCAGGTGGCGCCGGCCGGTGGGGCCGTTCCTGTCAGCTCTGCAGATGCAGAGGTGGACACGAGCTGGGGGCAGCCTCCGGACACTCCTGGGCACGCCATACGGGAGGTGGCCTGCACGGGGATCCCTGCCAGTGCCCACAGGCCTCGTGGGTGGGTGCTGCTGTGAGCCTGGGCTGGTGGGCCCTGCTCTCCGGGCTCTGAGCCTCAGTTTCCCCATCTGGAAAGGGGGACAGTGACGGGGCTCCCAGTGGGCTGCTGTGAGGGTGGGAGGATGGAGGAGTGCCCTGAGCCCCCTGCCATCCCACACCCGCCCCCAGGAGCCTAGACATGTGGATCGGCTTCTCGACTGTGCAGGGGGTGGAGGTGGGCCCAGCGCCGCAGGGCGAGGCCTTCAGCCTGGAGAGCTGCCAGAACTGGCTGCCCGGGGAGCCACACCCAGCCACAGCCGAGCACTGCGTCCGGCTCGGGCCCACCGGGTGGTGTAACACCGACCTGTGCTCAGCGCTGCACAGCTACGTCTGCGAGCTGCGGCCTGGAGGTGTGCGAGGGGCCAGGCAGGGGCCTGAGACGCTGGCTGTGGTTAGGGGCCTGCCGAGCGCCCGCGGTGGAGCCTGGGCTGAGGAGGAGGGGCTGGTGGGGGGGTTCTCGGGCGGCTCGGTCCCCAGTCTGTTCGTCCTGGTGTCCTGGGCCCTGGCCCGGCGCCTCACTGTGCACTTGCCACCCCAGGCCCAGTGCAGGATGCCGAGAACCTCCTCGTGGGAGCGCCCAGTGGGGACCTGCAGGGACCCCTGATGCCTCTGGCACGGCAGTACGGCCTCTCAGCCCCGCATGAGCCCGTGGAGGTAGTCGGCCCCCCACGTTCTAAAACCTGCCCTCCTGCCTGCCCCTGGAGGCCTCGCCTGCCCTGCCCACTGTGGGTCTCCCCAAAAAACTTGGGGGCCTTAATGTTGCTTGTGCCCAGTGAAGATGGTTGGGAAAATCCAGAGTGCAGAGAGGAAAGCGTTTACTCACATTACCCCCTTTTCTCTGAGTGTGGGTGAGTTATTCCTGAAAGGCAGGTCAGGGGTCCTGCCCCCCATGGACAGTTTCCATCGGAGTCTTCCTCTCGAGCGACAGGAGCCAGGCCTGTGGGGGTCCGATGGCTCGCTCTCCTTCCCTCCCCTCTTCCTGCGAAGTTCGGGTGGGGGGAGTCTGGGCTTCAGGCTGGGATGGGGTCTGTGGAGCTGAGGCGGCCCCCTGCCCACCAGGTCATGGTATTCCCGGGCCTGCGTCTGAGCCGTGAAGCCTTCCTCACCACGGCCGAATTTGGGACCCAGGAGCTCCGGCGGCCCGCCCAGCTGCGGCTGCAGGTGTACCGGCTCCTCAGCACAGCAGGTGGGACTCTGGGGTGGTGGGCGCCGCAGGACTCGGGGTGGCCTCTCTGAGCTCTCACGTCTGCTGGTCCTGTGGCCATCAGAGTGGTTCCCAGTCTTAGGTGGACAGAGCAGGGGTTCCAGAGACACCAGCTCATTCCAGGTGTCCTGGGGGTGGATCGGGTGGGGCCTGCCTGGGGACCGGCCTGGGTCAGTCAGCTGGCCGGAGACAGGGACGCAGCACTGGGCTGGGAGTGCTGCCCGGGCGGGGAGACCTGTCCTCACAGCAAGGCCAGGCTCGCTGGTGCAGGCAGTTGGGCATCTCTGACGGTGGCCCGTGGGCGAATGAGGGCCCCAACACCCTCCCCTCCTCGCAGGGACCCCGGAGAACGGCAGCGAGCCTGAGAGCAGGTCCCCGGACAACAGGACCCAGCTGGCCCCCGCGTGCATGCCAGGGGGACGCTGGTGCCCTGGAGCCAACATCTGCTTGCCGCTGGACGCCTCCTGCCACCCCAGGCCTGCGCCAATGGCTGCACGTCAGGGGCCAGGGCTACTCGGGGCCCCCTATGCGCTATGGAGAGAGTTCCTCTTCTCCGTTCCCGCGGGGCCCCCCGCGCAGTACTCGGTGTGTGGCCCTGACCTGGGTCTGTTCCCTGCATCTCCTCAGGCCACCTTCCTGTCTGCTGCCCAGGGTCTGGGTCTGCGCAGCAGACACACCCAGCCTGCAGGCCCCTCCCACGTCCTTGCCACCTCTGACCTCCGACCTCCGACCTCCAACCTCCGACCTCTGCAGTGCCCTTGCCCCTCTCCCAGTGGGAGAAGCTCTCGCCTGGGCCCTTGGCACGAGCTGTGCCTCCTCTTCCTCTCTCCCAGCACAGCCGCTCCTTCCTGTCTGCCAGGTCTTGGCCTGTGTCCTCTCCCCGTGTGTCCCCCTGTCTGCAACTGTCCTGCCTGTCCTTGTCACGAGCACTGTGGGGAGGCTCCCTGAGGTGTGGCTGACGAAGCGGGGAGCCCTGCGTGTCCACCCTCATCCGTCGTGCAGGGGTCCACGGGCCATGACCGTGAGGACGTGATGCAGCCCTGCCTCCCTCTCCACAGGTCACCCTCCACGGCCAGGATGTCCTCATGCTCCCTGGTGACCTCGTTGGCTTGCAGCACGACGCTGGCCCTGGCGCCCTCCCGCACTGCTCGCCGGCTCCCGGCCACCCTGGTCCCCAGGCCCCGTACCTCTCCGCCAACGCCTCGTCATGGCTGCCCCACTTGCCAGCCCAGCTGGAGGGCACTTGGGCCTGCCCTGCCTGTGCCCTGCGGCTGCTTGCAGCCACGGAACAGCTCACCGTGCTGCTGGGCCTGAGGCCCAACCCTGGGCTGCGGCTGCCTGGGCGCTATGAGGTCCGGGCAGAGGTGGGCAATGGCGTGTCCAGGCACAACCTGTCCTGCAGCTTTGACGTGGTCTCCCCAGTGGCTGGGCTGCGGGTCATCTACCCTGCCCCCCGCGACGGCCGCCTCTACGTGCCCACCAACGGCTCAGCCTCGGTGCTCCAGGTGGACTCTGGTGCCAGCGCCACGGCCACGGCTCGCTGGCCTGGGGGCAGTGTCAGCGCCCGCTTTGAGAATGCCTGCCCTGCCCTGGTGGCCACCTTCGTGCCCGGCTGCCCCTGGGAGACCAATGATACCCTGTTCTCAGTGGTAGCACTGCCGTGGCTCGGTGAGGGGGAGCACGTGATGGACGTTGTGGTGGAAAACAGCGCCAGCCGGGCCAACCTCAGCCTGCGGGTGACGGCGGAGGAGCCCATCTGTGGCCTCCGCGCCACGCCCAGCCCCGAGGCCCGTGTACTGCAGGGAGTCCCAGTGGTGAGTATGGCCGAGGCTCCACCACCAGCCCCCAGGCAGGTGCCTGCAGACAGGGTGCTCACACAGGGCGTGAGGCCTGGCTTCCCAGTGAGGGCAGCAGCCCAGTTACTGGGGACGTCGGCCCCGGGCAGGTCCTGCTGGCTGGCTCCTCAGGCTACCTGGTGGGCTTTAAATTCCTGGAAAGTCACGGCTCTGACAGCGGCTCCGCTAACTCATTCCACCGTCTCATTTCATGAAATGAATTTAAAACTCTGCTCCCTGACCTCACACGAGCCCCCGTGAGTCTCTCACGCCCTCTGCTGTGTTCTCACCTGGCTAAAGCGAGTGGCTTTTGAGGTGGAGTCTGAACCCCTGATGGGAAACTGCGGGCTGCCCGCGGTGCCACCATGCTGGGTACATGGGGGACAGGGCTGTCTCCGTCTTGCGGGTACCTGCCCCTTCACCAGGGGCCTTGGGAGGGGCCATCAGAAATGGCGTGACCTGTGCAGCCTGTCCTGGGTTCTGTAAGCCAGTGTAGGTGCTGTCCCTGTGAGGCCCGTGTGCCTCCCCTCACTGCTCCGAGCTCTCTGGCTGAGGAGCTGGGGCAGGAGCCCCGGGAGGGTCTGAGAAGACTCAGAGAGAGGTGGACTCTTTGTAGCTGGTACTAGGTTTGCTTTACAGATGGGGAAACTGAGGCACAGAGAGGTTGAGGCATTAGTAGTACTACATGGCTGGCTGGAGAGCCGGACAGTCAGTGTCCCAGCCCGGGCTTGGCTCCCATGGCATGCAGAGCCCCGGCCACCTCCTCTCCTCTGTGCCCCGCGTGGGACTCTCCAGCCTGACGGGAGGTGTGTCCAGGAGGCGACAGGCTAAGGGCAGAGTCCTCCACAGAGCCCAGGCTGACACCAGTCCCCCCGCAGAGGTACAGCCCCGTGGTGGAGGCCGGCTCGGACATGGTCTTCCGGTGGACCATCAACGACAAGCAGTCCCTGACCTTCCAGAACGTGGTCTTCAATGTCATTTATCAGAGCGCGGCGGTCTTCAAGCTCTCAGTAGGTGGGCGGGGGTGGGGAGGGGAGGGGATGGGGTGGGGCGGGGCGGGCTCCACCTTCACCTCTGCTTCATGCTGCCCGAGGACGCTGCCATGGCTGTGGGTGAGTGGAGGGAGGGACGCTAAGCAGGGCCAGGCCTCTCACCTGCCACCTGGGCCCACTGATGCCTATCCCTGCAGCTGACGGCCTCCAACCACGTGAGCAACGTCACCGTGAACTACAACATCACCGTGGAGCGGATGAACAGGATGCAGGGCCTGCGGGTCTCCACAGTGCCGGCCGTGCTGTCCCCCAATGCCACGCTGGCACTGACGGCGGGCGTGCTGGTGGACTCGGCCGTGGAGGTGGCCTTCCTGTGAGTGACTCGGGGGCCGGTTTGGGGTGGGCACCAGGCTCTTGTCCCGGCCCCAGCCTCAGCCGAGGGACCCCACATCAGGGGGTTGCTTTTCTGAGCCTCGGTTTCCCTATCTGTTGGGAGGTACTGGGTGCACAGGAGCCCTGAGGCTGCACGGGAGCCGGGAGAGGCCTCAGCACAGCCGGGTGGGCCCTGAATGGAGGCCTGGGGCGTGACTGCAGAGTGGAGCCTCAGCTGGGTCCCAAGCACCCCCTGCCCCCCCACCGCGCACCTGTGCCCCGCCACTGCGCACCCCTGTCCCGGTTCACTCACTGCCTCCCACCGCCCCGGCAGGTGGACCTTTGGGGATGGGGAGCAGGCCCTCCACCAGTTCCAGCCTCCGTACAACGAGTCCTTCCCGGTTCCAGACCCCTCGGTGGCCCAGGTGCTGGTGGAGCACAATGTCACGCACACCTACGCTGCCCCAGGTGAGGGATGAGGGGGTGAGGGGGCCACTGCCTTTCAGGCTCTGAGCACGGGGCACCCCCAGTCCCCCAGTCAAGCTGCCCCCCTTCCTCCCCAACAGCCCTCACTGTGACCTCACCTGGGCTGATGGCTTAGGTCCCTACTGGGGTGAGGGAGGGGCCAGGCGTGGGGGGAGTGGACAGGGAAGCTGGGCCCCCTGAACTGCCCCCCGCCGCGGCCTGGCTCTTGCTGCTCTGCTGCCCCGAGTGCAGCTGCACTTGGAGGCGGTGCCGTCCTCACCAGGCAGCCCTCAGTGCTGCTGCACCTGTGCTCCGTCCCGCACGTGGCTTGGGAGCCTGGGACCCTTAAGGCTGGGCCGCAGGTGCAGCCGTTCACCCCGGGCTCCTCAGGCGGGGGGCTTCTGCCGAGCGGGTGGGGAGCAGGTGGGGGTGCCGCGGCTGCCCCACTTGGGCCTGTCCCCACAGGTGAGTACGTCCTGACCGTGCTGGCATCTAATGCCTTCGAGAACCGGACGCAGCAGGTGCCTGTGAGCGTGCGCGCCTCCCTGCCCTCCGAGGCTGTGGGTGTGAGTGACGGCGTCCTGGTGGCCGGCCGGCCCGTCACCTTCTACCCGCATCTGCTGCCCTCGCCTGGGGGTGTTCTTTACACGTGGGACTTCGGGGACGGCTCCCCTGTCCTGACCCAGAGCCAGCCGGCTGCCAACCACACCTATCCCTCGAGGGGCATCTACCACGTGCGCCTGGAGGTCAACAACACGGTGAGCGGTGCGGCGGCCCAGGCGGATGTGCGCGTCTTTGAGGAGCTCCGCGGGCTCAGCGTGGACATGAGCCTGGCCGTGGAGCAGGGCGCCCCCGTGGTGGTCAGTGCCGCGGTGCAGACGGGCGACAACATCACGTGGACCTTCGACATGGGGGACGGCACCGTGCTGTCGGGCCCAGAGGCCACAGTGGAGCATGTGTACCTGCGGGCACAGAACTGCACAGTGACCGTGGGTGCGGCCAGCCCCGCCGGCCACCTGGCCCGGAGCCTGCACGTGCTGGTCTTCGTCCTGGAGGTGCTGCGCGTCGAGCCCGCCGCCTGCATCCCCACTCAGCCTGACGCGCGGCTCACGGCCTACGTCACCGGGAACCCGGCCCGCTACCTCTTCGACTGGACCTTTGGGGATGGCTCCTCCAACACGACCATGCGGGGGTGCCCGACGGTGACACACAACTTCACGCGTAGCGGCACGTTCCCCCTGGCGCTGGTGCTGTCCAGCCGCGTGAACAGGGCGCGTTACTTCACCAGCATCTGCGTGGAGCCAGAGGTGGGCAACGTCACCCTGCAGCCAGAGAGGCAGTTTGTGCAGCTCGGGGACGAGGCCCGGCTGGTGGCATGTGCCTGGCCCCCGTTCCCCTACCGCTACACCTGGGACTTTGGCACCGAAGAAGCCGTCCCCGCCCGTGTCGGGGGCCCTGAGGTGACGTTCATCTACCGAGACCCAGGCTCCTATCTTGTGACAGTCACCGCGTCCAACAACATCTCCGCTGCCAATGACTCAGCCCTGGTGGAGGTGCAGGAGCCCGTGCTGGTCACCAGCATCAAGGTCAATGGCTCCCTTGGGCTGGAGCTGCAGTAGCCGTACCTGTTCTCTGCTGTGGGCCGTGGGCGCCCCGCCAGCTACCTGTGGGATCTGGGGGACGGTGGGCGGCTCGAGGGTCCGGAGGTCACCCACGCTTACAACAGCACAGGTGACTTCACCGTTAGGGTGGCCGGCTGCAATGAGGTGAGCCGCAGCGAGGCCTGGCTCAATGTGACGGTGAAGCGGCGCGTGCGGGGGCTCATCGTCAATGCCAGCTGCACGGTGGTGCCCCTGAATGGGAGCATGAGCTTCAGCACCTCGCTGGAGGCCGGCAGTGATGTGCGCTATTCCTGGGTGCTCTGTGACCGCTGCACGCCCATCTCTGGGGGTCCTGCCATCTCTTTACACCTTCCGCTCCGTGGGCACCTTCAATATCATCGTCACAGCTGAGAACGAGGTGGGCTCCGCCCAGGACAGCATCTTCGTCTATGTCCTGCAGCTCATAGAGGGGCTGCAGGTGGTGGGCGGTGGCCGCTACTTCCCCACCAACCACACGGTACAGCTGCAGGCCGTGGTCAGGGATGGCACCAACATCTACAGCTGGACTGCCTGGAGGGACAGGGGCCCGGCCCTGGCCGGCAGCGGCAAAGGCTTCTCGCTCACTGCGCTCGAGGCCGGCACCTACCATGTGCAGCTGCGGGCCACCAACATGCTGGGCAGCGCCTGGGCTGACTGCACCGTGGACTTCGTGGAGCCTGTGGGGTGGCTGATGGTGGCCGCCTCCCCGAACCCAGCTGCCGTCAACACAAGTGTCACCCTCAGTGCCGAGCTGGCTGGTGGCAGTGGTGTCGTATACACTTGGTCCTTGGAGGAGGGGCTGAGCTGGGAGACCCCCGAGCCATTTACCACCCACAGCTTCCCCACACCCGGCCTGCACTTGGTCACCATGACGGCAGGGAACCCGCTGGGCTCAGCCAACGCCACCGTGGAAGTGGATGTGCAGGTGCCTGTGAGTGGCCTCAGCATCAGGGCCAGCGAGCCGGGAGGCAGCTTCGTGGCGGCCGGGTCCTCTGTGCCCTTTTGGGGGCAGCTGGCCACGGGCACCAATGTGAGCTGGTGCTGGGCTGTGCCCGGCGGCAGCAGCAAGCGTGGCCCTCATGTCACCATGGTCTTCCCGGATGCTGGCACCTTCAACATCCGGCTCAATGCCTCCAACGCAGTCAGCTGGGTCTCAGCCACGTACAACCTCACGGTGGAGGAGCCCATCGTGGGCCTGGTGCTGTGGGCCAGCAGCAAGGTGGTGGCGCCCGGGCAGCTTGTCCATTTTCAGATCCTGCTGGCTGCCGGCTCAGCTGTCACCTTCCGCCTGCAGGTCGGCGGGGCCAGCCCCGAAGTGCTCCCTGGGCCCCGTTTCTCCCACAGCTTCCCCCGCATCGGAGACCACGTGGTGAGCGTGCAGGGCAAAAACCACGTGAGCTGGGCCCAGGCGCAGGTGCGCATCGTGGTGCTGGAGGCCGTGAGCGGGCTGCAGGTGCCCAACTGCTGTGAGCCTGGCATCGCCATGGGCACTGAGAGGAACTTCACAGCCCGCGTGCAGCGCGGCTCTCGGGTCGCCTACGCCTGGTACTTCTCGCTGCAGAAGGTCCGGGGCGACTCTCTGTTCATCCTGTCGGGCCGCGACGTCACCTACACGCCGTGGCCGCGGGGCTGTTGGAGATCCAGGTGCGTGCCTTCAACGCCCTGGGCAGTGAGAACCGCACGCTGGTGCTGGAGGTTCAGGACGCCGTCCAGTATGTGGCCCTGCGGAGCGGCCCCTGCTTCACCAACCGCTTGGCGCAGTTTGAGGCCGCCACCAGCCCCAGCCCCCGGCGCGTGGCCTACCACTGGGACTTTGGGGATGGGTCCCCAGGGCAGGACACAGATAAGCCCAGGGCCGAGCACTCCTACCTGAGGCCTGGGGACTACCGCGTGCAGGTGAACGCCTCCAACCTGGTGAGCTTTTTCGTGGCGCAGGCCACGGTGACCGTCCAGGTGCTGGCCTGCCGGGAGCCGGAGGTGGACGTGGTCCTGCCCCTGCAGGTGCTGATGCGACGATCACAGCGCAACTGCCTGGATGCCTACGTTGACCTGCGCGACTGTGTCACCTACCAGACTGAGTACCGCTGGGAGGTGTACCGCACCGCCAGCTGCCAGCGGCCGGGGTGCCCGGCGCGTGTGGCCCTGCCCGGCGTGGACGTGAGCCGGCCTCAGCTGGTGCTGCCGCGGCTGGCGCTGCCTGTGGGGCACTACTGCTTTGTGTTTGTCGTGTCATTTGGGGACACGCCACTGGCACGGAGCATCCAGGCCAATGTGACGGTGGCCCCCGAGCGCCTGGTGCCCATCACTGAGGGTGGCTCCTACCGCGTGTGGTCAGACACACAGGACCTGGTGCTGGATGGGAGCGAGTCCTACGACCCCAACCTGGAGGACGGCGACCAGACGCCGCTCAGTTTCCAGTGGGCCTGTGTGGCTTCGACACAGGTCAGTGCGTGGCAGGGCCGTCCTCCCTGCCCCTCACCCGTCCACACCCATGAGCCCAGAGAACACCCAGCTTGCCACCAGGGCTGGCCCGTCCTCAGTGCCTGGTGGGCCCCGTCCCAGCATGGGGAGGGGGTCTCCCGCGCTGTCTCCTGGGCCGGGCTCTGCTTTAAAACTGGATGGGGTTCTCGGGCCACGTCGCCCCTTGTTCTCGGCCTGCAGAGGGAGGCTGGCGGGTGTGCGCTGAACTTTGGGCCCCGCGGGAGCAGCACGGTCACCATTCCACGGGAACGGCTGGCAGCTGGCGTGGAGTACACCTTCAGCCTCACCGTGTGGAAGGCCGGCCACAAGGAGGAGGCCACCAACCAGACGGTGGGTGCCGCCCGCCCCTCGGCCACTTGCCTTGGACAGCCCAGCCTCCCTGCTCATCTACTGTTTTCCGTGTTTTAGTGCTGGTGGAGGCCGCGCGCTCTCCCCTCTCTGTTTCTGATGCAAATTCTATGTAACACGACAGCCTGCTTCAGCTTTGCTTCCTTCCAAACCTGCCACAGTTCCACATACAGTCTTCAAGCCACATATGCTCTAGTGACAAAAGCTACACAGTCCCCCAGCAATACCAACAGTGAGGAAGAGCCCCTTCCCACCCCAGAGGCAGCCACTGTCCCCAGCCCATGTCCCTGTTGCTGGATGTGGTGGGCCGGTTCTCACCCTCATGCTCCCCACTCTGGACCGGCCAGGAGGCTTGGTGACCCTGAGCCCGTGGTGGCTGCTCCTGCTGCTGTCAGGCGGGGCCTGCTGGTGCCCCAGAGTGGGTGTCTGTTCCCCAGTCCCTGCTTTCCTCAACGGGCCTGATTGGGGGTCTGCCCAGAGGGGTCGTCTGAGGGGAGGGTGTGGGAGCAGGTTCCATCCCGGCTCAGCCTCCTGACCCAGGCCCTGGCTAAGGGCTGCAGGAGTCTGTGAGTCAGGCCTACGTGGCAACTGCGGTCCTCACACCCCCACATACGTCTGTTCCCACACGCATCCCCCCAGGGGCCCTCAGTGAGCATTGCCTGCCTCCTGCCAGGGTCCAGCTGGCTCCAGTACACCAGAACACACACCCCAGTGTCCTCTGCCCTGTGTATGCCCTTCCGCCGCCCAGGTTGGAAGGTGGCAAACCGGATGAGTATCCTGGGAGGGGGTGAGCTCACCGGCAGTGGCCAGGCCCCTGGGAAACCTGGAGTTTGGGAGCAGCATCCTCCACGGGTCCCCCAGACCTTCCAGCAGGCCAAATAGACCTGTGTTGGAGGTAACCCCACTCCCACGCCAGGTGCTGATCCGCAGTGGCCGGGTGCCCATTGTGTCCTTGGAGTGTGTGTCCTGCAAGGCACAGGCCGTGTACGAAGTGAGCCGCAGCTCCTACGTGTACCTGGAGGGCCGCTGCCTCAATTGCAGCAGCGGCTCCAAGCGAGGGGTGAGTGTTGAGCGGGGTGTGGGCGGGTTGGGGATGGGTCCCATGGCCGAGGGGACGGGGCCTGCAGGCAGAAGTGGGGCTGACAGGGCAGAGGGTTGCGCCCCCTCACCATCCCTTCTGCCTGCAGCGGTGGGCTGCACGTACGTTCAGCAACAAGACGCTGGTGCTGGATGAGACCACCACATCCACGGGCAGCGCAGGCATGTGACTGGTGCTGCGGCGGGGCGTGCTGCGGGACGGCGAGGGATACACCTTCACGCTGACGGTGCTGGGCCGCTCTGGCGAGGAGGAGGGCTGCGCCTCCATCCCCCTGTCCCCCAACCGCCCGCCGCTGGGGGGCTCTTGCTGCCTCTTCCCACTGGGCGCTGTGCACGCCCTCACCACCAAGGTGCACTTCAAATGCACGGGTGAGTGCAGGCCTGCGTAGGGGGAGCAGCGGGATCCCCCGACTCTGTGAGGTCACGGAGCCCTCCCGTGATGCTGTGGGGACCATCCCTCAGGCTGGCATGACGCGGAGGATGCTGGCGCCCCGCTGGTGTATGCCCTGCTGCTGCAGCGCTGTTGCCAGGGCCACTGCAAAGAGTTCTGTGTCTACAAGAGCAGCCTCTCCGGCTACGGAGCCGTGCTGCCCCCGGGTTTCAGGCCACACTTCGAGGTGGGCCTGGCCGTGGTGGTGCAGGACCAGCTGGGAGCCGCTGTGGTCGCCCTCAACAGGTGAGCCAGGCCGTGGGAGGGCGCCCCCGAGACTGCCACCTGCTCACCACCCCCCTCTGCTCGTAGGTCTCTGGCCATCACCCTCCCAGAGCCCAACGGCAGCGCAATGGGGCTCACAGTCTGGCTGCACCGGCTCACCGCTAGTGTGCTCCCGGGGCTGCTGCGGCAGGCCGATCCCCAGCACGTCATCGAGTACTCGCTGGCCCTGGTCACTGTGCTGAACGAGGTGAGTGCAGCCTGGGAGGGGACCTCACATCTGCTGCATGCGTGCTGGGGACCAAGACCTGTTCCCCTGCCTGGAGCTTTGCGGAGGGCTCATCCCGGGCCCCAGAGATAAATCCCAGTGACCCTGAAGCAGCACCCCGACGTTCCGCTCCCAGCAGCCACACCCACCGGGCCCTCTCCGGCGTCTGCTTTCCACAATGCAGCCCCCGCCCAGGAGGGCCCATGTGCTTACCCTGTTTTGCCCATGAAGAAACAGCTCAGTGTTGCGGGTCAGTGCCCACATCACACAGCATCTAGCACGTAACTGCACCCCGGGAGTCGTGGGCATCTGCTGGCCTCCTGCCGGCCTCCTGCCCTGCTGACAGCTTGCTGTGCCCCCTGCCTGCCCCAGTACGAGCGGGCCCTGGACGTGGCGGCAGAGCCCAAGCACGAGCGGCAGCGCCGAGCCCAGATACGCAAGAACATCACGGAGACTCTGGTGTCCCTGAGGGTCCACACTGTGGATGACATCCAGCAGATCGCTGCTGCGCTGGCCCAGTGCATGGTAGGATGGCCCCACATGCTCACCCCGCCCCGCATGCCTGCCAGGGTACTGGGTTCAGCCCCCCAGGGCAGACGGGCAGCTTGGCCGAGGAGCTGAGCCTCCAGCCTGGGCTCCTTCCTGCCGTGGCGTTCCTCGGTCTCTGACCTGCTTCAGTAGCCTCAGCCTTTCTGCTGTCCTGTGTGAACGCAGGGTGCCTCTCGGGGGACCCAGGGTGTAAAGAGGGGCCCAGATGTGGGGAGGGACTAAGAAGATGCTGCTCTGTGCCCTCCACTCTCCCCTCCCCTCCCCCTTCCCTCCCCTTTCTCCATCTCTCTCCCCTTTTCTCCATTTCCCCCCCGATCCTCCCCGTCCTTTTGTCCATTCCCCTCATCTTTCTTATCCCCCTTATCCTCCTTCCCCTCCCTTATCCTCCTTCCCCTCCCTTATCCCCCTTATCCCCCTTCCCCTCCCTTTCCCCCTGCTCCTCCTCTTCTCCCCTTTCTCTTTTCTCTACCCTTTTCCTTCCTTTTTCCTCCCTCTCCCCATCATCCCCCTCATCTTCGTCCTCATCCCCATCCCCTTCCCCCTCCCCCTCCACCACTCTCTCTCCAGCTTCCCCCTTCCTTCTGCCTGCACCTCGCTCTCTGCCCCCTCAGGTTCCCCCTTTCTCCCAGCCCCCACCCTCCAGCTCCCCCTTTTTGCCTGCCCCCACCCTCCCTCTGCCTCCCTGTCTCTGCACTGACCTCACGCCTGTCTGCAGGAGACCTCATCCACCTGGCCAGCTCAGACGTGCGGGCACCGCAGCGCTCAGAGCTGGGAGCCGAGTCACCATTGCGGATGGTGGCGTCCCAGGCCTACAACCTGACCTCTGCCCTCATGCGCATCCTCACGCGCTCCCGCGTGCTCAACGAGGAGCCCGTGACGCTGGCGGGCGAGGAGATCATGGCCCAGGGCAAGCGCTCGGACCCGCGGAGCCTGCTGTGCTATGGCGGCGCCCCAGGGCCTGGCTGCCACCTCTCCATCCCCTAGGCTTTCAGCAGGGCCCCGGCCAACCTCAGTGACGTGGTGCAGCTCGTCTTTCTGGTGGACTCCAATCCCTTTCTCTTTGGCTATATCAGCAACTACACCGTCTCCACCAAGGTGGCCTCGATGGCGTTCCAGACACAGGCCGGCGCCCAGATCCCCATCGAGCGGCTGGCCTCAGAGCGCGCCATCACCGTGAAGGTGCCCAACAACTCGGACTGGGCTGCCCGGGGCCACTGCAGCTCCGCCAACTCCGTTGTGGTCCAGCCCCAGGCCTCCGTCGGTGCTGTGGTCACCCTGGACAGCAGCAACCCTGTGGCCGTGCTGCATCTGCAGCTCAACTATACGCTGCTGGACGGTGTGTGCAGCGGGTGGGGCACACGCGGCCCCCTGGCCTTGTTCTTGGGGGGAAGGCGTTTCTCGTAGGGCTTCCATGGGTGTCTCTGGTGAAATTTGCTGTTTCATGGGCTGTTGGGGGCCTGGCCGGAGAGGAGCTGGGGGCCACGGAGAAGCAGGTGCCAGCTCTGGTGCAGAGGCTCCTATGGCCTTTCAGGCCCGTGGCAGAGGGTGGGCTCAGGAGGGCCATCGTGGGTGTCCCCCGGGTGGTTGAGCTTCCCGGCAGGCGTGTGACCTGCGCGTTCTGCCCCAGGCCGCTACCTGTCTGAGGAACCCGAGCCCTACCTGGCAGTCTACCTGCACTCGGAGCCCCGGCCCAATGAGCGCAACTGCTCGGCTAGCAGGAGGATCCGCCCAGAGTCCCTCCAGGGTGCCGACCACCGGCCCTACACCTTCTTCATTTCCCCGGGGTGAGCTCTGTGGGCCGGCCTGGCAGGGCAGGGCAGGGCATCATGGGTCAGCATTGCCCGGGTTACGGGCCCCGTGGGGACGGCAGGCAGCGAGGGGACTGGACCGGGTATGGGCTCTGGGACTCCGACATCCAACCTGGCGGAGCCTGGGCTCACGTCCACTGCCCCTTCCCTTCCCAGGACCAGAGACCCAGTGGGGAGTTACCGTCTGAACCTCTCCAGCCACTTCCGCTGGTCGGCGCTGGAGGTGTCCGTGGGCTTGTACACGTCCCTGTGCCAGTACTTCAGCGAGGAGGATGTGGTGTGGCGGACAGAGGGGCTGCTGCCCCTGGAGGAGACCTCGCCCCGCCAGGCCGTCTGCCTCACCCGCCACCTCACCGCCTTCGGCACCAGCCTCTTCATGCCCCCAAGCCATGTACGCTTTGTGTTTCCTGTGAGTGACCCTGTGCTCCTGGGAGCCTCTGCAGAGTCGAGGAGGGCCTGGGTGGGCTCGGCTCTATCCTGAGAAGGCACAGCTTGCACGTGACCTCCTGGGCCCGGCGGCTGTGTCTTCACAGGAGCCGACAGCGGATGTAAACTACATCGTCATGCTGACATGTGCTGTGTGCCTGGTGACCTACATGGTCATGGCCGCCATCCTGCACAAGCTGGACCAGTTGGATGCCAGCCGGGGCTGCGCCATCCCCTTCTGTGGGCAGCGGGGCCGCTTCAAGTACGAGATCCTCGTCAAGACAGGCTGGGGCCGGGGCTCAGGTGAGGGGCGCGGCGGGGTGGCAGGGCCTCCCCTGCTCTCACTGGCTGTGCTGGTTGCACCCTCTGGGAGTGAGTCTCGTCGCAGGCGTCAGAACAAGGCAGTTTTTGCAGTGCTGTGTGAAGGGCTCGTGTGTTCATCCTGGGAATGACCTCGTGAGCACTCACTGTCCCTGAGGACTAGGACAGCTCCTAGCTGGAAGTAGGTGCCAGTCAGTCAGGGTGGGCAGCCCACGTTCTGCACAGTAGCGTGGCCCCACAAGTGACATGAGCATCGCTACCACTGTGGGAGACCATGCATCCACCCGCGATCCTGACTGCATAGCTCGTCTCTCAGACGGAGGTGCCAGCACCCTCCCCGTGGCTGTTTCTTCAATACCTCCATTTTCCTTTATTGGAATTGCCCTTCTGGCATTCCCTTTTTGTTTTCATTTTTCTTTTTTTGGAGACGGAGTCTCACTCTGTTGCCCAGGCTGGAGTGCAATGGCGTGATCTTGGCTCACAGCAACTTCCAGCTCCTGGGTTTAAGCGATTCCCCTTAAGCGATTCTCCTGAGTAGCTGGGAGTACAGGTGCACGCCACCACACCCAGTTAATTTTTCACCATGTCAGCCAGGCGAACTCCTGACCTCAGGTGATCCGCCTGCCTCGGCCTGCCAGAGTGCTGGGATGACAGGTGTGAGCCACCACACCTGGCTGTGTTCCCATTTTTTATTTCCGTGTTGCTTTCATCTTCATTTCCCAGTTCTTTTGATTACCTACTTTTAAAAACTGTCGGCCGGGCGCGGTGGCTCACACCTGTAATCCGAGCACTTTGGGAGGCCGAGGCAGGCAAATCACGGGGTCAGGAGACCGAGACCATCCTGGCTAACGGTGAAACCCTGTCTCTACTAAAAAATACAAAAAAATTAGCCCGGCGTGGTGGCAGGCACCTGTAGTCCCAGCTCCTCGGGAGACTGAGGCAGGAGAATGGCGTGAGCCCGGGAGGCGGAGCTTGCAGTGAGCTGAGATTGCGCCACTGCACTCCAGCCTGGGTGACACAGCAAGACTCCATCTCAAAAAAAAAAAGAAAAAAAATACTGTCACCTGGGTCTGTCACTGGGAGAGGAGGTGACACAGCTTCACGCTTCGCAGTCTGTGCATGAACTGAGGGACGGGTGTGTGGTGCGGGTCACTGGTTGTGGCGTGACTGAGGCGTGGACAGGTGTGCAGCGCGGGTCACTGGTTGTGGTGTGGACTGAGGCGTGTGCAGCCATGTTTGCATGTCACAAGTTACAGTTCTTTCCGTGTAACTTAATCATGTCCTTGAGGTCCTGCTGTTTATTGGACAAATTGCAGTAACCGCAGCTCCTCGTGTATGGCAGAGCCGTGCAAAGCCGGGACTGCCTGTGTGGCTCCTTGAGTGCGCGGAGGCCAAAGCTGAGATGACTTGCCTGGGATGCCACACGTGTTGGGCAGCAGACCGAGCCTCCCACCCCTCCCTCTTGCCCTCCAGGTACCACGGCCCACGTGGGCATCATGCTGTATGGGGTGGACAGCCGGAGTGGCCACCGGCACCTGGACGGCGACAGAGCCTTCCACCGCAACAGTCTGGACATCTTCCGGATCGCCACCCCGCACAGCCTGGGTAGCGTGTGGAAGATCCGAGTGTGGCACGACAACAAAGGTCTGTGCGGACCCTGCCAAGCTCTGCCCCTCTGCCCCCGCATTGGGGCGCCCTGCGAGCCTGACCTCCCTCCCGCGCCTCTGCAGGGCTCAGCCCTGCCTGGTTCCTGCAGCACATCATCGTCAGGGACCTGCAGACGGCACGCAGCACCTTCTTCCTGGTCAATGACTGGCTTTCGGTGGAGACGGAGGCCAACGGGGGCCTGGTGGAGAAGGAGGTGCTGGCTGCGAGTAAGGCCTCGTTCCATGTTCCCACTCCGTGGGAGGTTGGGCAGGGTGGTCCTGCCCCGTGGCCTCCTGCAGTGCGGCCCTCCCTGCCTTCTAGGTCACGCAGCCCTGTTGCGCTTCCGGCGCCTGCTGGTGGCTGAGCTGCAGCGTGGCTTCTTTGACAAGCACATCTGGCTCTCCATATGGGACCGGCCACCTCGTAGCTGTTTCACTCGCATCCAGAGGGCCACCTGCTGCGTTCTCCTCATCTGCCTCTTCCTGGGCGCCAACGCCGTGTGGTACGGGGCTGTTGGTGACTCTGCCTACAGGTGGGTGCCGTAGGGGTCGGGACAGCCTCTTCCTGCCCAGCCCTTCCTGCCCCTCAGCCTCACCTGTGTGGCCTCCTCTCCTCCACACAGCACGGGGCATGTGTCCAGGCTGAGCCCGCTGAGCGTCGACACAGTCGCTGTTGGCCTGGTGTCCAGCGTGGTTGTCTATCCCGTCTACCTGGCCATCCTCTTTCTCTTCCGGATGTCCCGGAGCAAGGTGGGCTGGGGCTGGGGACCCGGGAGTACTGGGAATGGAGCCTGGGCCTCGGCACCATGCCCAGGGCCGCCACTTTCCAGTGCTGCAGCCAGAGGGAAAGGCGTCCACCAAAGGCTGCTCGGGAAGGGTCAACACACTTGAGCAGCCTTAGCTAGACTGACCAGGGAGAAAGAGAGAAGACTCAGAAGCCAGAATCGTGAAAGAACGAGGGCACTTCGCTAAGCAGACGCCACGGACAACTGCACAGCAGCACGCCAGATAACTCAGAAGAAGCAAGCACGCGGCTGTGCACGCTTCCGAAATGCACTCCAGAAGAAAATCTCAGTACATCTATAGCAAGTGAAGAGGCCGAGTTAGTCCCTTAGAAACCTCCCAGTGGCCGGGCCGGGTGTGGTGGCTCACGCCTGTAATCCCAACACTTCAGGAGGCCGAGGTGGGCGGATCTGAGTCCAGGAGTTTGAGACCAGCCTGGGCAACATAGCAAGACCCCATCTATATAAAACATTAAAAAGGGCCAGGCACGGTGGCTCACGCCTGTAATCCCAACACTTTGGGAGGCCGAGGCGGGCAGATCAGTTGAGGTCAGGAGTTCGAGACCAGCCTGGCCAACACAATGAAACCCCATCTCTACTACAAATACAAAAACTTAGCTGGGCATGGTGGCGGGCGCCTGTAGTCCCAGCTACTCGAGAGGCTGAGGCAGGAGAATGGCATGAACCCAGGAGGCGGAGCTTGCAGTGAGCCGAGATTGCGCCACTGCACTCCATCCTGGGCAATGGAGCAAGACTCCATCTCCAAAAAAAAGAAAAAAAAAATCCCACAAAGAAAAGCTTGGGCTCAGAGCCTTCACGATAGAATTTTTCTAAGCAGTTAAGGAAGAATTAACACCAATCCTTCACAGACTCTTTCCAAGAATACAGCAGGTGGGAACTCTTCCCATTCATACGGAAACGGGAGGCCGCACCCCTTAGGAATGCACACGTGGGGTCCTCAAGAGGTTACATGCAAACTAACCCCAGCAGCACACAGAGAAGGCGCATAAGCCGCGACCAGGAGGGGTTGCTCCCGAGTCCGTGGCAGGAACCAGAGGCCACATGTGGCTGCTCGTATTTAAGTTAATTAAAATGGAACGTTGGCCGGGCGTGGTGGCTCACACCTGTAATCCCAGCACTTTGGGAGGCGGAGGCGGGCAGATCACTTGAGGTCAGGAGTTCCAAGACCAGCCTGGCCAACACAGTGAAACCCCGTCTCTACTAAAAATACAAAAAATTAGCTGGGCATCGTGGCAGGCACCTGTAATCCCAGCTACTCAGGAGGCTGAGCCAGGACAATCGCCTGAACGCGGGAGGTGGAGGTTGCAGTGAGCTGAGATTGCGCCAGTGCACTCCTGCCTGGGTGACAGAGCGAGACTCCATCTTAAAAAAAAAAAAAAAATGAAATTCAAAACTCTGTTCCTTAGCTGCACCAGTCTGCTGTCAAGTGTTCAGTGGCACATGTCGCGAGGGGCTGCCATCACGGACGGTGCAGATGTCCCATATATCCAGCATTCTAGGACATTCTGTTAGATGGCACCGGGCTCTGTCCTGTCTGCTGAGGAGGTGGCTTCTCATCCCTGTCCTGAGCAGGTCTGAGCTGCCGCCCGCTGACCACTGCCGTCGTCCTGCAGGTGGCTGGGAGCCTGAGCCCCACACCTGCCGGGCAGTAGGTGCTGGACATCGACAGCTGCCTGGACTCGTCCGTGCTGGACAGCTCCTTCCTCACGTTCTCAGGCCTCCACGCTGAGGTGAGGGCTCTACTGGGGGTCCTGGGCTGGGCTGGGGGTCCTGCCGCCTTGGCGCAGCTTGGACTCCAGACACTGTGCACCTCTCAGCAGGCCTTTGCTGGACAGGTGAAGAGTGACTTGTTTCTGGATGATTCTAAGAGGTGGGTTCCCTAGAGAAACCTCGAGCCCTGGTGCAGGTCACTGTGTCTGGAGTACCGGGGGTGTGCGGGCTGCGTGTCCTTGCTGGGTGTCTGTGGCTCCATGTGGTCACACCACGTGGGAGCAGGTTTGCTCGGAAGCCCAGGGTGTCCGTGCGTGACTGGACGGGGGTGGGCTGTGTGTGTGACACATCCCCTGGTACCTTGCTGACCCGCGCCACCTGCAGTCTGGTGTGCTGGCCCTCCAGCGAGGGAACGCCCAGTTGGCCGGACCTGCTCAGTGACCCGTCCATTGTGGGTAGCAATCTGCGGCACAACCCCCACTTACTGGGTCTCTCCTTTTACAACCAACACAACCGAAATCTAGGGCTTCTTTTTTTTTTTTTTTTTTTTTGAGACAGAGTCTCATTCCATTCTGTCACCCAGGCTGGAGTGCAATGGTACGATCTCGGCTCACTGCAACCTCCGCCTCCCGGGTTCAAGGGATTGTCCTGCCTCAGCCTCCTGAGTAGCTGGGATTACAGGCGTGTGCCACCATGCCTGGCTAATTTTTGTATTTTTGGTAGAGACGGGGTTTCAGCATGTTGGTGAGGCTGGTCTCGAACTCCTAACCTCGTGATCCGCCTGCCTCAGCCTCCCAAAGTGCTGGGATTACAGGCGTGAGCCACCATGCCCAGCCAAATCTAGGGCTGGAACATGGCTGCAGCATATAAATAGAATTGAATTCCATAGTTTTGTTAATCCTGTTTTTTGTTTGTTTGTAGTTGTTGCTGTTTTTGAGACAGAGTCTCGCTCTGTCGTCTAGGCTGGAGTGCAGTGGTGTAATCTCGGCTCACTGCAGACTCTGCCTCCCGGGTTCAAACTGTTCTCCTGCCTCAGCCTCCCAAGTAGGTGGGACTACAGGTGCCCACCACCACACCCGGCTAATTTTTGTATTTTATTAGAGACAGGGTTTCACCATATTGGCCAGGCTGGTCTGGAACTCCTGACCTTGTGATCTGCCCACCTCGGCCTCCCAAAGTGCTGGGATTACAGGCGTGAGCCACCACCCCCAGCCCCTGTTTTGTTTTTGTTTTGCTTGTTTCTTAGGGTTGTTTTTCTATTTATGGTAAAGGCATTGGCTTTCCATTTGTAGCATCAATAGAATATTTCCTGTTTACAATAACCTTATGTCATAGTAAATGGTAAAGGGATTTAAAGCAGTGGTTTTCAGCTGCCAGAGGCCTGAGAGAGTTTGGGCACACTCTGTGTGATCGGGCAGAAGGCCTGTGGGAAGTTTAGCTGAGGACAGGGCCAGGAAAGGTGATGGACAGTGGGGGTCTGTCCTGGTCACCAGGCCCCTGGGTCCTGCCCGCCTGCTTGGAGCTCCCCACCCATCACACATGATGCGGCCAAGCCCTCTGGGTATTGTGGGCAAATACCTTAGGAGAGAAGCTGATGAACTTTGTTTCTTGAAATGCACAGATTCCTTGGACGTCCCTGAGAGCTCAGTCATGAAAGTCAGCTTGGTTTTCTCCCCCTCATTTGGGTTCAGAATTTAAAGTCCACACACACGGGCAGTAAGATGACATAGATAAGGACATCATCACTCAGTTTCGGATGTTAAAATGTCTAGGTGGGTTAGGGGTGATTTGAGATCACACAACCTTGTGCCACAAAGAGGAATTCCCAGGCCAGAGGGAGACATTTTATTGCCATGTTATGATCTCATCATTGAGTTGAAAGGCAATCTTGTTTCATTTTGGATTCTTTCTTATGTTTATGTCTTATAAGGGCACTTTGAATTTCCAAGCAAATAATAATTTTGAATTAGCTTTTAATCATTGACTTCTAGCACAGTTTTATGATCAGAAACATGCTGTGTGATTTGATTGCTCTCAAATATATTGAGATTTGCTGGAACAAAATAAGTCAGGTTAATTTTTGTAAATGTACCATGCATGCTTAAAATGAATGTATGTACATTTGTTCCTGAGATACAGGTTGATGGACGGATGGCTACATGGATGTGATGGAGATGGTTTACTATCGGGACCTTCCGCATCCTGCTGATGTTTTGTTGCTTAGGATATGAATGGCTGAGCGGAGGCTGTACAACCTGGCACTCTGCTTGGGTATGAGGTTCTTCCTGCCATCCTGCCATCATTTGTTTTTTATGTTTTGTCGCCAAAAGTGACCTTGAGGAACCCTGGGAGCTCAGGAAGGAAGGAGCGCCCAGAAGCAGGGACAGGGAGCTGGTTGGGGAGGACCAGAAGTCAGGTTTGTGAAGGTTCCAGAGAGGACCTGGCCTTGGGAGGAGCGTGGGGGACTGAGATGGGGGAGGGGTCATTGGGATGATGCGGGCGCTACTTGGAATGTCCATTGTGAGGCACCACCGGGGTCATCAGGGATTGGTGGAGAGAGAGTCTAAAGCCCCAGGGTTGCTAAGGGAGGGCCCAGACCGAAGAAGGTTTGGTGGAAAGCAGAACCTTTGTCTCCCTCTAATTGCTCCTAAGCCTCACGCTCCCTTGCCCCGCCTGTCCTGTTGCTTCCCTGATCTTCTCCGTGACCTGTAGCTAAACCTTCCACCAGCGCTTGAGAACTTAATTTGAACCGGATCCTTTCCCAGACCCCTTTCTTCTTCTCCTCCTCCTCCTCCCCAACAGCCCCCTTCTCCTCCTTTCCCTTCCCTTACTTCCCCCCTTCCCCTCCCCCTCCCCTCCCCCTCCCCTCCCCCTCCCCAACTCAGATCCGGCCCGGTCCCCGTCCCCTTCCCTCCCCCCTGCCCTAAGCCACCTCCACCTCTGTCCTGGCTGCCTCAGGGCGCCCTGAAAGGACCAGGACATGCGGGTGCGGTGGCTGCTCTTTTGGCTCCTCTTTTGGCTCCTGCTGGGATTTATCAGCCATCAGTCCACCTGTGTGAGTAGATGGGTGCTGTGGCTGCTCTTTTGGCTCCTGCTGGGATTTATCAGCCATCAGTCCACCTGTGTGAGTAGACGCTGGACCCGCGGGGTTTCTTCCTTTTTACTGGGCTGTGTCACGCGGCATGAAATTACACAGCTCAGGCCTGTAATCCCAGCACTTTAGGGGGCTGAGGTGGGCAGATCACTTGAGTCCAGGAGTTGAAGACTAGCCAGGGCATCATAGCGAAACCCCATCTCTACAAAAAATTCCAAAAAAGATTAGTCGGGCCTGGTGGTGCGTACCTGTTATCCCAGTTACTGGAGAGGCTGAGGTGGGAGGATCGCTTGGGCCCAGGAGCTGGACGTTGCAGTGAGCCGAGATGGCGCTGTTGCACTCTTGTCTCCAACAGACAAAACGGACCAAAACAAAGTGAAATGTCATTTGATTTGTGTCATCTGGTTTGATGACTTTTTTTTGTTTGTTTGTTTTTTAGACAGAGTCTCACTCTGTTGCCCAGGCTGGAGTGCAGTGGCAAGATCTCGGCTCACTGCAACCTCCGCTTCCGGGGTTCAAGCAATTGTCCTGCCTCAGCCTCCTGAGTAGCTCAGATTACCACGCCTGGCTAATGTTTGTATTTTTAGTAGACCACCACGCCTGGCTACTTTTTGTATTTTTAGTAGAGACTGGGTTTCACCATGTTCGCCAGGATAGTCTCCATGTCTTGACCTCGTGATCTGCCTGCCTCGGCCTCCCAGTGCTGGGATTACAGGCGTGAGCCACCGCGCCTGGCCAAAATATATAACCTTAAGTGTAAGTTTACTAACTTTGGAAAGTACATACACCAGCATAAACCAACCCCCTTTCAAGATCTACATTATTTTATTTATTTATTTATTTTTTTGAGACAGTTTCTCCCTTGTTGCTGAGGCTGGAGTGCAATGGGGCAATATCAGCTCACCGCAACCTCTGCTTCCCAGGTTCGAGCGATTCTCCTGCCTCAGCCTCCCGAGTGGCTGGGATTACAGACATGTGCCACCACTCCCAGCTAATTTTGTATTTTTAGTAGAGATAGGGTTTCTCCATGTTGGTCAGGCTGGTTTTGAACTCCCGACCTCAGGTGATCCGCCTGCCTCGGCCTCCCAAAGTGTTGGGATTACAGGCGTGAACCACCGTGCCCAGCCAAGATCTACACTATTATGTCACCCCAGAAAGTGAACTCTCACTCTTCCCAGCCAGTCTCTTTCTTATCATAGCTTAGCTTGCTTATTCTGGAATTTCGCGTATACAGATGCATGCCATGCCATAGGTACTCTTTTGTGTCTGCTTTATTCTGCTCAACACCATGTTTCTGAAATCATTACCATTGTTGTACGGTTCTCTAACTCCATCATTTCCATTTCAGACTCAGCATATGCTGAGTTCAACCTGTTGAAGGGCTATCTCTGTTTAATTCACCATCTTGAAAGAAACATTTAAAATTGAGATGTTTTCAAGAATATATAGTTAAATCCTGAGGAATCGATGTAGAAATGTTATCAGAAGCTGTCTGAACTTACTCAGGGGAAGTCTTCGTCTTCACTCACATAAGAGTCTAATGGAATTAATATCAACAATCTTAGAGAAATCCCACGCTATTCATGCCATTTTCATGATCTCCACCTTGGTAATTTTTTTTTTTTTTTTTTTGAGACAGAGTCTCGCTCTGTCACCCAGGCTGAAGTGCAGTGGTGCGATCTTGGCTCACTGCAACCTCTACCTCCCAGGTTCAAGTGATTCTTCTGCCTCAGCCTCCCAAGTAGCTGGAACTATAGGCGCGTGCCACCATGCCCTGCTAATTTTTTGTATTTTTAGTAGAGATGGGTTTCACCGTGTTAGCTAGGATGGTCTCAATCTCCTGATCTCGCGGTCCACCCACCTCGGCTTCCCAAAGTGCTGGGATTGCAGGCGTGAGCCACCACGCCCAGCCCACCTTGTTACTTTTTAAGAACTAAAATTCGATACTTATTTGTGAATGAAGTAATCTCTTCATTGTATTTTTTTTTTTTTACTTATGCTGAGCTTTAAATGACAAAGATTCATATAATCCAAGAGAGAAGTATTATTTAGAGGGATTCTTTTACCATGTGATATATAATAAATGCATCCAATGTTATACATCAATTTAAAAAACAAGTAAATAACTAAAGAAAAGATAACTACTGGCCAGGTGCAGTGGCTCACACCTGTATTGCCAGCACTTTGGGAGGCCGAGGCAGGTGGATCATGAGGTCAGGAGTTGGAGACCAGCCTGGCCAAGATGGTGAAACCCTGTTTCTACTAAAAAGACAAAAATTAGCCGAGCGTGGTGGCAGGCGCCTGTAATCCCAGTTACTCAGTAGCTGAGGCAGGAGAATCGCTTGAACCCGGGAGGCGGAGGTTGCAGTGAGCTGAGATCATGCCACTGCAATCTAGCCTGGGTGACAGAGCAAGACTTTGTCTCAAAACAAAAATAAAAGATAAGATAATTACTTTATACTTAGCTTGTCTTACCCATGAGTGACGGGCTGCATGTGGCCCAGGACAGTTTTGAATGCAGTTCAACACAAATTTGTAAACTTTCTTAAAACATTAGGAGATTTTGGCCAGGTACAGTGGCTCATGCCTGTAATCCCAGCACTTTGGGAGGCTGAGGCGGGCAGATTACCTGAGGTCAGGAGTTCGAGACCACCCTGGCCAACATGGCAAAACCCCATCTCCACAAAAAATACAAAAATTTGCTGAGTGCACTGTCAGGCACCTGTACTCCCAGCTACTCAGGAGGCTGAGGCAGGAGAATCACTTGAACCTGAGAGGCAGAGGTTGCAGTGAGCCGAGAGCACACCACTGCACTCCAGCCTGGGTGACAGAGTGAGACCCCATCTCAAAAACAAACAACAAACAAAAACAAAAAAAATGGCCGGGCACGGTGGCTCACACCTGTAATCCCAGCACTTTGGGAGGCCGAGGCAGGCAGATCGCCTGTCAGGAGTTCAAGGCCAGACTGGCCAACATGGTGAAACCTCATCTCTACTAAAAATACAAAAATTAGTCGGGCATGGTGGCAGAGACCTGTAATCTCAGCTGCTCGGGAGGCTGAGGCAGGAGAATGGCTTGAGCCCAGGAGCTGGAGGTTGCAGTGAGCCGAGATTGCACCACTGCACTCCAGCCTGGGCGACTGAGTGGAGCGGAACTCTGTCTCAAAAAAAAAAAAAAAAATTTTTTTTTTTAGATCATCAGCTATTGTTAGTGTTAGTGTATGTTATGTGTGGCTCAAGACAACTTTGCTTCTTTTAATATAGGCAGGGAAGTCAAAAGATTGGATATCCCTGCTTTATACCAAGAAAGACAACACCCCACATTTGCAATGCCTAAAAACACTACCAGCCATCTGAAAAACATGAGACTTCTCTAACTTCTGTTCTTTTTTGTAGCAGTGGAATCCCACGGTGATATCTGAGGGATGTGGTTACCTTTTGGAGGAGGTTGACGGTTTCTAAGGATGATTCTTTCTGAGTGAAATATTGTCAGTGTCATTGACCTTTTCATTATTTCAACTATTATTATTCCAGGTTATCAATACTCTGGCTGACCATCGTCATCGTGGGACTGACTTTGGTGGAAGTCCTTGGTTACTTATCATTACTGTGTTTCTGAGAAGTTATAAATTTGCCATCTCCCTCTGCACAAGTTACCTTTGTGTGAGTATACTAACTTTCTGTAGAGGTATACTTGTAATCACAAATAAGAATAAATTATATGAAACAATTCACGTTTCTGGACTTCATTATGAATATGTGGTTTTACCCAAAAAATCAGGGAAATGATTTATTAGCATAAGAATTATGAAAATATCTGCCATTTACATTATGAAAATTAAATAGGTCGGTGTTTAATAGAATGTCAACAGAGCTTTTGGTCAAAAATAAGTTTTTTTAACCTTTGTGCTATTTGTCACAAATGGAGTATGAGATTTCGTCACTTAAATGGGAAAGTCTTTCTAAACTCTTCTGCTTTATAGTTCTATCGTATGGGTGGAAGGAAAGCTTCCAATCTCCTCTCTGAAGATTCACTGCAGAAATGAGCTGACAACAGACAGCTTAACAGGAAAAGAAAAACATAGAACAGGCATAAACATGGGAACCAGCTGAAAAATGAGACTGCTAGAAGGGCTGGATGGTTGATGCTTAAAGAGCACCCTCTTCTGAGGGTAGAGGGAGATAGATGGAGATGTAGGCCATTTAGAGGGGCAGCAAATGATTTTTAGGGGAAATGAAAGAGCCCAAGGAACAAACAGTTGGCCTGAGACAAAGTTCCTCTGAGGTCATAGGGACGAGGTGACAAACTGCCGGAAGGTGAAGGGCAGAACTGCACTGCGTCTCATGATGCAGAGAAAGCCCCACAGAATCTCTTAGAACTGCCCTCCAAGAGAATCAATGAAAAGTGTGTCTGGGCAGGGTAATTTTGAATGACATCATTCAAAGTGCATGTTCCCACTTGCAACTGGAATGAGATCAGTATGTCAAAAGTCTATACTTGGTAAGAATTTGGCTGCTAAGTTGTGCCATAATTTGTCTTTTGAGCCTTTTATCCTTTGCGTAAGTTGAGCTCTACATTTTGTCTTGCCATTCATGACAATAAAAATGTGGTTGTGTGGGGGCTGAACCTCCTTCTGAACAATGATCCAAGATAAAAGTACTAAACCACAATGCTTTTTTATATTCAAGGGAAGAGGAAGTATGTTTCAGTTTTACCGCCTAGATAATTACACGTCATTTGGCACTGCCTTTCAAGATATGTAGAAAACAGAAAATATATGAGTTATGAAGATATCTAGGCACATTTAACATTCTCTATGCCACTTAGTCCTGAACAGAGAATTTTCGGTATAAATTGGAGGAAGCTTTTTTTTTTTTCTTTTCTCACCCCCAAGAGGAGTCTCCCTCTGTTGCCCAGGCTGGAGTATAATGGTGTGATCTCGGCTCACTGCAACCTCCACCTCCTGGCTTCAAGTGATTCCCCTGCCTCAGCCTCTCAAGTAGCTGGGATTACAGGTGCCCACCACCATGCCCAGCTAATTTGTGTATTTTTAGTAGAGTCGGGGTTTTACCATGTTGGCCAGGCTAGTCTCAAAACCCGACCTCAAATGATCCACCCGCCTCAGCCTCCCAAAGTGCTGGGATTACAAGCGTGAGTCACCACGTGAGCCAGGGGAAGTTTTTAAATTTACCACTTTTTAACAATTCCATTTAGGAAAGTTCAGTTGAGCTGTTGGACTTGGACAACTTTGCACCTCTCATCTTTGTCCTTGTCATCTAGTCATCTATACCATTACCTCCTAAGCAGGGACATCATGGGTGCCATGAAGCATTCATGTGTGATGGCATTTCTTTGCTTCTCATTTCTTCATGTGTTTGACATTTCTCCTAGCTCCAAACTGGGCCAGCTACCTTTCCTATGAAATCTAGCAGTAGCTGTGGGATAGACGTGGTTGCTCTTTTCATCTTTTTAGATTACCCATTGCTTCTCTTGAAATCCTAGTACATGATTTTTTTTTAATCCTATGTGCAGAAATCAGGAAAAAACAAGTTCTACAAAGAATTTGAAAGATATTATTTCAGGCCAGGTGTGGTGGCTCATGCCTGTAATCCCAGCACTTTGGGAGGCTGAGGCAGGTGGATCACTTGAGGTCAGGAGTTCAAGACCAGATGGGCCAACATAGTGAAACCCCATCTCTACTAAAAAGACAAAAATTAGCCAGGCATGGTAGCAGGCACCTGTAATCCCAGCTACTTGGGAGGCCGAGGCACAAGAATCGCTTGAATCTGGGAGGTGGAGGTTGCCGTGAGCCAAGGTAGTGCCACTGCACTTCAGCATGGTTGAGTGACACTCCGTCTCAAGAAAAAAGTCATTTCAATGACTACCTCAGGAGATTCATAGGTATCTGACCCACATCTGAGATGGGATTTGCATTGCATTTTAGCTATGATGAGAACAAATATTTAATATCTTCGAAGATTAAAAGCATACTGTGATAATATGGAAATCTTGGTGGGAATTCAGTCATTAGTGAGAATGTTTTGCGTTAAGTTCAAACCAGCCTCAACGAAGCTGATGTGAGGGAAGGGAAAGTGAACTCTGAGTAGAGCAGGGACAGAAGAAAGATGCTCCAGTGCAGATCAGGAAGGAGCAGGGGGTGAAATGTTACAAATTCTAGAACTCAGAGAGCTGAAGGTAATTACTTCCTTTTCAAGTTGTGAAACATGTTAACCTGTGGTAAAATACTTACAAGATGATAATTACCATCTAACCGTGTTGAAGTGTACAGTTCAGTTGTGTGAAGTATATTCATGTCATTTTTTTTTTTTTTTTTTTTTGAGACAGAGTCTCACTCTGTCACCAGGCTGGAGTGCAGTGGTGGGATCTTGGCTCACTGCACCCTCTGCCTCCTGGGTTCAAGCAGTTCTCCTGCCTCAGCCTCCCGAGTAGCTGGGACTACAGGCGTGGGCCACCATGCTCAGCTAATTTTTGTATTTTTAGTAGAGACGGGGTTTCACCATGTTGCCCAGGATGATCTCCATCTCTTGACCTTGTGATTCACCCGCCTCGGCCTCCCAAAGTGCTGGGATTACAGGCGTGAGCTACAGCACCTGGCCTATTTTTTTTTTTTTTTTTGAGACAGAGTTTGAATTTTGTTGCCCAGGTTGGAGTGCAATGGCACAATCTCAGCTCACCACAACCTTTTCCTGCTGGATTCAAGTGATTCTCCTGCCTCAGCCTCGCGACTAGCTGGGATTACAGGCATGCACCACCATGCCTGGCTAATTTTGAATTTTTAGCAGAGACAGCGTTTCTCCATGTTGGTGAGGCTGGTCTCAAACTCCCGACCTCAGGTGATCCGCCTGCCTCGGCCTCCCAAAGTACTGGGATTACAGGAGTGAGCCACCCTGCCAGCCTCATGTCATTCTTTGTGTGTGTGTGTGTGTGTGTGTGTGTGTGTGTGTGACAGAGTCTCATTCTGTCGCTCAGGCTGGAGTGCAGTGGTGTGATCTCGGCTCACTGCAAACTCCGCCTCCCAGCTTCAAACGGTTCTCTGCCTCAGCCTCCCGAGTAGCTCGGATTACAGGCGCCCACTGCCATGCCCGGCTAATTTTTGTATTTTTAGTAGAGACGGGGTTTCACCATCTTGGCCAGGCTGGTCTTGAACTCCTGACCCCGTGATCCACCTGCCTCGGCCTCCCAAAGTACTGGGATTATACGCATGAGCCACCGTGCCCAGCCGTCATTCTTATATTATTATTTCCTAGGTGTCTTTCCTGAAGACTATCTTCCCATCTCAAAATGGACATGATGGATCCACGGATGTACAGCAGAGAGCCAGGAGGTCCAACCGCCGTAGACAGGAAGGTATGGCTCTGTTGGAGTCCCCATAGTGTGGAAATGAGTTTGCCCTGGAAAGGGAAAGAACAGCTTCTTGCCCTCAGGTTTCTCACCTTCTCCTCTCCTCACTCTCACCAAGGGCTGAAGTCCATTTGTATGCACACAAAGAAAAGAGTTTCTTCCTTTCCAGGAATTAAAATTGTCCTGGAAGACATCTTTACTTTATGGAGACAGGTGGAAACCAAAGTTCGAGCTAAAATCCGTAAGATGAAGGTGACAACAAAAGTCAACCGTCATGACAAAATCAATGGAAAGAGGAAGACCGCCAAAGAACAGTAAGATGTGCCTTGACACAAATACTGTTGTATGAACCATGTGCCAATCAAAGTAGACAACTGTAAAGTCCTTGAGAATATTTTCGACAATATTTGTGGCAAATTCAGTGGGTTCAAAATTGAGTTTGTCCTTTCTGCTTCATTAGTTTAAGCTGTATAATTCCTTTCCCTTCCTACATTCTTGTTTGTCATTTTTTCAGGGGAAGAGGAGTTGCTAGTACTGCATTGGTTTTCCTTTCTCTCTCTTTTTTTTTTTTTTTTTTCCTGAGATGGGGCTTTGCTCTTGTTGCCCAGGCTGCAGTTCAATGGCACAATCTCAACTCACTGCCTTTTGGGTTCAAGCAATTCTCCTGCCTCAGCCTCCCAAGTAGCTGGGATTACAGGTGCCCACCACCATGCCCAGCTAATTTTTGTATTTTTACTAGATATGGGGTTTCACCATGTTGTCCAGGCTGATCTCGAACTTCTGACCTCAGGTAATCCACCCGCCTCAGCCTCCCAAAGTGCTGGGATTAGAGGCGTGAGCCACCACACCCAGCACCCAGCCTTTTTTTTTTTTTTTTTAATTTTGAGATAGAGTCTCGCTCTGTCGCCCAGGCTGGAGTGCTGTGGTGCAATCTTGGCTCACTGCAACCTCTGCCTCCCAGTTTGAAGCAATTCTGCCTCAGCTTCCCGAGTAGCTTGGATTACAGGTGTGTGCCGCCACATTCGGCCAATTTTTTTTTTTTTTTTTTTTTTTTTTGAGACGGAGTCTCACTCTGTCACCCAGGCTAGAGTGCGGTGGCATGATCTTGGCTCACTGCAACTTCCGCCTCCCAGGTTCAAACGATTCTTATCCCTCAGCCTCTTGAGTAGCTGGGACTACAGGCATATGCCACCATGCCCAGATAATTTTTGTATTTTTAGTAGAGGCGGGGTTTCACCATATTGGCCAAGCTGGTCTAGAACTCCTGACATCATGATCCGCACACCTCGGCCTCCCAGTGTGCTGGGATTACAGGCGTGAGCCACCGTGCCCAGCCCAATTTTTGTATTTTTAGTAGAGACGGGTTCACCATGTTGGCCAGGCTAGTCTTGAACTCCTGACCTCAGGTGATCTGCCTACCTCAGCCTCCCAGTGTGAGCCACCGCACCCAGCCTGGATTGTTGAATTCAATGCTTGGGTCACCTCCAGATTCATTTTCACAGTCTTTCATGTTTTGGTCATACTACATTGTATTTTGCTGCCATATGACTGATCTTTTTTTGTTAAATGTGAGATACTTTTTAAAAAATATTTAACAATGCATTGAGGCCTAGTAGCATGTTATCTTGCTGCAGAAGAGATGGGAGTCTACTTCTGGGGGATGGTCAGGGGTCCTCCGTACAGGCTGCAATTGAGGTCGTCTCTGCAGGCTCAGTCCCTACAAAGGCCAGGGTATTTCCTGTCCACCTCTATTCTGATGCATGACTCTTCTGGGTCTCAACCAGAGCCAGTGGACTTCAGTATGGATCGCTTTCATTGGCAGACCCTCAATCCACTTGTTTTCCATCTAACCCCACGCATGTGTGCAAAAGCTGCTGTGCTTCTTTGCATCTCAGTAGTTCCTTCTGGAATTCAGCAATGAAACTCAGGGAAATGGGTTCCAAATGCGAGGCTGACTTTCGTCCTGGGTTTCCTTCTTCTCCATCTTCACCTCATGTCTGTTTACTGCCATGTTAGCAATTTGATGTATTCAATCATGGTTTTTATATTCTGTTTGGTGTCCCCCATTGTTCTCATCGGAGATCAGAAGCTTCAGATGCACTTATGTCAACTCAAGAGTAGAATGCTTCCTTAGCTTCCCTCCAGAGTCAGGTTTTGTGTTTCTAGTTCCCAAGTGCACAGCAGGAGTAGTGATGTCCTCACTGGCTTCTCATTTGCATTAAACTGTGAGCTTCTTTAGCGTGGGGACAGGACCCTGCTCCCATTGCATTGTCAGCACCTCACCACACACTCCTTGTTTGAGGCCACTCCAGACAGCATGTGCTGAAGGATGCCCTGTGGTCAGAAACAAGTTCATTAACTTTCTCTTTGAAGTGTTTTCGTCCCTGTTTCCTAGCGTTCTGGGAATTTTACACATCCTTCCTATAAAACCAAGTATCAGGTGAGATCCTTAGGATCAGGACCATGAATCAAGTGGTGTGAGGGCAACACAGCAAACTTACCCTTTTGAGGCCGTTTCCTTTTTCTGCCCTCAATCTCTGTGAATTGAACCTTGTTAAAGTCAGTCAACACCAGGGTGGATGGTTTGCCGTTGTCACCTATTTTCAGGACATAACACCCTGACTTAGGAGCCATTCCGATCATTTCTAATTCAATAGATGCGCCCAGCATTCAGATTGCCTTTTCAGGATCTTTAAAGTCGATGACAAGAGTTCCAGTCCTGAATCATGGCAAAGTGCAGTAGTGAACTGCGGGGTTAATGACACCATATTCTGGAAGGATCTCTCTATGGCTGATGGTCTCAGTTCCGGCATCAGCCTCTGACTGAGAATCAGGTCTCACACAGGAGGAGTCAGATGAGGAGCAATCCTCTGCTTCCGATGGAGTTAGTTGTGATGAATTGGTGAGGTCTGGTTTTTCACACTGAACTAAAATGAGCTTTCGCTGTGTCAAGCACAAGACTGACCCCAGAGACGCACATAGTGCACCTCATAGAAGCTTTTAATAGTCTTTATATTTACTAAAGAATAGGACTAACTATGGAACTATGAAGATGAGCTGGAAATGACAGGTGACTTGCCAGCAGGCCAGAGTGTGATTTTTTTTATCCCTCAATGGGAGGTGTCCATTCTCCCTTCAGTTGTGAGAATCAGTTGGTTCATTTGTGGGAAGGTTGCAGGGGGGATCTTTGAATCACAGCCTTCAGATGCCAGAAGGGCAGAGGGAATCCCACACGGGCTGGTGGATCATGTGTGTGCATTTCTCTCCCTTCTAGTCTGAGGAAACTAAGCATGAAAGAACGTGAGCACAGAGAAGAGGAGAGGCAGGTGTCAGAGGCAGAGGAAAATGGGAAATTGGATATGAAAGAAATACACACCTACATGTGAGTTCAGAAACTGAACCCCACCCTCTTGGGAAACGCCCATTGGAGTGTTGTTTTTAACCTTTGTACAATGTTTAGACCCAGTAAATGCAGAAATAGAAACAAATGGTCAGAAGACATATCGTGAGAGAGAGAGAGTTCACAAAACAGAAAACAAAGTACCTTAATATTTACCAGTGACCAAAAGATGTGAAGTAGCAAAACGGCTCCTGACCCCATTGCCAGCTAGACTGTGTGGAAACTCGGTTCATACCAGCCATTCTAGGGGTGGGGTGAGTTGTTGTCATCCTTAGGAAAGTGTGTTGTTGTAGGATCAACCACATCCTTCAAAAGGACTATGCCTGTTTATAAGCCCAGCTGTTTCTGCCCTGTGAAACACGGTAAAGATATTAATACAAAGAGAATACAGCTTTATGATAAAAGATGCTCAATGAAGGATGAATTAGGGATATACTGAGAATGGGGAAGGAAACTATCATCTCAGAAGTCAGCAGGCAGTAAGCAAGAGGAGGAATCAATATAGCAACAGTTTGGATCAGACTGTACAGTTTTTTTTGTTTTTGTTTTTGTTTTTGTTTTTCTGAGATGGAGTCTCGCTGTGTCACCCAGGCTGGAGTGCAATGACGTGATCTTGGCTCACTGCAACCTCCGCCTCCCAGGTTCAAGTGATTCCCCTGCCTCAGCCTCCCGAGTAGCTGGGATTACAGGTGCCTGCCACCACCCCCGCCTAATTTTTTGTATTTTTAGTAGAGACGGGGTTTCACCGTATTAGCCAGGATGGTCTCAATCTCCTGACCTCGTGATCCATCCGCCTCGCCCTCCCAGAGTGCTGGGATTACAGGCGTCAGCCACCGTGACCGGCTCAGACTGTACTCTTCTAGCCATCTGAAATACGTTTTCTAGGTAGAGATAGATTGTGTAAGGGTACAGTTGTGAGGATAACAGAAACATGGCAGATTATTTAAAATCATCCTGAAAGTGGTGCTTTATCTGATGAAAGTGATTGTAATCCATAGGGAAATGTTTCAACGTGCGCAAGCGTTGCGGCGGCGGGCAGAGGACTACTACAGATGCAAAGTAAGGAGCTTCCTCCCCGCAGTTGCAGGATAGTTCAGTGCTGATGCAGATGATGCCACGGCCCTTAGACTCTCTCAACATTCAATTTCTCATGTGTTGGCTTTTTCAGATCACCCCTTCTGCAAGAAAGCCTCTTTGCAACCGGGTAAGTTTGCTTGTTTTCCTTGCTTTTGGACATAGTCTGCCAGGTCAGGACATGGATACATTTTTCTCCCTACGGCTCTGTGCTCAAGCCCTGCAGAGGGAGATGGCAGAGAGGAAGGCTGCCTACAAGCATCACAGTCCCATCCCTGTTGGTAACTGTGTTGCGCAAAAACACCTTCATCCCCACCCAGTGGGGCCCCCATCTAATATTCTAAGTGTCAGAGGTTCCGTATTTGTAATAGCAAATGGGCCCTGACTGTAAATTAGTGAAGAGTGAATGTAACTTATTACCCACAGGGACAATTCCAAATGAGGGCCTTAAATGATGCTCAGCTAAGCTGGTTCTTGTGTGGCCTCTGTACCTTCAAAAGCTGCCGAGTCCTATGATTACACGCGATGGGACTTGTACACTTGAAGTGAAACACAGTTTTAAAACTTGCTTTGTTTAGAATTCCCACCTCATTTTTCCATGGACAAAAGTATTCTTTATGTCCTAGTGCACTTACAATTTGGTATTACCTGGGAGTGAAAAGAAATATTACAGCCATGCCTAACTGACTTCTTGAGGTAAGATTGTTCTGTCAGAAAACCCTCTCCCAGTTCCCCTGCAGCTCTTCAGGAATCCACATCTCTCCAGAGCTCTTTGTTCTCATGGGTGGCACCTCCAGAGTGAAGAAGATCCTTTGTCAAGAAGGGAAACAGAGGGGAAATGAGAGGGTCCTGCAGGCAGAGCTGGAATCAACTTCCACTCTGCCTCTTGCAAGCTGTGTGACCCTGGGCACAATTTCTCCTTCCTCTGGAAACCTCTGTTTTCTTAGATTTGGAGCAGGGTGGTCACACTGACCTTGCAGAGTTCTGAGAATCAGAGACAGAACATAAAAGGCCTGGAAAACATTCTCCAAAAAGAAGCTGCAACATGTGTGGACAATGGGCTTTTCATGCCTCTCTTACTGTCTCTTACTGTCTATTGACCTGGTGCAAGAAACATGCTCTGGTGATGGCTGTGAGGGAGGAATGAGGATAGACATAGACACTCCTGTGTCTCAAACATGCTTCTTTATTACTCTGTTATGACTCTGTCTTCCCTGGGGCAGGACCCCAGCCTGCCTACATTTGCAGACAGACACAGTGGCATGTGGAGACAACAGTGTGTCCCAATGACTTTTCTTTACCCCCTAGCTGTCGGCAGTACTCAGTGGAAGGGTGATATTATGACACTGACACTGCTATTTTGAAACCTGGAGGATGGAAAGGTGCAAAAATCTATCACCAGCAACAGAAGGTGCAGACTGTGTTGGTGGCGGTAATTTTGTCCATCAAATGAATATGTGTGAAAACATTCCCTCCTTTGGCCCTACAGGTCAGAATGGCGGCAGTGGAGCATCGTCATTCTTCAGGATTGCCCTACTGGCCCTACCTCACAGCTGAAACTTTAAAAAACAGGATGGGCCACCAGCCACCTCCTCCAACTCAACAACATTCTATAATTGATAACTCCCTGAGCCTCAAGACACCTTCCGAGTGTGTGCTCTATCCCCTTCCACCCTCAGCGGATGATAATCTCAAGACACCTCCCGAGTGTCTGCTCACTCCCCTTCCACCCTCAGCTCTACCCTCAGCGGATGATAATCTCAAGACACCTGCCGAGTGCCTGCTCTATCCCCTTCCACCCTCAGCGGATGATAATCTCAAGACACCTCCCGAGTGTCTGCTCACTCCCCTTCCACCCTCAGCTCCACCCTCAGCGGATGATAATCTCAAGACACCTCCTGAGTGTGTCTGCTCACTCCCCTTCCACCCTCAGCGGATGATAATCTCAAGAAACTAAGGAAGAATAAATAAATAATATAAAAATAAAATGAATACTGCAGTCCTTATGTTATTGCTTTGTTTCAATATCTGGTATGATTGCCTGAGGGACCTGAGGTTTTTAATCGTAGGGGTTTTTTTAATCTTTAGAAGTGGTTGGTTATGTAAAATATTATTATTTGTTTTTTTTTTGAGACTGGAGTTTGCTCTGTCACCCAGGCTGGAGTGCAGTGGCTCGATCACAGCTCACTGCAGCCTCAACCTCCTGGGCTTCAAGCAATCCTCCTGCCCCAGCCTCCCAAGTAGCTGGGATCACAGATGTGTGCCACCACGCCTGGCCAATGTTAAAAAATCCTTTAACTTTTTTGTAGAGATGCACTCCTGGACTCAAGCAATCCTCCTACTTGTCCCGACCACCAGCCTCTTTCTGATAAACATTTACACTGTTTATTATCTGATGCCATTTCTATCTTCTTCCTTGTCATCCAGACATCAAAGAATTAGGTTTCTTCAGGGTTTTCTTTTTCAAGTGCTCAGTGTTAAAGATCACTCACATTAGGGCCAGACACCACGGCTCATGCCTGTAATCCCAGCACTTTGGGAGGCCGAGGCGGGCAGAGCACTTGAGGTGGGGAGTTTGAGACCAGCCCGGCCAACTTGGTGAAACCCCACCTCTACTGAAAAAATACAAAAATTAGCTGGGCGTGATGGTGCATGCCTGTAGTCCCAGCCACTTGGGAGGCTGAGGCATGAGAATCGCTTGAACCCAGGAGGCAGAGGTTGTAGTGAGCCGAGATCACATCAGCACACTCTAGCCTGGGTGACAGAGCGAGACTGACTCAAAAAATAAATAAAATAAATATCACTTACATTAGATATACCCAAGGGGTGGTCTATAGAGACTTGGAAGCAGTGGTTATTGCAACAGGGGCACGGAAGTCATCTGGCTATGCCAGGGTGCCCAGGGGATACTCGGGGTGGGTGGCATGGTGCTGCTGGGGACTCACCGCACAGGACGCTCTGATTGACGCACTGCCAGGAGTAGCGCTCTGTCTTGGGGCTGCAGCCGGCCTCCTCAGCTCGAGTGTAACAACAGTCGTGGCCATGGCAGCACCTGCGGATGTCACATGGGCAGGACAGCAGGTGGGTGAAGCTCTCTCCTGGCCCTCCTCTCTTGCCAGGACTATGGGTGACTGAAGACCCCCAGGGAGGCACAGCATCCTCTTATCTAAGATTTTTTTTTTTTTTTTTTTTAAGAGACAGGGTCTTTCTCTGTCGCCCAGGCTGGACTGCAGAGGCACAATCATAGCTCACGGCAGCCTTGAACTCCTGGGCTCAAGCGATCCTCCCACTTCAGCGTCCCAAGTAGCTGAGACTACAGGCACACGCCAGCATGCCCGGCTGGTTTTTTAATTTGTATTTCCTTTGAGACAGCGTATCTCTCTGTTGCTCAGGCTGGAGTGCAGTGGCTCAATCAGCTCACTTTAGCCTTGAACTCCTGGGCTCAAGTGATACTGCCACCTCAACCTCCCAAGTCTGCTACTACAGGAACACAAACTCCTTTTTTAAATTTTTTATGGATATGGGGTCTTACTATGTTGCCTAGGCTGGTCTCGAACTCCCAGGCTCAAGCAGTCCTCCTACCTCAGCCTCCCCAAATGCTGGGATTACAGGTGGGAGCTACTGTACACCTGGCCTTATCTAAGCTGTTTCCCTGAAAATCCCCGTCTTGGGTAATGATTCCATTGGCCCCACCATGCCCTCTGCCTTCCTGGCTGTGCCCAAGCTTGGTCCCTGCCTGCCTGCCTGCCTCCCTCTCTGGGTCTTGAGCTCCTGTGACACATGACTCCTCTCTCTTCCTGGAGTGATCCAAGCCCTGCCACTTCCTGACTTTGCCCACACTGTACCCTCTGCCTGGGGCAACTTCATGTCTGCCCATTGTCCCTTAGGCCTCAGCCCAGGCACAAGCCCCTGCCTCCGGAGGTCATCCAGGCCTCACCAGGCTACACCCTCTCGTAAAATTGGATTCCCTCCCTTCAGGGCAGGTTTATAATGAAATCCTCCTCAGAGGCCAGGTGCGGTGACACCCATCTGTAATCCCAGCACTTTGGGAGGCTGAGGTGGGAGGATCACTTGAGGCCAGGGGGTCGAGACCAGCCTGGGCAACATAAGAGAGACTCTTGTCTCTATAACAAATTTAAAAATTAGTCACCAGGCCAGGCTCAGTGGCTCATGCCTGTAATCCCAACACTTTGAGAGGCCGAGGCAGGTGGATCACGAGGTCAGGAGTTCGAGAGCAGCCTGACCAACATGGCGAAACCCTGTCTCTACTAAAAATACAAGATTAGCCAGGCATGGTGGCACGCACCTGTAATCCCAGCTACTCGGGAGGCTGAGGTAGGAGAATTGCTTGAACCCAGGAGGTGGAGGTTGCGGTGAGCCAGGATCACGCCATTGCTGTCCAGCCTGAGCAACAGAGCAAGACTCTGTCTCGAGACAATAAAAACACACAAAAAATTAACTCGCCATGATGGCACATGCCTATAGTCCTAGCTACTTGGGAGGCTGAGGTGGGAGGATTCCCTTCAGCCCAGGAGTTTGAGGCTGCAGTGAGCCACTATGATTGTGCCACTGCACTCTAACCTGGGCAAAAGCGAGACCCCAGGCTAGAGTGCATGATTTTGGGTCACTGCAACCTCCACCTCCCAGGTTCAAGTGATTCTCCTGCCTCAGCCTCTTGAGTAGCTGGGACTACAGGCATGTGCCACCACGCCTGGGTAATTTTTGTATTTTTAGTAGAGACAGGGTTTAGTAGAGACCATGGTGAAACCCCGTCTCTATTAAACAAATCTCTACTAACCCCATCTCTACAAAAAACAGCTGGGCGTGGTAGTGCACACCTGTAATTCTAGCTACTTGGGAGGCTGAGGCACGAGAATCATTTGCATCTTGGAGGCAGAGTTTGCAGTGAGCTGACATCGCACCACTGCGCTCCAGCCGGGATGACAGAGCAAGACCCTGTCTCAAAAAAAAGAAAAAGGAACAAACAACAGCAACGACAACAAAAAAACCTCTGTGTCAATCACAGCCTACAAGCTAGGGGAGAGGCGGCCGAATTCTGCCCTCTGCTAACTAACTATAGCTTTGTGGAAATGGGTGAATGGCGTGCCCTTGTGAGCCTCAGGGCCCCATCTGTAAAATGGGCATAACTGTCATGCCCGTCTTTAAGAACAGCCTTGGGGGTAAATGAGTGGAAGTCATGGAAAGATCTCAGCCCACAACCTTCCACAGAACAGACGCTTCTCACACAGTAAGTAGCAGGAGTGCAGAGGCTGCAGGCATGAATCCAGCCAGACTGCCTGGGTTCAAGTCCCAGCTCCCACGTCTTGGTAACTATGTGGCCTCAGACAAGTTACTTAATATTTCTTTTTTTTTTTTTCAGACGGAGTTTTGCTCTGTCACCCAGGTTGGAGTGCAGTGGTGTGATCTCGGCTCATTGCAACCTCTGCCTCCCGGGTTCAAGCAATTCTCCTGCCTCAGCTTCCTGAGTAGCTGGAATTACAGGCACCTGCCACCACACACAGCTAATTTTTGTATTTTTAGTAGAGACGGGGTTTCACCATGTTGGCCAGGATGGTCTCGAACTCCTGACCTCGTGATCTGCCTGCCTCAGCCTCCCAAAGTACTGGGATTACAGGCGTGAGCCACCGCACCTGGACACGTTACTGAATATTTCTGTGCCTAGGTTTCTTCATGTGAAATGGGATTGTTGTGAGAACACAAAGGGATTCCCAGGGCAGTTCCTAGTGCATAGTCTGGCTGCCTTTGTATGTGTGTGTGTGTGTGTGTGTGTGCACGCGTGTGTGTGTGTGTGTTTAATATAGAGACAGGGTTTCACTCTGTTGCCTAGGCTCGTTTCAAACTCCTGGGCTCCAGTGATCCTCCTGCCTCGACCCAAAGTGGTGGGATTACAGGCATGAGTCAACACACCTGGTCACTTTATATTATTATTATTTTTTTCTTTTGAGACAGGGTTTGGCACTGTTGTCCAGGTTGGAATACAGCGGTGCAATCTCAACTCACTGCAAACTCCGCCTCCCGGGTTCAAGCAATTCTCCTGCCTCAGTCTCCCGAGTAGCTGAGATTACAGACGCCTGCCACCACACACAGCTAATTTTTGCATTTTTAGTAGAGATGGGGTTTCACCATATTGGCCAGGCTGGTCTTGAACTCCTGACCTCAAGTGATCTGCCGGCCTCGGCCTCCCAAAGTGCTGGGATTACAGGAGTGAGCCACCGCTCCTGGCCAATTTTTTAAGGCAACGTTTTCAGCCCATGGCCAGGGTAAGGCACAGCTAGTACCAAGATCTGGCTTCACTGGCCATGTTATCCAAGAGGCCTCTGCCTGCCTGCAAAGTAGTACTGCACACTGGGATCTCCCTGGACCAAACCCCAGCTTCAGTTTTGGGTACTTCCTCATAAGCCTTGACTACCCCAGAGTGTGAGGGATTTTGCAGCCTGGTCCCAGGCATGCACTCACCAGTCAATGGCATCGCGGGGCTGGCCATGGCCTCCCAAGCCACAAAAGCAACCATATTTCACATAGGCGATGGGAGTTCAGGGACCAACACAACCCACAATTCCTGCCAGTTCCAGGATCCCACGCCGGTGCACACATAATATCCTGGAGGCTGGGGGGTAAACAAAGGTGACAGGCTGCAGGTCAGGGCTTCCCAGACCCCTGGGAAGGGCATGAGCCTGAGAGGAGCCTAGGTGTTACAGCCTGGCTGTCTGGGTTTGAATCCTACTTCCTGGCTGTGTGACCTTGGACAAATTCCTAACCTCTCTGGGCCTTGGTTTCCTCATCTGTGAAATGGGGGATAAGCTGACTTCAACTCATATGAATGAAATGAGATAATGAGTATAAAGCCCCTGGTGCATGAAAAGGCTATTATAATCCGGCTGGGCTCAGTGGCTTACACCTGTAATCCCAAGATTTTGGGAGGCCCAGGCGGGCAGATCACCTGAGGTCAGCAGTTCAAGATCAGCCTGGCCAACATGGTGAAACCCCATCTGTAGTAAAAATACAAAAATTAGCCGAGCATAGTGGTGCACGCCTGTAATCCCAGCTACTAGGGAGGCTGAGGAAGGAGAGTCACTTGAACCTGAGAGGCGAAGATTGCAGTGAGCCAAGATTTTGCCACTGCATTCCAACCTGGGCGACAGAGCAAGAGTCTCAAAAAAAGAAAAAAAAAAAAAGGCTAACTATTATAATCAAGGTCCTCAAGGTAGCCAAGGAGGGAAAAGAGTCGTGCATGAAACCTTTGTCCAGTTCCCTGTGTTGGGCACTCGGCATCATATGAGCCTACAGGTGTCTGTCACCAAGGTGGGCTCCTCTGTGGCAGCTCCCAGGCCCTGGCACTGCCCTGTGCTCATGACTTTTCCTCCAGACTCAGGCTCAGGGCCCTTGGTATCTCCTCTTATTTTCACTGCCAGATAGGAAGGCCCCTTGGACTGAGCCCAGCCATTTATCTAGATCCTGGCACAGCTTGGACATGTAATGGTGCCCAATGCATGTGACTGGAACCCCTGCATTGGACATGTAGGAAACGAGGCCAGCCGGGAAAGGTAACCCCACATTCCCACAGCCAGCAGGAACTCAAGCAGAGGCTTCAACCCAGGCTTCTGACTTGCAAACCAGTGCTCCTTCCTCCTTACACAGTAACAACAGGGGAAGGTGGCCTTCCAGGTTGCCAGAGCCGAGTGGTACCAGCAATAGAGTGGAAACTCACACACAGGCTTGCCTGCTTCCTGGTTTAGGTTTAGGGTTTATACGGCTCCGGGAGGTTGATGCATTGTGTTTGATCATCCCCTTTTTTTTTTTTTTGAGACAGAGTCTCATTCCTGTTGCCCAGGCTGGAGCACAGTGGTGTCATCTTGCTCACAACAGCTCCGGGAGGTTGACGCATTGTGTTTGATCATCCCTTTTTTTTTTTTTTTTTTTTTTTTGTTTGAGACAGAGTCTCATTCCTGTTGCCCAGGCTGGAGCACAGTGGTGTCATCTTGCTCACAGCAACTTCTGCCTCCCAGGTTCAAGCAATTGTCCAGCCTCAGTCTCCCGAGTAGCTGGGATCACAGGCGTGCCCCACCACACCCAGCTGATTTTTTTATTTCTAGTAGAAACGGGGTTTCACCATCTAGGCTGGGCCGGTCTCAAACTCCTGACCTCATGTGATCCACCTGCTTTGGCCTCCCAAAGTGCTGGGATTATAGGCGTGAGCCACTGCGCTCATCCTGATCATCTTGTCTCTCTTTTTTTAAATAGAGACAGGGTCTCACTCTGTCACCCACACTGGAGTGCAGTGGCACAATCATAGCTCACTGCAGCCTCCAAATCCTGGGCTCAAGCGATCCTCCTGCCTCAGCCTCCAGATCCTGGGCTCAAGCGATCCTCCTGCCTCAGCCTCCAGACATACGGGCATGCACCACCATGCCCAGCTAATTTTTAAATTTTTAGTAGATCTGCGGTCTCACTATGTTGCCCAGGCTGGTCACAAACTCCTGGCCTCAAGTGATTCTCCTTCCTTGGCCTCCCAAGGTGCTGGGATTCCAGGCATGAGCCACCATGCCCAGTCTCATTTCTGTTTTATCTAGAACATGTTTTCATCACACTGACTTTTTTGAGAAGTCCAGGCCAATTTTAAATTCCATTTTGTCTTTTTATCAGTGGAAAAGTAGCATATTTATGTTGCACGACAAAGATGAATCAAATAGGAAGAAAATGTAAAACACATTTGGGGCCGGGCACAGTGGCTCATGCCTGTAATCCCAGCACTTTGGGAGGCCAAGGCGGGTGGATCACCTGAAGCCAGGAGTTCCAGACCAGCCTGACCAACACGGAGAAACCCTGTTTCTACTAAAAATATAAAATTAGCCACGCATGGTGGCACATGCCTGTAATCCCAGCTACTTGGGAGGGTGAGGCAGGAGAATCGCTTGAACCCGGGAGGCAGAGGTTGCAGTGAGCCGAGCTCGTGCTATCACACTCCAGCCTGGGCAATAAGAGTGAAACTCCGTCTCAAAAAAAAAAAAAACACACGAAAATAAAACGGCATTTAGAGTTGAAAGCTTCACCTTCCTCTCTGGATGGTGAGTCCTCACTCTCCCAGCAGCCCACACCTCTGCCTCAAACCTCCATGGCTCCCATGAGTCTGGTTAAAGCTAAGGAGTCTCACTGCACCTCAAGTCCTGGGGGTAGTCAGCCCCTCTCACCCCTCCCTCATCCTCTCACACAAGAGTCATTTACTGTCCCTCCAGTTATGCCCGGTCACGCAGACACTCTGCTGCTCAAATGCCCTCACCCCATCCTCAGCCTGCTCCCAGGCCACCTCCCTCCAGAATCCACCCTGCCTGCCAGGTGGTCATAGGGACCCTCGCCATACTGTCTGCTTGTGGCAGTGCCCTCCAGCCTGGGGGGTCTTCCAGAGCAGATCTCTGGCCAAGCGCAGTGGCTCATGACTGTAATCTCAGCACCTTCAGAGGCCAAGGCAGGTGGATCACCTGAGGTCAGGAGATCGAGACCAGCCTTGCTCACATGGTGAAACCCCGTCTCTACTAAAAATACAAAAATTAGCCAGGTGTGGTGGTGGTGCATGCCTGTAGTCCCAGCTACTCAGGAGGCTGAGGCAGGAGAATCTCTTGGACCCGGGAGGTGGAGGTTGCAGTGAGCCAAAATGGTGCCACTGCACTCCAGCCTGGGCAACAGTGAGACTCTGTCTTAAAAAAAAAAAAGAAAAAGAAAAAGAGCGGAGCTCTGATATAAGCTGCCCTGGCACACAGTGAGCTTCCAGAAATGGTCCCTTGACCTCTAAATCCACCAAGACCCAGGGAACATGCCCTCTCTGAGCACTCTGACAATGATTTGCATTTCTCTAATGACCAGTGATGATGAGCTTTTCTTCACATGTTTGTTGGCCACATAAATGTCTTCTTTTGAGAAGTGTCTGTTCATATCCTCCGGCCACTTTTGGATGGGGTTGTTTTTTTCTTATAAATATGTTTAAGTTCCTTGTGGATTCTGGATATTAGCCCGATGGATAGATTGCAAAACTTTTCTCCCATTCTGTAAGTTGCCTGTTCACTCTGATGATAGTTTGTTTTGCTGTGCAGAAGCTCTTTAGTTTAATTAGATCCCATTTGTCAATTTTGGCTTTTGTTGCCATTGCTTTTGGTGTTTCAGTCATGAAGCCTTTGCCCATGCCTATGTCCTGAATGGTATTGCCTAGGTTTTCTTCTTGGGTTTTTATGGTTTTAGGTCTAACATTTAAGACTTTAATCAATCTTGAGTTAATTTTTGTATCAGGTGTAAGGAAGGGGCCCAGTTTCAGTTTTCTGCATATGGCTAGCCAGTTTTCCCAACACCATTTTAAATAGGGAATCCTTTCCCATTCTTGTTTTTTATTACAACTTTTTACCTAAACATTCAATAATTTTCACTAACTTTTTGGCAATGAGGCAGCTGAGTCTAAGTAGGTTAAATCACTTATCTGAGGTCACACGGCAGGACAGTGCTTGTTCTGCAAAGTTAAGTGTGTTTCTTTTTGTGGACCATGAGAACATCTCCAACTGCCCTTTTTGACTTGGCCACCAGGGAACTCAGCGCCATGTTCTCAAATCCAGTTTAGTAACTGGCCTTCTGGCCTGTATATCTTTATTCTACCTTCCATCCTGCTCTGTTCTGCTTTTACCTCTTATTCTAGATTATCTTTCTTTAGTCCTAATTTTAAATTTATATCTATAATCTTGTTATATATATTTCTTGGCATCTACTGTAAGTGGGTAGTGAACGAATAAACAAAATGTGATGAATTTTAGAGGACTAAGAGGGGCCTAAGTCACACCAAGATTCATGCTGGATAATTTGTCATCGACCCAGACTGTGGTTCTGCACTCGCCAGTAACCAGTTTTTTTTTTTTTTTTTTTTTGCTTTTTGCCAACCATACATTTTGCTTTCATGGTATCGAAGTGGTTTAAGCTTATGGCTTCCAGCCTGCAGTGGCTATGAGGGGTCAGTCTCTCATCAGGAGGGGTTGGCAGACTCTGTTCTCAGATAGGCAGCAAGGATGGAGGTGGGGCAGGAGCAATTTCACTACCTGCCTGGCGTCTGGGTCTTGCTTAGAGAAATAATTCCAGGCTCTGCTGCTTTCGACTCTGTCTCTCATGGTTCCACTGATTCCTGCAGAGATCTAGAGAGAAAATTTCCAGCGAGGAGTTTCTGGCTCGTTTGATTTTGAACACGTTTTGAGTATTCCACCCCTTACCCCCCCGCCCCCACTCACTACTCTGTAGTTTTTTTTTTTTTAAGAAAACAGTTTGAAAGCACAAATAAATAAATAATTCAAAACAGAGGGGCCATTTTTATTTACTTTGGTTGTTTCAGGAGAGGGAAGGGAGCTTACACTTTTTTTGAACTCTTATTCTATGCCAGCCGATGTGCTGCATTCTTAGCTTAAAAGCCTGCTTCTCTTTGATTTCAGAATAACTTGGAAATAAATGATCAGACCCTGCATGCTCTGATCCTGGCTGTCTGCTCTAACTAAATCTCCTCTTCCTTGCTTCCTCCAGCGAGTTGTTCTCCCTTCACCTCCCAGCACAAGCTTTGCACGTGTTGCCGTCTGTCCTACAAAGGTCTGTCCCTTCCCAGTCTCCGTGTGACTCCCTCCTTCACACCCATGGTTCTCCACTGAAATGTCCTTTGAGCACGTCTCAGATGCCTCAGTCTAAAGTAGATGATTCTGGGCTGGGTGCAGTGGCTCACGCCTGTAATCCCAGCACTTTGGGAGGCTGAGGCAGGCAGATCACCTGACATCAGGAGTTCAAGACCAGCCTGGCCAACATAGTAAAACCCCGTGTCTACTAAAAATACAAAAATAAGCCAGGCATGGTGGCGGGTGCCTGTAATCCCAGCTACTTGGGAGGCTGAGGCAGGAGAATCGCTTGAACCTGGGAGGTGGAGGTTGCAGTGAGCTGAGATCACGCCACTGCACTCCAGCCTGGGTGACAGAGCAAAACTCTGTCTCAAAATAAATAAATAAATAAATAAATAAAGTAGATGATTCACAGAAACCTCTGTTCTTTTAGAGCACTCTTCAACACTTTTTATGCTTTTTATGTTTGATTTCTAATAAATATGTTTCTTTCACTATACCATAAGTATATTCCTTCTTCTAAGTTTCATTAAGGTAGAATCACGTATGTCTTATTTCCTGTTATATCCCTAAGTACCTAGCATGTAGTAGGCATTCAATAAAAATTGATTGAATGATTGAACACTCAATCCCATGATTTGAGTGTTTTTTTTGTTTTTGTTTGTTTGTTTGTTTTGAGACAAAGTCTTGCTCTATCACCCAGGCTGGAGTGCAGTGGTACTATCTTGGCTCACTGCAATCTCTGCATCCTGGGTTCAAGTGATTTTCTTGCCTCAGCCTCTCAAGAAGCTGAGACTAACTACAGGCATGTGCCACCATGCCCAGTGATTTGTTTTGCATGTGTGTGTATTTTTAGCAGAGATGGGGTTTCACTGTGTTGGCCATGCTGGTCTTAAACTCCTGACCTCAGGCCATCCACCCTCCTTGGCCTCTGAAAGTGTTGGGATTACAGGTGTGAGCCACCACGCCTGGCCTTTTGTAATTATTCTAACAGCTACTACTTATTAGGTGCTGACTATATGCCAGGCACTGTGCCAATTGATTTATTTATTTTCAGGGATTGGGTCTTGTTCTGTCACCATGGCTGGAGTTCAGTGGCACAATCATAGCTCGCTGAAGCTTCAAACTCCTGGGGTCAAGCAGTCCCCCTGCTTCAGCTTCCCAAGTAGCTGGGATTACAGAGATATACCATTACACTCAGCTAATTTTAAAAAATGGCTAATTTTTTTTTTCAGAGATGGAAAAAAAACAAAAAACAAAAAACAGCTACTACTTATTAGGTGCTGACTGTATGCCAGGCACTGTGCTGATTTTTTTTTAATGTTTTTTATTTTTTTAGAGTTGGGGTCTAGTTCTGTCACCATGGCTGGAGTTCAGTGGCATGATCATAGCTCACTACAGCTTTGAACTCCTGGGCTTAAGCAATCTTCCTGTCTCAGCTTCCCAAGTAGCTGGGATTACAGGCATGGGCTATCACACCCAGCTAATTAAAAAGACATTTTATTGTATAGATAGGGGTCTGGCTGTGTTGCCCAGGTTAGTCTCAAACTCCTGGCTTCAAGCGATTCTCCTGCCTCCACCTCCCAATGTGCTGGTGTTACAGGTGTGAGCCATGGCACCTGGCCCTGTGTTGATGTTTTACATACAGCATCTCATTTAATCCCCACCAGGATCCTGTGGGGATGGATTGGATTATCCCCCACTCCTTGGAAGAGCTTAAGGATACCCAACCAGTTGGTGATTGAGCTGGGATTTGAACTCAGGCATTCTAATGGCAAAGCTGTGCCCCTTCCACTCTACCATCGTGTTCCTCTCCAGGGGAGGTGTCCCTGCAGTGCTGTGACTTTGTCGTCGAACATGTGCTGAGGTACGTGAATCCTCTGGAGAAGAAGGGCAAAGGAACAGGCTTTCCAGGCAGGAAGCCCCTGCAGGCGAGGGAGGAAGGCTGCAAGGGACATGGTAGGAGGTATCTTGCTCCCCATAGCTGGGCTGGGAGGATGAGATGGCTGAGAGCCAGGAGCCGGGCTGGGGTTAGGCTCATATCAGCCTGCAGAGGGCTTTGGGGAACCCAGGCTTTGGGGCCAGACAAACATAGCTTCTCACCCACCTGATCATTTCCTCTCTGTTGTATCCTATGTTTCTGGGTCTCAGTTTCCTTATCTATGAAATGGGGATACCATGACCTGTTCTGCCTGCTTCATAGAGTGCTAAGGAGCAGATGACATAACGTGTGCAAAAGCAGCTGTTCTTATTTCTATCACTTATTTTCATTATCGCTATTCTCAAGCAGGCAGACGGTAATTTTTTACCTCTTTCTTTTTTTTCACCCTTGAGTTGTTTGGAAGTTATTTTTAAAAGTCTTTGAAGTGTCCTTTTCCATATTTGGCAAAAGCAAAATGGAAATTGATAGCATTGTCACCGTCGGCATCCCCTCACTCCGGCCGCCTGGCTGGGGGACAGCTCTGGGAAAATGTGGAGATGTCTGTTGTGGGCGACTGGTTTGTTATTGCGTGAACTTTTCTGGCGAGACCTGACCAGCTCCCTTTTAAGGCAATTCCTCGTGTTCTTGTTCCTCCTCTTTTCTTTTCCTGCCAATGTCAGGTCCTTTGTGCCATCTCCAGGCTCAGAAATCCGTACAGCCAGAGTCGGTCCCCAGTTTGGCCACTTCCAGCTGAAAAGCTTTCCCATGCCTTCCCTTTAACTTAGAATAGCATCCAAATCCTTCATTGTGACCAAGGCCCTGTGCAGTCTGCTCCTGTCACTTTCCTCTCCATTACTCAGCTCCAAAAGTGTCACCTCCCTTGACTCCTCCAATGCCCCACATGGTTTCCAGCCCCAGGGTCTTTGTGGGGTCTTTGCCAGGAATCCTGTTCCCCGTTTTTTTGTTATGGGTAGCTCTTTCTCATCTTTGACATCTCTGCTCCAGAGTCAACTTCACACATGGCTCTTCCCTAACCCACACTAAAAAATAAGCCTCCTTAAAGAAAAAAAAGAGGCTGGACGTGGTGGCTCATGCCTGTAATTCCAGTGCTTTGGGAGACTGAGGTAGGAGGATCACTTGAGACCGGGAGTTTGAGATCAGCCTGGGCAACACATTGAGACCCCATCTCTACAAAAAAAAAAAAAAAAAAAAAAAAAATAGCGAGGCGTGGTGCTGTATACCCATAGTTCTAGCTACTCTGGTGGCTGAGGCAAGAGGATTGCTTGAGCCCAGGAGTTCAAGGCTGCAGTGAGCCGTGATTGCACCACTGAACACCAGACGCAGTGTCATGTACTTGTAGTCCCGGCTGCTTGGGAGGCTGAGGTGGGACCATCTCTTAAGCCTGGGAGTTTGAGGCTACAGTGAGCCCTGATCATCCCTGTGAATAGCCATTGCACTGCAGCCTGAGTTACACAGATACGTCTCTTAAAAAATAAATGAAAAGAAAAGCCTTTTAAATTCAGTGTCTTCGCATAGTTAGTCCAACCTTAAGGAGTGTTACCAGATACAAACAGGATGCCCAGTTACATTTTTTTTTTTTTTTTTTTTTTTGAGACAGAGTCTCACTCTATCCCCCAGGCTGGAGTGCAGTGGCATGATCTTGGCTCACTGCAACCTCTGCCTCCCAGGTTCAAGTGATGCTGATGCCTCAGCCTCCCGAGTAGCTGGAATTACAGACGTGCACCACCAGGCCTGGCTAATGTTTGTATTTTTAGTAGAGATGGGTTTTTGCCCTGTTGGCCAGGTTGGTCTCGAACTCCTGATCTCAGGTGATCTGCCCACCTTGGCCTCCCAAAGTGCTGGGGTGACAGGCGTGAGCCACCATGCCTGGCAAAACTTTGTAGCCCAGTTTGTTCTATTTTTTTTTTTTTTTTTTTGAGACAGAGTCTCGCTCTGTCGCCCAGGCTGTAGTGCAGTGGCATGATCTTGGCTCACTGCAATTTCTGCCTCCCGGGTTCAAGTGATTTCCCTGCCTCAGCCTTCCAAGTAGCTGGGAATATAAGGGCGTGCCATTGCACCCAAATTTGAACCTTAGATAAACATTGAATAATTTTCCAGTATTACATCAGATACATAACTTGTATTTAAAAAATCATTCCTTATTTCACTGGATTTAAAATTGAATTGGGTGTCGTATATTTTTACTTGTTAAGTCTGGCAACCCTACCCTCTAGAGAGAGGTGTTGAATGAATGAGTGTGAAGTCCTTAGCTTAGGGCCTGGCACTCAGTAGGTGCTAAGTAAATGTCACCTGTCAGCATCTTCCTCCTCCTCTTCTTCCTCCTCTAGTTGCTTCTCGGAGCTAAGGTCTCCCTGCTCCTTTTTTCCTCTATGGAAATGGATGAGAAAAGGTTTTCTAACAAGGGGCCATCACCTGGATTTTTAGAATAGCATAAAATATTCTCTGCTGCAGCTTCGGAATCCGACTGTGCTGGTGTTTGGCAGGAAAATGCAGTGAGTTATCACAGAGCGTTCCCTCCAGCACTGGGTCATGCAAATATTTATTGCGAGCGTTAAATAATAAATGGAGCAGCCTGCCCAATGGTAAATCTGTCATGTTTGGTTTCAGCCAGGAGTTGTGATGGCTCTGGAATCGCTGCCCGTTTCACCGCATCCACCTGCCCTCTAGAGGAGCAAGGCAAACAGCCGAGTTCTCTGGGGTGGCATCAGTGGGCTGGTGTGGAAGCCAGAGGGGCGGTGGGGGGAGTCAGCCAGGCATGGAAACTGGCAGGTAAGGCAGCCCTGTGGCCCAGGAACCTGAGCCGCAGCCACACCGAGCAGGCCTGGACCTTTGAGTCCCGCTGCCACCACAGTTCTCAGGGGACACGGTCTCATTGTCCACATCTGGATTTATCTTTCCGTATTTCCCTCATTGCTCTTGTCAGCTTCACTCTGGCTGACTGGCTGGAGCTGGCAAGCTTCTGAAAGTGGAGTCAACCTTCCGACCCTTTTTCTAGGCTGAGTGGTGGGTGGAGGAATGAGACCGTGTGTTGGACTCAAACTCGATGCAATAACGTTTCCCAGCCCCTGTGGTGTGCTGGGGCTCCTAGCACACATCCTCTTGTTTAACCTCAGCATTGCAACCTGAAACACAGACACATGGGTTCTTGAGCCAGATGCCTCTGAGTTGGAATCCTATCTCTGCACTTAACAAGCGGTATGACCTTGAGTGAGCCACAGTTTTTCAGAGCCCCTGTTTCCTGATCTGTAAGGTGGGGGAGATGGTGGCACTCACCTTATGGGGCTGTTATGTATTAGTCCATTGAGGTGTCTTAGCCTGTTTTGCGTTGCCATAAAGGAATACTTGAGGGTGAGTAATTTATAAGAAAAGAGGTTTGTTTAGCTCACGTTCTGCAGACTGTACAAGAAGCATGATGCCAGCATCTGCTTCTGGTGAGACCTCAGGAAGCTTTTCTTCACTGTGGAGGATGAAAGGGGAGCAGGTGTGTCACATGGTGAGAAGAGGGGTGAGAGAGAGACAGGAAGGGTGCCAAACACTTTTTTAACAATCAGACCTCGCCGTGAACTAAAAGAGTGAGAACTCACTCATTACTCAGGGAGGGCACCAAGCTATTCATGAGGGATCTGCTCCCACCACCCAAATACCTCTCGCCAAGCCCCGCCTCCAACATTGGGGATCACATTTCAACATGAGGTTTGGAGGGGACACACATCCAAACTATCTTATGAGGTAGTAGGATAATGTAGGTGAAGACTTGCACAGTGCCCGGGACCTGGGGACAAATGCTAGCTCTAATGGTTAATAATGGTCCAGAGAAGAAAATAACTGCTCAGATGCACAGACATGACTGCACTAGTCAACCATGCAGGTATGAGTCCCCATCCTAGAGTATGGGGTGCATAGAGCTCTAGCCCACCATTATTGAGTTGTAGAACTAAGGCTCCAATCTGGGGCTTTATGGATCCCTAAATCATGCCCTTTCACCTTCCCCATATCTGCTTTATTCCTCATAGGGTGGCAGGGAGGGTGGAGCTCATGCCTGGCCTTAATCATCATGGCCTAAGTTTGGTAGTGTCCAAACAGTGGTGAGGGGTGAAGTTGTAGGGTTGCCAGGTAGGTTGTGTTTGGCTTCAAATCACTGAGAACCCAACTGGAAGTGGTGTAGATGCTAATGGAAGTTATTGTTTCTCTGCAGGGGGCCATGTGGTTAATTGATTCAGTGGCTCCATTGTGGAATGGTGGGCCTTGTTTCCTTCCACTTTTCCACTATTCCATTCTTAGCAGCTGGCTCTTGCCCTCAGCCACACCCCATCATGGTCTCAAGATAATATGGACAAGAGAGAAGAGAGCCTTCTTCCACTTGTTCCCCGCTTGTTTTTGAGACAGGGTCTCGCTCTGTCACCCAGACTGGAGTGTAGTGGTGCAATCATAGCTCGCTGCAGCCTTGAACTTCTAGGCTCAAGTGATCCTCCTTCAGTTTCCTGAGTAGCTGGGACTATAGGTGCATGCTACCATACCCAGCTAACTTCAGAGTTTTTTCTAGAGATGAGGTCTCCCTCTGTTGCCCAGGCTGGTCTCGAACTCTGGGCCTCAAGTGATCCTCTTGCCTCAACCTCCCAAAGCACTAGGGTTACAGATGTGAGCCACCACGCCCAGCCCATCTGTCCCTTTTTATGATCATTTTCTCATTTTCTCAGAAGCTGCCAGCTGACTTCTCCTTCATCGCATTGGTCAGAAATGTATCACGTGCCCTTTTCTAAGCCAGTTGCTGGCAAGGGAATGGAATTCCCAAGGTTGCCTTAGACCAGTGCTTCTTAAAGTGAGATCCCCAGGCCAGCAGCATCTGCCATGTCTAGGCAATTTTAAGAACTGCAAATTCTCAGACCCCAGTTCAGACCTACTAAATCAGAAACTCTGGGGGTGGGATCTATGTTTTTATTTATTTATTTACTAGAATCGGGGTCTCTGTTGCCCAGGCAGGAGTACAGTGACACTATCATAGCGCATTGCAGCCTCCAACTCCTGGGCTCGAGCGATCCTCCTGCCTCAGCCTCCCATGTAGCCAGGACTAGAGGTGTGCACCCCCACACCCAGCTAATTTTTTTATTTTTTGTAGAGACAGGGTCTTGCTATGTTGTCCAGTCTGGTCTCAAACTCTTGGCTTAAACAATGCTCTGGTCTCAAACTCTCAGCCTCCCAAAGTGTTAGAATTACAGGCGTGAGCCACTGCGCCCGGCCCATAGTCTATGTTTAAACGTGCCCTCCGGGGGTTTCTGATGGACACTGAGTTTGAGAACCTCTGGTTTCCTAAGATCTTTTCCTCTGAAGAGCCAGAGAATAAATATTTCAGGCTTGTGGCCACACAGTTTCTGTAGCAACCACTCTGTTCTGCTGTTGCAGTGTGAAAGCAGCTATAGATGATAATAAATAAGTGAATGGGTTTATTTATGGAGACTGAGATTTGAATTTCACCTAATTTTTATGTGTTAGGAGATATTATTACACTTTTGATCTTTTCTAACTACTTAAAAATGTAAAAGCCATTTCCAGCTCCTGAGCCGTACAAAAGCAGGTGGTGGGCCGGGTTTAGGCAATGGTTTGCCAGCCCTCCATCAGACTGCTCAAGATTCATCCCCTGAAACTGGGGAGAGTCTAATAGTCTTAAAACACAGAGAGCCCCAGATTCTTTAGAAAATTGGAATTTGGGCTGGGTGTGGTGGCTCACATCTGTAATCCCAGCACTTTGGGAGGCTGAGGTGGGAGGATGGCTTGAGCCCAGGAATTTGAGGCCAGCCTGGGCAACATAATGAGACCCCATCTTTACAAAAAATAAAAATAATAGTCGGACGTGGTGGCATGTACCTGTAGTCCCAGCTACTCAGGAGGCTGAGGCAGGAGGATCTCTTGAGCCCAGGAGTTTGAGGCTGCAGTGAGCTATGATCACGCCACTGATTGCAGCCTGGGTGACAGAGCAAGACACTGTCTCTGTCTAAAAAAAAAAAATGAAATTTGGGCCAGGCGCGGTGGCTCATGTCTCTAATCCCAGCACTTTGGGAGGCCAAAGTGGGTGGATCACCTGAAGTCAGGAGTTCAAGACCAGCCTGGCCAACATGGTGAAACCCCATCTCTACTAAAAATGCAAAAATTAGCTGGGCGTGGTGACACGTGCCTGTACTCCCAGCTACTCGAGAGGCTGAGGCAGGAGAATTGCTTGAACCTGGGAGGTGGAGGTTGCAGTGAGCCAAGATTGCACCATTGCACTCCAGCCTGGGTGACAGAGCGAGACCCTGTTTCAAAAAAAAAAAAAAAACAAAAAGGGCTGGGCGTGGTGGCTCACGCCTGTAATCCCAGCGCTTTGGGAGGCCGAGGCGGGCGGATCACAAGGTCAGGAGTTTGAGACCAGCCTGGCCAATATGGTGAAACCCTGTCTCTACTAAAAATACAAAAATTAGCCGGGCGTGGTGGCAGGCGCCTGTACTCCCAGCTACTTGGGATGCTGAGGCAGGAGAATTGCTTGAACCTGGGAGGCGGAGGTTGCAGTGAGCCGAGAGTGCACCACTGTACTCCAGCCTGAGTGACAGAGCGAGACTCCGTCAAAAAAAAAAAAATACTGATAATGACAGTGCTAACAGCAATAATAGATAGCTAACAAGTGTGGAGTGCTTATCCATCTTCTAGTCCCCACCTTCCTTTAGCCCAGGAGTTCGAGGCTGCAGTGAGCTATGATTGTGGCACTGTACTCTAGCCTGGGCAACAGAGCAAGGTCCTGTCTCTAAAAAAATAAAAGCATAAAAATAAAATAACCAAACTTTTTATTAACCTTCTACCCCCAGAGGGCCCCCTCCCTCAAATAGCTCATTAACTAGACCTGGTTTGCATGCCCACCCCCTCTAGGGACTGAGCCCAACTTCTGAGATAGGGACCCTTGAAAGAACTGGGGTTCTGTTAGCAAGAAGAATTAAGACAAGAGGATGACTTTTGGTGTTGACAGTGTCTGCCCCTGTTTTTTGTTTGTTTTTTTGAGATGGTGTCTCGCTCTGTCACCCAGGCTGGAGTGCAGTGGCGTGATCTCAGCTCACTGCAACCTCTGCCTCCTGAGTTCAAGCGATTCTCCTGCCTCAGCCTCCCGGGTAGCTGGGATTACAGGCGTGTGGCACCACACCTGGCTGATTTTTGTATTTTTAGTAGAGACAGGATTTCACCATGTTGGCCAGGCTGGTCTCGAACTCCTGACCTCAGGTGATCCACCCGCCTTGGCCTCCTAAAGTGCTGGGATTACACGTGTGAGCCACCGTGCCCAGCCTGCCACAGTTCTTTACACATTTGATCTTTAGCTCACCCAACAACCTTGTAAAAATATGATTGCTACCCATAATTTTCAAATAATCTACGTATGCGTAAGAGAGAGAAGTGATTCCCCAAAGATCACGCAGCTAATAAAGTGGAAGGGAGAACCCAGGCCCACCTGGCTCCGAAGCTCACACTCTTTCCACTAAGCTGCCTGCTTCTTTCATTGGAATAGAGGTTCTCAATCGTGAATGGTAGGAGTGGGGTGCGGTGAATTTTGACCCTCGGGTGAAATTTGAAAATGCTTGGAGACATTTTTGGTTGTCATAATTGGGAGAAAGGGTGTGATATTGGAATCTAGTGGATAGAGGCCATGGATGCTGCTAAAGTTTTTATAGTGGGCCGGGCGTGGTGGCTCATGCCCATAATCCCAATATTTTGGGAGGCCGAGGTGGGTGGATCACCTGAGGTCAGGAGTTCGAGACGACCCTGGCCAACACGGTGAAACCGCGTTTCTACTAAAAATACAAAAATTAGCCAGGCGTGGTGGTTGGTGCCTGTAATCTCAGCTACCCGGGAGGCTGAGGCAGGAGAATCACTTGAACCCAGGAGACAGAGGTTGCAGTGAGCTGAGATAGCGCCACTGCACTCCAGCCTGGGCGACAGAGCGAGACTCTGTCTCAAAAAAAAAAAAAATTATAGTACATAGGACAGCCCCACAACAAAGAATTATTCAGCCCACAATGGTGCCAAAGTTGAGAAACCCTATATACTAAAACAAGCTCTTTGAGGGCAGGGATCATACTACCTTGACTACCTTGTTCAATTCTCAATCCTTTATACCCTGCCTGTCCTGGCACATTGTAAGTGCTCAGTAAGTAATGACTGAGCAACTGAGCAGATGTGCTACACCAGATTCCAGAGTCAAATAATCATAGACTTGGAGAAGTGCAGGGTTATGGGGGCTGCAGTATAACACTCTACCTCACAGTGGGTGCATCCAAGCCACCAGCTTCCCCTGGTTCCAGAAGGCCTGTTAGAGACATGTCTTGCATTTGCACTTGGTCCAGCACAGCCCATGCCTCCCACTTGTGAAAAGAGGCTGACTGATGGGTGGTGATCAGGGTTGGCTGCCTTTTCATTTTTGAGATCATGGGAACAGAGGGACCGGATGAAGAAACACTTCTCTGAATCTACCCATTTCTAAATGGATGAATCACCAAGGAGGAAACTCAAAGATTAATTTCTCACTGCCCTTCTTCCCTTGCTCTGCTCTTTGTAGACAGTTACTGGTGCTCCAGGGCAAAAGATAATGAAAGTTCTTCCTTGCATCAAACTATTTTCTTCAGGAGATAGAGCCAGCATTAGCCAAAGAGATGGTCTGGGCTCTGGGAGCTTGGCTTGGAGGCCCAGGACATTCAAACAGTCCTTCCCGGAGAACAGGCTGGACCTGCAGTGATGAATAATTATTTTGCAATTGACAGTTCAATACCCACCAGATTCTTCATTGTATGTTTCTGTATCGTGTCAAGTTATGAGAAAACGCAATATTCTTTAACAGCTAGGCAAGAACAATGGTTTTTGCTCATTTGTTTGTTTGTTTCCACCCCGCAGAGGTCAGTTTTTGCAGTAAGAAGAGTCTCATTCTTTTTTTATTTTATTTTATTTGTATTTTGAGACAGTCTCTCTCTGTCATCCAGGCTGGCTGGACTGCAGCGGCTGCAACCTCCATCTCTCAGGTTCAAGGGATTGTCCTGCCTCAAACTTCTGAGTAGCTGGGACTACAGGCATGCCTACGCCCTGCTAATTTATTGTATTTTTAGTAGAGACAAGGTTTCAACATGTTGTCCAGGCTGGTCTTGAGCTCCTGACCTCAAGTGATCCACCCGCCTCACCCTCCCAAAGTGCTGGGATTACTGCCATGGGCCACTGTGCTCGTGACTCTTCAAGAAGAGTCTTGAATTTACTCTGAATGTGTCCTTGGTTGGCACAACCACGAGCAGAATATGCATCCTATCTATCCTCACAAACACTGCGTTTATTATCCCCAATTTGCCTTTGAGGAAATGGAGGCTCAGAGAGGTTAAATAACTTGCTCAAGGTCACGTGGGCAATGAGTGGTGGAGTGGAGATTTGAACTCAGGACTGTCTGTGACCCTCCCAGCCCTGCAGTCTCCAAGTCTCCAGTACTATCTGGCTCTAAAATCCGTACTATTCCCTCTGCTATGTTTTTGTGGCGACTTGAACTCTTCCTTCAAAGTCTTGGCTGCTGCTATGAACTGAACGTGTACCTTGTGAAGTTGTATTTTTTCCATATTGTAATTCCATCCTTCAAAAGTAAGTCTTGTTACTGAAAGACTGTTTCAACCGTCCTGGGGTAGGAGTGGCTAACAGGTTGGCTTGGGTCCCACAGTGAAATCTGTTCTGAGCCAGACCCTCCCGAGGGGACAGGGGACGAGCAGGAGAGATTGTAGCTGAAGTAGACATCTCCTGGGTTCCCAGAAATGTGGAAGAACCTTGTGCAAAAACAGCTTCCTGCAGAGCTGCAAGATGGGATCCAGGTTATTGGTATTTGAGCACTGTGTTTAGGGGCTATGAGAGAAACCTAACATGAACCGGCTGAAGGAAAAAAGTGGAGGATTACATGAAAATGAATTCAGGGAGCTTGCAGGTGTACTGAAGGGAAGTGTGAGCTCTAAAAGCTGGAAAAGGTCTAAACGTGTAGATTACAAAAATATCTGCAGCTTAGCATGGCAATGACGGATAAAGCGTCAGATATGTGTTTGTCATCCAGTTGTCTATGGCTGTGCAACAAACCACCCAACATGTAGTAGCTTAAAACATGACAGTCATTTATTTTGCTCACACATCCACAATTTGGGCAGGATGTTGAGGGGACAGTTCGTTCCTGCTCCACGTGGCATCAGCTGGAGCTCACCAGGGGGCTGCAGAATTCATTTCTGAGATGGCTCCTCTAGCGGTTGCTAAGTTGGCGCTTTCTGGTTGGCTGGGAGCTCAGCTAGGCTGTGGTCCAGGGGACTTGGTTCCTTTGTTTGGGCCTCTCCTCTCTTCAGCTACTTGGGCTTCCTCATCGTATGGTGGCTGGGCTCTAAGACAAGGAGAACCCAGTGGAAGCTCTGTCACATTTTATGATGTAGCCTTGGATGTCGCATAACGTTTCTTCTATATTCTATTGGTCAAGCAATCGCACAGTCTGGATTCAACGGTAGATGACATAGGTTCTACCTTTTGATGAATCAAAAAATTCTGGGATCATGGTTTGAAACTACCAAAAAGTAGCGGCTGTATTGTTTGTTATTATTACAAAGTAGGCCGTGTGCAGTGGCTCACACCTGTAATCCTAGCACTTTGGGAGGCCAGCCTGGGCAACATAATGAGACCCGGTCTCTAAAAAAAAAAAAAAAAAAAAAAAGGAGAGAGATTAGCCAAGTGTGGTGGTGTGTGCCTGTAGTCCCAGCTACTTGGGAGGCTGAGGTGGGAGGATCACTTAAGCCCAGGAGATCGAGGTGGCAGTGAACTATGATCACACTAGGCTGGGAGACAGAGTGAGACCTTATCTCAAAAAAAAGTTAATGATAATTACTACAAAGCAAGGCCAATAGTACAAAAACAGTGATCTTTCACAGTCTATGATATAGCAGGACAGTGCTAGATGTTCCCCATCTGCTATGCCATTTATTCCTCCCCAAAATTTGGGAAGCTCAGGGAGGCATATAAACTGCCTAAACAGGGCCGTGAAGCTAGGAAGTGCTAAAGCCAGGATTTAAACCCAGAAGTCAAATGCTAAAGACTCTGCTAGACTGACTACCTGATTCTAGAGGCTGGGGTGTGTGCTAGGTATCTGAAAGATTGGAGAGATGCAGACAGAAATGTGTGAATGTGAGTGTGCAAATTTGCACAAGGCCAGTAGCACCTAAGGGGGCCCATGTGGGAGATGGGAGGGTCCCTGCCATCTGCTTCCTTCTCCTCATCCATTTCACCCTGGTCTTCTCAGCCCTCCCCTCTCCTCCATGCCCCTCCTTGGTCTCTTCCCATGGACCCTGTGAGAGCCCCTCTCCAGCTGTTTATGGGAGATGTTGAAGGAGAAGCAAGGGCTCCTCACGACCCTGTCTCTGCCTCTTTCCTGTGCTCTGGGACATCTGAACTGTCACATAGTCAGCTGGCAGGGAAGCCCAATTTTCCTTTGGCTCTCCAAAGGGCCTGATTCATGGGTTAGGCTGAGATCAGATAGAGCCCTTGGGTCAGGTGGGTGGGATTCTGGCTCCCAGGGCTGCTGGCAGGTGCCATCTGGTTGTTCTGGAGGGAGTTGAGGGGAATGGTTCCCACCTGGACAGTGTCTGAGGGGTGAGCTGGTGAAGCACTGGGCGGGTGGGGAGCTGGCAGGGACGGGACAGATACAGAGAGTGCCAGGAGGTGTGGACAGCTGCTCGCAGGGCTCTTGGTGACTTTGCCAGGAAACTGTGTCTAGACAGCCTCTGTCTGATCTCTCTTCTCATCCCACATCATCTCCCCGGTTCCTCCCTGGCCTGAGGCCGTCCTGCCAGGTTGGTGCAGGGATATGTTGAACAAAGTTCAGATGTGCTGTGTGCACAGTACCAGGCTCAGCATAGTCTGAGAATGAAAAGCAGCTTCTGAAACTCAGCCCTGCCTCAGGTGCAGGGAGCTGCTGGTCTTGCCAGGAGGCTTAATGCCTGGATCAAATATGAGGGGGCTGGCTGGGCATGATGGCTCACACTCGTGATCCCAGCACTTTGGGAGGCTGAGGTGGTGGGAGGATTGCTTGGGGTCAGGAGTTCGAGATCAGCCTGGGCAACATGGTGAGACTCTGTCTCTACAAAAAAACTAAAATAAAAAAATAGTCGGATGTGGTAGTGCACATCTGTGGTCCTAGCTACTGGGGAGGCTGAGATAGGAGGATCACTTGAGCCCAGGAGTTCAAAGCTGCAGTGAGCTGTGATTGTGCCATTGCACTCCAGCCTGAATGACAGAGGCAGAACTTGCCTCCAAAAAAAAAAAAAAAAAAAAAAAGACAAATATTTGGGGGCTTCCCCAGATAGACGTCTGGTGCTATGGTCTGAATGTCATTGTTCCCCTTGAATTCATATGTTGGAACTTAATACCCAATGTGATAGTAGTAAGAGGGGCCCCTTAGGAAGTGACTAATTCATGAGGAATCCACCTTCATGAATGGGATTAGTGCCCCCTTTTATAAAAGGGGCTTGAGCAAGCGCCTTTGCCTCTTTTGCCATATAAGGACACGGCAACAAGGTACCACCTATGATGCAGAGTGAGCCCTCCTCACCAGGCACTGAATCTGCAGGTGCCTTGATCTGGGACATCCCAGCCTCCAGAACTGTGAGCAACACACTTCTGTCATTTATAAATTACCCAGTCTAAGGTATTTTGTGATAATAGCCCCAAAATATGACACCCAGAGAGTGTGGGCCCTCTAGAGGTCATTTCTTCCAGGCCCCTGCCAGATGCTGAGCTCAGCCTGCAACCCCAGGCTGTTGAAAATCCGAGGAGGCTGAGGTCAGGGAGGGAGGCAGGAGGCCAGCAGGCCATCAGGGAAGGGACCCCAGTGGGCTCTTGAGGAATGGGGAAGGGGCATTAAAGGGCCCAGGTAGAGGCCTGGAGTGGTGGTGGTGGCCGTGGGGGTGTGAGAAGCTGGTTTGGGTGAAGATGCAGGGAGACAAACAGAGACCCATTGGGCACGGACAGGTGCTCACATGTTTCCTTGCACCTGGCATGCTTCCCCTGGTGAACACTGCCAATGTCCACCCACCTGTTCTTCACCCAGGTGGGCCTCGGGTCTGCAGGGACACAGCAAAGGAATGAAAGCCAGGGGCAGGGGTTTAAATCCTGGCTCTGTCTCTTTTCCTCCGTGTGACCTGGGGCAAGGAAATGGTCTTTATAGCTCATGCGGTCTTTATGCAGTTGTCTTAGGTGATGGGGGATGAGAAAGTGCCTTGTAATCAATAAAGACAGATTTATTACGATAATACAAATTTATTGATTTGTAATCAGTAAAGGCAGATTAACCATACCATTTTTTTTTTTTTAAATAGGGTCTTGCTGCGTCTCCCAGGCTGGAGTGTAGTGTCATGATCGTAGCTCACTGCAGCCTCGAACTCCTGGCTCAGACTATCCTTCCACCTCAGTCTCCCGAGTAGCTGGAGCTACAGGCGCACACCATCATGCTCAGCTAATTTTTATTTTTATAGAGATGGGGATCTCACTATGTTGCCCAGGCTGGTCTTGAACTCCTGGCCTCCAGCAATCCTCCCATCCCAGCCTCGCAAAGTGCTGGGTTTACAGGCGTGAGCCACTGCACCCAGACAGGATCAACCGTATCTTTTGAGCATCCGTTCTGTGCCTGGCACCAGGACCAGTTGCTGTGGGTCAACAGAACAGTTTCAGGTGGGTGGTGGATGGAATGGCTGGTGGGCTCAGAGCTAGAGCTTAGGCCCCTCAGCTACTCCTCTGGGCAGGAGTGAGCAGTGCTCACCCTACCCCAGGCTTAGGCCACTTGCGATGTGGGGTTCCTCTTCGCGCACATCTACTGACCCTGGAACTATTGAAGCTATTTTGTGAGTGCTGTGCCCTCTCTGCTGAGACACAATCCCTGTCTGGCACACCCCCAACACATCATTTGCCCCTGGAGTTTAACTGTACTTTGGTGAAGAGTGGCAGAGGCCAGAGGGACCCCAGGGGTGGACATGTGATTAGCTTGATGGGCAACCCCAGGACAGAGAACAGGGATGGGGAAGGAGATGCTTCCCACTGAAGACCCCATGCACTCTGCAGCTTACAATGCTCCTAAAACCCCGATGCTGGTTTATAAACTCTCTTGTCCAATTGCTGGGGTTCAACTGGGAGCCTTGGTGTGTCCCGCCCCTCCCCCAGGCTGTCCCGTTGTCAGGCGAGAATGAGGCTTATTTCTGCTCATCCACCAAGCTTGTCTGTTTCCAACTGTCCATTTTTTTTCCATCCATCTATCTGCCCGTCCATCCATCTTTCCATCACCTCCTGTCCTTAGGCTTAGGGGATTTCCTCTTGGGAGGGGAACTCTTTTTGCAGAAAAGGACGCTGAGCCCCAAAAGCTGAGTATTTCCCAGCATAAATGTCTGAGCCCTGTTCCCTGGGCAGGTCCTGTATTGGGGATTCAGAGTTGAATTGGAGTTGTCTCAGCCTGTGAAGGAAAGAGACCTGTCAACAGGGGGTGACAAGGAGAGTTTGTAGCCAGGTGTGGTGGTGCACACCTGTAGTTCTAGCTAATTGGGAAGCTGAGCAGGGAGGAATGCTTGAGCCCAGGAGTTTGAGACCAGCCTGGGCAACATAGTGAGATGGCCCCATTTCTACAAACATTGTGAAAACTAGCCACGCATGGTGACAGATGCCTGTAGTTTGAGCTAATCGGTAGTCTGAGGCAGGAGGATCTTTGGAGCCTAGGGGTTCGAGGCTGCAGTGAGCTAGGATTGTGCCACTGCCTTACAGCCTGGGAGACAGAGTTGCAAGACTCCCAGTTGCGATCATTTAAAAACTGGGAGACTGACATAGCATCTGGCTTTTAGCTTCTCTTAATTTATTAGAAGCTCTGACAGCATTGGGCCCATGTTCCCACGTGGAGACAGTTGGTGGATACAAGATAGGCAGCTACCTCCGTCTTTCAATGGGGCATGCACTCCAATTCACCACAGACCCCACCATTCCCTACTGCTTCTCATTCCTCCCTTTCTTCACTTATGTTATCTGCCTGGACTCTCTACAAGGATTTTCATTTGTGGTTCCTGTTTCAGGAACAGGCCATGGTGTGGCCTTTCCTGACCTTGTCAAGCCTCAGGTTCCCAGAGGGGACCAAAATAGATACTGCACATTGTAGAGGGATCAGCTGAGGTAATATAGGTGAAAGCTCTCAGGAAGCCTAAAGCTCTCTGCAATCACAAAGCTACACAAATAGAAATTATTATCATCATTATTTATAACCATTGAAAGGACAGGAGACAAAGAAGTCAGTCCCCACCATACCCCTCCCAACCCCAAGCCCACAAGGGTATTTGTGCCATTATGATGGCATTGATCATTGACATTGACAGTTATTATTAAACGATGTCAACTTCCAAATGCAAAATGTTTACCAGATGAACTCAAATGGGCTGGCAGAAATAATGTCCAGGTGCCATCTACCTTCAACTCCTCTTCTCATGAATTTCTGTGGCATTTCTCCAGGGCCCAGAGTCAATAAGGGAGAGAGAAATGACTCCTCTGGTTTACTGAAGGTGTGACTTGTGATTCCAGCCAATGTCCTGTTGGTCCCATTGTCTCCCCTGCCACTACCCATGTGGAGTCTTAGATCTTGGAGACTGTACTATGTGGGCCAACTCTCTCCTCAAGACACATTTATTAAAAGGTGGGTGAAGTATCTTCTCCTTTGCCTGTGTCTTTTGCCCAAAGGGAAGTTGATTGATGACAATGCTCCTTTTTCAAGCTCTGATTGCCGGTGGAGGTTGGATAAAGCATCTTGCTGTGATCTCTAAGTGGGCTGTGCCTTGAAAACATGATTGTTGTGTCTAATCATGTGTGTCTGTGGCTCCCTTGCCACTCCTGGTTGCCGTGTCACTGTGACTCTATTTAACATACTTTCAGGACCCACTGTATCTGTCCCGCCTCTCTCTGGATCTTCCCAACTCTGTGGTTGCCTCCCTGCTATATTCATGGCCCCTAGGGGATGCCACGTGTGTTCGGTTCTTCATGCTGTTCCTCTGTCTAAAATGTTCTCTTCTGTGGCAGCTTCCTGCAAACATCTTCTTCTCTTTCCAGACTTTCTTTGATGATTAAGAAGCTTGCACGACCTAAGTCTTATAATTCTGAAAATCATCTCCTAGTTTCCAGGACCCCAGATGCACCAGCATGGCTTAGGGAAAGGAAAATGACCTTTGGAGAGAGAATCTTTGGAGGGATTTGAGCCTCGGCATTGCCACTTACTAGCTACACCATTTGGGACATGTTACAAGCCCCCCTGAACCTCAGTTTCCTCATCTGTGAAATGGGCATAATGATAGGCCCTAAATCTTGTGGTGAGGCTTACATGTGCCAATGGATATAAAGTATACATCATCACAATGCCTGGCACATGATGAAAGATTAATAGGGGCAATTAATATAGTGTTTGTGATAGACCCAAAGATAGACTGACCCGAGGCCGACCCTGGGCACCTTTTCAACTGAAATCCCACCACCTTATATTTTGACTTCTAGGTTTCCTTTCCCTAAAAGAGAAGTTTGGAGAAGGATCTAGAATTGTTGGTTAATCAAGGGCTTGCTACCTTCTAATCACTTCATGTTGATACTAGGATAAAGAGCAAACATCCTTCATGGGGTTTACAAGGCCCTCCATGGCCAGGACCGTGTTTATGTCCCCAGCCTCATAGTCCACTTCTCCTCTCTCCCTGGGTGGTGACACATTACACAGTACCCTCGCACATGCTCTTTTGCCCACTTAATGCCTGCTCATTCTTCAAAGCCCAGGCACTTCCTCTGGAAGCCTTCCGCAGCTCCCTGTGTTCCTTCTCGACAGAGTGTAACCGCCCATTGGGTCCACCTTGCCCGCTGCCTAGACAGAGCTGATTTATCAAGACAGGGGGATTGGAATACAGAGAGAGTAATTCATGCAGAGGGGCATTGTGGGAGACTGGAGTTTGATTATCACTCAAATCAGTCTCCACAAGCATTTGGGGAGCAGAGTTTTTAAGAACAGCCTGGTAGGGGTGGTTAGTTGAAGCCAGTGAGCCAGGAGTGCAGATTGGTCAGGGAAGAAATCATAGGGAGTCGAAGCTGTCCTCTTGCGCTGAGTCAGTTCCTGGGTTGGGGCCACAAGATCAGATGAGCCAGTTGATCGATCTGGGTGGTGCCACCTGACCCGTCACGTGCAGGGTCTGCAAATTATCTCAAGCACTGATCTTAGGAACAGTTTAGGGAGGGTCAGAATCTTGTAACCTCCAGCCGCCTGACTCCTAAACCATAGTTTCTAATCTTGTGGCTGATTTTAGTCCTAACAAAGGCAATCTAGTCCCCAGGCAAGAAGGAGGTCTGCTTTGGGAAAGGGCTGTTATCATCTTTGCTTTAAACTACAAACTATGAACCATGAACTCAGTTTCTCCCAAAGTTAGGTCAGCCTACACCCAAGAATGAATAAGGACAGCTTGGAGGTTAGAAGCAAGATGGAATTGATCAAGTTAAATCTCTTTCACTGTCTCAGTCATAATTTTGCTAAGGCAGTTTCAAGAGCACTTACTCTAGTTTCTGGTTTTACATTCATGACTGTGTTTTATTTGGTTCATGTCTAATTCCTCCACTGGACCGAGAGCTCCATGATGGCAGGAACCAAGTCCGTGGGTGGCCCCCTGTGGTGTCCCCAGCATTGAACACAGCAGCACGTCCCTCATGGGTGTTCACTACATAATAATTTGTTGGATGCACAGGTGGATACATGACTTACTACTTTAAGAATGTGTGCATTTGAGATGTTTACTTGGAACAACGAAGGCTTATTCTTGAAGAAACAACAAGTGATAAGTCACCAGAAGACAGAAAACAGCATGTTGGAGCTGGGTGGCTCCTGGTGCCTGGGAAATGAACCCTTGGGGTGGTTCTTGGAAGGAAGTGAGCAGGTTTAGTCCCATCTGATGAACTCTTTCCTCTCCATGGTTAAGTTGGCTTCTAACTCAGGGACTAAGTTTTATTTGAGACTGAGGCCACTGCTGGTGGGTTGGTTGGTCTCCTCCACCTTTCCCTTCACCCGTAAATGGGATATTAGTGAACGGGTGGCATAACCCACCTGAGGGTTCTTATAGGGTTTCAGGAGAACAGCCCTCATCTCCCAATTTCCTGAACTGCCATCAAGATAACTGTGTGTGTGTGTGTGTGTTTGTGTGTTTAATCGAGACAGAGTCTCGCTCTGTTGCTCAGGCTGGAGTGCAGTGGCATGATCTTGGCTCACTGCAACCTCCGCCACTCAGGTTCAAACAATTCTCATGTCTCAGCCTCCTGAGTAGCTGGGATTACAGGCACGTGCCACCACACCTAGCTAATTTTTTTTTTTAAGATAGACTGATTTTTGTATTTTTAATAGAGATGGGGTTTCACCATGTTGGCCAGGCTGGTCTGGAACTCCTGACCTCAGGTGATCTGCTCACCTTGGCATCCCAAAGTTCTGGGATTACAAGTGTGAGCCACCACACCTGGCTATCATCAAGATAACTCTTTAAATAAGCCAAACATTTATTGGCCAAAAGCAATGCACATGTGCTGTCAACAAGCAAATTTGGGGAAACACAAAGAGAATAGAAACAGAAAATAAATATTAACCACCCAGATGTAATCATATTAGCATTTTGGGGCATATGTTTCTGATTCTTTTTAAAAAATATTTATGTCTCTCTGTGTTTTCTATTTATATATGTATTGCAACCTGATTTTTTTCATTGAGCAAATGTAAAATGAACAGAAAATGTCCAGGAAAGCAAATGTCTCCCTTCTGCTGGCCTGGTGTATTACACAGGGTTCTGTGGAGGGACAGAACTAATAGGATAGATGTATATACAAAGGGGAGTTTATTAAGGGGTACTGACTCACACGGTCACAAGGTGAAGTCCCACAATAGGCCATCTGCAAGCTGAGGAGCAAGGAAACCAGTCTGAGTCCCAAAACCTCAAAAGTAGGGAAGCCAGCAGTGCAGCCTTCATTCTGTGGCCAAAGGCTTGAGAGCCCCTGGCAAACCACTGGTGTAAGTCCAAGAGTCCAAAAGCTGAAGAACTTGGAGTCCAATGTTCCAGGGCAGGAAGCATCCAGCACAGGAGAAAGATGAAGGCCGGAAGACTCAGTAAGTCTGTTCTTTCCAACTTCTGCCTGCTTTATTCTAGCCACGCTGGCAGCTGATTAGATGGTACCCACCCAGATTGAGGGTGGGTCTGCCTCTCCCAGTCCACTGACTCAAGTGTAAATCTCCTTTAGCAACATCCTCACAGACGCACCCAGGATCAATACTTTGCCTCCTTCGATCCAATCAAGTTGACACTCAATATTAACCATCACACCTGGTATGACAGTACTAGCCTTGTCCCAAGAGGCAGGAGCCCCAGAACTGCAGAGCATCTGATAGAGATGTGAATAGTGGCTTTGGAAGGAATGACTGTGGCCAGGTAAGGTGACAGGTAATGGCGAAAACAGGCATGAAATCGTGGGGCAGTTCAGGTGAGCCATTCCCCAATATTCACCAAGAGATAATAGGGAAGGGAGAGAGAGTAGGGGTCTCAAAAGCAGGGTCACGGTGCTGATAATCTGAAAGGTAGGGTCTCAGAGCCATTGAATGTTTCATTTATTCACTCAACGAGAATTTCTTGAGTGGCTAATATGTGCCAGGTGCTGCAGCAGCCAGTGGGGATTGTAGGTCACAAAAACATGACTTCATTCAAAGCATGCACCATTATTTACATATGTAAAGTGCCTTGGCATGAAATAGAAGCCCAATAATCTCTTGCAACCATAGAGATGAGCATTAATGACTTTTCCAGAATTGCATCTATGGTTGGTGATTATTCCTATGTGGCCAAATGACCAGAAGGAGCAGAAAGCTACATTTTTGTGGCATCTTGTATACATAGAAATGATTGCTGTAAATATATGTTGACTCCCTTTAATACATATGCAACTAATTGAAAGCGGGCAGTTTATGGTGTAGTATCAGTGAAACGTGCTCTGTTGCCATTAAGTATAGCTTTGTTACATTATTGAGACAACTTGCCTTGGGGGCACTGGGGTAAGTTATTGCTTCTTCAACCATATTTTGGTCCTTAGAGGACCAACCGCTAGTCCAGCTTTTATTACCTGCTGTTTCTTTAATCACAACAGGGAAATGTTGGCTAGGCATCGGACGGGAGACTTTTCTTATAAGATGAAATGAGCCAAGATTGGAAGACGACATTTTTATTTGCCTTACAAATGGACTGGATACAGTGTGAATGGCTTCGTGAATGAGATGAAGGGCTCTGCTGCGCAGCAATCCCAAACCATTCACCCTTATGCAGAGGCAGAGAGCCTCCTAAATGAATTGGGTTCTGTTGGAGTTAGCTGCTCTTATTTTCCTGTGCTGAGGAGTCTGGAGTGGGAGGGTATCCATTTCCCAACCAATAATAATTAGCTTTGATTCCAGGCAACATGTGCATTTTTAATCCGTTAGGCATAGGGTCTTCCCGGGACCTATACGTTTTTCAAGATCTACAGAAATGTTTGAGACCAAAAACAAACAAACAAACAAACAAACAAAAAACACCACACAAACACACATACACACACACACATTGGCTTAAAAATGCAAAAGAGAAAATGACAAAATTGAAATTAATGAATATCTTAAAAATTACCTACGCTGGGCATGGTGGCTCACGACTGTAATCCCAGCACTTTGGGAGGCTGAGGCAGGCAGATCACCTGAGGTCAGGAGTTCGAGACCAGGCTGACCAACATGGTGAAACCCTGTCTCTACTAAAAATATGAAAATGAGCTTGGTATGGTGGTGCATGCCTGTAAACCTGTAATCCCAGCTACTCAGGAGGCTGAGACAGGAGAATTGCTTGAACCTGGGAGGTGGAGGTGGCAGTGAGCCGAGATCATGCCATTGCACTCCAGCCTGGGCAACAAGAGTGAAACTCCTTCTAAAAAAAAAAAAAAAATTACCTACAAATTGTGCTGCTTTGTCAATATCACTAATTGTTAAATTTAACATTCCTAGGGATTTCATTACATCTGAAAAATGTGGATAGTTAGAATTTCCCACTTTCTAGACCTCCTGAATATGCACAATTACCAAGAAATCACATCCAATCTAAATTTAAATAAATCACCTATTGCCAGATAATTTCAGGAGCAGAATTTTAAAATTTTCTCAAAAAATGTTTAGAGCCAAAAATCCATTTAATGTAGGATACAGGCAAATTTGTAGCATGTTTCAAATGCTTTCTGGTGAGACCTCCAAAAGTGAATGTGTCTAGGGTATATAAAATTCTTAAAGGGGCTTTGTCATCCTTCTTCCCCACTCACCCATAAAATAGATGAGATAAAAGCTATTTCTAAGGGTGGCTCTTTTGTGAAGTATTTGAGCTTTACGGTAGATGAGACTATTGTTTAGTAAATATTTGTTCCCTCTCCTATTACATCATTGATGTTCAGCTAGGCTATGTGACTTCCTTTTCCCTGAGAGATGGCATAGTGTACTTCCCTACCCTTCGACTGTTGAGTTGAGCTTAACTTTCTTTGGCTAATGGGATGTGAGAGGACATAACCCTTATGAAAGGCTTGAAATGCTCTCGTGTGATGAGTTTGCCTTCTTGTGCTTTTGCCTTCTCTATGAGAAAAACATGACTTAGTTGGTTGCTGGTCCTAGAAAAATGAGATGCATCTAGAGCAGAGCCGCCCCAGCATGTCTTCAGACCTGCAACCTCCAGCAGAGCTGCTCCAGCCAAGCTATACGGGCATGGCAGAGAAATAAGCTCTTTCTGGGATTTGGGGTTGTTTGTCTTACAGCATCTAGCTGACTGCTGCAAGTTCCTGCACACAGTGGTGCTTACTCATGTTTCTGAAGGAATAGCAGTTTGTTTATTTCAACCATATTGCTAGTTATTTGTTATTTTCCACCATATTGCTAGGGTTATAACTCTGAAAACAAGTTCAGCTACTTCTCACATGTTCCTTCTGCCTGAAAACTTTGTCTCCTTGCTCTTCACGTGGATGGCTTTCTATCTTTGGCTCTGGATTTAAATATTACTCCCTTGGGATGACCTCTTCTGATACATTATTTAAATACCATCTGTGGTGGAGCCTACTATTTACATATTGAAACATCTACATTCCCTTTTCTTCTCTGAAATAACACCTTATTTTCGGGGGAAAAATTTCAAACTGAGACAATAGTTGGAAGAACAGTACAATTAAGTTTTCCCTCTCCTCGAATCGTTTCCCAATACTTTACTGTGTGTGTCTTGCAATAAGGACCTTCTCCTATATGCCCATAATACGACCATTAAAGTCAGGAAATTATTATAACATTGATACATTACCACCATCTAATCCAAAGGCCCCATTCAGGTTTCACTGACCATCCCAATAATGTCCTTTATAATCTTGCAGGGCAAGATTATCATAGCATTTAATTGTCACGTCTTATTCCGGCAGATTCATCAGTCTCTTTGTTACTTTCTTGACCTTGATACTTTTGAAGATACAGGCCATTTATGTTGTATAAGAGCTCTCAATTGGGGATTGTCTGATGCTTTTTCGTGACTAGAACTAGGTCGTGCACCAATTCTAGGCTTCAACACCCCATGCCAGATCTCTGTCCTATCCCCTCTCGTTGATGCTTACTTTGGTTGGTGCCCTTTAGTGACTTTAACACTGAATATTTGAGGAAGAATAAAAGATGAAACACTGATTTTAATTAGGGTGACATAGACTCTGCTTTAAACAACAACAACAAAACCAAAACCCTCTAATTTCCCAATCTCTCATGAAGCTACCCAAGCCATGTGATTTAGCTTTGGCCAAGGAATGCAAAGAGAAGAGTAATATGGACATTTTCTCAGAATGAGGACCATATATTTCTTTGCCCATTTTTCCTGTTGTTGGTCTTGAATTAGGATGCAATGGCTAGATCTCTGGATGCCATATTTGACCATGAAGTCAAGTCCAAATGAGAAACGATCATTCCCAAATTAAGGCCGTGACTTAAGGAGGTATATAAAAGAGAAGGTGGCAATTGGTTGAATGTAGGGTGTGATGGAGAAGGACTCAAAGATGTTGTTCAGGCTCTTGGTTTGGGTAACTGGGTGAATGGTGATGATATTCATGGAGAAAGTGAGCTAAAAATTAGGAGTAAAATTATTTGGAAGGCAAGTTAAATTCGTTTTTGGAAAGAAATGAATCTGAGATATACAATGGACATCTGACGGTGTTCTCTAAGGTAACGGGAATTGGAAACAGATTTCAATATTGAGGTGGTAGAAGAAGGGGTCAAATCATCAAATCATGATTCTGTTACTTGGAAGGAAGGCTGAAGGGGAGACCTTGAGCATCTTGTTTCTTCTTAGTTCCATTTATGCTTTATGCTTTTGAGCACTAATCACAACAGATACTGTGGAGGCTGAGCTCCAGCCATTGTCAAGCCTGTGCTCCAGCACTGGTATAAATTACTGGAGTCCTCATTCTAGAGGAAAGCACGGGGACGAATCTTTTCTAGGGCTCTTTACCTTGTCTACTCTTCCTGCAGGGAGTAGTTCAGACTTTCTTCTTCTACCTCCTCTTCTTCTTTTTTTCTTTATAGAGACAAGATCTCAGTCTGTCACCCATACTGGAGTGTAGTGGCACAATTATAACTCACTGCAGCCTCAAGTTCCTGAGCTCAGGTGATCCTCCTGCCTTAGCCTTCTGAGTAGCTTGGACTGCAGGGTTCATGCCACCATGCCTGGCTTATTTATTTATTTATTTAGTAGAAACAGGGTCTCACTATGTTGCCTAGTCTGGTCTAGAACTTCTGTCCTCAATTCATCCTCCTGCCTCAGCCTCCCAAAGTGCTGGGATTACAGGTGTGAGCCACTACACCCAGCCTAGGTTTTTCTTTCTTTTCAATGAATCATAACCCTTCTCTCTTCATTTCTAGTGAACATGCATCACCTTATCCTATCACAAACCAACTCTGTGACAAATGTACTATTACTATGCCCATTTTACAAATGGAAAAACTGAGACTTAAAGAATTTAAATTGGCTGGGCGCAGTGACTCACACCTATAATCCCAGCTCTTTTGGAGGCCAAGATGGGAGGATTGCTTGAGGTCAGGAGTTCGAGACAAGCTGAGGCAAGAAAGCAAGACCCTGTCTCCACAAAAATTAAATAAATTAGCCAGGTGCGGTGGTGCACACCTGTAGTCCCAGCTACTCCACAGGCTGAGGCAGGAGGATAGCTTAAGCCCAGGAGTTCAAGGCTGCAGTGAACTATGATCATGCCCATTGCACTCCAGCCTGGGCAACAGAGCAAGACCCTGTTTCTAAAAATTAGACAAAATACCAAGCAACAACACCAACAAAACAACAACACCATAAAACAAAGTTAAGTATCCTGGGGTTATACTGGAATCCAAATAATCTGGTTTAAGAGCTTAACCTCCTAACCACCATGCTATACTGCCTTGTGGCAACTCATGCCTTGTGAATCTTTACTCCTGGTAGTGTTTCACAGTTGACAGAGAGCTTTTGCATTCTTGATCTCATTTGGTCCTCACAACAGCCCTGTGGGGCAGGTAGGAAAGACCTTGTTATTAGACATGAGGGTCCTAAGAACCAGAAAGCTAATGGACATGCCGAAGGTGGCCCAGCCAATGAATAGCAGAGTTAGATAAGAATTGTGATCTTCAGGCCGGGCACGGTGGCTCACACCTATAATCCCAGCACTTTGGGAGGCCAAGGCGGGTGGATCACTTGATGTCAGGAGTTCAAGACCTGACCTCAAGTCTGGCCAACATGATGAAATTCTGTTTCTACTAAAAAATACAAAAATTAGCCAGGTGTGGTGGCGCACACCTGTTATCCCAGCTTCTTGGGAGGCTGAGGTAGGAGAATCGTTTGAACCTGGGAGGCGGAGGTTGCAGTAAGCCGAGATTGCACCACTGCACTCCAGCCTGGGACACAGAGCCAGACTGTCTCAAAAAAAAAAAAATTGTGATCTTCAGCAGCCTTATAGAGCACTTCTTCTACTGTATAATCCTCGCTTTCCTCATTTACATCTGTGAAAAAGATATTCCTTTTGTTCAGATGCTCTTAGGTGCTCTGAAGCAAGCAATAGCCCAAGCTGGCATTTTGAGAGCCATTTCATGGATGGAAAGCGGAGGCTCAATGGCTAAGGGAATTAGCCTTGGTTCTCCAGTGTGTCTGCAGTCTTCATGGCATTGGTGCTGCTGATCCACAGTCATGCCAGAGGTTGGGTCCGCAGTGAACCGCTTCACAGCTGGATGGTTGGGGGAAAAGAGAGGTCTAATGATAGAAACCTTCCCCAAAGCAAAGGATGTAAGCCCACACCGAGAATTATTAGAAAGAATAATATTCTCCCACACTGAGAATTATTAGAAAGAAAGAAAGAAAAACTAGAAAGAAGGACAAAGGCATTCCAGCATGCTTCCTGTGACAGATTGAGCCAGTCTTTGTAACCTCAGATTCACAAGGACATTGCAAAGAATTTCCTGTTGCGCTCACCAAAATTGGCTGGCCCTTGTGCCAGAGTCCCACTGACATCCAGAAAACTATTGCCCATCTTCTCTGGGCTGTGCAAGGATTAGTGTCATAATAGATCATCACAGCCAAATGTTATTATGCAAAGCAGAAAGCTGCAAGAAATGGATCTTCATTCATTGAATTTGCATGTTTGGTGGGGACTGCTTCAGACTTCCTTTATCTCGTGATCAGTCGTGTGTGTTGATCCTCTTTGCAAGTTGTTGTGAGAACTGGGTGCAGCAAAAGCTGCCACTTCAAGAGACCAAAGGGATTTCTGAGATGAAAAAGTGCATCAATTTGCATAAAGAACTCAGATAATTTCTAGGTAGAAAGCAGGTCAGAGAGGCTCTAGACCTAGGACTCTCGTGTTGGATTGCTTAGTTTCAAATCATGCTTATGTCACTTACATGCATGCAATCTGGATAAGACATTTAATATCTCCCCAAGCCTCAGTGTTCTCATCTGTAAAATTAGATGATGTGGTGATGATGAAAGAACATATATAGGCTGGATGCAGTGGCTCATGCCTGTAATCCCGGCATTTTAGGAGGATGGGGTGGGCGGGGCACTTGGGGTCAGGAGTTGAGAACCAGTCCGGCCAACATGGTGAAACTTTGCCTCTAAAGAAAGTACAAAAATGAGCCAGGCCTGGTTGTGGGCACCTGTAGTCCCAGCTACTTGGGAGGCTGAGACAGGAGAATTGCTTGAACCCGGGAGACGGAGGTTGCAGTGAGCCAAGATCATACCACTGCACTGCAGCCTGGACAATAGAGCAAGACTCTGTCTCAAGAAAACCCCCAAAAAACAAAAAAAACAAAAATAATATATATAAAACATATATATTATATAATATATAAAAAACATATATAATATAATATATAAAACATATATTATTTAATATATTATGTAATATCTATTTTAATAACATATATTGTATATTACATAACTTGTTATATTATATAACATGTTATATAATATATAATTTGTTATATATGTTATATAACATATAAACCATGTATTATATATAATATAATACATGTTTTATATAATATATAATAATTATAATTTATATAATATATGACATTATATATTATATATAACTTATATATTTATGTATGATAAAATATATGGTATATGAAATATACATAATTATATATTATATGATATAATTATATATCATATATGTATTATGTATATTTCATATACATTATATTTTATTATATAAACATAAGTATATATTATACTATGTAATAGTATAATATATAATTATACAATGTATAATTATATATGTAATAGTATAATATATAATATACAATGTATAATTATATATTATGATATGTATGACATACATATCTAACATATATTATAACATGTATGTTATATATAACACATATAGCATCTAGATACCATGTATAGCATGTGTACATGCATATATATTTATGTTATTCAACATGGGTCCAGGAATGGAGTAAGAGATCAACAAATACAGTCATTAAAATCAGTGATTCCTCATTCTTCTCCCAGCTCCTTCTTTATGAGATTTTGAAATCCATATGGATGGATAAAAATATCCCCAAATGGTGCCTAATGTTGCAGTGAAGGAAAATGAAACTCTGGAAATAAAATTAGTTCAAGGAGAAGGAGCATCTCCGCTGTTGACCCGGCTTAACACTAGACTAAGAATAGATTGCAATGGCCCCAACCTCAGGTATGCCGGATAAGTCCCTGAAGGCCCTAGAGGGGAACCTGAGAAGGGTTTGAATGTTTGCATGTGTGTTCGACAAGCTGGTACCTGGTAGCTGAGATGTAGAGGAGAATCATTGTGCCCTATGTAGAGACTGGACTATGTGGACTTTTTCATAGCTGTAGACAAAGACACGCTGACAGTACCAGACTGGTTTTCAACCTAATGGCAGCCTCGGGGACAAGGGAAGGTGAAAATGGGGCTGCCTATGAATGGATGCGACTCCTCAGGTTTCCATCAGCCTGAAGTTTGGAAGTGATCTTTGGATTAACTGAGTCGGCAGAGTGTTGGACCACGAGAAGGCAGATGTGGAGTGAGATACTGGACTTCTTGGCTCCTGTGAGCAAAGAGGATGGGCATGAGATTAAATGGAAAAGTAAGAGACGTGACAGTTTCCCAGGTTAATAACATGAGTAATGCCAGTTACATGCATGGGAGCTCATTTAACAACTCTTCAGGGTTGTGTTACTACCCAAACCCTTTATGATGCTGAGCACGCACTGCAGACACTGATTCCTGCCTGCCCCTCCACTCTGTTTCCTGGTTACCTTCTGCCTGATTCATTTTGATCTAGACACACTGGCTTCCATTCTTTTCCATGAACAAGCCAAGCTCCTTCCCACCTCTGGGCCTTTGCACACGCAGTTTCCTCCACCTGGAATGCTGCTCCCAGATCTTTTTACAACACATTTCCTCTCATCTGTTGAGCCTCACCTTACACGTTACCCTTTCAGAAAGATTTTCCCGTTCATGTCCTCTCCGCTACATTATTCTCCCTCCCATCACCCTCTCTAACATCATAGTCCTCACCATTCCTGAAATGATCTTTGTTACTTACTGGGTGGCATGTTTAGAGGCTGCTTTCCCCACTGGCTCTGTGACAGTGACTTTGTCATGGTAACTCAACATTCTGTTTCCTGTGGCCTGAAGATTGCCGGGTATATACTAAGTGCTCCATGAATATTTGTTGGAAGATTCAATGAATCATATCTTACCAATGCAATATTGGAAGCCTAGAGAAATGAAATAACGTTTTCACAATTGCACAGAGTAACAGATGCTTTCAGTGCTTCCCTTGTATCTTCTAACCCTTTACCTCTTAAGCATCCACTGACCCATCCAAATGTAGTTGCATTCTCTTTCTGAGGACTTTTTCTTTTTCTTTTCTTTTTTTTTTTTTTTGAGATGGAGTCTCACTCTGTCGCCCAGGCTGAAGTGCAGTGGCGTGATCTCAGCTCACAGCAATCTCCGCCTCCCAGGTTCAAGCAATTCTCCTGCCTCAGCCTCCTGAGTAGCTGGAATTACAGGCATGCACCACCATGCCCAGCTATTTTTTTTTTTTTTAGTAGATGTGGGGCTTTGCCATGCTGGCCAGGCTGTCTCGAACTCCTGACCTCAGGTGATCCACCTGTCTTGGCCTCCCAAAGTGCTGGGATTACAGGCATGAGCCACCATGCCTGGCCCTCTTTCTGAGGTCTTTTTCTGGTTGTACTGTCTTTGCCCACCCGTATGATGGCTTGGAAGTCTTGGAGGAATCAACACCTGCCCTGGGAGCATCCCTCCACCAGGAACTGATGAGAGTTGGTGTATGTGGATAACTACCCCATCTCCCTCACCCCTTAGGTCAGATAACTATGAAGCAAGAGCTGGTATGTGCATCTTTCCCCAAGTCCTTGTTCAGGGACAAGGTAGTGTGAAATCAGCCATGGTGGGAGGATTTACACCATGGATATGGGCAGACACTACAAATCTGGGCTTTTAATATTTTTCTGCAGTGTTGGTTGTTAAACATCTACCAGCACATTGCTAGAGATGTTCTACAGTGTATCCTAGAGTTTTCCAGCAAGTTTAAGCTCCAGTTATTGTCCCAAGTGGTAACTTGTTTTATAATATGCCCTTTACTGGCTGCCTCCCTGACCTATTTCATTTCCTGTGTCATGTTTCATTTACCTCCCACATAGATGACTTACTCTTGGAGTCTTGTCTCAGGGTCTGATTCTTGGGAAACCCCGATGAAGGCATACAACTAGTATGCGATAAAACCAGCATTTAAACCTAGGAAGGTCTGACTCCAAATCCACGTGTATTTTACTAATACTCCACTGCCTCTTGTGTCTGACCAGTTCTTTGCCAATACACTGTGACAGGAGTCCTTTAAGGAGTGAGACAAATGCATTATATTGATGAAAGTAGCTTGCAATTAAGAAGTTAGCCTTCTAGGCCAGGCACAGGGGCTCAAGCCTATAATCCCACCATGATTGGGAGGCTGGGGCAGGGGGATCACTTGAGGTCAGGAGTTCAAGACCAGCCTGGTCAATATGGTGAAACCCCATCTCTACTAAAATTATAAAAATTAGCTGGGCATGGTGACGCACACCTGTAATCCCAGCTACTTGAGAGGCTGAGGCAGGAGCATCACTTGAATTCAGGAGGCAGAGGTTGCAGTGAGTCGGGATCACACCACTGCACTCCAGCCTGGGTGATAGAGTGAGACTCCATCGCAAAAAAAAAAAAAAAAAAAAAAAAAAAAAAGAAGTTACGTTTCTTATGATAAGGGATGGGTTAACTAGATAAAACATGTGGAAATCTAATTTAGTTAGTAAATTATTTTTTATTTCAAAAACACTTTTAAAACATAGACATGTTTTCCATAAAACATGTAGGCACCAAGACAGATTTGATTGCTCTCTTGCGAATGATCAGCAGCAGGCTTCCACTTCATGCTTGTTATAATTTACTGTTTATAGTTCCTAACTCTCTGCTTACACGCTGGTTTGAATATTCAAGGGTCTCACCAAGTGGTGAGGCACTGGACACAATGATGATGTTGGGTGCAAATGAATAGGGCTTCAGCTGGAAAGGGGCAAGGGGCAGACTGGAAAGAGCTTAGGCTTTAGACCTCTGTACTGGTCAGGACACTTTGGTTCACAAGGGAGAGAAACTCAGTGCAAGCTAGCCTAGGCAGAAAAGAAAAAAGAACTTAATGCCTGGGGAAATTGGAAGGTTGAAGGATGTGTAGTTAGCTTCAGGTATGGCTCGATCAAGGATTACTCGCTAATAAAGCCTCTCTCCTTCACTAGAATAGAAGCTCTGTAAAGACAGGCACCTTGTCTGCCCTATTCATAGCTGCATCCTCCATCATATAGAATAATGCCTGGCACACAGTGATAATAAAAATTATAGAGCATGTCATATGGGCATGCCACTGTTCTTAGTTTATCCACTTAACCCAATGAGGTAGGCAATTATTAATTATAATCCCCATTTTTCTGGGTGGAGAAACCAAGGCACTGAGAAGTCATTTAGCTGATAAGCAGGGTAACTGGGATTTGAACCTAGGACCTCTTGCTCCAGAGTCTGTGCTCATAACCATGCTGCTATATTAACTCAGTAAGTAGTTGTTGATTGAGTGAATGAATAACTGACTAATGATGAAACTTGCCAGACACAGAGTATTCAGTAACTAGGAGTGCTGACATTTATTTGAGTGGCCTCTGTTTTCTGTGTCCCATTAGCTTTGGGTGCTGGTGTCTTCATCTGCAGGATTCCATATATTTAGCCCAGATCAATGGAGTGCTGGAGGGTCAGGATGAGTCGTGTTCAAGAAAATAAGGTTGGAGTTATTTCTAGAATTTTTTTTTTTTTTTTGAGACAGAGTCTCGCTCTGTCGCCCAGGCTGGAGTGCAATGGTGTGATCTCGGCTCACTGCAACCTCTGCCTCCCAGGTTCAAGTGATTCTCATGCCTCAGCCTCCCAAGTAGCTGGGATTACAGGTACCCACCACCATGCTTGGCTAATTTTTGTATTTTTAGTAGAGATGGGGTTTCTCCATGTTGACCAGGCTGGTGTCGAACTCCTGACCTCAAGTGATCCACTGGCCTTGGCCTCCCAATGTGCTGGGATTACAGGTGTGAGACACCACACCCAGCCTGAAATTTTGTTTTAAGTTCCTGAGATCCAGGGGTTGTTTGTTACTGCAGCATAGTCTAACCCATCCTGTGTAGAAGCCCTTACTTACTTAGGATGTGTCATTGAGTTCAGAGAGAGGCAGTAGAGGAAAGGGCCCAGACTTTAAAATCAGAGAGATGAAATTCCAACTCTCCACTCACTAGCTGTGTGACCTTGGGTAAGTTCCTTAACCTCTCTGAGCCTCACTCTGCATTCTCACTAGTGAAATTACAACTGTAATTGCTACTCCATGAAATTGCTTTGACTACTAAAATAGGAAACCCTGTCAAGGGTATAACATAGTAGGTGTTGATGTATGTTGGCTATTACTTTTGCTATTATGTAGCAAAGCATAGATTACTTTGGCTATTTTGAAAAAACCTGTTGCTATCAATTAAGGATAGAGTGGCTAAATTAAGTAAATTCTGTAAGCAAACAAGGATGGGTCTTTAATTCTCCTCCACTTTTGATTTATGGCTGAAGATTTGACAGTTATCTGAAGTCTGACTAGCTTGAAAACCAAGACATCTGTGATTAGACTTACCTTTTGTTCTTCCCATTAGTGTAATACATTGTTTTAGGACATCTCTGCCAACCCACTCCCCCAATATCCATCTAGCTTGGAGCCTTTATGGCCTTCATAAGGACCCGGCTTCCCCCTTGGTCTTTAAAATTAGACAACAGATGTTCATAATCGAACCTGTCTTGGTTCCAGAAAGTCTGAGATGTTCAGAAATAATCAGAACGTCTCTATAAATATCATAAAGGATATATCATTTTGGCAGAACCAGATCCAGTTTTTGTGGGGACTGAAGCTTATATAATATGGGGATCTCTGTTTAAGAAAAAGAATACAAAATTATGAATTTAAAATTAGGCACAAAAGAGAATGTTATTTTGGAATGAGAAATTAAGTATAATATTCCTGTAGCTGCCTGGACATGGTAGCTCATGCCTGTAATCCCAGCTTTTTGAGACGCCAAGGTAGGAGGATTTCTTGAGCCCAGGAGTTCAAGACCAGCCTAAGCAACATGGCAAGACCCCCATCTCTACAAAAAAAAAAATTCAAAAAATTAGCCAGGTGTGGTGGTGTGTGCCTGTAGTCCCAGCTACTCAGGAGGCCGAGGTGGGAGGATCGCTTGAGCCAGGGAGTTGGAGGCTGCAGTGAGCGATGATCTTGCCACCACACTCCAGCCTCCAGCCTGGGGGTAACAGAGTGAGATGTTGTCTCAAAAAAATAAAAAGAGAAAATTCTGGAGCCTTTAGCTATTTCCATTCCATTCTTCTGGGATCTGTGTAGGCAATTAATCAGAAATGTGAACATAGAGGTGCTTCATTATTGAAACCCAGCTTTCCCTTCTCACCTAAAGCCTTCCCCAAGTCCAGCATTTAAAGAGACAGGTACAAGGAAAAGACCCTGAAGCCCAAGCCTCATTAGCTTCAGGTAAATTCACCTCCGCTCTCTGGAGAAGCAGACAACAGAGGCCTCTTGTGAATATTGAGGAGAAGGTTGTATGTGTGTTCATGTGCGTGAGATCCAAGTGGAGAGCATGGGAACCTAGCTCAATTTTCCCTTGAGGTGAGCTTGAAGCTTTGGGTATCTTCCTCTCAGAGAACGTAAACCCATTTTTCCAACATTGTTGTAAAATATTCTGTTCCCACCTTTCCCACAATCAGCTTGCCTGACCCCACCACAGGGTGTGTCATCTTGTGCTTCTGGCACACACACACACACACACACACACACACACACACACACACACACTCTCAGAGCCCTGCCATCTGAAGGCAGCCAGCTCCAGAAAGGCCAACCCTTAGCTGTAACTCAGCATAGCACTGTTCATGATCTTTGGTTTCCATTTCTAGGCTGGTTTCCTTTTTTGTTTTGTTTTTTCCTTTGCCAAGACTGTAGTTGAAATAGGATAAAGGATTTATTTTTCCATAACAAGGTAGGAGAAAGGGTGCTAGGTTACAAGCACCCTGTCAATATCAGAGTTGGAAGCTTCTTCCTACCATCAGGTGTGTGTTGTGAAAGGAACGAGGGGTTCAGGCAAGTATTTCCCAGCAGGTGGGAAGGGGTCTTGATGGGATGGAAACTAGGAAAACAAACCAGATTCCCTGAGGGAAAATCAACTGTTCCTGAACTGTTATCAGTGTGGGAGTAGGGTTCACAGATTTCATATTCTAAACATGTTTGTGTGTGGTGTGTGCACACACACCTACTATGTGGCAGAGCCTGTCATAAGTGGTGATGGATTCCTGTAGATATAGTTTGCTGGAGCTGCCATAACAAAGTACTACAGACTGGGTGGCTTAAATGACAGAGATTAATTTTCTCACAATTCTGGAGGCTGGAAGTCTGAGATCAGGGTGTCAGCAGGGTTGGTTCCTCCGAAGACCTCCTCTTGGCTTGCAGATGGTCGATTCTGGTGTGTCCTCAGATGGTCTTTCCTCTGTGCCTGTCCATCCCTGGTGTCTCTCTGTGTGTCCTAATCTCCTCTTCCTATAAGAACACGAGTCTGATTGGATTAGAGCTCACCCTAAATGAGCTAAATAGGTTTAAACTTAATCACCTATTTAAAGCCCCTATCTCCAAATACAATGACAGTCTGAGGTGCTAGGGGGTTAGGACTTCAACATATGATCCATATGGTTGAAGGGCTTCAAATTCATATATATATATATATATATATATATATATATATATATATATAGAGAGAGAGAGAGAGAGAGAGAGAGAGAGAGAGAGAGAGAGAGAGACAGAGAGACAGAGAGAGAGAGACAGAGTCTCGTTCTGTCGCCTAGGCTGGAGTGCAGTGGTGCGATCTTGGCTCACTGCCACTTCCACCTCCCAGGTTCAAGTGATTCTCCTATCCTGGCCTCCCAAGTAGCTGGGATGATAGGCATGCGTCACCACACCTGGCTAATTTTTGTATTTTTAGTAGAGATGGGGTTTCGCCATGTTGGCCAGGCTGGTCTCAAACTGCTGACCTAAGATGATCTGCCCACCTCGGCCTCCCAGAGTACTGGGATTACAGGCATGAGCCACTGTGCCTGGCCTCAAATTCATATTTGAACATTTATTCAAATTTGAATTTTAGGGGGACATAATTCAGCCTGTAGCACTGTCAACCTAAAAGGAAGAAGCTGAGGCAAAATTAATGTAAGTAAAGACTCTGTTTGGGCCAAGCTTGAGGACTGTAGCCAGGGAGCGTAGATTCAAGTTTCCCTGAATATACACTCCAATTAGCAGCAGTTACAAGTGGATTTATAAAGGCAAAAAAGGGGGACATGGAGTGGGCTGGTACACAGTTGGTTGTCAGGAATTCTCACTGGTTTTCAGAAATAACATTGACGAGTGATTGGCTATACATTGTTAAGCTATGAGGTGTGGGTTATAGCATCCAGTGGGGCATTATTAGATTAATTTATAGCTACTTGTGGCAATGGCAAGCAGTTTTAAGAAATGAATACCGAGCTCAAAGGGGGTATGTAGGACATGATTGCTATCTCATTCTATTGCCTCTCTGGGCCTAATAATTTAAAAGGCTTGTATTCCTCAGATGAAAGTTCTGTTCTTTTCTCAGCACCTTGAATGGCTGGAGAGAGCACCACCCCATCCTTGACCATGCTGAGTGCTGGCTGGACTTCAACTGGGCCAGTACTCCCTTTTCCCTTGTGGAAGGTCCCCTGATTAATGCTTACCTGAACGCCTGCTCTTCCTTCAGTCCCCAGTTCTCTGCATTCCCCAGCACTGGGAACAGAGACAGCATGTCTGTGTTATACAATAGGGAAGAGTATGGGCTCTGGGTTTAAACTTTGACTCTGCCCCCTTGTTAGCCCAGCGACTGTGAGCAAGTCATTTCACTTCACCCAACTTGTTTTCCTTTTTGTACATTGGAGGTTACTAAAAGCACCTTACCTGTCCAATTGTAGAGAGGATTAGGTGTATTAATGGGCATGGCACAGTAAACACTCACAAAATGCTAGCTACTATTAATTGTCAAGATTATGTTGGTTGCAAGGAGCAGAAACTCATATGGAAGTCATTTAGGCAATAAAAGGGGATAATTTATTGACTCTCATAACCAAATCCAGGAAGGTAGGAGAGCAGTTGAGTGGCAGGGGCAACTGGAAAGAGACCATTCCCCATGTCTGTCTGTCTGTCATATCTTTTTTATTTTTATATATGTATTTTTTTACCATGGTGGGTTTTTTTTTGTTTCTTTTCTTTTTTTGGTTGTTTTTTCCATCCTTGGCTAGAACCATGGCTGCCAACAAGCTTCTCTGTTTCATAATGGGAGACCTTCTCATGTGGTTATGATGTGAAAAAAATCCCAGGGAAGGACTCTGATTGGTTCAGCTCAGGTCACATAGCCACCCACGTGGCCAGGTCAGGGGCTGGGGTGCTTAGGTGGGGCAGGGGGTTCTGGGTAGATAAAAATAATTAATGCCTTCTGCCTTATCTAAATGTTCTTTGTACTATGCCTGGCACTTGGTAGAAATTAAACAAATTCCCCTTTTTCCCTTTCTGTTTGACCCTCATGTCTACTTTTTATTACATAAAAGAGTAATCCAGAAAAGAAAGTCAGCTCATTGGAGACACTGGGTAGGGAGAAAAAGCTTTTTATAGAATATTAGGTAGGAGTAGTGGCTTAGGATGGTAAGAGCTCTGCACGAAAGGAAGACATTACGGTCTAAGGCCACCTGGGAGATCTGAGTCAAGCAGCTCTATCCCTTCCTGAGGACAAAAGAGATTTCAGGCAATGACTCATTTGTTTGGAGAGCTAATTGACAAGACATATTAAGAGTTTTAGCAATTGTTCATGCTTTTTGATCCAACAAATTCACTTCTAGAGTGTCAAGAACTGTGCTGGTCTAAGATATTATCCTACATGGAGGCTAGTGAGTTTTATGGATGTGGGCAGAAGACATGAGACTCTGGATTGAGAGATAAAGGACTTTATTTTTCATGGCACAACAGGAAGCTTGAGCTTCATGTCTGCACCAGTTCCCTTTGACCCCCAAGTCCCTCAAGGGTGACACAGGTTGACATGGTTTGGCTGTGTCCCCACCCAAATCTCATCTTGAATTGTAGTTCCCACAATCCCCATGTGTCATGGAAGGGACCCAGTGGGAGGTAATTTAATCATGGGGGCAGTTATCTTCATGCTGTTCTTATGATAGTGAATGAGTTCTCACAAAATCTGATGGTTTTATAAGGGGCTTTTTCTTCTTTTGCTCATTCTTCCCCTTTCTGCCGCCATGTGAAGAAGGACATGTTTGCTTTCCCTTCTGCCATGATTGTAAGTTTCCCGAGGCCTCCCTGAGTCAATTAAATCTCTTTCCTTTATGAATTACTCAGTCTAGGGTATGTTTTTCATTTGTTTGTTTTTTTGTTTTTTTTGAGACAGAGTTTCACTCTTGTCGCCCAGGCTGGAGTGCAATGGCAGGATCTCAGCTCACCCCAACCTCTGCCTCCCAGGTTCAAGCAATTGTCCTGCCTCAGCCTCCTGAGTAGCTGGGATTACAGCCATGTACCACCACACCCAGCTAATTTTGTGTATCTAGTAGAGATGGGGTTTCTCCATGTTGGTCAGGCTGGTCTTGAACTCCTGACCTCAGGTGATCTGCCCACCTCAGCATCCCAAAGTGCTGAGATTACAGCCATGCCTAGCCTTTTTTTTTTCTTTTTTTGAGACAGAGTCTCACTCTGTCGCCCAGGCTGGAGTGCAGTGGCGCATTCTTGGCTCACTGCAACCTCCACCTCCCGGGTTCAAGCGATTCTCCCACCTCAGCCTCCTGAGTAGCTAGGATTATAGGTGTGCACCACAATACCTGGCTAATTTTTTGTATTTTAGTAGAGATGAGGTTTCACCATGTTGCCCAGGCTGGTCTCAAACTCCTGAGCTCAGGCAATCTGCCCACCTCGGCCTCCCAAGGTGTTAGGATTACAGGTGTGAGACACCACACCCAGCCTTGGGTATGTTTTTATTAGCAGTGTGAGAAATGAGTAATACATGGATGGATCCAGGTAGAATCTGTGCCTGCAGTGGATTTGCATCACACCTGAGGAACCCCAAGTTTAGGAATCTTGGTCTTTTCAACCTTTACCCTGGATGGAGGGAGACATTGTCATTATAATCCTTTCTTTTTCTTTTTCTTCTTCTTTTTTTGTTTTTTGTTTTTTTGAGGTAGAGTCTTGCTCTGTCACACCAATGTTGGAGTGCAGTGGAATGATCTTAGCTCATTGCAACCCCTGCCTCTTGGGTTCAAGCAATTCTCCCACCTGTCTCCCAAGTAGCTGGGATTACAGGCGCCCACCACCACACCCAGCTAATTTTTTAAGTGTTTGTAGTAGAGATGGCAGTTTCACCATATTGGCCAGGCTGGTCTCGAACTCCCAACCTCAGGTCATCTGCCTGCCTCAGCCTCACAAATTGGTGGGATTACAGGCATGAGCCACTGCGCCTGGTCCGGAGATATTATTATTATAATCCTAATCAGCAAATAAATCTGTCTTCTACTATACTAGCCCTATCTTCTAATGCTATTAGCTATACAAACATCCTTATAAAGACGGTCTAGAACAAAAGCTGACACAAGATGTGCAGAAATGTAAGAGACACATGGGGAATTGTTGCACAGCATAGAGAATCTTTCCTAAGGAAACTACATCTGAAACACACACAGAAAATGTATTCTTAAAGCAACAATAGTTCAGCATTAGGGGAAGAGGTTAAACAGACTGTTGTTGGGATACTCTTCTGTTTCTAAACATGTTTCTGAAGATCTTGGAATGGGAAGTGTAAACGTTCAACTTAAAATGTAAAGTGGAACAAAAAGCTGCAAAACTTGAATATATGTTTTTATTAACTATGTACAGACATCTATTCTAGGAAACCTGGGAGGGAGACGTGCTAAAATGTTCATAGTCTTTCTCTGGGCGATGAGTCTAGGATCCACTGTTTTTCTTCATTTGGAATGTTCATAGTCCTCCTCTGGGCAATGAGTCTAGGATCAACTGTTTTTCTTCATGTGGAATGTTCATAGTCTTCCTCTGGGCAATGAGTCTAGGAGCCACTGTTTTTCTTCATTTGGAATGTTCATAGTCCTCCTCTGGGCAATGAGTCTAGGATCAACTGTTTTTCTTCATGTGGAATGTTCATAGTCTTCCTCTGGGCAATGAGTCTAGGAGCCACTGTTTTTCTTCATGTGGAATGTTCATAGTCTTCCTCTGGGCAATGAGTCTAGGATCAACTGTTTTTCTTCATTTGGAATTTTTTTTTTTCAGTTTTTCTATAATGAACATGTATTACATTTATAATAGAAAATAACAAGATAAATTATTTCTGAAAGCAGTGCCCAGCATCCAGAATTTGGCAAAAACAGGAGAAGAAAGCATAAAACAAGCAGGGAAAAAGGTTTTCAGTTAAATTAGATGTCCAATGAAGAGATCAGCTTGGCTGCAAAATCTCTTTTTGACAGACAATTAGTTCTGGGCAAGTCAAATGTTTCAACAGTGCGTTCTTCTGGGGCAATTAAAGTAATTCATACTTGATGTGCGGAAATGTGGTAATTGGGAAAGTTCCCCAAATGGCAGTTGAAACTGGGCTGGTTGTGTTTGGAGAAGTTAAGTCATGCCCTTGACAAGCCATCTATCTGAGTCTACTGAAGAGGGCTTGGGCTGGGTGATTTTAAGATGGAATTTTCCACTGGGCATAGGAAGTGATGTTGGGAATGGACTAGAAGGGTCAACAGTGACAACATTAACAGCATTTATTGTAATATAAATACAGTTGGCCCTTGAACAACATGGATTTGAACCGCATGGGTCCACTTATACATGGATTTTTTTCTGTTTTTGCCACCTCTGAGACGGCGAAACCAATTCCTCCTCTTCCTCCTCTTCCTCAGTCTCCTCAATGTGAAGACAATGAGGATGAAGACATTTATGATGATCCACTTCCACTTAATGAATAATAAATACATTTTCTCTTCCTTATGATTTTCTTAATCATATATTGTTTTCTCTAGCTTATTTTATTGTAAAAATACAGTGTATAATCATATAAAATACAACATATGTGTATATTGTTTGTGTTATTGGTAAGACTTCTGGTCAACAATAGGTTATTAGTAGCTACGTTTTGGGGGAGTCAAAAGTTATAGGTGGATTTCCAACTGTGAGGGGGTTGGCATCACAGTCATTCATGGGTCAACCATTGTGTCAATAACAATCATACCACACATATTTTGAGTGCCACATGTTGCACTAAGCACTTATGTATCTATTAATTTCTACAACTATCCCGTGCAATAGATACGATTGGAGTTTCCGTCTTACTGATAAGGAAACTGAGGGCCAGAGAGGTCAATTGAGTTGTCCAAGGTCACACAGCCAGTTAGTAATGGAGCTGGAATCTGAATCCATGCAATCTGACCCTTGTTCAATGCTCCTAGACTTATGTGCTGGATTTTTTTTTTTTTGAAATAACAATGTTTTATACCTCTATCTTTACTTTCCTAGATAAGGGCATCTGATTTCCCTCCATGGCAAGCAAGTTATGTTGTATTTGCTACATTTGAGAGGGAAAAAAGCTGAAGTTCAGAACGGATTAGAAATTTCCCAAGGCCACACAGTGAAAGAATAGAAAGTTTCCTTTTTTAAATGGCGGAGCTTTTATATCAATGCTGTTTGTAAATTTTAGTTGGCAATGTCTGTTATATTCCATGAAACTGAATGAGAGGTGAGGTGGTATATTAGCCAAAACTCTCTCAGCTACATCTTGCTATTGTTCCATGCAACTTCAAAGCCCACAGATAGACTGGACTTCAAGTATGGCTGGATCCAGATGCTTAAATGATATGCTTTGAAATCTGTCTGATCTCTACTTCTCAGCTCTCTTTTCATCCATGTTGGCTTCATTATCAGGCCCTTTTCTTATGCCATCAGCAGCTGCTGACTTACCTCCTACCAGCTTAGTAATCCCAGGGGAAAATGAACTTACCTTTGCCAAAAGCACTGGCATAAGAAGCTGACTCTCATTGCATTGTAAGAGTCAGGTGCCCATCTCTGAACGAATTATTGTGGCTAAGGAAGTAGAAGAGGGTGATTAGTCAGTCCTGATCATGTGCTCAGCTCTAGCTTTAGAAGATGGTGCTATCCAAACTCCATGAATGAACAGTGAAGGAAGGACCATTGTTCAAAAGTAAGTGGAAATGCTGTTTCCAGGAAAGCAGAATGGGAGGAGGAAGTGGGGGGAGGGGGGAAGGGATTCAAGGGGTGGGAGCTGGAATGGAATTAGCCCTAAATAGTTGGAGTTTGGAGGGTGTAAGTAAGTGTGAGCTGAATGCCGAAAGCAGAGTTGCAAGATGGTGTGTCAGCCCAGTTCTGAGAAACAAACTCCCATACAGGATTACACATATGTGATTTTTATTAAGGGAAATGCCCTTGAGAGAAAGCAAAGAAGGTGCCACATAAAGCTGGGAGAACCTGAGACAGTAATGCAAGTCTGACTCTGAGTAAAAGAGAGAGGAGAAAAAAGTTAGGGTGCGAACACCATAGGGAAGTCCCTAAGCCAAAGCCGGGGACAGGGGAATCCTGTGTCTCCCGGGGAGGGGTCTGCTTTAGTGTCCCTGCCATGCTCAGTCATTAGCCAGGAGCACCTCATGGAAGGAAGCATATGGATTCCCCAGCGCAGCAGCTGGGGCCCTGGTTAATTACACTCCCAGTAGAGGGAGGTCGATGAGGCCCATTCTCAGGGCCACCACATGGTGAGCCATGCAGCAGTGGCCTGGCAGAACATTTGTCTGGGTTCATACAGTATTTACATTAAAAAAAATCAGGGCTGGGTGCTGTGGCTCACACCTGTAACTCCAGCATTCTGGGAGGCCAAGGCAGGCAGATCACTTGAGATTAGGAGCTGGAGACCAGCGTGGCCAACAAGGGGGAAACCTCATCTCTACTAAAAATACAAAAATTAGCTGGGTATGGTGGTGCACCCCTGTAATCCCAGCTACTTAGGAGGCTGAGGCAGGAGAATTTCTTGAATGTGGGAGGAGGAGGCTGCAGTGAGCTGCGATCATGCCACTGCACTCCAGCCTGGGCAACAGAGTGAGACTCTTGTCTCAAAAAAAAAAAAAAAAATCAGTTGCCAGCATTCAACAAACTGTGTATTTTACATCTTTAAAAACCCCTGGATTTCCTGCTTCTCTTTAAAAAATAGTGGCAGTTTGGCAACATTGGGAGTCCATTCCACAAATCTTGCAAAATTGAGTCCTCGCTGCCTCCTTAGATAAGGTGTGTGCTCTCTAGTTTGCCACAGTCTCCACCAGACCCAGTTGCCCTAATCTGTACTCTTCACTCATTTGTGTTACTTGTCTGCCCATGTGTGCATTTAAGTTTGCAACCCTTGCCTTAAATTCATCTGAGAAACAAACTATGGCAGTCAGGTTCAGCCATAGAATCTAATGGGAAGGAGCAAAGCTGGAGATTGAGCGACTAAGCTAGAGGTTGATAAAGCAGGAATAGAGCAGGTAGCTGGAGTCTGAGCAGACAGACTTCAGGGCTTGTCTGCCTTCCTAAGAGCTCCTTTGCTGGCTGGGTGAAGTCACTGAGAACCTAAGCAGAGGGTGTCAGTTCTAGCCTTCCTGGAGAAATCTTAGTTGAGATGGATGTTTAGAGCTGGTGGACACTGCCTTTGTGTCAAGCCAGTCTAGGAGTCACAGCAATATTTGGACACTGGTTGAAAGTTGTTCCATTCCATCCCACTTGCTCAGCAATTTGGACAAGTGTGGGTTTAGGTTATTTTAATTGGTTAATACCCTTTTGTTTAGGTGCTCTCCTTTCCTCTTCCACATGGTTCAGTAAGGCTGCCAATTCTAGAGCTCTTTCTTCTCCTATGAAAGTCATGGATGTCTTAGGCTGGGTTTTCCCAGAGGCAGATCCTGTGATGAGGATTTCCATGTAATGGTTTATTTGTAGGGTGACTCTGGGAAGCACCAGTAGGAGAATGGGAGTGTATTAGTCAGGGTTCTTTAGAGAAGTAGAACCAATAGAATAGCACACACACATACACACACACATATGCATATACATACACACACACACACACACACACATATATAAGCATATGGGGAATCCATATGCTTCCTTCCATGAGGTGCTCCTGGCTAATGACTGAGCATGGCAGGGACACTAAAGCAGACCTCTCCCCAGGAGACACAGGATTCCCCTGTCCCCAGCTTTGGCTTAGAGACTTCTCTATGGTCCATATATATATATATATATATATATATATGTGTGTGTGTGTGTGTGTGTGTGTGTGTATACACACATATACATGTGTGTATATATACACACATATACATGTGTGTATATATACACACATGTATATGTACACACACATATGTGTGTGTATGTGTGTATATATATATATACACATACATATATGTATCTATATGCACTTTTATATACATACATTCACATACATATATGTATCTATATGCACTTTTATATATATGTGTGTGTGTGTGTGTATGCAATTATGGAGGCTGACAAGTCCTAAGATCTGCAGGATGAGTCAGTAAGCTGGAGACCCAGGAGACCCAGTGGTGTAGTTCCAGTCTGAAAACCAGCAGGCTTGAGATCCAGAAAGAGCCGTGTTTCAGTTTGAGTCTAAAGGCAGGAAAATTTTGACGTTTCAGCTTGAAGGCCCTCAGGCAGGAGGAGATCTCTCTGACTCAGGCAAGGGTTGGCCTTTTGTTCTATTTAGACCTTCAACTGATTGGATGAGGACCATGCACATCTGGAGTGCAACCTGCTTTCCTCCGTCTACCCATTTAAATGTTAATCTCGTCTGAAAACACCTTCACGGGAACACCCAGAATAATGTTTTACCAATTATCTGGGCACTCAGCGTCCCAGTCAGGTTGACACATAAAATTAACCATCACAGGGCAAAATGAGACAAGGAAATCTAAACCAGAATAGAGCAAGGTAATGAGTAAGTTACTTCTATGGGCAGCCGGGGCTTGGTCCTTTTGATGGGCTTTGGTTGATGGCATGGAACACACCTCAAATTGTCCCACCTGAGTGTTGAGAAAACTGAGATATTTATCTTTCATCACTCATCTGACATTGACCAAGGGATGCTCTCAGGGACTTTGACATCCTTGAACTTCTGGCCTGTCTTGCCGAGGCCAAGAAAAGGCCTTCAGGTGGGGAGTTGCAGGTGCTTGCAGAGGGATGCCTTCAGCTTGTATGGGATGGGGAGGGTCCAAGGGACATGGGTGGCCATTGCCAGTGTCTGCTATGGTTGGTAAGTGGCACATATCTGGTCAAACATCAGGATCTATCCACCCAGCAGTGTTGGACCTTGGAGTGGCACAGGCATCAGAATCTTCCCTGGGGATTAACTTATTGTGGTTCTTGAACAGAGAGGATATATATCTGGAGGTGCCAGCCTCTACTTGCCCTCCCACATGGAGAGAGATGGAGAATAAGGCTGAGCAAAGACAAACAGTGAAGAGAAATGGAGACAGAGAGAGGGAGAGAGAGAGTGAGAGAGAGAGAGAGAGACAGAGAGAGAGAGAGAGAGAGAGACAGAGACAGAGAGAGAGAGAGAGAGAGAGAGAGAGAGAGAGAGTATACATGTACTTTGAGGCAGTGAGTCCTGTTTCTAGTCCCTGGGGCTCTGGTTCTTTTCTCTTCCTGTCTTAGTCTGTTTTTGCTGCTGTAACAAAATACCCAAGACTAGATAACTTATAAAGGACAGAAACTTATTTCTCACCGTTCTGGAGGCTGAGGAGTCCAGGGTCAAGGCACAGGCACATTTTGTGTCTGGTAAGGGGCTCTGTTCCTTGCTTCTAAGGTGGTACCTTGTGTCCTCTGGAGGGCATGAATGCTGTATCCTCATATGTGGAAGTTGGAAGGGCAAAAGGGCCTAAGTTAGTTCCCTCTACCCCTTTATAAGGCATGAATTCATTCCTTAAGGGCCAAGCCCTCCTGACTGAATCACTTCCTAAAAGGCCTCACCTCTTAATACCACTGCAATGAGGATTAAGTTTCAACATGAATTTTGGAGGAGACACGTTCAAACCTTAGCATTCCCTTTCCGTAAATGACCTCAGCTGGATAAACCAGTATATTCGTTTCTTGATTAATTTAGCCAGAGTTAGATTTCTGGGCATGCAACCAAAAGCTCTTACTAACAGTTATTGTGGTGGGATAGGGATGAGGGGAAGGGAGATTGGGATTGAGAGAGAGATTGCCCTGGGCCTAAGAGCTTTCTCTCCTTATTACATCCCAGTGCCTGAGATTTAAGTTGCTAGAAGGAAGATGAGTTTATGGTGGAAATTTGTAACCGACCATTAACTAGAATGGCGCAGCTAAGCCCCTGTGCCTGACCAATTGTTAGGACTTAAAGAAATAGCAATAAAGAAAGAGCTTTTAGTTTCAGAGCTTAATTAGCCATTCTTTTCCTTCCTGACTTTTAGTTTTATGACTCTAGCTTCCAGGATAGAATTTTATTGTAGTCAGATACAAATTAAACCCAAACAAGGACTCTCCCGTGTTTCTGTTTCTTCAATTTAAATTTATTCTTTGTAGGGTGACACTAAGTACCACAGTATATGTCACATGTAAGAACAGTAAATTTTTAAAAAAGAGAGACAGGGCAAGCATTTATCATTGTGATCTCTTCTCTAAACATAATGGGAACTTAGGTTAATTAAAAAAAAAAGTTAATGCCGTTGTTTTTTGCCTTAAGAAAGGTAGGGTTTTTATCTGAAGTGCTCTGAGAATTGGCACTCTTAAATCTGCAATGATGAGAAATAACAGTAGCTACCATTTGTTGAAAATCTATTAGTAGTATGCTAGGTCCTTAACCTTCAGTATCTCTAATTACCCCAAGACACTTGAAGGATGGATGGTCTAAAGTTTCCATGTGTGCAAAATGATAGCTCTGAGAAGACTTAACCAATGTTTCAAAGATTTAAAAAAAAAAAAAAAGGAATTGGAGCCAGTTTGCATTAAGACCTTTTGAACTCCAAAAAATCTATCTATGTGCTTCCGACTTGAAAAGGGTATGTTTTGCATGCTGGATATGGGTTTGGTGGAGGTGCTGGTGTATACACTGTATGTTTCAATGCTAGACATCGTGCTGGGTACTGGACTTAGTAGGCACCTGATCGCATTTCTGTTCGGCAAATTCAGAAAATGTGAGTGACTGAAACTTCATTAGGTTGAAGGGGAATTTACCTTTTCACTACGTCTGAGCAAAGGGTTTATTCGGTAAGGTATATTTATATTATATTATATTATATTATATTATATTATATTATATTATATTAGTGCCCCATGGAAATTATATTTGTTTCTCTACAGATAACAAAGATTCTTATTTCTCTCTTAAAATTCAAAATAAAGAGCCTTACTGACATCTACCATAAATCCTCTGCTGTAACCAGGTAGAGTATAAATAACTCCATAAAAAGAGAGTAATGCTGTCTTGCGTTTGCACAGCACTTTACAGTTTAGAAAGTATTTGCTTGCCATGTCCCTTTCGATCCTCCTGATAGGCTTGCGGGGTAGGAAGGAGAGGTACTGTCATTTCCATCTTCCTGGTGGGAAACAAACATTTGGAGAAGTTGGGTGACTTGCCCCAAGGTGACACAATAGTGAAGGGTTCAAACCAGGACTTAGTTAGTTTGGGTGTCAGAATGGGTCAGAGTGGGTTTGTCTTAGTTAGTTTGGGCTGTGTATTAGTCTCTTCTTGCATTGTTATAAAGAAATACCTGAGACTGGGTAATTTATAAAGAAAAGAGGTTTAATTGGCTCACAGTTTTGCAGGCTGTACAGGAAGCATAGCTGAGGAAGCCTCAGGAAACTTACAATCATGGCAGAAGGTGAAAGGGAAGCTGGCATGTCCTACATAGCTGGAGTAGGAGGAAGAGAGCAAAGGGGAAAGTGCTACACACTTTTAAACAACCAGATCTTGTGAGAACTCACTCACTGTCATGAGAACAGCAAGGGGCAAGTCTGTCCCCGTGATCCAATCCCCTTCCCCCAGGCCCCTCCTCCAACACTGGGGATTACGATTCAACACGAGATTTGGGCGGGGACACAAATCCGAACCATATCAGGCTGCAATAACAAAATAGTATAAACTGGATGGCTTAAGCAACAGAAATCTATTTCTCACAGTTTTGGAGGCTGAGAAGTGCCACAATCTGGCTGATGTAGCTCCCAGCGGACCCTCCTCCTGGCTTGCAGAAAGCTGCTTTCTCTCTGCATTCTCACATGACGGAGGAAGTGGGGGGTGGGGGGAGCGGAGGTAGAGAGGGAGAGAGAGAGGGAGGGAGGGAAGAGGAGAGACAGAGCAAGAGAGCAAGCCGTCTGGTGTCTTTTCTTGTAAGGATGCTAATTCCATCACGAAGACCTCATCCTCATGATCTCATCTAAACTAATAGTCTTCCAAAAAAGCCCACCTCCTAATACCAACATAATGGAAGTTAAGGCTTCAACATATCAATTTTGAGGGGACACAGTTCAGTCCATTGGACTTAGAGTTCACACTTCCTGGACAAGATTTTGGAACGTTGTAAAGCTTTCTTCAGAAAAACAACTAGTTTATTTTCCCCCAAGCATTTATAGCCCACTTTAGCAGCACTCAACTGCATGCCTCTGATCTATATGCTAATTTTGGATCCGCCTTATCTCTTAAGTAATCCAAGAGTTTGTGTGTGTGTGGATGCTCCTTGATTTGAAATCCTTATGTGCTTAGAACTAATGGCGTTGTAAAACACACTCCACAATGTACCCTTCTCTAATTCAGCCTGATTTTCTCCCATCCCTCCACGTTAGCCGGGCTCCCATGCCCCTGTTTTTGATCACGATTGATTGTCCAGCTCCAAAGCATCATCTGAACGACTTATGGTCTTTCTCCCGAGTGTTGGAGCCCAGGGTAGGCAGATGGGAGAGGGTAGGGGATTTGAACCGGAGAAAGACATTTAAATTTCCTCCTGTTCATCTTAGCTTAGGAAGTTACCTGCTGTCTGAAGGGTGTATCCCTATTTTATTATTTATTTATTTTTACAAAACCAAGGGAAACCAGCAACGAAACGCAAGAGGAGCTCCTCTGCCTCTGATTCCAGTAGCTGTGCTCTCAGGTTGGAGCAGCCAACCCAGAAATTGGTGGCCAGTGGCTAGGGTCAGGATGAGCAGAGTGAACGCGAGTTCTATGTCTGATTATAAAAACTGTACTTGCTCCTTATGGAGAATTTGAAATCTAGGGAAATTATAAAAATGTAAAGTGTTATCAGTCCTTTGTCAGCCATTGGGCTGGTTGGTTGGTCAGAAGTCATCACTGTTATAGACCCTCATTGCTTAATGAAAATTAATTTGTCAAGCGATTTCCTTGATGATGCTAATATTTATTGAAAGGTTACCCTAGGCTGAGTTCTGGCTAACAGCTATATATATGTATACTTTTATTTTCCAAGTGAAGAAACAGGCTCAGAGAGGGTAAGAACTTACTCACAGTCACACAGCAACTGAGTGGGGCGGCTAGAATTTGGGTTCAGATAGTCAGACGTTAGAGTTCAGGTTTTTCATCCCTTCAACATCTACACATTTTTCAAGAAATAACAAGATTCACTTTTGGTTTGAAGAGGAGTGCATGGGAGAGAAAGAAAAGTACCAAATGGGAAAAAGAGAGAGCAAGGAAACCAAACTCCGTTTGTGGTCGTGAGCTACATTAAAAAAAAAAAAAAAAAAAAAAAGCCAGGCCAGGGACAATGGCTGGATTATGCCTGTAATCCTGCCACTTTGGGAGGCCAAGGCAGGAGGATCACTTGAGGTCAGAAGTTTGAGACCAGCCTGGGTAATATAGCGAGACCCCATCTCTACAATTCTTTTCTTTTTCTTTTTTTTCTTTTTTTGAATTAGCAAGGCGTGCTGGTGTGCACCTGTAGCCACAGCTACTGGGGAGGCTGAAGCAGGAGGATCGCTTGAGCCCAGGAGTTCAAGGCTGCAGTGAGCTATGATCCCACCACTGCACTCCAGCCTGAGCAACAGAGTGAGACTCTCTCTGAAAAAACAACAACAACAAAAACAAAAACAAAGCAAAGCTGGTGGTTTCACATGAGTGTTGCTCCTTCTGGAAAGGCATCACTGGAGTGGGTGCCATATTTTGATGCTGCTGCTGCCAATGATGAGAACATGGGCAACCTCTTTTGCCTGTAATTTTTTTTTTTTTTTTGAGACAGTCTCACTCTGTCACCCAGGCTGGAGTGCAGTAGTGCATTCTCAGCTCACTGCAACCTCCGCCTCCTGGGTTCAAGCGATTCTCCTGCCTCAGCCTCCCGAGTAGCTGGGATTACAGCCGCCTGCATCCACACCCAGCTAATTTTTGTATTTTTAGTAGAGATGGGATTTTGCCATGTTGGTGAGGCTGGTCTCGAACTCCTGACCTCGTGATCCGCCCGCCTCGGCCTTCCAAAGTGCTGGGATTACAGGCGTGAGCCACCGTGCCCGGCCAAGAGAGACTTTTCTACACTTTGTAATTATGTTATTTTTAAACTGAAAACTATATTTCCTATTTCTTAGTGTTAGAAAGAAAGAGAAATCCCTGAGAACAATCAGCAGCCTGGAGCATAGTTTGAGACTCCCACTAACAGAGCCAAGAGTCTCAAACTAGGCCAACAGATACCCTTGGGGAACCCTGCTGTATCCCTGGGACATAAAAAACTACAGTACAAACATCATCATCTTCCTGGAGGATGAATAAACTTTAGTAGAGTAATAGTAACTTAAAACACATGTGGCACAAAATAGAACGCAGAGTTCACAAATACCTAAGGTAAAATAAGACTTCAAAGAAAATTTCACCCTTGCAGAGGTTATTTTGGGCTACACTCCACAGAGTATGAATTCATTCTCTTTTCCTCTCAGGGATAGTTTGTTAAGAGTCTGAAAACCACTGCTCTGGGCAAACTGCCCTCCGGAGTCACACACAAAAAATCAATCTCGTTACTAAAGATAAATTTTATTTCAATAAAAATTGTAATGAGCTTGATCACCTACCCTTTTCACCTGACTTGGCTACAAATGACTGCCAACTGTTTAAAAAAAAAAATCCAACCGACCCTCAGAGCTAATATGCTATTACTTTTAAAGATTACAGACAGGCCAGGCGTGGTGGCTCACGCCTGTAATCCCAGCACTCTGGGAGGCCAAGTTCCTATTTCTTAGTGTTAGAAAGAAAGAGAGAGAAATCCCTCAGAACAATCAGCAGCCTGGAGCATAGTTTGAGACTCCCACTAACAGAGCCAAGAGTCTCAAACTAGGCCAACAGGCACCCTTGGGGAACTCTGCTGAGGCTGAGGCAGGAGAATTCCCGGAACCCGGGAGGCGGAGGTTGCAGTGAGCTGAGATCGCGCCATTGCACTTCAGCCTGGGCAGCGAGAGCGAGACTCGGTCTCAAAAAAATAAAAAAATAAAAAAGCCTCTCTTGTGTCCTTGTCCCCAGCCTTCCAGCTCTCCTCTGAGGGAACCAGTTTTCAAGATGGCCCGCAACAATCCCTGCCTGCTGCCATTCACACCTTGTTTAGTCCCCTCCCACGCTGGAAAGATCCATGTTGGGGCTCGTGTGTGACCAATGCCGCAGAAGTGATGTTATGTCACTTCCGCGATTACGTCATGAAAGACTGCAGCTTCCATTGTTGGCTCTTTCTTTCTCTTTCTTGGATCAGTCGCTTTGGAGGAAGCCAGCTGCCATGTTTTGAGGACACTAAGGCACTTTACGGAGAGGCCCACGTGGTGAGGAATTGAGGTTTCTAAGAGCCAGTAAGGAATAGAGACAACCACACAGTGAGCCTGGAAGCCTAGTCTTCAGCCCCAGAAACGCTCAGATGACTGCAGTCCTGGCTGACATCTTACCTGCAGCCTCATTGGAGACCCTAAGCCAGAGCACTTAGCTGAGTTGGCTTGTGGGTTCCAAATCCAGACAATTAGATGATAAATGCTTGTTGTTTTATATTTAGTTTTAGTTTTTGTGACTACATCGTAGGTGTATATATTTATGGGTTACGTGAGATATTATAGGCATGCAATGTGTAATTATCACATCAGGCTAAATGGGGTATCCATCATCTCAAGCGTTTTCCTTTGTGTTACAATCTAATTATTCTCTTTTAGTTATTCTAAAATGTACGATTAAATTGTTTTTGATTATAGTCACCCCATTGTGCTAGCAAATAGTAGGTCTTATTCATTCTTTTTTTTTTTTTTTTTGAGATGGAGTCTTGCTCTGTCGCCCAGGCTGGAGTGCAGTGGTGCGATCTTGGCTCACTGCAACCTCTGCCTCCCAGGTTCCAGGAATTCTCCTGCCTCAGCCTCCTGGGTAGCTGGGACTACAGGCGCCTGTCACCACGCCCGGCTAACTTTTGTATTTTTTAGTAGAGACGGGGTTTCACCATATTGACCGGGCTGGTCTCGAAGTCCTGACCTCGTGATCCACCCACCTTGGCCTCCCAAAGTGTTGGGATTACAGGAGTAAGCCACCGCGCCCGGCCTTATTCATTCTTTCTAACTATTTTTTTGTACTATCATGGTTCACTGCAGCCTCATTTTGACCTCCTGGGCTCAAATTGATCCTCCCACCCCAGCCTCCTGAGTAGCTGGGACTGTATGCACATGCCACCATACCTAGGTAATTTTTAAAGATTCTTTTATAGAGATGGGGTCTTCTTATGTTGCCCAGGCTCGTCTCAAACTCCTGGGCTCAAGTGATCCTCCCGCCTCTGCTTCCCAAAGTGCTGGGATAACAGGCGTGAGCCACTGCACCCAGTCGATGGCGTGTATTAAAAGGAATGATGATATAAATACTGATGACTAACATTTATTGAGTGTTTTTTCCATGTCAGGCATTATATCAAGCACTTTACATGCATATCTCATCAGTAAAACATTTGCATTTTTATTTCTTATCACTAGTAAATCCTTCTCCTCCCAGAAGCATTTAAAAATCCACAAACCATGGCTAACTTCCTGTGAAATGGCTTAGTGGGCAAAAATTCAGAATAAGGGGAGTGTGAGTCCATGTCTCCTTTCCAGAGATGAAGAAGTTTCTCTTTTCTGTGCATGAAGAAGACAATGGGATATGGATGACACTAAACCTTTGAAAGTTCCTGCTAACCTCCAGGTGGAAGGAAAGGGCCCACGGTGATCAATAAATGTGTTTGCTATTTTTTGGGTGAAAGGAAGAGAGCCTGCACCTCTGTTGGGGTAGGTTATCCACGCTGTCTGCCTGGGGTCCAGATTCCTGGCATTGATATGACTTCTTGGCTCTCTTGAGCCCTGAATCTGCTTCAAATTCAGAAAGCCCCAAGACTTCTGGGCTCTATAATTACTCTGGGCTTTGGAGAATGGTTTCTCTTATGAGCAAAACAATGGTGGAAACTTGTACCAATGAAGGAAACACACAAGCGTGTAGAGGAACATTGCTGTTTGCTGATGATGCTGGTGGCTGCTTGGGTGAGAGATAAACTCTCCAAAGAGCGTTGGCCCTTTTGTGGCTGCAGGATCTGGGTGAAAGAGATTCTTGTAGTCTATCCTATCACTAGATACTATCTGTCTTAGTCCATTTTGTGCTGCTATAACAGAATACCACAGACCAGGTAATTTACAATGAATAGAAATTTACTTGGGTCACAGTCCTGGAGGCTGGGAAGTCCGAGGTTGAGAGCTTACATCTGGTGAAGGCCTTCTTGCTGCATCATGGTGTGACCCAAGGCATCACATGGGTGAGAGAGAGGGTGAGAGAGAGCACCTACTCCTGTGAAAACCAGCCCGCTCCCATGATAAAGGCATTAATCCATTCAGAAAGATGATGTCCCCATGATCCAAACACCTCTTGAAGGCCTCACCTCTCAACACGGTTGCATCAGGGATTAAGTTTCCAGCACTTGAACTTTGGGGAACACATGCAAACCATAGCAATATCTGTGCCGGATATTTTGTATTTGCTCCTTTACATCCACTGTCCACCCCCATTTCCTGCTTTGTACCCCAGGAGGCTGACTTCTATGGACTACATCACATGTGGTCTCCCATCCTCTTGTGGCTGCTTGGGTTTGGCCAATGGGGTGGGGATCATAGAATACTAGAAGGTGGGAGGAGAGAGGGATTCGGATATTTATTTCTGTGGCTCCTTCCTGTTGGGTTGCCATAGGTTGGAAGCTCCTGCCAGGCAGCTGTCTTTCCCTGAAGACTGTGGCTACTCTCCTTGGGTTCCATAACTATTTCTCCTCCAGGTCTAGGGGTAGAAATGGCTCCTCACTGCTGCTAGTTAGGGCTACTGCAACCTCCCTTTTTGTTTTTGTTTTTTTTAATCCCACTTATACAGCTATATATAGCCCTTTGCTAAACTCTTTTTAGTTACCCCATTTGAGTTTACTATGTATTTCCTGCCACAACCTTGATTGATACAGCAGCCCAGAGAAGGGAAGCAATTAACTTTCTCACTCCTTTATTCATTCATCCAACCTCCCATCAACACTTACTCTATGCCAGGACTTGTGCTGAGGCTTTTAAGAATGAGACATGATTTCTTGTCTATGTCCCTGAGTTCTCAGTTGTTCACCCCAGAAACTGACTCTTACCAAAGAAAGAGAACATGCCGAAGGCATTGCTGAAGGCCCAGCCTTGGAAAACACCCCATACAAGGTGACTCCAGATAGCTTTATAGCGGCAACTCCTCCAAGGGCATGCGTTAGGGATAGGCTGATCTGGGGACCCCTGCTCTCCCTGCAGAGAATTCATGGAAACCCAATAGGGCCTGTGTTCTTGCATCATGAGTCAAGGTGCCAAGAGAGATCACCTGATTGGCTGATCCAGAGTCACACGGTTGGGGGAGGGTATACAAAGTGGAGGGCTCACCACAGCGGTCAGAGATAAGGCTGCTCCTTGCAGCTCTGTTTTTTGCAATTCCTCTTGGACCCTCCCCAGTTCGGCCACCACCCTTGAGGCTAGCAAGGGTGAGTTGTGTCAGAAGCATTCCATGCAAGGAAATAACAACTTGGAATCCAAATATATTCATTAGTAAGTAATGGAAACCTGAAATTGCTTAAACAAGATGGGACATTATTCTCTCACATTAAAAGGAATTTGGGGGTAGGTGAGTCTAGGGTTGGTTTATTCAGTAGTTCAGTTGTATCATCAAAGACCTGGGCTCTTGCCATCTTTGTGCTCTGACTTACAGAGCAAGGGCTTAATTCCAGTCTTTTCCTCTAATGAGCACAAAATGGGTGCCACAGTGCCTTACATCACATCCTAACACAATAACGTTCAATGTCCAAAGGTCAGAGGAGAAAATGTGTCTTCCTTGTGTCCATTGTTGACAGCAAGGAGGAAATTTCCATCAACTCTCATTGGTCACAATGGGTCACGTGCCTATTCGAAAGCAATCACTAGACAGGGGGTCAGTATTACTATGATTAGTTTAGGTCAGTCAAGATTCACTCCTTGAGGCTCAGAAGGGCAACTTCTCCTAAAGCATGTGACTGTTCAATACTTTAAAAATTGGGGTTCTCTTAGCAACGGAGAAGAGAGGCTCTTTTTTTGACAAGCAATCGTAGCATCTATCAAAGCATAAGAAAAGCTTGTGAGTGATGAGGTTGGAGACTGAGAAGGTTCCAGAACATGACATTCTGGTGAAGTAGGCAGGACCCAGGAATCTCAAAAGTGACCCAATGTCACAGAGTCTGTTGGTGGCAGAGGAATTGAGGCATCTAGAGGCATCTAGGCAGAGTGATTGAGGCATCTCACTTTCTACGCAGAAAAGGAGGCATTTGCTCCACAAAAGCCTCCTGCTAATTCCAGGGACCTTTCGCTGTAGAGACAACTTTATGGCATCAGTGACAACTTTGGCCTCATTGTCCTGACAGAGCCTAGAATGGTGCTATCTTTGGGCTTCATATCTGTGAGGCACTCAGAAATGTATGAAGCATTTCCAAGTCCATGGTCTCATTTGCTCTCCACTTTGCAGTGGGGAAACTGAGGTTCAGACAGGTGAAGAGACCCGATCAAGGTCACATAGCTGGAGAGCAGGAAACACTGAGCTCAACCCCAGATATTTTAACCAAAGGTTTTAGTTCTCTGCCTTCCTGCCTTCTAGATAACTCCATACAGTCTGCAGGGTAGATCCTCAATCATGATGTATGAAAAGCGTGAATGAATGCAAAAAAAAAAAAAAAAGGTTTAAAAAAGCTGTGCAAGCTGGGCACAGTGGCTCACACCTGTAATCTCAGCAATTTGGGAGGCCAAGGTGGGAGAATGTCTTGAGGCCAGGAGTTTGAGACTAGCCTGGGCAACATAGTGAGACTCCTTTTCTATAAAAAATTTAAAAATTAGCTGGGTATGGTGGTGTGCATCTGTAGTCCCAGCTACTTGGAAGGCCTAGGTGGGAGGATCACTTGAGCCCAGGAGTTCAAGACCAGCCTGAGCAACCTAGGGAGAGCCCGTCTCTACAAAAACTAATATAAATTAGCAAGGTGTGGAAGTGCATTTCTGTAATCCCATCTACTTGGGAGGCTGAGGTGGGAGGATTGCTTGGGCACAGGAGGTCGAGGCTGCAGTGAGCTGTGATCACACAACTGCACTTCCAGCCTGGGTGACAGAGTGAGACCCTGTCTCAAAAAATAAAAAAGTTGTGCAAAGATAAAAACCCAGTTATGACTCCCATTGTGGACCCATAAATAAAGCAAAGTTATCAAATAGAGATGTGTGAGCTGCTGAATGGAACAGAACTCACTGGGTTTATGGGGCTGTGTCAGGCACCTCTGACAATGCCAGATATTTACTTTGCAGATGAATGACTTCATTGCTTGCCCCAAATGCATCACTGGTGGGTAATATTTATGCAGATTGGAAGCATTCTCCCTCCTTTATATGGTCCTGGGCTGTTTGTAACCATTGGATTTTTTTACCTTTTGACTTGACGTTGTTCTTCACGGGACCGTGGTATGGGATGCATTTCAATAAACAATACCAAAGGACAGATTTCGGCTTTAAATAAAATTGTGTTCCGTAAAGTGGGAGACAAAGGCTTATAACTCACTGTCGGCTGCAGACATTTTGGCAAAAATTATCTTTCAGGCTTTGATCTCCACTGTATCATTTTACTGAGTGGCCCCATGTGCTCTATCAATCAAACCCACTGAAGATGCAGGAGAATCACATTTAAAATCAAATACAAATTGTAGATTCATCTGCCCAGGAGGAAGAGAAATGTGTCATGAATCCTGCCTTCAGTCTTCTATGATTACAACGGAATTAGTTTTTGAAAACTCCAGAGGATGGTTTTCCACTTCCCAACTTTCATATTATTATTATTATTTTTGAAGGGGGTAACATTAGATGGGTAGAGAGGTAGACTAAAGTGATTCAGCTGTGAGATCGGAGTCTCGCCTTCCATCTAACTGTAGGTTAGGGCCTTTTAATATTCCTCTGACAGAGATTCTTTATGTAGGAAGGGATGTTAAGAAGAAAGATGTTCTCTAACAAGAAAACATTTAGACAAAGAGGATATGACCTCCCTCACTCAATCTCGCCTGCTTTCTTGGCATACATGGGAAGAGAGGATGAACTAGAAAGGAAATATTATTTGCTGATCTCCTTTCTTTGTCTGAGGCACATTGCACAGGATGTCTCATTTGATATTCACATGCCCATGTGAGGTGAACAATCCACACCATGCTTTACAGAAGGGGAAACTGAGGTCAAGAAACATGCTCATGGGCCGGGCGCGGTGGCTCACACTTGTAATCCCAGCACTTTGGGAGGCTGAGGTGGGCGGATCATGAGGTACAGCATTCGAGACCAGCCTGGCCAACATGGTGAAACCCTGTCTCTACTAAAAATACAAACATTAGGCCAGGTGTGGTGGCATGCACCTGTAATCCCAGTTACTCGGGAAGCTGAGACAGGAGAATCGAATGAACCCGGAAGGCAGGAGGTTGCAGTGAGCTGAGATTGCACCATTGCACTCCAGCCTGGGCAAAAAGAGCGAAACTCCATCTCAAAAAAAAAAAAAAAAGAAAGAAAAACAAATATTAGCCGAACATCGTGGCACGTGCCTGTAATCCCAGCTACTCAGGAAGCTGAGGTAGGAGAATCGCTTGACCTCACGAGGTGGAGGTTGCAGTCAGCCAAGATTGTGCCACTGCACTCCAACCTGGGTGACAGAGCAAGGCTCTGTGTCAACAAAAAAAAAAAAAAAAAAGAAAAAGAGAAAAGAAACATGCTTATGGCTGAAGAGCTGAGCCCAAGTCTATGTGATTCTGAATAACATGCTTTTAATTTAATTAATTAATTAATTTACTTATTTATTTATTTGAGACAGGGTCTCACTCTGTCTCCCAGGCTGCAGTGCCATTGCACCATCATGGCTTGGCTCACTGCAGCCTTGACCTCCTGGGCTCAAGTGATCCTCCCACCTCAGCCTCCCAACTACCTGGGACTACAGGCACACACTGCCATGCTCAACTAATTTTTTTTTTTGTTTTTTTGCATTTTTTGAGGAGACGGGGTCTTACTATGTTGCCTAGGCTGGTCTTGGACTCCTGCATTCAATTGACCCTCCTGCCGCGACCTCCCAAAGTACTGGGATTATAGGCTTTAGCCACTGTGCCCAGCCTAAAACTTTTGAGAAAGAATGCTTCTTGTTGATTGTCTCCCCTCTCTATTACCTTAGTGTCTGGCATATAGTAGGTGCTTGAAAGCACTTGTTTAGTGCCTAAGCCAGGGGCTGACAACCTTACTGTAAAGGCCCAGATAGTGGATTATTTGAGGCTTTGGGGGCCATGTGCTCTCTTGCAACCATGCAACCCTGCCGTTGTAGTGCAAAAGCAGCCACAGACAATACTTTATTTATAAACTCTGAAATTGGAATTTCATATAATTGTCATGTAATGACGTATTATTCCTTTTGTCTTTTTCCCACTAACTATTTAAAATGTAAGAACTAGCTGGGCGCAGTGGCTCATGCCTGTAATCCCAGTACTTTGGGAGGCCGAGGTGGGCGGATGACCTGAGGTCAGGAGTTCGAGACCAGCCTGGACAACATGGTAAAGCCCTGTCTCTACTAAAAATACAAAAATTAGCTGGGTGTGGTGGCAGGTGCCTGTAATTCCAGCTACTCAGGAGGCTGAGGCAGTAGAATCGCTTGAACCTGGCAGGCAGATGTTGCAGTGAGCTGAGATGGTGCCACTGCACTCCAGCCTGGGCGACAGAGCGAGACTCCATCTCAAAATAATAATAATAATAATAATAATAATAATATAAAATGTAAGAACCATTCTTTCTTAGCTTTCAGGCCATAGGAAAACAGGCAGCTCGGATTTGGCCTTCAGGCTGTATTTTGCAGATTCCTGGTCTAAATAATTACCTTAATTATCACAGTAGCAGATACTAGCAGATACTAAGAACTAGTGTATCTCCAAAGTCTAGTTTGGTGCCCGGTACAAACATTCTTTCCCCAAGGTGGAGTCCACTTGACCAGAGTGGAGAGTTACAGTGCTGGGGAAGAGTTGGAAGACATCGCTGCCTGGGGGTGGGGGAAGGGCAGAGAAATCTCTTGGGGTTTGTTCTGGGGAAACTGGGAATTGTGGGAGAACTGAGGAGGCGGGAAAGGGGACTTTAAGAATATTATTGTGGGCCAGGCGTGGTGGCTCACGCCTGTAATCCCAGCACTTTGGAGGCTGAGGCGGGCAGATCACGAGGTCAGTAGATCGAGACCATCCTGGCTAACACAGTGAAACCCCGTCTCTACTAAAAATACAAAAAAGTAGCCGGCCATGGTGGCGGATGCCTGTAGTCCCAGCTACTCGGGAGGCTGAGGCAGGAGAATGGCGTGAACCTGGGAGGCGGAGCTTGCAGTGAGCTGAGGTCGCACCACTGCACTCCAGCCCGGGCGACAGCGAGACTCTGTCTCAAAAAAAAAAAAAAGAGTATTATTGCAGGTTAGGAATTGGACCTTTTATTACAGAGGTTCTCACTGGGGACTGAATTGTCCCATGTGTGTGTGTTTGTGTGTGTGTGTGTGTTTGTGTGTGTGTGTGTGTGTCTGTGTGTGTGTGTGTGTTTGTGTGTGTGTGTTTGTGTGTGTGTGTGTTTGTGTGTGTGTGTGTGTGTGTGTTTGTGTGTGTGTGTTTTAAATCTGCAGAGAGCTTTTGGTTGCCCTAATGATAGGGATGGGGGAGTCATTACGGTGTGGGGTAGTTTTTTGAATATATATATGTGTAGATCCCAAATTCATATGGGTTAGAAGAACCATGATTATCAGAGTCTATAACCTTGTTCTATTTTTTTTTTTTTTTTTGAAACAGAGTCTCACTCTGTCACCCAGGCTGGAGTGCAGTGGTGCCATCTCGGCTCACTGCAACCTCTGCCTCCCCGGTTCCAGCGATTCTCCTGCCTCAGCCTCCCGAGTAGCTGGGACTACAGGCGGGTACTACCACGTCCAGCTAATTTTTGTATTTTTAGTAGAGACGGAGTTTCACCCTGTTGGCCAGGATGGTCTTGCTCTCTTGATCTTGTGATCGGCCCACCTCGGCCTCCCAAAGTGCTAGGATTACAGGTGTGAGCCACCACGCCCGGTCCAACCTTCTTCTATTTTATCTGCCTATTCTATTTTATATGTTTACATGTTCTATTTTACATGTAAGTGTTGAATGAACACTGATGTTTCCAAGAATGTAGCAGCTATGGTGTAAATCAAGAGAAGATTTGACTCTGTTTGGTATGGGAATTTATCAAGAAAGAGCCACTCTTTTGAAGAACATGGCACTCTCAGTAAAGCCGATGCGACAACACACCACGCTGTCTGCGTTTGTGACTGTCACTGGTTATTCTACACACACGTGTGTGAGCACTTGACTGCTTCGCTCCGTCTTTCCTGGTGGAAACCCAAATCATTTCTCTATATATTATTTCATTAGAAATCCTCATCATTTCATTTCTCCTTTTTATTATAATTAGGGCACAATTGTGATTGGTTAGAAGAGTAGATGGGTTATAGGATCAGCACATTTTTTTTTTTTCAGGGTAGAAAAGAGAGCTTTTCAGCTGGGCATGGTGGCTCACGCCTATAATCCCAGCACTTTGGGAGGCTGAGGCTGGTGGATCATTTGAGGTCAGGAGTTCGAGACCAGCCTGGCCAACATGGTGAAACCCTGTCTCTACCAAAAATACAAAAAAAACAATGTACCGGGCATGGTGGCACGCATCTGTAATCCCAGCTACTCGGGAGGCTGAGGCACGAGAATCGCTTGAACTCAGGAGGTGGAGGTTGCAATGAGCCAAGATCCCACCACTGCCCTCCAGCCTGGACTATAGAGTGAGACCCTGTCTCAAAAAAAAAAGAGGGCTTTTCAATTGGTTGGTTAAAACATGGGACATTGGATCTGATGGCACCAAGAATGCCTGCCCTGTAACACTGTTTGAGCTGATGTGTGGGGAACTGCTTTTGGATTACTTATGGGTTGCTGAAATATACTTCTTTGAATGCAGAGATTGGGCCCCTGATTATATTTGGGAGGCAAAACCATCACCTTGTAGGCACCTGGCAGGGTAAAATAAATGGATGCTTCTTAGAGGCCAACTGCTCTCTCACTTCCTGTTTCCGTTTTGTTTGCAGCGTAAAGCCAGATGCCTTTTATCTCTTGTATCAGTGCTGGTTGTCTGAGAATTTTTTTTTTTTTTTTTGGACAGAGTCTCGCTCTGTCACCCAGGCTGGAGTGCAGTGGCGCAGTCTTGGCTCACCGCAACCTCTGCCTCTTGGGTTCAAGTGATTCTCCTGCCTCAGCCTCCCAAGTAGCTGGGATTACAGGTGTCCACCACCATGTTCAGCTAATTTTTGTGTTTTTAGTAGAGATGGGATTTCACCATGTTGGCCTGGCTGGTCTCAAACTCCCGACCTCAGGTGATTCACCTGTCTTGGCCTCCCAAAGAGCTGGGATTACAGGTGTGCACCACCACACCCAGCTAATTTTTGTATTTTTAGTAGAGATGAGGTTTCACCATGTTGTCCAGGCTGGTCTTGAACTCCTGATCTCAAATGATCTGCCTGCCTCAGCTTCCCAAAGTGCTGAGATTACAGGCATGAGCCACCATGCCTGGCCTGGGCAGAGTTTTTAAAAATGCTTCAAACTCTCCTTTAGCTCAGTTTCGGTAGAGTCATTCCTTTACAGTATAGTTACAGTGGAGCTGCCAATCAGCTCAGGCCACACCCAGCCCACAGTCTCAGAGGGGCTGGGTCCCTGCTCTTTCTCTCTCCCTGAAAAGTGGCTGTTAATTTTCTCCTTTAGTCTCCTTTCCCCAGAAAGATATTTCCCTTTACCTTATGGGAGTTTGATAAAACTGGCATCTCCAGCCTTCTTTTCCTTATGTTGGTTTTTCTGCCACAAAAGGCCCAGAGACATTGTCTATGGAACGTTTGGCTGCAGCTGGGCAGGTGTTTTATTCTATTGGAAAATTCCACTAGGATTTTCTATGATTACAATAGAGCATGGGTCCTCAGTCAAACCCTCCACCACTTATAAGAAGCTCTGTGACTTTGGGGAAGTGACTTAACCTCTCTGAGCCTCACTTTTTCTATTTGGAAAGAGTGATGGGTTGGTAGGTTTTATGTGTTAACTCTTAGGGATACAGGGTGCACAGCTATTTGCCTAAACATCATTTTGGGTGTGTTCGTGAGGGCGTTTTGGGATGACTGTCATTTAAATTGGCAGATTGAGGGAAGCAGTTGCCCCTCCTAATGTGGGTGGACTTCATCCAATCCACGGAAGACCTGAATAGAGCAAAAGTCGGTCCTTTCCGAAGTAAGAGAGAATTCCTCCTGCCTGAAGGTTTTTAAACTGCACCATTGGCTTTTTTCTGCCTTTGTACTCAGACTGAAACACTGCTCTTTCCGGGTTTCGAGCCTGCTGGCCTTAGGACTGGAACTAACACCATCAGTTCTCTGGGGTCTCCAGTTTGCTGCCTCGCCCTGCAGATGACAGCACTTGTTAGCCTCCATAATTGCGTGAAATCTCTTTCTCTGTTTAGACATTGGTTCTGTTTCTCTGGAAAACCCCAGTCAATACAGGCGGTGATCATATTTTGAGGATTAAATGATACAATGAATAGAATATGCTTAACACACAGTGAGTGCTTGGCACATATGATCTCCTCAATACACATCAGCTTTATCATGGAAATTATTATGTATCATTATACAAAATATAATAAGATTTCAAACTTGTGTTCTCTTACATGTCCTCTAAATTATTCAATGGAACAAAAAACTCTTCACTCATTTTTGTGTGTATGCAAACTTAATGTCTTTCAATAAATTTTCCAAGTTATTGTATGTTCGCAAGGACATAATTCTGTTTGACTTCCCATCTTTCCAATACTAGTAGTGAGCCTCATTAGCACATGAATGCTGGTGTCTGTGAGATGTGCTTGCCTTCACTGTCCTGTTTGCCTTGCCCAAGGTGGGCGATGGAAAGGACAAGCCATCTATTATTGGTTGGAGGAAGGACCAACCATCTACTGTGGCAGTCTGCTCAGGCTGCCATACAAAATACCACATACTACGTGGCTTAAACAGGAGACATTTATTGTTCACTATTCTGGGGGCTGGGAATTCGAAGATCAAGGTGCTGGGTGATTTGTTTCTCCAGTGAGGGCCCTCTTTGTGGCTTTCAGTTGGAAGCCTTCTTGTTGTATCCTCACAGGGGAGAGAGAGAGCACGCAAGCATGAGAGAGTGCAAGAGAGAGAGGGAGAGATCAAGCAAGAGTGAGAGACAGAGAAAGACATCTCTGGTGTCTCTTCTAATATGGACACATCACATCTCCAGGACCTTAGGCTTATGATCTCATCTAAACATAATCACCAAAGCCGCATCTTCAAATACCCAAATACCGTAACACTGGTAATTAGGGTGTCAGCTTCGACATATCAGTTTGGGGGTGGAGGCACAAACGTTCATTTCATAGCACTTCCTTTTCCAAAAATGCTCCTTAATCCCTCCCTGCCATCCTTGCTATTCTCATTTGACAGATGAGGAAATTAAGACTCCACGATGTGCCTTAGGTTGCCCATAGCTGTACATCTTATAAGTGCGAGCTCCCCAGATAATTGCATTCATCCACAAGAGCAGAGTTAACCACAGCATCATAGCCATCCAGGGAGCATAATGCCCCGTTAAAAATAACAAAGCGTAGAGACCCAGCCTGAACTGAAGATGTGTCTGTGGTTGGGGTTCAGGGTTCTTTGATTTCCAGATCTACCACCCAGATATTTGTCAAGTTACATCTACCTCTGGTGCTCATTTCCATATCTCTAAAACAGAAATAATAACTGAGAGGATTTTGTGGCGTCATGCAGATGAAGTGGCTCTCAAGAGCCTGACTTAGTAAACGTTGGCTGCGTGTTGGGCATTATTAGCTAAGATGTATAAACAGCAGAGGTTTGGTTTGTATGAGTAGATCATATTCCTGCCTGTTGTCACTGAGGGAGAGCAGAGTCCTAAGGGGAGGGGACACAGGTCAGGAGAATTCTAGGGGGTGGGGGATGTTTCTGATTTCTCAACAATGGGTAAATCTGGGAATCTCATGAGAGCTTCAGTGGGTAAATCTTGGAATCTCGTGAGCAAAATGTGGACGTGAAGAAGGAAGAAAAGCTGCTTGGAGGATTGGTGAAGGAGGAGGGAAAGGGAAAAATAAAAGGAAAAAAACATTTAGGTGGTGCTAAGTGCCACACATTTTCCGTTTTTGCATCAGTGAATTGTAAAATCACACTGCAAGGCTGGGGATATTATCCCCATTTTACAGATGAGAGAGAGGAGGCTGGGCAAGTTAATGAACTGGTTCAAAGTATCACAGCTAGAGAGTTGGAGCCAAAGTGAGATCGCACAGCTACGCAGACTCTAAAGCCCTTGTCTGTATATTGAATCAAATTTCCCCTTTTTCTGGCTTAGGTAAACTGAGGCAGGAAGTGATGAGAAAGGGTTAAGAGACGTCGGCTGCTCCTTAAACATCTCCCTTCCCAGTGTCATTTGCCATCCATAAACTCTTTCAAAATGTGATAATGGTTTTGATTTTCCTGTCATCTCGATTTGATATGAGAAATTTGGGATTTCCAAATTGACAGAAAACTCGATTTTAAAGATGCTGGAAGGCAAACATCTGTGAAAAATCACAGGAATAATGTCAACATCTGTCCCTGTGAAAGGAAATTGCTGAGGTTCTCAATTTACAGCCAATCAATCAATCTTGGAGGCCAGGGTGCTTGCAAATTGAAATGCATGTTGAAGCTATAGGGATGGCTAATTAATTTAGTTTGTATGCCTATAAGATTTTTCATTGTTTCCAGTTAAAAAAAAATTCTCTTTTGAATAGAAAACGTGTGCATATGGTAAAAAAAAAAAAAAAATTAAACAGTACCAGAAAAAGTATACAGTGAAAATTAAGTTTGTTTTCCATCCCAACCACCAGTTCTTCTTCTCCAAGGTCACAAGTGTTGCTGGCTTCTCTTGAAAGTTTCCAGAGATACAATCTTTATATAGAAAAACATATGTATATATGTCTCCTCCCGGTTTTATAAATGATAGCCCATTGTACATATTACACTGCATCTTGACTTCATTCAACAATATATCTTTGAGGTTTTTGCATAGCAGTCCATATAGACATTCCTTATTCTTTTTATCAGCTGTGTAGTATTCCAGTATACGGATGTGTATAAATTAATCAGTTCCCTCATGGTGGACATTCAGGATATTTTCTGTCATTCTCCACAATTTATGCTAGTATGTCCATCTTGGTGTGTGTTCATCAGTAGGATACAAATCTAGAGGTGAGCCTCCTGGGCAGATGGGATGTGCATTTAAAGTATGATGCCTTCATGTAAAGGGAAGGTTTTCTTTTCTTTTTTCTTATTTTATTAAGAGACGGGGGTCTCACGATGTTGCCCAGGCTGGTCTTGAACTCCTGGGCTCTAGCAATCCTCCTGCCTCAGCCTTCCAAAATGCTGGGATTACAGACGTGGGCCACCGTGCCTGGCCAGGTTTTCTTTGTTATCTTGGAGGGAGCATCACCCCCGTCAAGGAGATCAGATTGGTGAAGGTGGGATGCTGTGTCTGAGAGCTTAATGACTGTTCACAGATATTGTGGCTGCCCTTCTCTAATGTACCTGCTTCTTCAGGCCCAAAAGGTGGAAATGATGTTTGTTTCTTACTTCTTTGGGGCTTTGACTGTGCCATTGAGATTTTGTGCTCAGGGATAAACTACCGTGTATTTACAGTTACCTCAACCTGTGAGGTTTGATGCCTCTTTCTTTCTTTCTTTCTTTCTTTCTTTCTTTCTTTCTTTCTTTCTTTCTTTCTTTCTTTCTTTCTTTTTCTTTCTGTCTCTTTCTTTCTTTCTTTCTTTCTTTCTTTCTTTCTTTCTTTCTTTCTTTCTTCCTTCCTTCCTTTCTTTCTTTCTTCTTTCTTTTTTCCTTCTTCTTTCTCTTTCTTTCCTCTTTCTCTCTCTCTTTCCCTCCCTCCCTTCCTTCCTTCCTCCATCCCTCCCTTCCTTTCTTGCTTTTTTTTTTTCTTGCTTTGTTACCCAGGCTGGAGTGCAGTGGCATGATCATAGCTCACTGCAGCCTTGAACTTCTGGGCTCAAGCAATCTTCCTGCCTTGGCCACCCTGGGATTACAGGTGTGAACCGTGGCGCCCAGCCTTGGCCACTTTCTTTATTCTAAACTTCTTTGTTCCATACTTTGCTTCTTTTCCCTGGATCCATCCCCACCAGCCTCCCTTGTCACTCCAGTGATAGGACACTCAGTCTTGCCAAGTCAATGTAAACCCAGACCCTTCTCATTTAAAACCTAGTCTCTTTGGTAAACAGTCAATTCAGGATTCTCACATCAATCTGAGTTTTAAATCTTAATTAGTTGAAAGATTTTCATATCTTTATCTTTCCACTTTGGTCACTGGCTTCGCTGTGGGTGCTGCACCACTCAGACCTCTGTGCAGGACCACCGAGGCCCTCTGTCCCCCCAGCTGCTGGGAGACCTGGCTGCTAACAGCTCATAGCAAAGTCCTGCCTCTGGCAAGAAGGCACCTGTAGGAAGCCACCTAGTGCTGGGAAATCCTCCTCCCCTCCTAGGCATCCCATAATCCTGGAGGGTTACAAAGGCTCTGTCCCTTGCCCCTCTGTATGGGAGTGTATTAGTCAGCGTTCTCTAGAGGGACAGAACTAATAGTATAGATGTATATAAAAAGCAGAGTTTATTAAGGAGTATTGACTCACACGATCACCAGGTGAGGTCTCACAATAGGCCATCTCCAAGCTGAGGAGCAAGGAAGCCAGTCCAAATCCCAAAGCCTCAAAAGTAGGGACGCTAACAGTGCAGCCTTCAGTCTGTGGTCAAAGGTCCAAGAGTCCCAAAGCTGAAGAACTCAGAGTCCGACGTTCGAGGGCAGGAAGCATCCAGCACGAGAGAAAGATGAAGGCTGGAAGACTCAGCCAGTCAAGCCCTTCCATGCTGCTCTGCCTGCTTATATTCTAGCTATGCTGGCAGCTGATTAGATGGTGCCCACCCAGATTGAGGGTGGGTCTGCTTTTCCTAGTCCACTGACTCAAATATTAATCTTTTTTGGCAACACCCTCACAGACACATCCAGAAACAATACTTTGTATCCTTCAATCCAATTAAGTTGACACTCAGTATTAACCATCACAGGGGGTGTCTCAGGGGTCCTGGCGACTGTTCCACAGTGCCACTCCCCTCTCTGCCCAATGCTGCTTCCTTGCTTTCCAGCAGGTGCTCCTCCCAGTAAACCCCCTGCACCCAGATCTCCATCCCACAGCTTGTCTCTCTAGAAACCTGACCTATGACAGGCTTATAAACACCACAACAGGGCATGGGTATGGGCCAGGAGAGCTACTCCTCTCATCTGCTGAGGGTCCTACCCCAGGACCCCTGGGGAGGGATGAGGTCCCTGTTGTTCATCTGGGTGATCATCTAACTCCTGATGAGCCCAGGAGTTAGAGACCGGCCTGGGCAACGAAGTGAGACCCCATCTCTCCAAAAAAAAAAAAAAAAGTCAAAAAATTAGCCAGATGTGGTGCATGCCCCCAGCTACTTGGGAGGCTGAGATGGGAGGATAGCATTAGCCCGGGAGGTTGAGGCTGCAGTGAGCTATGATTGCACCACTGCTCTTCATCCTGGGTGGCAGACTGAGACCCTGTCTCAAAAAAGTTGTCATGGTCCTATGACATTTTTTTAGGTCCTATGCAGGGGTGCAGGTGGAGGTGGTTTCTGGTTCTACCTGACTGTCTTCGTTCAGCCTGGTCCATTTGTTGACTCTGCTACCCAGAAGTGAAAGAATATGGCATCTTTCTCATCTCTATATGGTCCCCATGCAGTAAGGAGTTGACTCAGCCGGTCTGGGGAGTTCAAATCCTGCACATTCCAAAGAAAGCTCTGGCCGTTGATTGGCTCCTGGGAGATAACCGCCAAGTCTTTGGAACATTCTGCCTGATAAGAGTGTCTTTGTTTACCTATGGCCTCAGGCTGAGCTAGCTAGTCCATGCTAACAATGCAATTTATGGTGAGTGCCTGTTTTTGTATGTGTCAGTTTGACCTCTAGAGGGGCTGGAGACTGAGTAACAAAAGTCACCCATGCAGGTGCTCCATGCCTGGGTGATGAAATGCTGATAAAACCCCTGGACACCAAGGCTTGGGGGAGCTGCTGTGGCTGGCAGTACTTTGTATACATTGCTAATTGTCTCTTATAGCTTGGCTGTGTCCCCACCCAAATCTCATCTTGAATTGTAGCCCCCACAATTCCTACGTGTTGTGAGAGGGACCCAGTGGGAAGTAATTGAATCACAGGAGTGGTTTCCCCCATACTGTTTTCATGGCAGTGAATAAGTCTCACAAGATCTGATGGTTTTATAAGGAGAACCCCTTTCACTTGGCTCTCATTCTCTCTTTGCCAGCCGCCATGTAAGACATCCCTTTGCTCTCCCTTGCTCTTCTGCCATGATTGTGAGGCCTCCCTAGACACGTGGAACTGCGAGTCCATTAAACCTCTTTTTTTTTTTCATAAATTACCCAGTCTCGGGTGTGTCTTTATCAGCAGCATGAAAACAGACTAATACAGAGCATTAGGAGCTATCCTTCTAACTCCACTGGGAGAAAACTACTGGAAACTTACCCCTGGTCTCTCTTGGAGAGACCTATGCATCTTGTACCTTGGTTGATTTTAATCTGTATCCTTTTAGTGCAATAAACAATGTTCATGGGGACAATGGCTTTCCTGATTCTGTGGGTCCTTCTGGCAAATCAATGGGCCTGAGGGTGGTCTTGGAGATCCCTGACAAAAGTCACTGTAGCCAGGGACCATCTTCTGTTGAGCTTATTTCAGAGGAAGATGTCATAGGTAACGGGCGTTGGGGGCACCCTGGTTCCATTTGTTGACTCTGCTACCCAGAAGTGAAAGAATGTCGCATCTTTCTCATCTCTGTATGGTCCCCTGCAGTAAAGAGTTGACTCAGGAGGTCTGGGGAGTTCAAATCCTGCACATTCCTAAGAAAGGTCTGGCCCTTCACTGGCTCCTGGAAGATAACCACTAAGTCTTTGCAGCATTGTGCCTGATAAGGGTGTCTTTATTTGCCTTTGTTCTAGTTCTTGTTCTAGGTGCTGGTGATAGAACTGTGAACCAAAGGTCATTGCCTTCAAGGAGTTTATATTCAAGTGGAGAAGATGGAAAACCCTCCCCTCACAAACAAACAGACTCTGAAACCTGATAAATAAATATTAGCATTCAGTGAAGTGTTAATGAGTTTCTGTGAGCACATACAATCCTTAGCAGAGTTTATCTCATCCTGCCTGAGCTAGCCCCTGCCTCCCTCCCCAGCCCACATATTTTGCCACACCCTTTTCATTCCTCCCAACATTCCAATTCCTTCAACACATGGAACTCCTTCTCACCCCAGGGCCTTTGCACATGTTACTATCTCTGTATAAATGCATTCCTCTCACTTGACACCTGGATAACTCCTCATTGTCCTAGTCTTAGCTTAAATGTCATCATCTGGCCAGGCCTGATGGCTGACACCTGTAATCCCAGCACTTTGGGAGGCGGAGGTGGGAGGTTCGCTTGAGCCCAGGAGTTACAGACCAGCCTGGGCAATGAAGTGAGACCCCATCTCTACCAAAAGAAAAAAAAAATCAAAAAATTAGCTGCATGTGGTGCTGCATGCCTGTAGTCCCAGCTACTTAGGATGTTGAGGTGGGAGGATCATGTGAGCCTGGAAGGTCGAGGCTGCAGTGAACTGTAATTGCACCATTGCACCTCATCCTGGGTGACAGAGTGAGACTGTCTCAAAAAAAAAAAAAATTCATGACCTTGGGGAAGCCCAGTTGGATACTCTCCTCTTTCCCCAGACCAGCTGGATCTACCATCATAGGCTGTTATAGCATGCATCCAATTCTCTCTCTCTTTCTCTCGCTCCTTTTTTTTTTTTTTTTTTGTAGAGATGCAGTCTCACTATATTGCCAGGGCTGGTCTTGAATTCCTGGGCTCAAGCAATCCTCCCACCTCGGCCTCCTAAAGTGCTGGGATTACAGGTGTGAGCCACCATGCCTGGCCTGTTACCTTTCATTTTTATTTCAGTCATCATTCTGAGTGGCTGAGCATATGGATGTGTTGATTGTTGAAATAAATCATTTAGGCAAATTGTTACGGGCCCCATCTAAATTCAGAATCCAGCCATGGATCTGGTCTGTAATTCTTCCCAGCCACACTCTTCCCTGTTGGAGTCCGAGTTCTCCACTCTAGACCTGCAGCGGGAAGCTTTCCAGGGACCAGCCAGTTCCACCGCCTCCAGAGCCACCCCTCACCTGCTGACCTCTTCCTATGTTAGCTGCCCCTCTCGCTGCCTGCTGCCCTTCCCCGGGCCAGCTGATACGAGAGCTGGCGATAACTTGAAATGCTCCCCGCAGAAGATAAATGAGAGGGGAATCTCAGCAGGCATTGAGCTCTGTACCTAACGACTGGCAGTTGGGGCTTCTAATTTTAGGCCTGGGAAGGAAGCTGATTTCTGTGATGAAGGTGGCCACACGCTTTATCAAGGGCCAATTTAGCAAAAATCTAAAATGTATATGAAGCCGTGGTAAGTCTGGATTTTCTTGGTATTTATGCTGGGAGGTTACTTAATGAGCGTTTGCTGTGTGACCACATTGCGGTATTAATCATAGGTGGCATTATAATTCTCTAAAATAACAGCCATAAGGCATCAGGGCAATTGAGGCTTGTATTAAGGGAATGGTCCTTTTTTTTCTTGCTGAAGTTAGGCAGCATGAGGCTGGTGTGTTTTTCCTTAAGGCACCAAGGCATCTGAGGTTTTGCACTGGGAATCCCTGGGCTCTCTGGGCCCTCTGGGTCCCTAGGGTCTTCTACTTGCCAACACAGCCTTGGGTTCTCTGCTTCCTGTTGGGGTGACAGGAACACATTGGTGGTCTCTGATGGATATACCAGGCGCTCTGCATAATTTTTCTTCTTGCTTCCGGGGGTAACTCCAGCCCCATCCCTTGAAGGTGAATTTTATGTTATATATATATTTTTTTGCTTAGGCAAGTTTGATTTGGGTTATATTTTCATCATAAAGAATCATGACTATTGCAAATCATTATATAGAAAAGTGATTTTATTCTTGAGCCTGAGATATTCACAGTGAAAATGACAACACATTATTTCTGAGACACCTGCTGGGGGCATCCACCACTTTCCCCCAACCCATTCTCTCTATTCACCTCCAACCAATTTTATCCAAAAGCCAGCTCAGCTGACTGTACAACCACAAGGGATTTGGAGTTAGATGGATATGGCATTTATCAGCTGAATGATCTTGGGCATAATACTCAAACCTTCTGTGCCTCTGTTTTCTCATCTTTAAACGGGGATAGCACAGGGTTGGTGTGAGGAATAAATGAGTTATTATTGTCATAGTAATATACTAACATATAGTTAAATATAATTCTATCTGTCAGATGTAGACAGGGGTGGAGAATGCCTTGGAAGTCATTTCTTCCTACAGAATAAGTGATATGGTTTTGCTGTGTCCCCACCCAAATCTCATCTTGAATTCTAGCTCCCATAATTCCCATGTGTCATGGGAGGGACCCAGTGGGAGATAATTGAATCATGGGGGCAGTTCCCCCATACTGTTCTCATGGTAGTAAATAAGTCTGATAAGAGCTGATGGTTTTATAAGGGGTTTCCCCTTCTGCTTGGCTCTCATTCTCTCTTGCCTGCTGCCATGTAAGATGTGCCTTTTGTCTTCCGCTATGACTGTAAGGCTTCCCCAGCCATGTGGAACTGTGAATCCATTAAACCTATTTTTCCTTATAAATTACTCAGTCTGGGGTGTGGGGGTATGTCTTTATCAGCGTGTGAAAATGGTACCATAAGGAAGTACCTTAAGGTTAGACAATAAGTACAATAAGGAAGGAGGACCGCAATCCAGTCTTGTCTCCCAGAGCCTTGGCACAGAAAGATGGTAACCAATGCTTTGTCTTGGAAAATCCCTCCTACCTGCTGGGGAGACAAAGGAGCAAATCCAGCAGAAGATGGAGGGGAAGTGCTGGTTGAGTTGCTTGGCACCCCTTGCCTTTTTTCACCCTCTTCCTCAGCTCCCTGATCACCATACTCTCCCTGTGTCTTTTGGCTCCTGAGATCAGTTGTTGATGAAATGCTGGGCTGCGCTCACTCCCAGAGTGGGAGGAAATGGATGTGGGAACCCTCTTGGGGAGATGGGCAGTTACCGGGGCCCAGAGAACCAATGAGGGCTTTATCCTGCAGTCAGAGTTCAACACCAGCCCTTCCCAGAATCAATCACACCCTCCTTTCCACTATTTCACTGTCTGCCGTGAACTAACAGACATTGGTTGTGTTGCCCTCAGATTCATAGGCTGAAGTCTAACCCCCAATGTGATGGTATCAGGAGGTGAGGCCTTTGGAAAGTAATGAGATCATGAGGGTGGAGCCCTCATGAATAGGATTAGTGCCCTTGTAAGAAGAGATATGAGAGAGATGATACCCGTCTCTCCACCACATGAGGACACAGTGAGAAGGCAGCCATCTGCAAGCCAGGAGAGAGTCCTCACCAGACCCTGACCATGCCAGCACCCTGATCTCAGACTTCCCAGCCTCCAGAACTGTGAGAAATAAATTGCTGTTGTTTAAGCTTCACAGTCTATTATAATTTGTTATAGCAGCTCAAGCTAACTAAGACACTACCCTGACACTCTATTTCAGAAATGACAAGGTTTGGGCTGGGTGTGGTGGCTCATTCCTGTAATCCCAGCACTTTGGGAGGCCAAGGTGGGTGGATCACCTGAGGCCAGGAGTTCAAGACCAGCCTGGCCAACATGGTGAAACCCTGTCTTTACTAAAAATATAAAAATTAGCAAGGTGTGGTGGTGCACACCTGTAATCCCAGTACTCTGGAGGTTGAGGCAGGAGAATCACTTGAACCTTGGAGACGGAAGTTGCAGTGAGCCGAGATCATACCACTTGTACTCCAGCCTGGGTGACAGAGTGAGACTGTCTCAAAAAAAAAAAAAAAAAAAAAAAGATGAGATTTGACTTCACAAACTAAAACTTTTGTTCAGAGAGAAGAGGAAAAGGGAGGGTGGGGGAAACCACCCATGCTCCCAAAGATATGAGACGTAGAATTGATCTAAGTGCCACAAAGCAGAATTTTTCTGACTCCATTCTGTTTCTCCTGTGATAATTCAGCTGCTTTCAAATTCCTCTCCTCTCAGACGGTCCTGAGAATCCAGTGGGAGTTTTCTCTGTGCTCCAGAACATAGTGGCCTCTTGCATTCATTCCCTACCAGAAATAATGTCTCATTCACCAGCTATTTTCTCAGCCAATAATTTTTGTCCACCCCCATTCCTCCTTCAGAAACTTGCCCTTCCCAGAGCCCTAGGAGACCCAGAACCCCATAGGATTCTTTTGGCTCTGGCCATGGCTGTGTACCAAGGGGTTGGATATGGGATTACAGCCAGGCCATGTGGACTCTCTCCCAGAAATTTGGAGTTGAAAATCTCTGAGCTTATCTCTGGAAGGTGCTTGAAACTAGAGGGGGATAGAAAGTTGGTGACAATATAGTCATGTTTGGCCTGTGGACAATTGCAATAGAAAAAACTGATATGCAGGGTGATATGGTTTGGCTGTGTCCCCACCTAAATCTCAAATTGTAGCTCCCATAATTTCCACATGTCATCGGAGGGACATGGTGGGAGGTAATTGAATCGTGGGGCGGGTTTTTCCCATGCTGTTCTCGTGATAGTGAATAGGTCTCACGAGATCTGATGGCTTTAAAAAGGGGAGTTCCCCTGCACACACTCTCTTGCCTGCCACCATGTAAGACATGACTTTGCTCCTCATTCGTCTTCTGCCATAATTGTGAGATCTCCAAAGCCATGTGGAACTGGGAGTCCGTGACCACTCTTTTTCTTTATAAATTACTCAGTCTTGGGTATGTCTTTATTAGCATTGTGAAAACAGACTAATACATGGGGGGGCGGAGAGAGAGAGAGGGAGAGAGGGAGATGGGGAGCGAGAAGATGGGGGAGAGAGAGTGAGAGAGAGAGACAGAGAGAAAGAAAGAAGAGATTGAGAACACAATACAGACTTAGGAAGGACAGACCGGGAGCTCCCAGAAAGACAGAGACAGGCTGTGTTGACTCCTGCTATCTTTCTATCCCAAAACCCTGCTGTGCTTTCTGACTTTGGTTTTGTGGGATGCTTTATTTAATAGGTTGAACTGTGTTCTCCAAAGAGATATGTTGAAAGCCCTAACATCTCAGTACCCCAGAATGTGACCTCTGTTGGAAACAGGGTCATTGCAGATGTAATTACGAAGATGTGATACTGGAGTAGGGTGGGCCCTTAATCTAATACGAGATTGTCCTTAGAAGAAGTAGGAAATTTGGACACAGACCCACAGGGAAGACCCCCTTGTGACAATGGGGATAGCGATTGAAGTTCCATTTTAATGTACGTGCTGCCGAAGCGAGCACAAGGTAGAGATTGAAGTGAAGCTGCTACAAGCCCAGGAATGCCTATGGTTACCAGAAGCCAGGAAAGGAAAGGATGGGATCTTCCCCAGAGGCTCGGGGTACAGCTTTGTGAACCCCTTGATTTTGGACTTCTTCCCTCAAGAATTGTGAGAGAATAAATTTCTCTTGTTTCAAGCCACCTCGTTTGTGCTGTTTTGTTAATCATCCTTAGGAAATCAATATGCCCCTTATCCTTCTTGAATGAGCTCTGTACCTTATAATGAGATTATTGCAGTCTAAAAATCTAGAACTAGTTGCAGGAACATCACAGACAAGGGAAAGTTTGAACCACACCATGGATGAGTGACAAGCTTGGAAAAGAAGGGCACTTCACCTCTGTGGTATTCTTTGCAAAAACTCATGACCTGAGTCTAATCATGAAAAAAGAAAAAAATCAGACAAACTCAAATGGAGGCTAATACGGTTTGGCTCTGTGTTCCAAATCTCATCTTGTGGCTCCCATAATTCCCACGTGTTGTGGGAGGGACCTGGTGGGAGATGATTGAATCATGGGGACAGGTTTTTCCCGTGCTGTTCTCGTGATAGTGAATTAGTCTTATGAGATCTGATGGTTTTTAAAAATGGGAATTTCCCTGCACAAGCTCTTTTTGCCTGCTGCCATCCACATCAGATGTGACTTGCTCCTCCTTGCCTTCCACCATATTTGTGAGGCCTCCACAGCCACGTGGAACTGTAAGTCCAATAAACCTGTTCTTTTGTAAATTGCCCAGTCTCAGGTATGTCTTTATCAGCAGCATGAAAATGGACTAATACAGAGATATATCCTGCAAAATCCGTCCCCAGTACTCCTGAAAACTGCCAAGCTCTGTAGAGTTAGAGTTAGAATACCTTTTGTTGTTGAAGATGTGAGGGAAGTATGCATGTGAATTGACTGCTGAATTCACTTTTTTTTTTTTTGAGACGGAGTCTCGCTCTGTCGCCCAGGCTGGAGTGCAGTGGCGGGATCTCGGCGCACTGCAAGCTCCGCCTCCCCGGTTCACGCCATTCTCCTGCCTCAGCCTCCCAAGTAGCTGGGACTACAGGCGCCCGCCACTACGCCCGGCTAATTTTTTGTATTTTTAGTAGAGACGGGGTTTCACCGTTTTAGCCGGGATGGTCTCGATCTCCTGACCTCGTGATCCGCCCGCCTCGGCCTCCCAAAGTGCTGGGATTACAGGCGTGAGCCACCGCGCCCGGCCCTGAATTCACTTTTGTGCCATTTTTGTAAATACAATAGTTTTGTACAACCTTAGAAAAATAAGGAAAGGCTGAAGAAGCTACACATTTGGTTGGTGTGGTTTCTAATGTAGTTTTATTTTACATTAAAAGGTTTAGACAATGGGTCCTCATGGCAGTTGCTGGTGACTTACCTTGTAGTTGTAAAGCTGGGTTCTTGTTTTCTTTTTCTTTTAAATGAAATTATAATAATAATAATAATAATAATAATAATTATTATTATTATTATTATTATTATTTTGAGACAGCCTCTTGTTCTGTTACCCGGGCTGGAGTGCAGTGGTAAGTCGTAGCTCACTGCAGCCTTTAACTCCTAGATTCAAGGGATCATCCCATCTCAGCCTGCCAAGTAGCTGGGACCACAGGCAGATGCCTTCACGCCTGGCTAATTTTTAAATTGTTGGTAGAGATGAGGTTTCTGTATGTTGCCCAGGCTGGTCTCTAACTCCTGTGCTCAATCGATCCTCCTGCCTCAGCCTCCCAAATTGCTGGGATGATAGGTGTGAGCCACTGCACCTGGCTGAGGCCTTGTTTTCTTGCTGGCTGTCAGCTGGGGACCTCTATCAGCTTCTAGAGGCCACCTGCATTCTTTGACATGGCCCTGTCACAACATGGTAGCTTACTTCCTCCTAGCCAGCAAGGGAGTCCCTAAGTCTCCTAAGGGGAAATCTTATTTGGTGAAATATGATCAAGGGAGTGACATTTGGCACCTTTGCCATATTCTGTTGATTAGAAGCAGGTCACAAGTTCCATCCTCTCTCAGGCGGGGAGGCTTGTACAAGGGAGTCACCTTAGCTGTGTGCAATCAGGAATACAGCCCAGGGGCCGTGCCTGACAGTTAAGAGGACTCAGTGTGATCAAGCTGATCAATATGAAGTGGGTTAGGCAGCTGCCAGTGCTAAATTCTGTTTGGGAGTTTTCCAAGAACCAGCCCTACCCATGAGTATCTCTCTGGGTAAACCTCCTGCAACTTGGGAGTCACCTTAGCTGTGAGAACCGTTTTTCGATCTTACCAGCAAAAATGACAGCCCAGGGTATTCCAGGCAGCTGCTTCTCCAGCTCCAGGCAGATGATTTTGGCCCTGCCTTGCAACAGAAATGGAATCGTTTCGAGGGGATGGTCTCCTCGCTCTGGATCCAGCAGCAGCAGATGCTCCAGCCGAAGACGTGTGTCCACTCTGAGCAAGGTTGAGAGAATCAAATTAATTTCTTTTATGACCCGAGGCAAGCTTGAAATTGGCTCTTCCAAGATGAAAAAGGAGAGGCAGGAGTGGCTTGCCTGGCTCCCTACTCTCCTTCTCCTCCTGCCTCCACCTCCTTCCCAGCAGGGCTCCAGCAATTTAATCGGGGTGGGATTCCTTCCACCAAGCAAGGCAGTCTGTCACGCGCCGCTGCAGTAGGGGCCATGCCAGAGACAGCTTTTCGAAGCGGCATCTGTGGGCAGACATTTGGGCAACCCCACTAGGCTGGCAAGCCCTGGTCGATTTTTAGTGACCTCTTAGAAGTAGATGGGAGGGACTGTCAGCCATGCCGGAAGTGGGAGAGAGCAGAAGGGGTCAAAGACAAGCCTCGGCTGGGAAGAGCATCTCTGTGGTCCTGTAATTGATGATTGGGGTGGGGAGCATTGAAACGTTTCCCTTGAATCACAGCCTTCAGTGAGAATGGCTTTGCCTGCTGTTTGGACGGTGTGTTGAGAGTAGGGTAACCATATGTCCTCATTTGCTGCAACAGTCCCTGTTACGACTGCTTTCCTGGTTTTGCCTGTCTCGAAAGCATTCTGGTTTGGGCGATAACTTATAAGGTCATCCTAATTCTGGGTTTCACAGTCTCAGCACTGTGGACATTTTGGGCTAGATAATCCTTTGGGTGAGGGTTGTCCTGTGCACTGTAAGGTGTGTAGCAGCATCCCTAGGCTCTGCCCACTAGATGCCAGTAGCACAACCCCCTGCCCCATTGTCATTGCCAAATGTCCCCTGAGGGGAGGAGGAGGAATCACCCCTGGATGAGAACCATGGCCCTTTTTTAAGGGCACTGTTGAATCCTTCCTTCTGATACCATCTGGGGGTAACTTGAGTACTTGGTTCATGTTCTGGAAGGAAAAACTCCACATAGTGCTTCTGGGTTCATTTAGCCCATGTAAGCTTCGTTTTTCTGTTTCTTAGACCAGTATCTCACTTTTTGCAGGGAGAGGTGGGACCTCTCCTCCATTCTCAGCCCATGTGTTTTGGGTGACTCGAGAGACTGGGTTTGGCAGATGGGAGAATGCCATTCTCCTGGCTGTTGTGATTGATTCAGAAACCTGCCTTTAAGGTGGTTCAAAGAGCATCAGTGGCAGGACTTCTGTTAGGTGGATAGGGAAAGAGGGGTTCTCTTTTTGCTGGGGTTGCAAACCTGGTAGGGTGGAAACCGGGAGCTGCTGGTGGTCATCTCATCACCCTGGGGGAGAGCCTGCCTGAGAAGGAAATCACAGGAGAGCCGAGCTGAGAGAGGAGAAGGAAAGCCGATCACACTGTCTAACAGCCTGTATCCCCTCCAACCTGATGACAGATCTCACCTAGAGTGAATTTCTCAGTGAAGCCAGTTTGACTTGAGTTTCTGTCAACTTGCAACTCAAAAAGGCCATGTGTTGCCATGAGGTATTTCTCTGTTCCCTTTCCTAATCTAGAGATTAGGTAACTTTAATTCTGCTAATGCTGAGTTTTGTCTCATCAAATGGAAACATCACAGAAGTCTCTGATCTTGCCCCATCAACCCTTCCCATTACCTCTAGGGCTCAGCCAATGCTGCTGGTATCTTTTGCTTCATTTTTTCTTTTCTTTTCTTTTGTTTCTTTCTTTCTTTTTTTTTTTTCTGAGGCAGGGACTTGCTCTGTCACCCAGGCTGAAGTGCAGTGGTGTGATCACGGCTTACTGCAGCCTCAACCTCCTGGGCTCAAGTGATCCTCCCACCTCAGCCTCCTGAGCATAGGTGCACACCACCATGCCTGGCTAGTTTTTTAAATTTTGTTTGTAGAGAGGGGAGTCTTACTCAATCATTCAGGCTGGTCTCAAACTCCTGGGCTCCAGCAATCCTCCCACCTTGATCTCCCGAAGTGTTAGGATTACAGGTGTGAGCCACTGCATCTGGCTGCCTCATTTTTCTTAATCTTTCAAGACTCTGTAGAAATAATACCTACTCCTTTTCATTCCTCCTTATCTCCTGTCTTCCTTTCCAACACTATAGCCCTCTTTTCATTATTACCCACATTTACAAAAGGTCTTTGTAACTTAATGGCATACCCAGACAGAAATAATGTTCTCTGGGTTAATTATCTAGTTTGCCACAATCTCCTGTACCAGATTCTACCCAGCCTGCTCTGATTATAAAGGGGACTATTGAGAAATAGCTGCAAAAATGCACAAAACCATAAGAATTCCCATTCTAAGACCCAGAGCAGATGGCTTTTGGATTATTCCCTTCTCTTTTTCTATCATATGTTTACATAATTGAGTTCATCATCTATATGAAGTCTTACATACATATATTTTTATAAAGATATAAAATTATACAATCACCCCAATTAAAAGGCATGAACATTATTTTAATAATTGGAAGAAGATTTCATTGTACGAACATAGTGTAATTTCAGAAACATTTTTCTGTTGGTTGACACTTCATTTTTTACCATTTGCAATAATGTGATGGCTTCCTTGGGCATACATCTTTGTCCTCAACTGGATGTACTCCCCTAAAATAAATTTCTAGGAGTGGACCTTCTGGGTCAAAATGGGTGAGTATTTGTAAGGCTCTTGATACATATTGCCAAATGACCTTCCAGAAAAATTGTGCCTGTTTACATGCCTACCAGTGGCATGGAAGGGTCAGATGTCAGAATCATGATTGCAATTATTGATAAAGATCCAGCTAGTTCCAGTTTTGCCAACAATATTAACACCACCAGCACATCCACCAATAATAATAATAACAATAATGGTATGATAAATAAAATAGGTGATATGGTTTGGCTGTGTGTCTCCACCCAAATCTCATCTTGAATTATAATCACCAGGTGTCGCGTCGAGGGAGGGAGCTGTAAGCCCCACGTGTCGAAGGAGGGATGTGATTGGCTCATGGGGGTGGCTTCTCCCATGCTGGTCTCATGATAGTGAGTGAGTTCTCATGAGATCTGATGGTTTTAAATGTGGCAGTTTTTTCCCGTGCTCTCACTTCTCCCTCCTATCGCCTTGTGAAGATGTCTGCTTCTCCTTCTGTCATGATTGTAAGTTTCCTGAGGCCTCCCCAGCCATGCAGACCTGTTGTGAGTCAATTAAACCCCTTTTCTTTATCAATTACCCATTCTTGGCCAGTTGTTTATAGCAGTGTGAGGATGGACTAATACAATAGACTTATTGGGAGCTTGTAATATTCTAGCTATGTTACTAAAAATTTCACACATTATTTCATTTAGTCCATCCAGTAACCTAGAGATTAGGTATTATTATAATTCCCCCATTTACAAAATAGGATAATAAGGTACAAAGACGTTAAGCATCTTGCCTAATGACCACAGCCAGTAAATGGTGGATCTTAGATTTGATGCCAGGCATCTGACTTCTTCAAGCATTGTTTACTGTTTTAGTATGACGGAGATGACTAGTTGGATGTAATTCCACCTGAATGGCTAGCTTTACTGTGTACAGATCACCAAAGATCTACCTTGAGGAAAAACATTGCTATACATTGCAAATAATAGTCAGGGCTCTGGTATTAATGTTTCCCAGTCTCTCCCTCCTAAGGACATTGTCACCCTCCCAGACAGGTGTGTGGTAGAAGGAAACGACTCTCTCCTGATGCTATGAATTCCAAAGAATTCCCATTAACCATATTTCTAAGCCAGTTTGCTTTCTTTCAATGTGCACTTTCTGCAAAATGCCATCTGCACTTGTTTCCTGGGGAAACCATCTCTCTGAGGTGGGTAAGTTCTCATTGTGAAGATGGGGACTTGCCTAATGTTTGGCATTCCCTTTTTGGGGCACGTACAGTGATTTCTGAACTGACTTGAAAGGCCATTAACTTGGTTTTTACTGCCTTTTCTGGCTTGCAAATTTAATGCCTGGCTCCCAACATGTGTGAATGGACAAACAGCATCAGCATCATCTGGGAACTTGCTAGAAATAAAAATTCTCAGGCTTTACCCTAGACTTACAGAACCAGCAACTCTGAGGGTAGGTTCCAGAAGTCTGTGAGTTTACAAATCTTCCAGGTGATTCTGATCCGTGCTAAAGTTGGATCTACTGCTCTAAACCTTAGTTTCTTCCTTTATAAAATAATAGTAGTAGTAGCTGTAGCAGTAATAATAATATTGGCTTCATGGTTATAGGGGGAATTCCATGAGTAATTTGAGTCCTTGGCACTGTGCTTGGCATACAGTAGGTGCTTAATAAGTGGTAGTTGGCATCACTATCTCTGAACTGTGAAGGTCGCTGTGCTTAACCTATGTAGTATTTATCAGCCCCGCATCCCACTCCGTTCAGGGATGGCCCTTCTCCTGCCTGTGGGTCTGGTGGGACCACTCTGCAGAATTTCTTATGCCCAGATCTTCTATCATGGTGTGACAAAAGCATGGCCCATCAAATGCCTGCCTTCTGGGAATTTGCATCTTAAGGAGAGATCATCAAGGATGTAGAGTGATTAGAGTCCGGTCATTCCACGACCCTGCAGCCTAGTGCTTCTCAACCTTTAATCTGCTTAACGCTAACTGGAGGATCTTGTTCGAGGGCAGATTCTGACTCGAAAGGTCTGGGGTGGTTCTGAGAGAGAGTCTGCATTTCTGACGAGCTCTACTGGAGATGGTGATGCCAGTACTGCTGGTTTCTGGACTCACGGTGCAGTTGCATCCCGAGAGTAGTGAATCTCATTTTTCAACCTCACCTTAGAATCACCTAGGGGAGGTGTGAAACAAGACAGACCTGAGCCAGTTAAATCTCAGTTTCTTTCCTTTTTGCCTTGCCTTGCTCTGCCTTGCCCTGCCTTGCCCTGCCAGGGTCTCACTCTGTCATCTAGGCTGGAGTGCAGTGGTACAATCTCGGCTCACTGCAATCTCCACCTCCTGGGCTCAAGCTATCCTTTTGCCTCAGTCTCCTGAGTAGCTGGGACTACAGGCATGCGCCACCACATCCAGCTAATTTTTGTATTTTTAGTAGAGACGAGGTTTCGCCATGTTTCCCAGGCTGGTCTTGAACTCCCGGGCTCAAGTGATCTGCCTGCCTTGGCCTCCCACAGTGTTGGAATTACAGGCATAAGCCACCATGCCCGGCTTAAATCTCAATTTCTGAGGGTGAGGGCCCAGCATCAGTGGTTTCTAAAAGTCTCTTTGGTTGACTGTTGGCTGCAGTGAGGGTTGAGATCCACCACCATACAAAGATGGTCCAACTGGAACCCCCTCAAGTCTGGGAACTCTATTCTTTCTCTGATCCTGTAAGCTCCCCGCTTTTTAATGTAAAGATTTGGTTCTGTTGGCTGGGCATGGTGGCTCACGCCTGTAATCCCAGCACTTTGGGAGGCCAAGGTGGGCAGATCACGAGGTCAGGAGTTTGAGACCAGCCTGGCCAATATGGTGAAACTCCGTCTCTACTAAAAATACAAAAATTAGCTGGGCATGGTGGCGTGTGCCTGTACTCCCAGCTACTCAGGAGGCTGAGGGAGAAGAATCGCTTGAACCCAAGAGGCAGAGCTTGCAGTGAGCCGAGATCGTGCACTACACTCCAGCCTGGGCGACAGAGTGAGACTTTGTCTCAAAAAAAAAAAAAAAAAAAAAAGATTTGGTTCTGTTGCTTGAAAACTAAGAACCTTAACTGATAGAGCCTCAGAAATGAGAAGAGAGTCAAGGTGAGTGTTCATTGCCTCTGGGCTCTCCAGCTGCAGATCCTCTTGCTTCTCTGTGCTTCTCTTTGGGATGACACCACAGAGACATTAAACCTTTTGGAGGGCCCGTACAGTAATTTCTGAACCAACTTGAAAAGCCATAAACTTGGTTTTTCCTGCCTTTTCTGGCTTGCAAATTTAATGCCTGGCTCCCAACATGTGTGAATGGACAAATAAAAGAGGAACTGTCCCTTCCTCTCTTTGCCCCCATCAAGGGCCACCTGAGAGACTGTATCTCTTTAGGATCGCTTAGCTCTTTCCTCAGTCCCAGGTCTGGATTTTGCGGGTGACAGCTTCACCAGTATGTGACAAGCCATGCCAGGTGACCAGAGTGTGAACCAGCCTGCTCACCTGTCAGGTGGTGGTAATGAAAACCGATGGACCTGGTGCGGTGGCTCAACACCTGTAATCCTAACACTTTGGGAGTCTGAGGTGGGAGGATCACGAGGTCAGGAGTTCAAGACCAGCCTGGCCAATGTGGTGAGGGCCTGAAGTAGTGGGAACAGAGGGTGACTGAGGCAGAGTCAGCCTTAAAAGATCAGTCGCTAAAAAGGACTTCAACTGCCTGCCTTTGGGGAGAGGGATTTGATGGGAGAAGGGCTGGGGTAAGACAGCTTTGTTTTCCATTTCAAGTCATTTGTATCATTTGCTTGTACTGCTTTGATAAAGAGAAATCTGAAATTCTAGAAAAAATTAGAAGTGAAAAAAAATTCCTTTATAGCCATGAGCAGAACCGTTAACAATAGCAGCCGGGTATGGTGGCTCACGCCTGTAATCTCAGCACTTTGGGAGGCCGAGGTGGGTGGATCACCTGAGGTCAGGAGTTCAAGGCCAGCCTGGCCAACATGGCAAAACCCCGTCTCTACTAAAAATACAAAAATTGCCAGGCGTGGTGGTGGGTGCCTGTAATGCCAGCTACTCAGGAGACTGAGTATGGAGAAACACTTGAATCCAGGAGGCGGAGGTTGCAGTGAGCCGAGAGCGCTCCATTGTACTCCAGCCTGGGTGACAGGAGTGAAACTCTATCTCTAAACAAACAAACAAAAAGCAATAGCAATAGCAACAGTAATGACACTAACTTATATTGATGTGCTAGATTTTATCCATGTCACCTCATTCACCTTTAGTTCTCACTACAACCTTGGGTGACAAACTTGTGTTGGCTTTAGCACTTTACTGGATTTGACACTGAGCGTTCCCTATACCTGGAACCACTTCGGTCCTAGATAAACCAAAGAGGATGGCTGGTCACCCTACTACAGCCCCAGAGGCAGCTGCTATTAACCAATGCATGCTGCAGGGGAGGAAACTGAGACCCTGAGAACTTCTGTAACTCGCATCATGGTCACACAGCTAGTTAGTGGTAGAAACAAGTTACATACCGACTCGGTGGTGGACACAATTAAGGGTCCCACAGTCAGTTAGTTGTAGAAACAGTTAAGAGTCACACAGCTAGTCAGTGGTTGACATAGTTAAGGGTTGTGCAGCTAGTCAGTGGTAGATACTGTTAGTTAAGGGTCACATAGGTAGTCAGTGGTGGACACAGTTAAGGGTCACACAGTTAGTGATAGATTTAAGGGTTACACAGCTAGTTAGTGGTAGATACAGTTAGTTAAGGGTTACACAGCTAGTTAGTGGTAGACACAGTTAAGGGTCACACAGCTAGTCAATGGTAGACAGTTAAAAGACACATGGATAGTTTAAGACACATGGATAGTTTAGTGGTAGATACAGTTAGTTAAGGGCCACACATCTAGTCAGAGGCAGGTATATTTAGTTAAAGGTCACAAAGCTAGTCAGTGGTAGGTACAGCTAGTTAAGGGTCACAAAGCTAGTCAGTGGTAGGTACAGTTAGTTAGGGGTTACACAGCTAGTCAGTGGCAGACAGTTAAGGGTCACAAGACTAGTCAATGGTAGACAATTAAAAGACACATGGATAGTTTAGTGGTTGATACAGTTAGTGAAGGGTCACACGGCTAGTCAGTGGTAGGTACAGTTAGTTAAGGGTCACACGGCTAGTCAGTGGTAGGTGTAGTTAGTTAAGGGTCACACCGCTAGTCAGTGGTAGGTATAGTTAGTTAAGGGTCACACGGCTAGTCAGTGGTAGGTACAGTTAGTTAAGGGTCACACAGCTAGTCAGTGGTAGGTACAGTTGGTGAGCCATCTCATCACTCGTTTAGTAGTAGAGCTTGGATTGGAACCAGGTAGGGCTGTGTCTGTTACATTACATCACGTCACATGGAGTCTCAGAGCTGAAAGGACTTTAGGGTCGCCGTGTCTATTCCCCTTGTTTGTAGATGGGGAAACTTGCCTGAGTGGCGGAACGCCCTACCCAAGGTCGCATGGTGAGTTTTGGGCTTCTAAGAGACCACTGGAGGAAGTCAGGGAGACATGCCCTGGCAGGGACCCGTCCGGAGGCCTGCCAATTGGCTTTGAGAGGAGCGCGTCTTGCATCTCCCAGGAAGGATTGGCAGAGGGAGGGCGGGCGTCTCGGGCCGGGGGCTGGTGCCCGGGGCTGGGGCTGAGGGGAGGGGGAGGCTGCTTCTCTTTGTAATTTACATACACAGCAGCAACAGCCTGGGGGAAAACAACCCAAACAAACTCTCAAAGGATGTTTTGGACTTAATCCCGGGATCGGAAGCAGCTCGGTAAGATAAATAAGATAAAGTTGGTGTGCCTCTTAAGGTTGAACGATCATATCACTATTGCATTTGAAATATTCATGAGGGGAAGGGAGGTATGAGAAACAGCTACAGAAACATATTCTGCTTTGAAAAGGCAGAATTCAAAGGCATGAAAAATGAATCAGGGGAAATTAATGTCGAGGTTGGGAGGGGGGTGGGCTGGTGGGGGGACAATTATTGCCCAGAAGGAATAAGGAAAGAGATGTGGAGGAGATGTTTCAGACTGGGCCGTGATCAGAATTCTGTATCCTGCCTGGAATATTTGAAATGTCAATTGTCTCATATATCATTTGAAGTCAATACTTGGTCGCAAAATGGATGATTCTAGCAAGGATTAAAAAGCAGGGTGGGCTGGGGGATATGGGATGGGGAGGGTGGAGTGGGGTGGGGCAGGGAGATGGAAAAAGATGGGTAAAGTGAACTAAGTCCTATAAATTGTGGACGAATTACTGATCACTCAAAGAGGGCTCTGGAGGAGTAAGATGCAAAGAAACGGGAATTTCTTGTGATTTCTTGCAAGTCTCTCGGTCTTGGTTTCTCCCTTTATAAAGCCAGGAGGTTGGGCTGGATGTTCTCCTAGATGGTCCCACTTTGCCTTGTGGAGGGGGTGGGGCTCTGATTTGGAGATGTGCTTGGAAATAGAGGGTTCCTTAAGGCAAGAGGGTCAAGGGTATTGACGAACGGTAGCAATACAGACATGATGCTTGTGGTTAATGGTGGCTCTCAGCAGAGCCCTGCAAGTCTACACCGTGTTAGGGGGGCCAGTGGGGTTTGGCCCCATTTAAAAGCAAGCCCTTGGACTGTGGACTGGCGCGGTCATTCTAGAGAGATCTGACACTAAAGCAAATGAAGGCTGCATATTCTCTGTGGTCCCAGACCAGCAGCATCAGCATCACCTGGGAGCTTGTTAGAAATGGAAATTCTCGAGTCTCCTTCCAGACTTCTTGAGTCAAAATCTGCCTTTTAACAAGATCCCTGGGTGAGTCCTGTGCATATTAAAGACTGAGCAGCAGCAATTCCCCTCCTGGATTTATACCCCAGAGAAAGTTTCACCCAAGGATGTTCAAGGAGGTGGGTTTGTGGTAGCGGGGTATTGGAAGCCACTGCTGTGCGCATCAGAAGGGGATAGATAAGCAAAGCATGACAGATACTCACTGTGGGATATGACTGTGGTAGTTAGAAAAACAGGTCTGATCTTCACATGCCAGTATGGACGGATCTTTTATTTTATTTATTTATTTATTTATTTATTTATTTTGAGATGGAGTCTCACTCTGTTGCCCAGGCTGGGGTGCAATGGTGCAATCTTGGCTCACTGCAACCTCCGCCTCCTGGGTTCCAGCAATTCTGCCTCAGCCTCCCGAGTAGCTGGGATTACAGGCGCCCGCCACCATACCTGGCTAATGTTGTATTTTTAGTAGAGACAGGGTTTCACCATACTAGCCAGGCTGGTCTCGAACTCCTGACCACAGGTGATCCTCCCACCGCAGCCTCCCAAAGTGCTGGGATTACATGCGTGAGCCACTGTGCCTGGCCTGGATGGATCTTAAAAACAAAGCACAAGGGGAAAAAAAGTGAGCAATAGAATCAATTTATAGCAAGTGTCTTTGTTTGTGCTGCTATAAAGGAACACCTGAGGCTGGATAATTTACAAAGAAAAAAAGTTTATTTGGCTCATCATTCTGCAAGAATCATGGCACCAACATCTGCTTCTGATGAGGGCTTCAGGAAGCTTCCACTCATGGCAGAAGTGAAGAGGAACTGGTGTGTGTAGATCACATGGTAAGATAGAGAGAGAGGCCGGGCGCGGTGGCTCACGCCTGTAATCCCAGCACTTTGGGAGGCCGAGACGGGCGGATCACGAGGTCAGGAGATCGAGACCATCCTGGCTAACACGGTGAAACCCCGTCTCTACTAAAAATACAAAAATTAGCCGGGCATGGTGGCACGCGCCTGTAGTCCCAGCTACACGGGAGGCTGAGGCAGGAGAATGGCGTGAACCCGGGAGGCGGAGCTTGCAGTGAGTCGAGATCGCGCCACTGCACTCCAGCCTGGGCGACAGAGCGAAACTCCGTCTCAAAAAAAAAAAAAAAAAAAAAAAGAGAGAGAGAGAGGGAGATAAGAGGGGTATGAGGAAGGAGGATGAGAGAAGGAAGAAGGAGACAGGGAAGAATAGGAGACAGAGGAGGGTTCCAGGTTATTTTTAACTATCAGTTCTCGGCCGGATGCAGTGGCTTATGCCTGTAATCCCAGCACTTTGGGAGGCCGAAGTGGGTGGATCACTTGAGGTCAGGAGTTCGAGACCAGCCTGGCCAACATGTCGAAACCCTCTCTGTACTAAAAATACAAACATTAGCCAGGCATGGTGGCTCTTGCCTGTAACTCCAGCTACTTGGGAGGCTAAGGTGGGAGAATTACTTGAACCCAGGAGGTGGAGGTTGCAATGAGCCGAGATCTTGCCATTGCACTCCAGCCTGGCCGACAGAGCGAGACTGTGTCCCAAAATAAATAAATAAATAAATAAATAAATAAATAAATAAATAAATAAATAGAAAAAAATAAAAACACAAAAATTAGCTGGATGTAGTGGCGGGTGCCTGTAATCCCAGCTACCTGGGAGGCTGAGGCAGGAGAATCTCTTGAATCCGGGAGGCAGAGGTTGCAGTGAGCTGAAATCGTGCCACTGCACTCCAGTCTGGGCAACAGAGTGAGATTACATCTTGAAACACACACACACACGCACACACAATCAGTTCTTGCAGGAACTAAGAGTGGGAAATCACTCACTCTTGAGAGAATGGCACCCAGCCATTCCTGAGGGATCTGCCCCCACGACCAAAACACCTCCCACCAGGCCCCACCTCCAACACTGGGGATCACATTTCAACATGAGACTTGGCAGGGGCCAAAACAAACCATATCTAGACCATAGTATGACACAATTTTTATTGGTTAAAAATGTATTTGTACACAAGACAGTATGCTTAAAGCTACAAGAGGGCAGGGATTTCTGTCTATTTTGTTCACCGTTGTCTTCTTGCCACATTCTGAACACTCAATATTTGATGAGCAAATGCACTTCACAAGAATGCGCACACATTCAAGAGAAGAGGAATACCTCAGCTGAGGGGGTTTTGCACTGCACCGTGGTGATGCCAGAAACTCAGGAGTAATTCACTCCACTTTCTGCACCTGGGGTGAAATAGAAGCCCAATCTTGTGTGAGAGGTGAGGGGGAGGGTGGCCGGGCTGGCCTACGTTTGCAGAGCTTGTTCCATTTCACAGTGGCTTGGCTGCCCTGCCCTTGGTCCCTCCAAGGTCCTGCTTGCTCAGCTCTTGGCTTGCCACCTTCCTGCTCCATCTCTAAGGCTTTATTGGCTGTTCCTGTAGAAACAGACTCTCCAAGTCATGGCTTTTTCTCAGCATTTTGCATGTACCACCTCCCTTATCCTCACAACACTGCCTACAACACTGGTTCTCAACTGGGGACACTTCCATCCCCATAAGGGACATTTGGCAATGTCTGGAGACATTTTTGATTGTCACAACTAGGGTATACTGTGCTACTGTCATCCAGTACGTAGAGGCCATGGATGCTGCTAAACATCCTACAAGGCACAGGGCTGTCCCCAGACTCCCCAGTAAAGAACGATCAGGTCCAAAATGTCAGTGGTGTTGAGGCTGACCTAGGGTAGGGGGCTCTAATATCTCTATTTTATATGTGAGGAAACGGAAGCATGGTGAGGTTGGGTAATCCTGTGTGAGGTCCTGCAGCTGGTAGGCAATGGAGATGGGGTATAGACCAAGTGAGTCTGGCTCTAGAGTCCTTGCTTTTAACCACCATACATGATTGCTTCTCAGAAGTGGAAAACGCTGAGACAGGCACAGCTTTTTATACCTTTACTCACTTATGTTACGGCGAGGGTGACCAGCTGTCTTGGTTTGCCCAGGCCTGAGCGGATTCCCAGAGTGTGGGACTTGCAGTGCTCAAGCCAGGATGGATAGTCACCCTAGTAACCTCCAGACTCTGTAGACATCTGTGTTTGTGATCTGATTGTTACTTTCAGTCTGTTGAGTTCATATTACTGATGTAAGAGTTAAGAAGAGATTATTTAGGCAGATAGTGAGGGTAAGGAAGTCCTCAGTAAGGTTTTCCTTTTAATGAAAAGCAGTCCCCAAATCATTTTTCTTTTCTAACGGAGAGCATCCTGTAAAATCAAGCTGCAGACATAGGCAAGCAAGCTGGAAGCTTGCACGGGTGAATGCCGGCAGCTCCGCCCATAAGAAAAGGCTAGCTGGGGCTAGGCACGTCCAACAGGGCAGCTCCATCTTCCCTTCTCTTTGCCAGCCATGTGTACAGTAAGGAGCAGGCAACAAGGAGCCAGCCAGGCAAAGACCCCATTTGCATAATAACACTAGGGTGGGGCGGCCAACTTCCCCATGCGCTATGTAAATGTCACACCTGGTGCAACCAATCTTTGGGCCCTAGTAAATCAGGCACCGCCTCCCCAACCCTGTAAAATCTGGTGCACTCTGACTTGGGCCAGAAGTCCCACTGGGTGCCCCCCTCTCGGAAGAGAGACAGTGTTCTCCTTTCTCATTCTTTTGCCTATTAAACCTCTGCTTTTAAACTCACTCTTTGTGTGTGTCTGTGTCCTTAATGTTTTTGGTATGAGGCAACGAATCTCAGGTATTACCCCCGAGAGAATGATGCTGCTTCACTCTGTGCTAATCACAATTGACACAAGGGCCGAATCCCAGTCTCAAGTTCACCTACGATGACTTTATCATCCACATGGCTCAAAGCTGTGGTCAAGTTTCCTCCTGTTTTGAAAATATGTGCTATGCTCCAGTTAAGTCAGCACAGCTCTAGGTAGATCAAAATTCATCTTTGGAGGATTTCTGAAATTCACTTGAGGAGTAGATCAGTTGGGGATGGTGTGATGGAGGAAAAAGAAAATCCCAAGGTTTGATGGCAAGGTTAGAGTGACCTTCTGACCTTGAGCAAATGGCTTAAGCTGTCTGGGCCTTGATGTCCTCGTTTATAAAATGAGTCCGTAATAAAAGCCACAATGATGAGCATCAGGCACTGTGCTGAGTGTTTGCCATCTAAGGGGTTATCTGGTTATCTCATTTAATCATCACAACCACGGGAGGGGAAGCTCCTGGGGTTAAGTGTCTCGCCCAAGGTTGCAGCTGGTGGGGAATAGTCTGGTTGCAAACCCAGAGACCACACTTTTAACTGCTATGGAATGTTGTCTCCCGTGGCTGTTTCTGAGGAGATAGAAAAACATGCCAATTAGGGCCAAAAAAACGGGAGGTGGCCTCAAGGGCAGTGCATTACATTAAGAGTGTTTGCAAAGGCGTGGGTGTTTCTCCACCCCCGAGTCGCTGCTGACTTCCCGACACCTACACGCAGGGTCACCCTGCAGCTTCTGAGCACCTGGCCGGCTCCCCCCAGCAATGTGTGTTTGATGTTATCAGGGGGTTTGAGGCACGGCTGAGGCCCCAGGAATCTTTCTCTTTCATGGAGAAGCCAAGCTCACATCTCCCAGTGGCAGCTGGTGCTGGCGTCTGGCTGGAGTTGCAGGGACTATGTGTCAGCTCTAGCAGTTCCTGCGACTGTATTCACCTACTGAAGGTCCTTGATCTATTGCTGGGGTTTGCCAAGGGTCTCAGGGGTCTGCTGCGGAGCAGAGAGACTGATTATTATTTTTTAAATCTCCAGTTGACCCCCTTGTTCTCACGTTAATCACTTTGAGAATAAAAATGGCTACCAATAATTGAGCACTTACTACGTGCCAGGCACAGGCACATCCTATGCCTCCCTCCCTCCTCCTCCGGGGCTGCTGGCTCTCCTTATCCTTTTTATTTTTGCTTTTTTCTCCACAGCTAGTAACTGTGTTCTAAACACCAATAAGAGGGCCTGGCAAATGTGGTTACTCAATAACATTTATTGAATGAATGGGTGTGAGCGAGTGTGTGTTAGGCTCCCTGCTAAGCCCATTACGTGTATTATTTTACTCAACTCTCACAGTAATCCTATGAGATAAGCTTCATCTTTATCTCCATGTTACAAAGGAGAAAATGTGCTCAGAGATGTCAAGTAATTTCCCCCAAAATGCACAGCTTGTGTCAACGCAAGAATGCAAATTTAGCAGTCTCCAAATTCTACCCCATTTACTATCTCCCAAATAGATATGTATAAATATCCCACATATGGAGATACATTTTAAGGATTTATACGTATCTATTTCCATGTAACACGGCCACACATATGTATCCTATATAATATGCACATGTATAGTATGTGCACATATTCACGTGTAAATGTATCAGTTACCTGTAGCTGTGTAACAAGTAACACCACCCTCATGGTTATAAAAATAAACACTTATTTTTTGCTCATAGGTCTGTGGTTTAGCTGGAGAGATTCTGCTTTAGGCTGTGGGTTGAGTTCAAGTCTGATTCTTACATTTATTTCTGAGGTCCAGATTGGAGAAGCAGTGGTACCTGGTGAAGGTTGGCAGCTTCCAGAGAGGAGTGAGCAGAAATACTCAATGCCTTTTAAGGCCTAAGCTGGGAACTGGTGCACCGTCAGCTCTGCTCATGTTCCATTGGCCAAAACAAACCCATCACTAACAGGGCAGAGGATTCTGTTCTTCCCATGGTGAAGGGAATGAGAGGGAAGTAAATATTTGTTAAACAGGAAAACATACCACTATCATATTTTAATTATATATGGATGTATTTGTATTTTATCTTTTTTTTTGAGATGGAGTTTCGCACTTGTCACCCAGGCTGGAGTGCAATGGCACGTTCACGGCTCACTGCAACCTCTACCTCCTGGGTTCAAGCAATTCTCCTGCCTCAGCCTCCCGAGTAGCTGGGATTACAGGCACCTGCCACCATACCCAGCTTTTTTTTTTTTTTTTTTTTTTTTGTATTTTTTTTTTTACTAGAGATGAGGTTTCACCATGTTGGCCAGGCTGGTCTTGAACTCCTGACCTCAGGTGATCCACCTGCCTCTGCCTCCCAAAGTGCTGGGATTACAGGCATAAGCCTCGGCGCCCAGCCTATATTTATCTTTTTCACCCATGACCCCAGCTTCAGTGAGGAGTTCTGTTACTTTGTACTTTTACTGGGCATTCGTTTCCTTGTTTGGAAAATAGTGACTATAATTAATAAAAGTGTTTGTATTCTTGCAAATTGCTAAGAGAGTAAATTTGAAGCATCCCCACCACTTGTTAATTAGCTTGATTTCACCAGTCCGCAATGTATACATATTTCAAAACATCAGGTTGTACACAATAATTATAGACAATTTTTGTTTGTCAATTCAAAAAGTAATAAGTAAAGGAAAAGAAAAATGTAAGATACTTTAAAAAATGACTGGCTCGTGTTGAGAAGTAACTTTTACTATTTATTTGTTTTTTTGTTTGTTGGTTGGTTGGTTTTTTTTTTTTTTTTTTGAGACGGAGTTTCGCTCTTGTTGCCCAGGCTGGAGTGCAGTGGCACGATCTTGGCTTACTGCAATTTCTGTCTCCCGGGGTTCAAGCAATTCTCCTGTCTCAGCCTCCTGAGTAGCTGGCATTACAGATGCCCACCACCATACCTGGCTAATTTTTTGTATTTTTAGTAGAGACAGGGTTTTGCCACTTTGGCCAGACTGGTCTCAGACTCCTGGCCTCAGGTGATCCACCTGCCTTGGCCTCCCAAAGTGCTGGGATTACAGGCATGAGCCACCGTGCCCAGCCTAACTTGTACTATTTATTTGAGTTAAGCCAACACACACTTGAGTTCCCCACATGTCATAGAGTGATGTGGACAAGCCCTTGAAATCTGGCTTTCCTGATTACCTGGTTGACCTTGTAGATGCCTCTCTGAGCCTCAGATATGTTCTCTGTGAAATGGGCATGAAACCAGTACCCACTTTGTAGAGCACTGTGAGGATTAAGTGAGAGGATACGTGCAAAAGTTTACCACAGTGCCTGGCTCCAGAAGCCACTCAATATATATTTGCTGTTGTTATTAATATTGATACTATTCTTACAACAAAAACAGCACAGATGTTCTAATGATCAATTATCCTAGCCTGTCGTCTGCTGGTCCCCAGCCCATGTTTCTCGGACCCTGTCTGTGTGTGATTTATGATCCGACTCTCTCTACACTTTGTGTTGGGGTTTGATTTTTCCTGCTTTGGCTCAAGACCCCCTTCCTACAGAAATGTTTGGACCCATCTTACAGACTTGTGCCTCCTTGGCTGTCCTGCCTGGTCAGCCCCTTGGAACACAGGGTTGGCCCTAAGTTGGTCCTCCCATCCCAGCAAAATGGTTCACTGGGGCATTGCAGGTTGATTGTGGAATTTCAACAATAGCATGGGTGGTGGGAAAACCTTCGGACATCCACAGACAGCAGCCTGGATGTATAAGAGATGGGGGTGGTGTTCTTTCCATCTGGAGTCCTCCGGGAGCTGTCAAGCCTGGAATCTTTGCAATTTAGGCAGTCTGTTTGTAATGGTCTCAAGAAAACCCATTCTGCCTACAAACGCGGTGACCTTTAATTTTTTTTTCTCAGATTTTTCCAAGATGCACATTGACTCTTCCTGTCAACGTGGAAGGCTCTAATGCCGCCTGGGGCATTTAGATTGCATTTGCCAATCGCTGACTGCTGTAGCCAATTTGTTCCTGATCTCAAGGTCGATTTTGAATAACTTTAGCTGGGCTAAGTCTCTTGCATTGAATAACTGGGAAACAACCTATTAAGGTAGCAGGCGGGCGGGGGCAGGAGGGGGCAGGGGGCTGTTTCTATTTTGTAGAAGTTCTTTGATTTTGGATAAATGAGAAGGCTTCTAGCTCTGCCAGTCATGGACTATGTGGCCTTGAACAAGGGAGGGAAAGAAAGAAACACATGCCAAGTACCTAGCATATGCTAGACACAGTGCTGGGCACTTCACACATGCCAGCTGCTTAATCTACTCCGCGAGGTGAACATCGTGATCTCCATGTTACAGATAAAGAAACGGAGTCCCGGCAACTTGCAGGGTTGAGCTTGGATCTGTCTAAAGCCCCGCCCCTCCCCCTTTTTTTGTTTGTTTGAGACGGAGTCTTGCTATGTTGCCCAGGCTGGTGTGCAACAGTGCAATGATCTTGGCTCACTGCAACCTCCGCCTGCCAGGTTCAAGCAATTCTCCTGCCTCAGCCTCCCGAGCAGCTTGGGATTACAGGCACGTGCCACCATGCCCAGCTAATTTTTTATATTTTTTGTATAGACGAGGTTTCACCATGCTGGCCAGGTTGGTCTCCAACTCCTGACCTCTTGAGCCGCCCGCCTCGGCCTCCCAAAGTGCTGGGATTACAGGCGTGAGCCACCGCGCCCGGCCGATGATGCTCTTTTTAAACTATCCTTATGAGTGTATTTCAGCAACCTCCCCCGACCCGAATTACAGTACCACAGGCTGCGTCCTAATGCTGTGCCCTCTCCTGATATGGTCTGGCTGTATCCCCATCCAAACTCACCTTGAATTGTAATAATCCCCACGTGTCAAGGGCGGGGCCAGGTGGAGATAATTAAAACATGGGGGCAGTTTCCGCATACGGTTCTCATGGTAGTGAGTAAGTCTCACGAGATCTGATGGTTTTATAAATGGGAGTTCCGCTGCGCAAGCTCTCTTGCCTGCCCCTGTGTAGCATGTGACTTCGCTGTTCTTTGGCCTTCCACCATGATTGTGAGACCTCCTCAGCCATGTGGAACTGTGAGTCCATTCAACCTCTTTCCTTTGTAAATTACTCAGTCTCGGGTAGGTCTTTATTAGCAGCGTGAGAACAAATAAACCTCCTGTCATCTTCTCTCCTTGGATTCACTCCTCTAGTCTGAGATGTCTGGTTCGCCTTGTTTCCCCAGCGGTGGGCTCATGCCGGCAGGGGTTGGCATCAGCAACTGTTCTTTGATCCCATGACTCTGATTTTGAGATGAGCCTGGTGCAGCTTGGTGGTTTCACGTGGGGCCCTTTGGAAGGAGAAAACCTGGTCCGAATCCCTGCAAGTTGTGTGACGGGTTGGGTTCCTTGGAAGCCCGAGAATGAGATTTGGGTAGGTGCGGTTTATTCAAGGTGGGGGTTCTCAGGAGAAGGAAAGTGAGGGAAGGAGGATGATGGGGGAGGGGACAGAGCCAAGCAAGAATGGGCTCTCAGGCTGAGGCTAGCCTTGATCTCACGTGGGTCTCTGGAGTGTATTCTGCCTTGAAGCAGGAGGACTGGACTTTTGTGTGACTCCTCTCGCCTCATATCGCTTAGTCATTGGCCAGTTCAGCATGTGAGAGCATAACTCCCTGGGTGAAATGGCTTTTGCTAGCTAAGGAATTCTCCGGAGAAAGTATTGGTATAAGCCATTAGGCACAGATCAGCAAAGGCTGAATGATGAGTGGTTTACTGGCAATGAGGATCTGGGTGAAGCACCAGGAACAGCTGCGACGTTGTGCAACTGCTCTGCCTCAGTTTTCCTCATCTGTAAAATGGGGATGTTGATAAAACCCATCTCTGAGCGTTGATGCAAGGGTTAGATGAGATACTTGCATTTGTGTTACTGATAATGTGCCTGTCACTGGCCAGGTGCAAAGCAAGGGCTCAACGAAAGCATAAGCTATTATTATTATTATTATTATTGTTATTACTGGCAGTTTTGGATCCATAGCAACAAGCACATATAAACAATGCTCACTTCTTCTCTAGTTTAATTCTTATAACTCTTCTGAGATAAGTTCTACTTCTACCCTGTTTTACAGACATGGAAACTGAGGCACAGTGAGGTGAAGCACTTTGAGCTCACATGATGGGGCTGAGATTCCAATTTAGGGAGTCCAGTCCCAGAGCCCCCAAGTGAGTGCTGGTTTGGGACTGTCTCTTCTGATCATGACAAATCTTTTTTTTGAGATCACTCTCAGTTCCTTGAATGTATCCATCTTCTCTGTTGTTTCTGGGTCTTTGTATATTCTATTCTCTGTGCTGGCAACAGCTTTTCCGCTTTAACCTGATCTGCCCTGGTTCATCCCTTGAGACTGAGCTCTGAGCTCATATTTGGCCTTTTTTTTTTTTTTTTGAGACAAGGTCTCACCCTGTCACCCAGGCTGGAGTGCAGTGGTGCAATCGTGACTCACTGCAGCCTCAACCTCCCAGGCTCAAGTGATCCTCCCACCTCAGCCTCCCGAGTAGCTGGGACTACAATTGCATGCTACCATGCCCAGCTAACTTGTGTACTTTTTGTAGAGATGAGGTTTCGTCATATTACCCAGGCTGGCCTCGAACTCTCAGGATCAAGTGATCTGCCTGCCTCAACCTCCCAAAGTGCTGGGATTACAGGTATGAGCCACGGCGCTTGGCCCATGTTTGGCCTTTTCCAGGAAGCCCTCCAGGTTGCCTCCTTCCACAGCCCCTTGTCTGTTCCCCAAAGTGTCTGTTAGGATGTATTACACTTGCCTAGTCACTTGTCTGCCTCTCCCATTAGTCTATGGCTCCAAAGAATTGAATATTTTGCCTGTCTCTATCATTGTCACCCCTGCAAGTAGCATTTGTCTGGCACATAGTAGGTACTCAATAAATGTTTATTTTGTGGCTGAATGAGCATTCCAGATTCAGAACTGGAAACATTGGAGGCTTACAAAAGTTCAGAACCGCATACATTGGAGGCTTACAAAAGTTCCTGTTGAGTTGAATTAATTCATTTTGAAATGACATGGACTAAGTTCTTTCTGGGAAGGTTTCCTAACTAAATCCGTGGGCATGGTGGACTGGAGCGTTCCAGAACCAGTGCAAAGAGTCCCCTGTCCATAGGCATGAGATGAAGGCTCAGGGACTTAAAATACACTTCTATTGTGGAAAGTTCTTCAGAGACCCTTCTGGCATTTTATTTAATTGATGCTCGGCTCATTTATTTTATTATTTTATTTTTATTTTTTAATTTTTTTATTTTTTTTTTGAGACGGAGTCTTGCTCTGTCACTCAGGCTGGAGTGCAGTGGCGCAATCTCGGCTCACTGCAACCTCTGCCTCCCAGGTTCAAGCAATTCTCTGCCTCAGCCTCCCGAGTAGCTGGGATTATAGGCAAGTGCCACCATGCCCAGCTAATTTTTGTATTTTTAGTAGAGACGGGGTTTCACCATCTTGGCCAGGCTGGTCTTGAACTCCTGACCTCGTGATCTGCCTGCCTCGACCTGCCAAAGTGCTGGAATTACAGGCGTGAGCCACGGCGCCCAGCCATTTTTATTTTATTTTTTTTGAGATGGAATGTCACTCTGTCACCTAGGCTGGAGTACAGTGGCGCAATCTCGGCTCACTGCAGCCCCCACCTCCCCGGTTCAAACGATTCTCCTGCCTCAGCCTCCCAAATAGCTGGAACTACAGGCACACACCCACACACCACCACACCTGGCTAATTTTTGTATTTTTGGTAGAGACGGGGTTTCACCATGTTGCCCAGGCTAGTTTTGAACTCCTGACCTCAGGTGATCTGCCCACCTTGGCCTCTCGAAGTGCTGGGATTACAGGCATGAGCCACCACGCCTGGCCCAGTTAATTTATTTTATGTAATGAATGTATTTCTTTTCATTAGGAAAGTATGAGAATCACGTTGCTGAAAATGTGGGAAACCTAGAAAAGTAGAGAAACCCACCCACTATCATTTGGTAGTAAATTTCTTCAGATTTTTCTCCTCCCATATATGTTTTTCTCTTTCTTTATTAAACATACTTATGACCATACTATTAATATAGTTTAGTATCCTGCTACTTTTTTTCCGTTTAGCAAAATGAGATTTTTCCAGGTTTAATTACATAGTTTTAAAAATAACCATCATCATTTTGTTCTTATTTTTTTCCCTTTTGAATTTAAAAAAAAAAATCATAGTAATATGAGCACATCGTACAAAGTTAAAGTACAGAGGAGCTGCTAATGAAAGCAGCGGTTCCTGGCCCCTTCTCTCCTCTCTCCCCTCCTTAAGTCTTATTTCCCGGAGGTAAGTGCTTGAAATGTTGTTTCCATTTTTAGGTCTTCGGTTATTTATCTCTGTAACTCCAAATAAGATGCTTATGTGGCTGTTTCTTGATTTATCAATTTAAGACATTTTCTATTGACTCTGTGCCATAGAAGATGAGGATTCAGCTTATTGACATGGTTCCTCCCCACTTTTTGTCCTTCCCCAGTTTTTATTTGAAAAAAGTCAGACGTGCACATGGCAAATGATGACCGGAGGATGAAGGAGCCTCTCTTACTCTAATGCTTCAGTCTTCCACCCACCCCTCCTCCCAGTTTCTTGTGTATCTGTGGCAGGTCAAAGATGAGTGCAAACTGTTTGATACCCCATGCATTCAGAAATGGGGTCTATTTCCCTTTTCCTGAGCCTGGGCTGGCCTGTGACTGCTTTGACGAATAGATTGCCATAGAAGTGACACCATGATGGTTCTGGTCCTGGCATTTAAGGGATCATGCAGTTTCCGCCTTACACCTCTTGGAACTCTTGGTTTTAAACCCCTGAGCCACTGTGTGAGAAATCTGAGGGCTTTTGCTGGAGGGAAACCTGGAGAGACTCTGAGATGACATGGAAAGGGAGAGAAGTTGCTCTGAGCCCAGCTTCCATCCTGTCCCACTGATATGATTTGGCTGTGTCCCCATCCAAATCTCATCTTGAATTCTCACATGTTGTGAGAGGGACCCGGTGGGAGGTAATTGAATCATGGGGGTGGGTCTTTCTCATGCTATTCTCATGATAGTAAGTCTCATGAGATCTGATGGTTTTATAACAGGGAGTTTCCCTGCACAAGCTCTCTTTTTGCCTGCTGCCATCCATGTAAGACGTGACTTGCTCCTCCTTGCCTTCCACCATGATTGCGAGGCTCCCCAGCCATGTGGAACTCTGAGTCCATTAAACCTCTTTCCTGTAAAAATGACCCAGTCTCAGGTATGTCTTTATTAAGAGCATGAAAATGGACTAATACACCCACCAAGGTGCCTGGCACATCACTAAAACTGCACTAGACCCTTCAGAGCAGCCCCGAAGCCCTCTGAATACTACTGAGTGACCTCAGATGATACTGTGTGAGCAGAAGAACTGCCCAGCTGGGTCCTGCTTGAATTCCTGACCCTCAAAATCATGATCTATAATAAAAACAGTTGTGGCTTTAAGCCATAATGTTTGGGGATTAACTTGAATGGCATCCTTCAGGAGATACCCCATGTGTCATAGGTTTTGGGGATGGAGGTTATCTTAGCCTACCAACAGTGCCTGATACAAATATGTGAATGTTTCATTGGGTCACGCAATCTCAAGAAAGCAGGGATAAGGGAAAGAGAGAAAGAGGAAGAGCAAAACCAAAGAAGTGCATATTGCCTAGTGGAGTTGCAGTTTCCCAGAAACACAAGCATGGGATAACTCTGGAGTCAGTCATCTGCCAGCTCCTGCTGTTTCCTGTCTCTTATTGGTCAAAGCTTGCTCCACTCTGCACTTCTGAGTAATGGCCCTCAGCCCCTCCTAGCAGCTTCTGGGGGATCCAGGACCTCTGGGAGCTGATAGGTGTGATAGAGGCCAGCCCTTAACCCCACCCAGGGTAGGCTGAGTCACTTTTATTTTATTGTAAAATTGATATTTATTTACTTATTATTTTAAGGTAATTTTTTTTGAGACAGGATCGTGCTCTGTTGCCCAGGCTGGAGTACAGTGGCACAGTCATAGCTCACTGCAACCTCAAACTACTGGGCTCATGTGATCCTCCTGCCTCAGCCTCCTGAGTAGCTGGGACTACAGGTATGCACCACCATGCATGGCTAGTTTTTAAAAAGTTTTTTTGGAGGGATGGGGTTTTGCTTTGTTTCCCAGGCTAGTCTCAAACTCTTGACCTCAAGAGATCCTCCTGCTTCAGCCTCTCAAATTGCTGAGATTACAGGCATAAGCCACTATGCCTGGCCTCTATTATTATTATTTTGAGACAGAGTCTCACTCTGTTGCCCAGGCTGGAGTACATCGGTGCAGTCTTGGCTCACTGCAACCTCTGCCTCCTGGGTTCAAACAATTCTTGTGCCTCAGCCTCCGAGTAGCTGGGACTACAGGTGTGTGCCATCATGACTGGCTAATTTTTGTGTTTTTAGTAGAGATGGGGTTTCGCCATGTTGGCCAGGTTGGTCTTGAACTCCTGACCTCAAGTATCCACCTGCCTCGGCCTCCCGAAGTGCTAGGATAACAGGTGTCGGTCACAGCTCCTGGCCACTGGCTTCTATTTTTTTATTTTTTGAGAGGGAGTCTAGCTCTTGTTGCCCAGGCTGGGGTTCAGTGGCGCAATCTCGGCTCACTGCAACCTCTCAAGTTCAAGAGATTCTCCAGCCTCAGCCTCCCGAGTAGCTGGGATTACAGGCACGCGCCGCCACGCCCAGCTAATTTTTGTATTTTCAGTAGAGACAGGTTTCACCATGTTGGCAGGATGGTCTCGATCTCCTGACCTCATGATCCACCCACCTTGGCCTCCCAAAGTGCTGGGATTACAGGCGTGGGCCATGGCACCTGGCCCAGCCTCTATTTTTAAAGTAACTTTTATGGGATGTCAGACATTGTAAATTTTACCTTGGTGGGTGCTGGATGTTTTTGTGCCTGGCACAGTCCTAGGTGCTGAGGACCTAGCATTGAACAAAAACAAAGATCCCTGCTCTTGCTGAACTTCCATGCTACTGTGGGGAGACAATCAGTGAACAACAAGCATAATTTAGGTTTGCTCTTATTATACTGTTGCACACGTACCTTTTGTATATGTACTCTTAAACGGCCATTGTTTTTAGTGATTTGATTGAACAAATATATTTGATTGAACAGATATATCCTTGCTGAATGAGCCATTTCTCTATTGATGGGTAATTATATTACTTTCTCTAGTAAGAGTCATCAGAAGCTTAGAGGCTTAAGAATCTAAGCTCAACAAACAGAGGTTGGAGAGGTTATTATAAAGTCCATTGTGAGAGCAGCCACTCCTAACCTTGGGACCAAAGATTGGTATTGCGTGACCTGTGAGCCAGAATTACCCTGGATTGGACTGTCCTACCAGGTGGGCCCCTGGCCAGCAAAAGAGATGATGGGGGTTGTTAGAATGTCAGAGAGGGCCTTAGACACCCCTTTTCCATATAGTCTCCAGCTCTTTGACTAAAACCTGTACCCCAGTATATAATCAGTCACCCAGGCCTAGAGTCAAGGTCTTTTATATCATGTAAATTTATTTTTTATTTTTAAAATTTTTTATTTCCATAGGGTTTTGGGGAACAGGTGGTATTTGGTTATGTGAGTAAGTTCTTTAATAGTGATTTGTGAGATTTTGGTGCAGCCATTATCTGAGCAGTACACACTGAACCCAATTTGTAGTCTTTTATCCCTCACCCCCTCCCACCCTTTCCCCCGAGTCCCCAGAGTCCATTGTATCATTCTTATGCCTTTGCATCCTCATAGCTTAGCTCCCACTTGTGAGTGAGAACATACGACGTTTGGTTTTCCATTCCTGAGTTACTTCACCTAGAATAATAATCTCCAGTTCCATCCAGGTTGCTGTGAATGCCATTAATTCATTCCTTATTATGGCTGAGTAGTATAAATATACTGCTGGTATATGGCATATATATACCACAGTTTCTTTATCCACTCGTTGATTGATAGGCATTTGAGCTGGTTTCATATTTTTGCAGTTGTGAATTGTGCTGCTATAAACATGCATGTGCAAGTATCTTTCTCATATAATGATTTCTTTTCCTCAGGGTAGATACCCAGTAGTGGGATTGCCAGATCAAATGGTGGTGCTACTTTTCTTTAAGGAATCTCCACACTGTCTTCCAAGGTGGTTGTACTAGTTTACATTCCCGCCAGCAGTGTAGAAGTGTTCCCTTTTCACCACCTCCATGCCAACATCTATTATGTTTTGATTTTTTGATTCTGGTCATTCTTGCAGGAGTAAGGCGGTATCGCATTGTGGTTTTGATTTGCGTTTCCCTGATCATTAGTGATGTTGAGCATTTTTTCACATGTTTGTTGGCCATTTGTTTATCTTCTTTTGAAAATTGTCTATTCATGTGGATTTATACCTTCCCCGTATTCCCATGCCTTTGTCTTCAATGGGACTATTATTTTTTGTCTAATGGCTTTGAATTAAATCTTCTGTCTTCTATTCCACTGATCTCCAGTCTCCAGCAATAATTATGCTGTTTGCATTGGGGAAGGTGGCAGATGTAGTTGTTGCCTTGCCTATGTCCTCTGGCATAGGAACTCACCATTCCTACTGCAAGCATCTGCAATACTGCCTGGGGCTTTGTCTCACTGCCATAACCTAGGCTCTTGTGGGGCAGGCTGGAAGTGCAGAGAAACCAACACAGGCACATCTCCCCCAGCCAGCTGCTGAGGGCAGTTGCCCTGCCTTCCATACCTTAGGGTGAGGCAGGCGCTATGCTGTCTCCCAGATGTCCCCAGTGGGATTGAACCCCAGTTGCCCATAGTAGCAGCCTGCTTATAAACATGACCTGGATTAGCTCCTTTCCCTTCTCTGTCTCATTTCCCTATTGTCATCCCAGTGTTTCCTGGGCTCACTTTCCAAATCAACCCACTTATCTTCAAGTCCTTCTGTATTAGTCTGTTCTCATGCTGCTAATAAAGACATGCCTGAGACTGGGTCATTTATAAAGGAAAGAGGTTTAATGGACTCACAGTTCTGCATGGCTGGAAAGGCCTCACAATCATGGTGGAAGACAAGAAGGAGCAAAGCCACATCTTACACGGCAGCAGGCAAGAGGCTTGTGCAGGGGAACTCCCATTTATAAAACCATCAGATCTCATGAGACTTACTATCAGGAGAACAGTATGGGGGAAACCACCCCCATGATTCAATTATCTCCACCTGCCCCCGCCCTTGACACATGGAGATTGTTACAATTCAAGGTGAGATCTGGGTAGGGACGCAGCCAAACCATCTCACCTTCTCTTAGGATTTGTTTCTGGGGAAACCTAACCTATCTAAGATGATGAAAAATACAAAGAACCAGGAAAATCCATAAATAGATTTAACAAGAAAATTTTACCTAGTCTTGATGAGTGGCAAAGCTTGACTGCCCTGAGGAAGTGACTTTGCTGAGCTGAGACCTGAGGATGGGTAGGAGTTAGCTAAGCAAAGCAGCACTGGAAGAACAGCAGGGGAAGAACATTCCAAGCATAGGGAAGAGCATGTGCGAAGGTCCTGGGGCAGGAATGCTAGTGTGGATGGGGTGCAGAAAGAGAGGCAGAGAATGGTGGTTATCTTTGGAGGATATATGGCCTGAAAGTGAATTTGGGTCCCTGACTTTAAGTCTCTTTCCTCTGCAGTTTAATTATGTCTATACACTTTTTTTTGAACCCCATTATGGTCTGGCTTCATTTAAATGCATCTGAAATGAAATCTCTAATGTTAACAGTGTTGTCAGATGTGAAGGCTTCATTTCTCTTTGGTTCTTTTTCACCGAATGCTATCTGTGAGTTTCTGGGGAGGATATGAGGATTTTGATTGTTTTGATTTTTTTTTTTTTTTGTATGACCACATTATGTTAATTTCCCCATTGTCTTAGAGTATGAGAACATAAAAGCAATAACTCATTTATATGAAGACTGAATGTGCTGAGAGGTTGTCATGGAAACCTCTCATGTTGGCTTGAGTAAATTGAATAACCCCTGTTAAAAGACTGAACACAGATAACTGGCAGGCTTTGTTTCAGGGCAAGAGTTCACAAACTGGGGTCCACAGATGCTCAAACATTCTATCATGAATAGAATTCGGGGATCCCATGATCTTGGACAGTTAAAAATACATCTTATATTCTTTTATCTCTACCTGAAGTTTAGTCTTTCTTTCCATTGTGAATGAATAAAGCAATAAACAAACAAAAAAACAAAAGATTGAACACAGAACTTATTTACCCAATTGCATGGCATTCACAAGAGATGAGAAATTCAACATGATACATGAGATTTTTCCCCCCCGCAGGGGCAGGGAGGAGGATGAAGAGGGTGAATGAATGCTAGGAATGTATTATTTTTATTTAGACAGTGATTTCTATTTTTCTTTCAAAGATTATATTTTTGTTTCCAAATGGGAGAGGTGTTATGGGGCGATAGAGAAAGGATCCAGGGAAAATTGCATGGTAAAATTGCTCCTGGGAAAGACCAGCTTAGGGTATCCATGATTGTCGCTTCTGTAGCCCTGAGCATGTTTCTCCCCTTGGAGCATCCTCTGAAGTCTTGGTCAGAGTCGTTGAAGAGACATGAACCTTTTCAGCATTTTCTGCTTTGCTTTGGCAGGATTGTTTACTGCCTATCAAGCTGACTTACAAAAAATACTAGTTCTGTTGTTTTTCATTTTTAAAAGCAAATTGCTTCACCTCTTCGTAAATAACTCCTTAAAAGAAAAGCCGTGGATGACAGATGAGGAAGCATAGTTGGGAACAGAGCGCGGCACTCGCTCACGATCATAGTGTCAGGTCACAGGAAGCCCTCTGAGCCCCGGGGGTGGGGGCAGCCTCTTTAAAGTGATTATGGAGCAAGAGGAGCTTGAACAGTGGCACTCTGAGCGTTGTCTTGGGCCAGCTTGGAGATCAGGTCCTGGGCTCCAGAAGACATCGAGGCTGGTTCTACCTGGATGTTGCATCCGTAGGTATCAAAGTAGGAGATGCTTTCGAGGGGTGAGTTTTTCATCAGTGGCCTCCACCCCAAAGCACCATAGTCCTACCTCCTTGTTGTATGTCTTTCTTCTCACAGGCTGCTTGTCAGACTTCAGAATTTCATGGGCATGATGGGCAAATAAGCTTGATTAATGCTTCATGCTTGCTATCCACTAAATGTGTTCCCACCATGTGTTGAAACCTAATCCCCAGTGTGATGGATGGTATTAGGGGGTGGGGCCTTTGGGAGGTGATTAGGACATGATGGTGGGGACTCCACAAGTGGGATTCATGCCTATTTATTTATTTATTTGAGACAAGAGTCTCACCCTGTTCCCAGGCTAGAGTGCAGTAGTACCATCTAGGCTCACTGCAACCTCTGCCTCTGGGTTTAAGTGATTCTCCTGCCTCATCCTCTGAGTAGCTGAGACTACTGGATAATTATCTACCACACCTGGATAATTTTTTTTTTTTTTGTATTTTTAGAGAGATGAGGTTCCACCACGTTGGCCAGGCTGTCTTGAACTCCTGATCCAAGTGATCTGCCCATCTTGGCCTCCCAAAGTGCTAGGTTTACAGGCGTGAGCCACTGCGCCTGGCCAATGCCCTTTTAAAAGGGGTCCCAGAGAGCCCCTTTGCCCTTCCATGATGGGAAGACACAGTGAAAAGAGGGCTGTCTATGAACTAGGAAGAAGGCCTTCCCCAGACACTGAATCTGCCTGGGACTTCCCAGATCTTCTGGAGAGAACCGTGAGAAATAAATGTCTGCTGTTTGTAAGCCACACAACCTATGGCATTCTCTTATAGCAGTCTAAATAGACTAAGATAATACCATAAGGATCTACCTTTGGGACTGTGTGCTGTTATAATAAAGGCTCTGATAAGTCCTGCTAGCGCCGTTTAGACCAGGGGTTTCTAAACTTTTTGACCACACAAGTTATTTTTCCCTTTGCAAGCACCTTCCATGGAAATCTTTTGGGAGGCTGAGGCATGAGAATTGCTTGAACCCATGAAGTGAAGGTTGCAGTGAACTGAGATCATGCCACTGCACTCCAGCCTGGGTGATGGAGTGAGACTCTGTGTCAAAAAAAAAAAAAAAAAAAAAGAAAAGAAAGAAAAAAGAAAATATTTTCAAAATGATGCCATGGATTAAATCTGATAGTCACAAAGGATCCTTGTCTGGTGTTACCTCCATTTGATGGGTGAGGAAACAGGAGTCCTGAGAAACCAAGTAACTTGCTCAGGGTCATGCTGTTAGGATGTAGCAGAATCAGAACCAAAACCCTAAGTCCCAGACGACTAAAATCCACCACTCCAATGGAGAGGCCCTTACTGCAATGACCTGTTCTGAAGGAGCGAAACAAGGCATTTATTGCAGCATCATTTAATTAGGAAAAAAATCTGGAAAGACCCTGAATGTCCAACTAAAGGGAAATAGTTGATATTTATGATACTTCCATACAATAGAATGTTATGGGGCATCGATAATAGACATGAAGCACAGTAACATGAGGTGGCACATATTATAATGTAAAATGGAGAAATAAAGCAAAATGATAATCATGCAAATTAAATGCATGAAACTAAAAAAGAAATACAAAATAGTAGCTGTCTCTAGATGGTAGGTGAGTCAGTTCAGGTCCTCTGAGTAGCAGAAGGCAAAACAGAATTAATTGTACAAGGTCCCAGTCTCCACTGATTTCAAATCCACTTTTCAACTTCTGTATGAAGTTCTCATTCTCTTACTAATTTTTTTTTTTTTTTGAGGCGGAGTCTCACTCTGTTGCCAGGCTTGAGTGTAGTGGCGCGATCTCGGCTCACCGTAACCTGCGCCTCCCGGGTTCAAGTGATTTCCTGCCTCAGCCTCCCAGGTAGCTGGGATTACAGGCGCATGCCACCATGTCCAGCTAATTTTTGTATTTTTAGTAGAGACGGGGTTTCACCATGTTAGCCAGGATGGTCTCAATCTCTTGATCTTGTGATCCACCCACCTCGGCCTCCCAAAGTGCTGGGATTACAGGCATGAGCCACTGTGCCCGGCCCTCTTACTAATTTTAAATAACATGTCTCCTGCAGCTTCTGTATTGCAAATATAGGAAGTGATTTTGGCGAGCATTTGAATTATGGTAGCTGATCTGATCTGTTGTGTCTCCTTACTTTCTAATTCTTTCTTTACTTTCTGCTCTTTTCCTCCCTCTGCTTATTTGCTTCCTCTTGCTGTCTTCCTTTATCTCCTTTTCTTTTCCTACAAATTTCTAAAATGATAGCTGATGAGAAGGAAGATCACTCTTACATAATTTGATTCCTCAGTTTCCATTTTCTTCTTTTTACAAGTATAACATTCTATATTTCTTTTTTTTAAAAAAATTATTTTTTAATTGAAAAATAATGGTACCTATTGATGGAGTACGTAGTGATGTTTTGATATATATAATGTATAGTGATTTGATCAGGGTAATTAGCATATCCATCATCTCAAACGTTTCTCATTTCTTTGTGATGGTAACATTCAGTATCTTCCTTCTAGCTATTTGAAACTGCATTATTATTACCATTATCATTTTATTTTATTTAGACAGAATCTTGCTCTGTCACCCAGACTGATTTGTAGTAGCATGATCTCTGCTCAATGCAACCTCTGCCTCTCAGGTTCAAGCGATTCTTCTGCCTCAGCCTGCCGAGTAGCTGGGATTACACGCATGCTCCACCACGCCCGACTAATATTTTTTTAGTAGAGATGGGGTTTCACCATGTTTGCCAGGCTGGTTTCGAACTCCTGACCTCAAGTGGTCTGCTCACTTCAGAGTCCCAAAGTGCTGGGATCACAGGCACGAGCCACTGCGCCTGGCCAAAACTACATATTGTTAACTGTAGTCATCCTACAGTGGTTTACAACATGAAAGAAAACCAAGTATTAATTGTGCAGGAAATTCATTGAAGAAAATGCCTGTGAAGGGAAATGGGGAGGGAGCAGGGAGAGATTTCAGACCGTAATGCAGGTCTGACACCTCTGAAAGCAGAGTGGGAAGGAAGAGAGATAGTTAGAAAGAGAAAGGCTTCGGCACAACTCTGAGAATGTATCAGCCAGTGTAATAGTTCCTAAGGCAACTCTCTCTGTTGGACAACTCCCAGTTGGGTTAGAATCACCTAATTCCGTTACTTCCACTGTGCCCAGTCACTGGCTGGGAAAATCCCCAGGGAAGTGCAGCCTAGCATGAACACCTCGGTGGGTCAAAAGGTACAGCAGCTAGAGGTTGTCAGTTAGCTCTGCTTCCAGAGCAGTTCACCTTGAAGGAAGATTTGAGCACAGAACTTCCATGACTGAGAGCTTCTGGTGCACTTTACAGCAGAGGAATTTGTGAAGCAGGTTCACTGTTCACTGGCTACCAACTTGTCCAGTGAGACAGAACACTCCCACACAACAAGTTACCTGAGGTAGGTTTATTACTTACAGATAGGCAGCAAGAGATGGTAGAAGCCTAGGATTCATTGTGAGCTATTCCTCCAAGTCCCCGGAAACCTGCTGAGGGTAAGTAGAGTCATATCTGTGCATGCCTTACTTGCACAGAAGCTCAGATACCCCAGAAAGCAGCTGGTTCTGTGTTTTATACCCCAGGATGTGTGATTTGCTGGGCTAAAGTGTTTAAGACATTTTGTTTCTAGGGGTGGACTGAAACAGAGGTTGGGTCGTTCTGGCCAGTCCCTCTCTATCTCAAGATGTTGCATTTCTAGCACATTCTTCAGTTATTCTTAAGAACCATGAGTTGGGAAAAGAGGGAAGAACTGGGTAGGCCCAAGGCCACCCAGTGAACTGTCTAGCAGCATTTTGCATTTTGTAAAAGCACATTAACAATGGTTTTGAGAAGCTGAAGTCTGTGGACTGATTCTCCCTGTAAATACAGGCCTGCTTTACTAGCACCTGCACTTTCTGGTTCTTATGCCCCCTCAAAAGTGTACTGAGTCATTTGAACAGAAGGAGACTGCCCCTCCAGCTCCCCACAATGGGAAATTGTCATCACTGCCACAAAATGAATAGAAGGACTTGGCCAAGTTCATCTTCCTTTGTTTACTGCCTGCACTTCATCCCATTTGGAAGAGAGAAGCAATAGCATTGAATGGTCTGGCTTTTTTTTTTTTTTTTTTGTAATCATGGCTATACAGCAGGGTAATGAAGGTCAGAGATGGGGGCTTGAACCACCTGCCTGTGGTTTTGAGGTTTCCCCAAATACTCTATGGTTGTTAAGTTCCATAAGAAAGGGACTTGTTTTTCATTTTTATTTTCTTTCCAACTTTTATTTTAGGTTTGGGGGATACGTGCGCAGATTTGTTTCATGGGTAAATTGCATGTTATGGGGCTTGGTGTCCAGATTATTTCATCACCCAGGTAATGAATGTAGTACCTGGTAAGTAGTTTTTCAATCCTCACCCTCCTCCCATCCTCTACCTTCAAGTAGGACCCAGTGTCTATTGTTCCCTTCTTTGTGTTCATGTGAAGTCAGTGTTTACCTCCTAAGTGAGAATGTGCAATATTTGGTTTTCTTTTCCTGTGTTAATTTGCTTAAGATAATGGCATCCAGCTCCATCCATGTTGCTGCAAAGGTCATGATTTCATTCTTTTTTATGGCTGCATAGTATATTCCATGGTGTATATGTACCATACTTTCTTTATCTAGTCTGCAATTGATGGGCATCTAGGTTGATTCCCTGTCTTTGCTATTGTAAATAGTGCTGCAATGAACATATGTGTGCATGCATCTTTAAGGTAGAATGATTATTCTTTTGGGATTTATACCCATGAATGGGATTGCTGGATTCAACCTTAGTTCTATTTTAAGTTACTTGAGAAATCTCCAAACTGCTTTCCAGTGACTGGACTAATATACATTCCCATCAACAGTGTATAAGCGTTAAAGGGACTTAACTGCTGAATAGTCTTCACCCAACTCAAAGCCTGGCTCTCAGTAGATACTCAATATATTGCTTATACAATTAAAGGAATGGTTAAAAGGAAGGAAGATGTATGCAGAATCTGTGTACTGCTAAGTCAGCAAACATTTGCTGAGGGTCTGTTGAATTTGGTCCTGCTCAACATTGAACTTGCCCACTTCTCACCACCATTAAGGCTCCAGAAAATTTGTTTATCCACAGCCTTCTTCGTCTACCTTATTACCTTGTCATTTCTTTGAGACCTAATATCCATTCCTCCTGATCTCCAGCTCAACTCCCTAGAATCCATAGCTTCTAGAGTTTTGTTTATTTATTCCATTTTTATTTATTTGATTTATTCCACTTTCATTGAATATCAAGACCTCCAGGCATAGTTCCAGGCACCTGGTATGCAGCAACAAATATGATGTTCAGATAATCTCTTGCTGCATAAAAAAGAGCCTGATCCCACAGTGGCTGGAAACAAATATTTGGTATTATTGCTCATGACTCTGTGTTGATTGGGCTCACCTACGTGGTTCTCATTTCAAGTCCTATGCAGTTGTAGTCAGATAATGACTGGGGCTGGAGTCATCTGAAGGCTTGACTAGGCTGGCCATCCAAGATGGCTGAGACACATGGCTGGCATGATATTGGCTACTGGTTAGGAGCTCAGTTGGTGCTGTCGCCTGGAGCACTTTCATGTGGCCTTTCTATGTGGTTTGGGCTTCTCGTAGCATAGTGGTGTCTGAGTTCCAAAAGTGAGTATTCCAAGATATAGGAAGTAGCGCTTGATAGTCTTTTAAAACATGGACTGGAAAAGGGCACAGTATGATTTCCACCATATTCAATACGTCAAAGCAATCATGGAGGTCATTAAAGTCAAGGGAGAGGGTGTAGATCCCAAGAGATTGTTGTGTGTTTTTGTTTGTTTGTTTTTTGTATTTTTTTTGAGACGGAGTCTGCCTCTGTCACCCAGGCTGGAGTGCAGTGGTGTGACCTCGGCTGACTGCAACCTCCGCCTCCTGGATTCAAGTGATTCTCGTGCCTCAGCCTCCCGAGCAGCTGGGACTACAGGCGCCCACCACCACATCAGCTAATTTTTGTATTTTTAGTGGAGACGGGGTTTCACTGTGTTGGCCAGGTGGGTCTGGAACTCCTGACCTCAGGTGATCTGCCTGCCTTGGCCTCCCAAATTGCTGAGATTACTGATGTGAGCCACCGTGCCTGGCCCTAAGGGATTGCTTTGATGTAAAAATGTACAGCCATTTGAAAATGGCCACAGGTGGTCTCTGCTGTCAAGGACTTCAGAGTTGATAAAGAGATAGTGATGAAACCTATAGTAGGCTGAATCATGGCCACTCAAAGATAGCAGGTTCTAGTCCGCGGAACCTGTATATGTTAAATTATAAGGAAAAGGAGTCTTTGCAGGTATGATTAAATTAAGGATGTTGACATGGGGAGATTATTCTGGATTATCTAGGTGGGCCCTAAATTTGATTGCAAGTGTCTTATAAGAGAAAGGCGGAGAGATATTACACCCAGAAGACAAGAAGTTGATATATCCAGATGGAGGCAGAGATTGGGGTGATGCCACTCCAAGCAAGGTAATGCTGGCAGCCACCAGAAGCTGGAAGAGGCAAGGAACAGACTGTCCCCTAGCACTTCTATAGGGAACGAGCTCTACTGACACCTTGATTTCAGTTTATTGCAACCGATTTCAGTCTTCTGACCTCCAGACCTGGGAGAGAAGAAATTCCTGTTGTTTGAAGCCATTTAGTTTGAGATCATTGTTACAAAAGTCTCAGGAAATGAATACAAACCCAGACAATGACAAGCAAGGGTGGAGGTGATATGGAGGAAGCATATAGGAGGCACCTGAAGCCCAGCCCAGCTGGGAGAGAAGAAAGCAGGAATGCTTCTTTAAGCTCTGATGTTCAAATGAGAACACATGGACACACGGAGGGAAACAACACACACTGGGGACAGTTGGAGAGTGGGGGGTGAGGGGTGGGAGAGCATTAGGACAAATAGCTAATGCTTGTGGTGCTTAAAACCCAGATGATGGGTTGATAGGTGCAGCAAACCACCATGACACATGTATACCTACGTAAGAAACCTACACATTCTGCACTTGTATCCCAGAACTTAAAAAAAAAAAAAATTCTGACGTTGATTCATCCCTAGGAAGTGTGGCATCATGGTGATGTTCATTCATCCCTAAGAAGTGTGGCATATGACAACATGTGGAACTTGAATCCATTAAACTTCTTTTTCTTTACAAATTACCCAGTCTCAGGCATGTCTTTATTAGCAGTGTGAGAATGGACTAATACAAATATTATGATGAATGAGGACATTCTCATATCTTCCACAAAACCATCATGGAAGACATTATCCATCATTTGGTTACATTTCCCTTATGTAAGGATCCAAGGGGATCTGGAGTACTGCTTTTCTGTTTGCGTCTCAACTCTGCCACATACTAGCTGGGTTTATAGGCTGCTGTGAGGTTTCAATGAGTAAATCAAAACCTGTAAACACTTGGTGCATGCATAGTAAGTACTTAAAACTGGTATTGTTATAATTTTCGGGATATGGTAAAGGATATTGTTTTTCTGGGGAAAGACACTAGGCCCATCATGGGGGTAATACCCTCGTGACCTCGTCTAACCCAAATTACCTCCTCCAAATGCCATTGCACTGGGGGCTAGGGCTTCAACGTGTGGATTTGGTGGAGAAAGACAAAGACATTCAGTCCATAACAATTTTCCTTGGATTTTTATGTATATGATCAAGTCACCTAGGAATGATGACTGTTTCATTTCTTCCTTTCTGGACATTTCCCCCCTGTCTAACTGCACTAGCTAGGATATCCAGGACAATGTGGAATGGAAGTGAGGCTTATGGGTATCAGTGCTATGATACCATCCACAGGGAGAAACCTTTGGCTTTGTATGAAAAGCTGATGGGTAGGGATATTGATATGGTTTGTCTGTGTCCCCACCCAAATCTCAACTTGAATTGTAGCTCCCATAATTCCCATGTGTCATGGGAGGGACCCAGTGGGAGGTAATTGAATCAAGATGGGGGGTCTTTTCCATGCTATTCTTGGCCAGTTGTCAGCCTGCCCAACATATTGTGAAACCGTGTCTCTACTAAAAATAATAAGCCCTCTCTTGCCTGCTGCCATGTAAGATGTGACTTTGCTACTCCTTTGCCTTCTGCCGTGATTGTGAGGCCTCCCTAGACATGTGGAATTGTGAGTCCATTTGTGAGTCCACCTCTTTTTCTTTATAAATTACCCAGTTTCAGGTATGTCTTTATTAGCAGTGTGAGAATGGACTACTTCAGATGTCATGATGAATGAGGACATTCTCATATCTTCTGCAAAACCATCATGGGAGACATTATCCATCATTTAGTTACATTTGCCTTATGTAAGGATCCAAATGGAATTTTTTTTGAATTCTATTCTAAGAAAAATCATTTCCTTTCCTGTGAACAGCTATACTTCCCTTTGTTAAATGATGATATTCATGTGTCCTTTATGTTTTCTTTTTCTTTTGCTCTGGCTATTAGGGAGCTAAAACCCAAGAGCACACGCAATCAAAATAACCATATTAAATGAGTTTTCTTATGTATTTGATAAATAAATAATTTTTCTTTTGGTTTCCCTTTGGGTGTACCTTTTATTGCAAGCTGTCTCAAGAAGTTTTTTTCACAGTAAATGGGGATAAAATTATTTTAAAAGAATAATACCTGACCTGATTATTACCTGGGTTTATTTCATTGACTGAATGGTGAGACTAATGAATGGACAAGAGCTTTATGAACTGTAAAATGCCGTGTCTGTTATTAACTAGGGGAAGAACATGATTGTCCTTGACTTTAACCAATGTACCTTGTGTCTTCCTTAGTTGGCACTGATGGTTCTGAGTTAGGTAACCATGCTCCCTAAAGCCTCTGAGATTTCCCCTGAGCATCCTGGCCACTCAGTGCTTATTTTGCACCACTCTTGTGTGTCCAGGATGACTCCTTCAACTTTATCTTTCTTCTAGAAAGTTGCTATCCATTGTTTACATCCAGTGGCTCATGCATTCATAGACTGCAGCAGCATTTTCTAAGCACCAGCTGCTGGGTATGTATTGGTTACCTGCCCAGCAACCCTTTTCTCTTCTTCTTTGCTGAGACCATCCCATTTTCATTCATGCATCAGTTGGCAATATGCCCAGAGAAATGGAGCCCCTTCCTTCCTCATGCTCTTAGGCATGGAACTCAGTTGGCCCAAGCCAGGCATGCTCATCTTGTTTCTCTCACTGCTGACTGGTTTAGCCTTGGGCACATGACCTGGTTCTCAGTAGTGAGCTAGTAAGGATCAGAAAAACCACAAAGCCATGACATTATTGAATTAACCTGTCTGGACCACCTACGCCTGGATTTTGTGTGGGAGATACAATAAATCTGGATTATAGGTTGGTGCAAAATTAATATTTAAATCACCTGTAGTTCAACTCTGTGTTGCTTGCAGTCAAAAGTATCCTTATCAGGCTGGGCACAGTGGCTCACGCCTGTAATCCCAGCATTTTGGGAGGCTGATACAGGCGGATCACCTGAGGTCAGGAGTTTGAGACTAGCTTGGCCAACATATAGTGAAACCCTGTCTCTACTAAAAATAAAAAATTAGCTAGGCGTGGTGACACGTACCTGTAATCCCAGCTACTCAGGAGGCTGAGGCAGGAGAATCGCTTGAACCTGGGAAGCAGAGGTTGCAGTGAACTAAGATCCCGCCACTGCACTCTAGCCTGGGTGACAGGGCGAGACTCCATCTCTTGCAAAAAAACAAAAAAAGTCCTAATCAACTGTTTTAGTTTGGATGCTCACTGAAGTAGACTCTGAGGCAAGGATTTGAGTGCCAATAGTTTATTAAGCTTGAGGAGGTGGGGGAAAGGGGACAGGCAAGGGAGGGAAGTGGCAAGAAAGATGCATTATCATGTCAGTTACCAGTGTGGGGAATCACAGTTTAATCTCTCTGGGGAACTCTGGAAAATGACACAGAGCAGGGATTTGCAAACTATTGGCCCATGGCAAACCTGTTCTGCCACCTGTTATTTCAATAAAATGTTCCTGGAATACAGTCACACCCTTTCATTTATGTATAGCCCATGGCAGCTTTTATACAACAGCAGCAGAGTTGAGCATCTGTGAGAGACAATATGACCTGCAAAACATAAAATATTTACTATATGACCCTTTTTCAAGAAGTTTGCCAACCCTAGTGTTGAGCATGTAGCTCAGAATCACCCCCTGGAGGAGTGAAGGAGCTGGGATATTTATACATCCCTCCAGTTAGTCACTGGTGAAGACCTAATGCAGGAGGTATGTTAATTCTCCAGGACTTCCGACCTGTCCTGTGCACAGGCATTGTGGGCCCTGGCCAAGCAAAGAGATGTAAATACCGATTGTTGGGATTTGTGCAAGTATGGACCCTACTGGTCCATACCAGTACACTAACAGAGATGGCCACATCAGTGCATCCAGAGATGGCTGAGAAGTGCACCTGTCCTCCAGGAACCCATAGTCTGAAGGCAAGGTTGGAAATGGCCAAACATTTTTATTTTTATTTTTTTTGAGATGGAATCTCACTCTGTCACCCAGGCTGGAGTGCAATGGAATGATCTCGGCTCCCTGCAACCTCCGCCTCCCAGGTTCAAGTGATTTTCCCTCCTCAGCCTCCCAAGTAGCTGGGATTACAGGGACCTGCCATCATGCCGGCTAATTTTTTGCATTTTTATAGAGATGGGGTTTCACCATGTTGGCCAGGCTGGTTTTGAACTCCTGATCTCAAGTGATCCACCCACTTCAGCCTCCCAAAGTGCTGGGATTACAGGTGTGAGCAATCGCACCTGGCCTTTATTTTTATTTTGTGAGACAGGGTCTCACTCTGTTGCCCAGGCTGGAGTACAGTGGCACAGTCATAGCTCACTGCAGCCTCAAAATCCTGTGCTCAAGTGATCCTCCCACTTCAGCCTCCCATGTAGCTGGAACCACAGGCCTGTAGCATCCTACCTGGCTAATTTAAAAAACAAACAAAAAAAAAAACAAAAAAAATAAAGTGTGTAGAGACAGTCTCACTGTGTTGCCCAGGCTGGTCTCAAACTCTTGGGCTGAAGCATTCCTCCTGTCCCCGCCTCTCAAAGTGCTTGGGATTACAGGTGTGAGTCACTGTGCCCTGCTCAAACATTTTATAATTAAGTAGAAAAACCGACATGTCAGCTGGGGTCCCCTGAATCCTCAAAGATCTAGGTAAGATCTTCTATGCAGGCTACTTCCTGCTAATCTGGGGAGGGCGACCTTCTCAAGGTCGTATCTGCCTCTGGCCCTGGTGCCCCCAACCCACGCTGGCTCTGCTTTTTCCCCTACAGGAGCTTAAGTGCAGAACTTTGCGTCTCCCATTGCCTGCAGGAAACCTACTCAGCTAGTGAGTTCATAGGGCTTCACTGAAGACTGGGGGATTCTGGAGGGGATGATTTTCTGGCACATTCAGGCTTCTAGAACCCTCTATTCTTTCCCCAGCTCTGCTTCTCGTTTTTTTTTTTGTCTGGCTCCAAAACCTTACTCCTTTTATTGAGCACATTATTTCTCTCCAGTTCCCACCTCTGCATTTCCTTTCCTGAATGCTTCTAGGGCCTCAGCAGAACAAGGAACGCCTCATTGATGACGTTAAAAAACAACAACAACAAAACAACCTAAGACACAAGACACAGACAAAACTTTTTTTTTTTTTTTTTTTTTTTGGTATTCTCCAGACAAAACGTTTGCAGCATGAGATGAGGTCCCCTTTGGAAACATCTCCCCACATTCTGTGATTCTGCCAAGTCCTCTAAATTTTGTCTCCTCCTTCATCCACCAGGTGGATTTCAGGACTCCTACTGTCAGAGGCTTGGAATAAACCTCTGGCATGCTTTGCTTCTGTTTTGCTTTCTTTCTTTCTTTTTTTCTGAGATGGAGTTTTGTTCTTGTTGCCCAGGCTGGAGTGCAATGGCGTGATCTCGGCTCACCACAACCTCCATCTCCCAGGTTCAAGTGATTCTCCTGCTTCAGCCTCCAGAGTAGCTGGGAAGCTGGGATTACAGGCATGCGTCGCCACGCCCATCTAATTCTGTATTTTTAGTAGAGATGGGGTTTCTCCATGTTGGTCAGGCTGGTCTCAAACTCCTGACTTCAGGTAATCTACTCGCCTAGGCCTCCCAAAGTGCTGGGGATTACAGGCATGAGCTATCGCATCCGGCCCTGTTTGGCTTTCTAAAATAGACTGTGTGTCTCACCCAGCATGACGTTAGATCTGTTTAGCATGACAGCATTCCATTGAGTCAACTCCTTGGACATACTATATGTTTTGTTTCCCTGGTAGCTAATTAAATAAGACAACTAAGTGCAGTCTAGAAAGTTCCTCTCATAACAAAGTTCCCAAGAATTTACGTCTTTGCTTTACTTACTTACTTTTTCGTGGTAGTTGAAGTTCAAGTGGAAACTGATTATAAAGGAGAAACCTAAATCAAGTTAGGTGAATTCTGCAGTATGAACTGTGCTTGGAAAATCTAACTGGTAATGTATCCACATTGGGAACTTGGTCCTTCCTCTCACAAAGAAAATTCCAGGTCAATTTCATCCCCTATGCTAAGCATTTGAGTGTTCAGGAATGTGATTTTAGTTTTATAAAAATTGTTCTTTTTAAAATTCCTGTCAAATAATCAGATTTTTTTCTCAGCACATTTAGAAGTAAAAATGGAAAGTTTAGAGCATTTTGATATTTTAGTATTTCCATGAAGTCATTTAACCCTCCCAGACTAGTTTCAGAGTTTTGTCTTCCAGCCCATCTTTGTGTCTCACTGTACATTTTCTGCATGTACAATGAGAGGTGATTTTTAATTGGAATCCCTTAGATTTTTAGAGAGAAAGCTCTCCTCCTCTATTCTTCTTCCTCTCCTCTCACTGTCTCTCATTTTAATCCAGAGAATCAAAGTGTCTCTTACAGGCTTGGATATCAAGCTGAACTGTTAAAAACAGTGGGGTCCAGGAACCTGAGTTTAAAACAAGCACCTCTGATTGTCTAAGTGGACTTAGAGAAAGACAAATGCTGTGTGATCTCACTTATTTGTGGAATTTAAAAACGTTGAACTCATACAAAAAGAGTAGAATTAGCTAAGTGAACTAATTCAGACAGAGAAAGACAAATGCTGTGTGATCTCACTTATCTGTGGAATCTGAAAATGTTGAACTCAGAGGAAAAGAGAGTCGAATTAGAATGGTTGCCAGGGGCTAGGAGGAAATGTTGCTCAAAGGGTACAGACTTTCGGTGATAAGATGAATAAGTTCTGGGCATCTCATATTTGGCACGGTAACTATGGTTAACAATACCATATTGCTTACTTGAAATTTGTTAAGAGAGCAGCTCTTAAAATTTTTTTTTTACTTTTTGTGGGTATATAATAAATGTATATATTTACGGGTACATGAGATGTTCTGATACAGGTATGTGGTGTGTAATAATCACATCATGAAGAATGGGGTATCTATACCCTCAAATATTTATCCTTTGTGTTACAAGCAATCCAAATACACTCTTTCAGTTATTTTAAAATGTACAATTAGGCCAGGCGTGGTGGCTCACGCCTGTAATCCTCACACTTTGGGAGGCCGAAGCAGGTGGATCACGAGGTCTAGAGTTTGAGACCATCCTGGCCAACATGATGAAACCCCGTCTCTACTAAAAATACAAAAAATGAGCCAGGCATGGTGGCATATGCCTGTAGTCCCAGCTACTCGGGAGGCTGAGGCAGGAGAATTGCTTGAACCCAGGAGGCAGAGGTTGCAGTGAGCCCAGATCGCGCCACTGTACTCCAGCCTGGTGACAGACCAAGGCTCTGTCTCAAAAAAAAAAAAAAAAAAAAGTGCAATTAAATTATTGACTATAGTCACTCTGTTGTGCTATCAAGTAGTAGGTCTTTTTTTTTTTTTTGGAGTGAAGATCTCATTTCTGTTACCCAGGCTAGAGTGCAGTGGCATGATGACAGCTCACTGCAGCCTCGACTTCCTGGGCTCAAGTGATCCTCCCACTTCAGCCTCCTGAGTAGCTGGGACTACAGGTGTGCCCCACAATGCCTGGCTATTTTTTGTATTTTTAGTAGAGATGGGGTATTGCCATGTTGCCCGGCTAGTCTTGAAATCCTGGCCTTAAGCGATCTGTCCGCCTTGGCCTCCTAAAGAGCTGGGCTTACAGGTGTGAGCCACCACACCTGACCAAGTAGTAAGTGTTACTCATTCTTTGTAACTATTTTTCTTGTACCCATTAACCATCCCTACATTCCCCAGCCCACTACCCTTCCCAGGCTCTGGTAATCACCATCCTTTCACTAAGAGACCAGATCTTAGGTGTTCTCATCACATAAACATCCAAAGACAACTATGGGAGGTAATGAATAGGGTAATTAGCTGGTTCATGGTGATCATTTCACAATTTGTGTATACATATATCTCCAAAGATCACATTGTACACTGTAAATGTATTCCATTTTTATTTGTCAATTTTACCCCTCTAAAGCTGGGAAAATGAAATAAAATAAGCATCCTGGGCAGGACTGGCTGCATAGTTTTCAGGGCCCAGCACAAAACGAAAATGTGGGGATTCTTGTTATGAAAATTATAGGAATTCTGGCTGGGTGCAGGGGCTCACACCTGTAATCCCAATACTTTTGGAGGCTGAGGCTGGGGAGTTGCTTTGAGTCCAGGAGTTTGAGACCAGCCTGGGCAACATGGCAAAACTGCATCTCTACAAAAAAAAAAATGAATAAATTAAAAAATAAATAAATAAATAAATCAGCCGGGAATGGTGGTATACATCTGTGGTCCTAGTTACTCGGGAGGCTAAGGCAGGAGGACCGCTTGAGCCTAGGAGGTTGAGGCTGCAGTGAGCCATGTTCATGCCACTGCATTGTAGCCTGGGTGACAGAGAAAGACCTTGTCTCAAAAAAAAAAAAAAAAAAAAATTATAGGAATTTCAAAATGCCAGCATCACAGTGGGGTCGTCTAATTATGGGGCCTTGTGCAGTTACCCCAGGCAGCATAGCAGGAAGCCTGGAAGAGCTTTGCTGCAGGATTCAGATCCCAGACCATGGTGCCCATGAGTTTCAAGATCTTGTAACATGAAGGCGTGTCTTCAACAGACTCTCTCCAAAGAAATCCTCTCTTGCTCTTGGCCCTTCTTTGTGCCTGAAAAGCGTGAGAAGAGGGTGTAAGCAGGACAGAACCACTTTTATTTTTATTTATATATATTTTTTGAGATGGAGTCTCGCTCTGTCGCCCAGGCTGGAGTGCAGTGGCGCCATCTCGGCTCACTGCAAGCTCCGCCTCCCGGGGTCACGCCATTCTCCTGCCTCAGCCTCCCCCGAGTACCTGGGACTACAGGCGCCCACCACCACGCCCCGCTGATTTTTTTTTTTTTTTTTGTATTTTTACTAGAGACGGGGTTTCACCGTGTTAGCCAGGGTGGTCTCCGTCTCCTGACCTCGTGATCCGCCCGCTTTGGCCTCCGAAAGTGCTGGGATTATAGTCGTGAGCCACTGTGCCCGGCCAGAACCACTTTTCAAAGATTTTGTTTGAAAATCTGCCTTTTGATTTTGTACTTGATTTTGGAATTCTTTATTATTATTATTATTTTTTGAAACGAAGTCTGGCTCTGTCACCCAGGCTGGAGTGCAGTGGCGTGATCTCTGCTCACTGCAAGCTCCGCCTCCCGGGTTCACGCCATCCTCCTGCCTCAGCCTCCCAAGTAGCTGGGACTACAGGCGCCCGCTACCACGCCCGGCAAATTTTTTGTATATTTAGTAGAGACGGGGTTTCACCGTGTTAACCAGGATGGTCTCGACCTCTTGACCTCGTGATCCGCCCGCCTAGGCCTCCCAAAGTGCTGGGATTACAGTCGTGAGCCACCGCGCCGGGCCTGGAATTCTTGATGCTTTAAACAAAACTTAACATCTTGCCTGACATGTTTTTGTAGCCCAACAGGATAACTAAAACGCCAGCATTAAAACTCAGTCCCTGGCAAGATGTTGTCTGTGATCTCCTTCATCTTCACGACAAGATCATCTAGGGTTGTATGCTGAGGTTAGCAGCAGAGTCTCAGTGGAGTCGACCCTGCAGGTGGGAAGCCACACTTGGAATTCCTCCATCGTGCTTAGTTCACCTTGAGGACTAGGTAGCTATCTAATGGCAGAATGGTTTCAAAACCCAAGTATCTGTGAAGAGCTTTCTCTTTTGTGAATTCTTCGGTCCAGCTCAGTGACTTCCAACTGTTCGAGGGGCATAGTTATGACTTAAAATGATTACATACACAAGTACATGCACACTCTATAAATTATGGTTGATTTAAAGGAATCTCAGGAGTAATTTTGACCACAAATAATTTTTCCTCTTCTGTACTAACTATGGAAATGAAATGTTTGTGTAATATATGATTTCATTTTGCCAGAATATATGAATACTTCTGTGAAAGTGTCCTGAAATAAATGAAATGCTGTCTCTGCAAAAAAAAAAACCTAAAAAACAAAAACAGTTCTTTGGCTGTGACATGGACATGAATAAAAAGGTTATAACTAGCATCAAATTCAAGCATTTGGTTTTATTGCTTATGTGAACACAGCATGGAACATCTTTTGATTCACGTTTTCCCCATTCTTAGTCGTGTTATCTGTTCGTGACTATGCAAGTGGTTTTGTCTCTCAGGGACATTTGGTCATGTCTGGAGACATTTTCAGTTGTCACAACTGGGGATGAGGAAATGGTGCTACTGGCATCTGGTGCGTAGACTTCAGGGATGCCAGTAAACATCCTGCAGTGGGCGGAATAGCCCTGCATGGTAGAGAATGATCCACTCTAGATGGTGTCAGTGCCCTCTAAACATTACGTCCTGGGCTGTACCCACTCTCTGGATGTGAAAATGGAGGCCTAGGGAGGCTAAGCACTTATTTATTATTTCTTTGTAGTTAAAAAAAAGTCCATCTTGTTCCAGGAAGGAACAATTTACTTTCTAAACATGAGGCATAAAACAGAAATAACTAGGAAATCGGTGGAAATGTGTTTTCATGGGGACCGTGTAGACTGAGGACAAATTTTCAGGCTTCTATTTGTCCGGTGAGGTTAGTGCTTGTGCGCTGGGCCAAGTCAACATCCTCTTAGCGGTGTCTTGTCTCCTTCCTGATTTAGAAAAGGCAAACCCACCTGCTGTCATGAAAAATACCTTCTAGAAGCTACCGGGTAATTGGGTGATATTTCTGGATTTGTCTCCCTGTCTAATGTACATCAGTTAAACTTTTGACTCTTCAGTGCCTTCTGGAGAAAGTAATAATCGGAAACTAAATCGACTTGGTTTTTTCTCTCCCCCTTTGCCCCGTATTTGTAAAGATTAATCTTCAGTATCTATGAGTGCTGGGTGATTTGCGGAAACTGCAGCTGCTTTGTCAATATCAGCTTGGCCTCCATTGATCAAACCCTCATTTAGGCGTTCACTGCCGTCTGCTGGAAACAGCCCAGGGATGAGGAGGGAAGGGAAAAGGCCACTTCGGGAGGCCACCTTGCCTTGGAGTTTCCGTCGTTTTCCGAGGTGAGCTTGGATGTCACTGCTCAGCACAGTTGATTAAAGAGGTTGGTGCTGTGAGTGAGTCACTGTGTGGGAATCAATCCCGATGGTGGCAGATATGAATAAAGCGTCGGTGTAACTGTCCTGGCTGGATTGTTTTTCTCCGTCTCACCATACTGTTTTCCCTCTGCACGTGTCTGTGACCTCCGGCAGGCTTGCAGATAAAAGTGATGCATCTTCATTTTGTCGGAGGAGTTAATTTTGTGTGTATTCCAAGGTAAGATGATACTCACGGTGCTTATATCTTGGGCACCCACTGTGCATTGGACACTTTCCATAAATTAACTCAAATTTTTCTTAGCAGCTTGCTATGGCTCTTCACTGTTTCTCCAATTCGATTTACAAAACCTTGATTTCAGTGGGATCCCTGTTTGCTCTTGCAAACTCTTCACTCACCACCTGCTTTTTGCCCACTCCACTTCAGCTGCCCTGAACTTTGTGTTGCTGGAATTGACTTTGCTCACTCACACCTCTGGTCCTTTGCACATGCTGTGCCCTGGGCTTAGTACATTTCACTTTCATCCTCTTAACCTCGTTCATATCTTGCTTGGGACAACAGATACGGCTGTAAGTATCAGAAAACTCTATTATCATGGCTTGAAGGTGCAAGGGTTTATTTGGCTTACACAATAAGCTAAACAGTAGGCAAGCCATGTTGGTAGAGTGAATCAAAGAGACCATCAGAAACCCCCACTTTTTTCATTTTCTTGCTCTGCTGTGCAATTTCTATCCTCATGGTTACAAAATAGCTGCTTCATCTCCAGGCATCACGTCAGCAGGCATAGAAGCCAAGGGAGGGCAGCAAGCCAGAAAACTAAAGGTGCGCTCTCCCTTCTTTTCACTGGTCACAACTACGTCAGATGGCCAGCCCTAGCTGCAAGAGATGCTAGTGAAAGATGATTTTTAGCTGGATACATTGTCGCCCTCAGCAAAATAAAGATGCATTTTTCTTATTAGCAGAATCCTAACAATTAAGATTCAGTGCTCAGTTTTGATGCCACTCAGCTGAGTGGTCCTCCCTGAATCCCTGTGACAGAGTTGGGACACACAGGTATTAGGCAATCTCATAGATGGCATTGGAGTTACATGAAATTGTGGTCTTGTTTCCCTATCTGGATTGAAAGCTCCATGAGGAGGACTTGGTCTACCTTTCACACAGTTGTATCTCTACTACCTACATAGTTCCAGATATATAGTAGATGCTCAATAAGTAATAAATGAAGGAGTTACATGAAATTGTGGTCATGTTTCCCTATCTGGATTGAAAGCTCCATGAGAAGGAGGACTTGGTCTGTCTTTCACACAGTTGTATCTCTAGTACCTACATATATAGTAGTTCTAGATATATAGTAGATGCTCAATAAATACTTAATAAATGAAAAATAGCTACTATTTTGCCCCTTTGTAGTTGACACCTAGAGCTTTAGGGAGATAAGATAACTTGCCCTAAGTAACACATGTACTCCTTAATTCCTCCATTCAGTAATGTTTATAGTGCACCTTCTATGAGCCAGGTCTTGTTTCAGACACTTGGGATACATCAGTGAACAAAGCAGATAAAACGACTGCCTTTGAGACCATTATCCCTAATATTTTATTACAAAAAATTTCGCACATACAGCAGAGTTAAACCAATTTCATAGGGAACACGTGTTCAGTTACTACCTAGGTTCTACCAGTCACTGGGGCACATTGATACCAGTGGGGGAAGGCACACAGTAAACCGGAAACAAAACAAGTAAATTACATGGCATTGTAGAAGGTGGCAACTGCTATGAGAAATACAGAGAAGGTAACGGGGTGTAGGGCGTGCAGTTCGGGGTGGTGGTGGTGGCCAGGCTTGGCCTCATTGAGATGGCGACAGTTATGCAAAGACTTGAAGGACATGAGGGAGCAGTGTCGATATTGGAGGGCAAAGCAGTTCTAGGTGGAGGCAACAGCCAGTGCAAAGGTCCTGAGGTGGGAATCTCTGTTCCAGGAGGGGCAAGGTGGAATGTGTGGTTGGAGGAGGAGCGTTGATGGTGGCTGGGTTAGTAGAGGAGGAGGAGTTTGGGGAAAAAGATCAAGGGAACTCAGCTTTGGACAGGCTATGCTTGAACAACTCAGGGGCAGAGCTGGGATTTAGATCCCAGACCTCACAACCTTCCTGTATTAGGGTTCTCTAGAGAAATAGAACCAGTAGGATATATATGTCTATTTATTATATGGATTGTTGTATGCAGTTATGGAGGCTAGGTTCCATGCTCTGCCATCTGCAAGGTGGGGTATGAGGAAAGCCAATGACATTAAGTCCCAGGGTAAGTCTGAAGGCCCAAGAACCAGGAGCTCTGATCTCCAAGGTCAGGAGAAGGTGAATGTCCCAGCTCAAATAGAAAATGTACACTTCCTTTGCTTTTCGTTCTGTTTGGGCTCTCAACAGATGGGATGATGTCTGCCCACATGGGTGAGGGTGGTCTTCTTTTTTTCTTTTTTTGAGACGGAGTCTTGCAGTGTTGCCCAGGCCCGAGTGCGGTGGCATGATCTCGGCTCACTGCAAGCTCCGCCTCCCAGGTTCACGCCATTCTCCTGCCTCAGCCTCCCGAGTAGCTGGGACTACAGGTGCCTGCCACCACGCCCGGCTAATTTTTTGTATTTTTAGTAGAGATGGGGTTTCGCCATGTTAGCCAGGATGGTCTCGATCTCCTGACCTCGTGATCGGCCCACCTTGGCCTCCCAAAGTGCTGGGATTACAGGCGTGAGCCACCGCACCTGGCTGAGGGTAGTCTTCTTTACTCAGTCTACAGATTCTAATGCTAATCTCTTCCAGAAATGCCCTCATAGACACACACACCCGGATGTAATGTTTTACCAGCTATCTGGGCATCCTTTAGCTCAGTCAAGTTGACACATGAAATTAACCGTCACACTTTACCATTTTGCCAACATCTGTCCCCCAGTCATTCAAAGACACTGTGACCAGCTGGCCAGGTGGCAAGAATTCCTAGGGCACAAGCCTGAAGCCTTCGGGAGAAACTTCAGCTTTACAGGGGGCAGAATGTTTGGTAACTATTTAGATTTAAAGCAGAAGCACTTTGGATTGAGCAATTTCATATGTGACAACTGTCTTTGCCACAAGCAACAGCAGAGACCTGCAGATGAGAACACCTTTATGAAGAACAAGACCATGCTTTGAAGTTGGGCAGAGATCTTGGTTCAAATCCTGGCTCTGCTGCTTGTTAGCTAAGTCACTTCAGGTAAGCGATTTAACTTCTTTGGGCCTTGCTTTCTTGATCTGTCAAGTGGAGGTTCATAATAGTATCACCCCTTGAGGGCAGATAAACTGATGTATGTTTATGCATACATAAACTGATGTATGTGATGTAATTTAGCACGGTGCTGGTCCACAGGTGAATGGAGATGATTTTTGACTTTCTGTCTCGCAGAAAGTCTGTACCTCCCCAAGGACATCTCATGCCCACAGCAGCCCAGCATTGAGTCCTCACCAACCCAGACTGACTTTCCAGCCTCATATCCTCAAAGGATCTGACATTTTCCAGCCACCAACCTTGGTTTGCACTATGCCCTTCATCAAAAATGTCTTTGCTTCTCTTTGATGCCTGGGTATCTATTCCTTTAGAACCCATTTCAAATTTCTCCTCCTTAAAGATGCCGTTGGTCACTGTTCCAATCTGTAGGATACTCTGTTTTGCCCAGATCCCTTTTGCACTGCCTTCTGGGACTCAGATACAGAGGGGGCAAAACATCCCGGAAGGGGTGGGGCCCATGGACTGCTCTTGGAGTGGGGACAGAGATCACCACGAGATGGCGCTATTGAGCCATCACTGTCAACTGGTTTTTCTCTGTTTTCATTTTCTTACTTGATGAGAAATGTGTGATTTCCAAATAGTCCCAGAAGGAATAGAACTGTGACTGTGTCCCACCACTAAAAAGGTGGTTTTGCATATCTCTGATCGTCCTATCACATCGCCCACTGTTAAAAATTCCATCCCCACATGCAGGGGATTTAGAAGGAGAATATCACACACTTGCTACCACCCCCAATCCATGCAAATACCTTGGTACTTGCTATAGACACTTGGTACACAAATACTGCCTCAGTCTTTTATTAAATTATATTTTATATATTGCATCAGAGTATTAAGCCCTTAAGGGTAGGACCTGGGGTCCATGCCAACTTACTAGAACGGTGTCGACTTCTCTAGGATATGGAATCCACACAGCTCCTTGGAAAGCTGGAAAATGCAGTTTTGAAGCAACCCTGCTTCATTTCCACACCAATGGAAAGGAAAGTGATAAATCCTTTATGGCCAAGAGTCCGTTCTGTTTATTTCTTCCTGGAAATGCTATTGATGGTGGCTGGGGAAGTTGTTTGTTTTTTAATCTTTCCCTTGGCAAGGTCTCCTTACTCATAGCCCTTCCTTATGTTCCCCAAATGGTGCAGGGGGCAGTGTTCAGAAGCCCAGTATGCAGGTCTTGCACAGAGGAGAATTATGGCTTAAAGAAACTTGGCTAAGTGTGGTGGCTCACACCTGTAATCCCAGCACTTTGGGTAGGTCAAGGCAGGCCAGATCGCTTGAGTCCAGGAGTTTGAGACCAGCCTGGGCAACCTGATGAGACCCCATCTCTACAAAAAATTAGCCAGGGATGGTGGTGCATGCCTGTAGTCCCAGCTACTCAGGAGGCTGAAATGGGAAAATTGCCTGAGTCCGAAAGGTGGATACTAAAGTGAGCCGAGATTGTGCCACTGTACTCCAGTCTAGGTGATAGGGTGAGACCCTGTCTCAAAAAAACAAAACAAAATAAAAACCAACAACAGAAAAAGAAACTTGGGTGGGATCATGTGTCCAGGCCTCAGCACTGTTGTCCCTTACTCTAACTCCTGCAGAGAGGTCCTTGAACAGACGTAAGCGGACACACCTTGAAGTCAAGGTGCTCTTTGCAAAGCAACACAATGTTATTGACATATTCCATTTGAATAACCAAATTTTGTAGTTGATTGTGCGCTAAGGTGGATACGCATTACATTATGTTCTTATGTAGGGAAGTAGAAGTTAGTGCCGAGATTTAAAGAAAAATCAGTGGGGAAAATAACAGTTGAATCTTATTTGTTTAAAAACTTAGGACTTATTTATTCTTCTGTCCACCCATTCATATATACATTTAACAAAAGTATTTGAAATTAGTTTTATATTGCTATTTATTTTAAAAATAGGTATTATACACGTATGGCTCAAAATTGGAAAGATACAAAAGAGTGTATAGTAAAAGGTAGTTTCCACTCCCATCCTTGTCCTAACCAGTTTGTTTCTTCACAGAAATGGCAACCACTATTGATAGTTTTCTATGTTCCCCTTGAGAAATATTCTATATTGTAAATGTATATTCATGTATTCATTTATTCACCCATCTATCCATTTATTCATCTACCCATCCATTTATTATCTAGCCACCTATCCATAGATGGATCCATTTATGCATCCATCAATTTATTCATCTATTTACCCATCCATCCATTCATCCATTTATCCATCCATCTATCTATTTACTTTCCATTAATCTATCCATTCTTTCATCCACTTATCCATCCATCTATCCATCCACTTTGCATTCATCTATCCATTCATTCATCCATCCATTTATCCATTCATTCATCCATTTATCCATCTATTCATTTACTTACCCATTTATCCATCCATCTATCCATCCACACACACATCCATTTATCCATCCATCCATCTATTCACTCATCCATCCATTTATCCATCTAATCCATTCATTAATCCATTTACCCATCTATGTCATTTTTTTCCAGGAAGAGGAAAAGGGCAGCCATTATTTGGTTTTAGATGGTAGACCAAATTTGTGCTACTGTTCCACTGGAAAAGAGATTTGGAACCACTCCTTGGCGTTAAGCCAGCCACTCCAAAGCTGTAGTGTTGCAATGTCATACATCTGTCAGGGAAGGCTGAACATTTTAAAAACAATTGGGTATGGCCATTCAGATTTTATTTTGGCCCAGCATAATGAGTTTGTGTTTGATTCTGAAGGAGAGGGAGATTTGTAATAAATCAGCAAGTGAAATTAAAAGTGAGCCAGTGAGGTGCCATAAAAGGGTGGTTGGAATCAGACATTCTCAAATCCATATCCTATCCCCACCCATGTTAAAAGCTATATAGGAGGTTATTTAACTTCTTGGGAGTCTCAATTTTCCTCTTATGTTCTGAGATGGGGATAATTGTATTTTTCTTTGCAGGTTAAAGGCTAACACAATGCTTGGATATAGTCAGTGCTCATGTGGTAACTGCCCTTAACATTATTAAGCCCACATAATTCTCTTCTTTTTTGTAAGCAGTTGAGATCTTTAGGTTGAAGATTCAATATACAATGTAACAGAGTCAGAGGGTGGGTGGCAAAAGGTACATACATACTGCAGGGCAGGGACTTGGAGTATGGAATGGAGAAATAGCAGAGGACATCTTCCAGCTGCAGTTGGGATGGGTGCTGAGCTACAAAGCTACTAGAGAAATAGGAAACTCAGGTCTCATCATTGCAGGGACCCTTGTTTCCTGCAAAGAATCCTTGGAGAAATCTCTCCCACTGTCTCTGGGCATTGTATTCAGAAATGTCTGGCCTGGATGATAGTCTTCCTGCTTTTGGCCTCACCCTCTATCCACTGTCCTCTGCTGAATCTTTCTAAAATGCTTGCTTAAAACTCCTTATCTCCTTCAGGAGAAAGTTAAATCCTTTACCACACAAGGCCATTACCTGGGGGCCCTTTCTAACTCCTCCCACCTCAATTTTGTCCTCTTTCTGCAGGTATCTAAGTGTCATGATTTAGATGTCCTGGCATGCACTGTGCTCTTTTTCTGGAAGCCTCCTTTCTTTCTTCATCCAACTACCTCCTCTTCTTCCTTCGAGATTCAGCTGAGACTCTCTTGAGCAAATTTTCCAAGACTCCTTAAGGGGAAGGACCTGGTCCAAGTTGACTTGGTGTCTCCGTCATCAAGCACAATGCCTGGTTCACAATGGATTCTTCATGCATCTCTTTCTACAAGATGAGAAGGATCAGAGGGTGAGGATTGGAGCTGGGTGTCTTAAAAATCTGTGAGAGTGGAAGCTAAGCCAGTGATGTTTGCTTTGTAAGCTATTCTTGTGATATTACAATCCTTCAGAGTGGTGAGGTTGGTGGGAGTGGTAAAAACAAACAAACAAACAAACAAAACCTAGTTTCTTTGTCTTGGATTTTCCTGTGTCAGTTTATAGAGAGAGACTATCCATCATATTTTATTTTAGCTTAACCAAAGTCCTACTTTTTGTTGTTTCTTTTTTTCTTTGCTGGGATCTTAAAAGAGATTGAATAAAAATTCAGTTGTAGGAATGGCTTTACCTTCCTCTCTGGTCTTGTTGTTTTGTTTTTAGACTATGATATCACATGTCAAGACTATGATATCATATCAGGACTAGGATATCAAGTTTATAATAGAACAATAATTATGTATTATTTAAACTTATTTTCATCAAACTATAACTAATACACAATGGATTTTTTAATGGTATATACAGATATTTAAAATTTGAAATAATTTTAGATTTATAGAAAAGTTACAATGATACTATAGCAAGTTCCAAGAAATCCCTTCTCAGTTTCAGTTTTTCTTAAATTTTGTTGTTGTTGTTGAGACGGAATCTCGTTCGATCACCAGGCTGGAGTGTGGTGGCACGATCTCGGCTCACTGCAACCTCCACCTCCTTGGTTCTAGCAATTCTCCTGCCTCAGCCCCCTAAGTAGCTGGCACTACAGGCACACGTCACCTCACAGCTAATTTTTTTATTTTTAGTAGAGACGAGGTTTCACCATGTTGGTGGTCAAGACCACCAGGCTGGTCTTGAACTTCTGACCTCGTGATCTGCCCACCTCGGCCTCCCAAAGTGCTGGGATTACAGGTGTCAGCCATTGTGCCCGGCTTCTTTAATGTTAAAAAAATGTTAATGTCTTTGTCACAACTTTGGAAACTATTAATTGCATTCCAAATTTTATTTGAATTTCACCAGTTTTTCTACTAATGTCTTTTTCCTGTCCAGGATTCAATCCAGAGTTTCATGTTGCATTTATTCTCACGTCTCTGTAGTCTCTTCTGGTATGGAACAATTTCTCCATCTTTCCTTATTTTTCATGATCTTGATAGTTTTGAGGGGTACTGGGTTAGGGATTTTGTAGAATTGGACTTGGTGATTAGAACCTAGGTCTGGCCGCCTACCCATCACAGTATCAGTAAAAGCCTCCCTTGAAATTGACCAATGGCATGAACATTTCAGATGAGTCTGCCATCTTTGGTGCTCCTGGGACACGAGAGAGACCTGTCTTGGAGACAGAGACCTCACAGACTCAGAGATTCAGGTGCTTTTTCTGGTAATGATTTTGTCTGCGGGCTGATCACAAAGGTGGATGAGACTTTGGCCAAAGCTAAGGCTGCAGGGTCTGGGCTAAAAAATTCCAGAAAAACTACCTTGCCATGGGAGGCTGAGTTCCAAATCGCAGCCCGCGTGCAGCCTGCTTTACCAAATAATGAGGCACTGGGTGCTTTTTAAGGCAGCTGACCTTTGGAGCAAATTATCCAAGGAAATCTGATTAGCTAGTTCACTGGGTTCCTGCAAAATGGAGCTTGGTGTGTTTCTGCAGCAGAAATGTCAGCATAATTGGAGTTTCTGGAGCTCAAAGAGCTTCTTTCTTATTGTTTCCATCCTTTGGAGGAAAAAAAAACACCCCAAACAAACAAAACCCAAACCCCCAAAGAATTGTTCTTTGACTTACATTCTTTGCTTTTGCACATGGTTCAGAAGCTGCTCCTGACTGTGTTTACGACTTTATTAATCAGGGGAACAGCCCGAACATCATTTAAACAAACAAGGCCAAAAAAAAAAAAAAATCCATCCCTAAACAGATGATGTGAGCTTAATAGAGATGGCCAAGCCAAAGACCTTAAATAAATAAACTGACTTTAATTTGTAGGAAGGAGCATGGGGTGGTCATTACTTGAGGCTGTGTGCCATGCGATGTAACCAAATTTGAAACTCGCTAATTTCATTATTTTAATGGAAGTCTGCCTCCCATTCATTAGGCTGACATATGACTAGCCATTAGTAACAGTCCATTTCCAAAGCTATGGTGGATAAAGGGTGATTGGAAATGAGCGAGGGCCAGGCCTGGTGGAGGCTGGCAATTTCAGAAGGGAACTGGTGGGTGGGATTTATGCAAGAGGCAGGGAACACAACTAGGAAAATTGTCAATGTGGATGGAGGCAGCAAACCATTGAGTCCAAATACAGGCTTGAGAGACCTGGGTTTGAATTCTGGTTCTGCCACATACTGGCTGTGTGACCTTGGGCAAGTTACACCCCCGCACTGAGCTTCAGTTTGCTCATCTGTGAGATGGGAGTAATCATAGTTCCTATCTCGTAGGGTTGCTTGCAATGACTCAATGAGGCAAATTCTTAGGAGGCTCTAGTATAGGGCTTGGCAAAAGTAACCACTTAATAAATGGTAGCTATGATGATGATAACGTTGGCCAAAGTCCCCAGTATTTAGGGACTTGGAGATTTTGCTAATGAAGAAATGAAGGCTGACAGAAATAAAGTAAGGTATCCAAGTTTGCCCCGAACTTGGACTCAAATTTCTGATTCTTAATCCTATACTCTTAAAAAAAATCCTATACTCTTAATCCTATACTCTTAAGACCCGTATTTTTAAAATTGTTTCATTTCTTGAACAGGCCAGTAATTCATATGATTGAAAAATTTAAAAACAAGAGTATGCTAGAATAGTCAGTGAAAATTGTCCCTTCTGCCTGGAACATTTCCTTTTCACAGACAGCCATTGTTACGTGTTTCTTCTTTATCTTTGCAGAATTTCAGGTACGTACAAGCAAATACAAATGTATATGCACTTCTTTTTTTTTTATTACACAGACAGTTCTGTATCCTGCCTTTTAAAACTTATATCCTGCTTATCTTTCTGTATCAGGGTATAGTGAGTTCTTTCATTCTTACTTATAATTATATGTTTTTCTATTATAATGGCTATATTATGTCTTATTTAATTATTTCTCTCTTGATGAACAGTTGGGAAAGTTCTCATCTTTTGCTATTACAAACCACAATGCGATGAATAACATTGCATGTATGTCATTGTGTACAGGTGTACGTATATTCTAGGATAAATTTCCAAAAGTAGAATTGCTGAGTTACAGAGTGAATGCATTTCTGATTTTGATAGTGCTCAAAGGTCTGGGGGCACATAGAGATGGTGCTTTAGCAGTGAGCTTAGGCTGACAGCGGTTAAGAGAGACATGCCTCAGGTTGCCAGTTAAAAAAAAATCTGCATAATGTGTTGCTTAAAGAATGTGGTAAGGTGAAAGCTTGGAAATACTGGTGTCATTGGAAAGACAGAAATAAGACAGAGATTGTGTTGGGAAGAGAACACGGAATTTCGAGTAATTTCTGCCTGGGTTTGCATCTTGACCCTGCCACTCCTGGCTGCATGACCTTGGGCAGGTTGCTTCACATCTCTGAGCTCAGTATCCTCACCTGTAAAATAAAGACCATGATAACTTCCATTATAGGCTGCTGGAGGAAGTAAAAAAGAAAATATAAACAGCAGTTAGCATGATGCCTGGCACATGGTGTGCATTCAGGATATAACTGGGGCCTTTGGGTGAGTAACCAAGTTCATAATGACTCATAGCTAGCTAACATTATTATATTATATATACTATACTGTATTAGTGGGAAATAGCTAACATTTATTGAGTGTTTACTGTGTGGCACGCACTGTGCTTACTGCCTCCCATGAAACATTCCACTTACCTCTCATAACAACTCTGTGAAGTATTCTTGCTCACCTCAGCTTACAGATGGGGAAACGGAGGCAGGACACTCAAGTACTTTGTCTGTTGAAACACTGTGAACAAACGACAGAGCTTATATTTGAACTGAAGCCACTTGTCTTGGAGGGCTCCTCTGATCCCACATCCTGTTCTTTTTTTTTTTTTTTTTTTGGGAGATGGAGTTTTGCTCTTGTTGCCCAGTCTGGAGTACAGTGGCGCAATCTCGGCTCACTGCAACCTCCCTCTCCCAGGTTCAAGCAGTTCTCCTGCCTCAGCCTCCGGAGTGGCCGGGATTACAGGCACCCACCACCACGCCTGGCTAATTCTTTGTATTTTTAGTAGAGATGGGGTTTCACCATGTTGGCCAGGTTGGTCTCAAATTCCTGACCACAGGTCATCCACCCACCTCAGCCTCCCACAGTGCTGGGATTACAGGCATGAGCCACTGCACCCAGCCCATCCTGTTCTTTTGATCCACGTATTATAACATAAGAGGCTGACTTATTCTGAGACAAGGACATCATGGGTGGAGCCCCCTTCTCATCTCGGTGTGACCTAGTTCAGCTTCCCCATCTCTTAGGCAGATACCATTGGGTTCAGAAAGGTTCAAGGACACTTTTTCTCCTCTTAGCTTAGTGCTTCCTCAAGTGATCCATGACTTATGACCTTATGACGATGCCGTGTGGTGAGTCTGAAATCAGATGAAGATTTTTATCCCGACATGATGAACACAAGCATTGCATAACCTGACTCGGGTTACCCAGGATCTTTCCTCTGCTTGTGGTCACCACTGCTAGGATTTTGGAAGAACCCTTTAAAAACTAAGCTCTCTGAGGACAGGCATTTTTGTTTGGTTCACTATTGTGATGCCAATGATTAGAAAAATGCCTGGGCCCATAGGAGGGACTCATGTTCAATGCAGAGGTGGATAAATGAGAAAGAGACTGTTTGCCGCAGAATACTAAGAGATTTTATTGTTCTTGTCATAGGAACCAGGCAATATTCCAGACACACATGACATCAGTAACATCCATATGTCTGTGATGGGGTAGGAGAGAAGACTACTTTTCAGGTGGGACATTTTGATTGGAGAGGGTCTCTGATTCAGAGAGTGAGGTGAGCTATTTTCTTCTTGGGAGTTCTTGGCATTTGATAATCCTTGGTGTTTATTTCAAAATATGGAAGAATTTGAGATTTACTTAGACATCTTGGCATGCAGTGCTAAACCTCAGACTTCCTGAATTTATTTACCAGCTAGGGGAAGCATATTCCCAACTTTAATTGTATTTACAAAGGGCTCTAATCTGGTGTGAAGTCTGAAGGCATATTTGTTGTAGGAGTTACTCAATTAGCCAGTGAGAAAAGAACAAAGGAAAAGTCATTATGCAGATGTATGCCCATTCAAATCTATTCCGCCTCTAGATGCTTTCTTCGTAGTGAAGGGAAGAACTCCAGTCTGCAAGTCTCTCGTCTCTGCTGTGTTTTCTGCTAATTCTCTTCTAATATTAGGCCATGAATGATTAATAATATTGCATTTTGACACTGTTAGATTTTGTCAATTTTTTTCAATATAAAAGCAGATAATTACAGATTACTTTAACATCCAGGAAGTGAAATCAACCATGAATTACACTCAGACTCATCCACGACCCCTTGAATATCTGTCTTTTTTTTTTCAATAGGAGATTGAAGTTTCTTTAGTCAATTACACAAGTCATGTCTGACAATTGAGAAAATGCTGTTCACATAAAACATCATAAATTAAAAATATACAGTGTTTATATTTTAATACAGTAGGGTCCCAGGATTCAAACAAAGAATTTTGATCTCAGAGGTTGCATTATGTAGTTATGTGTTCTGCTTTAAAGAACTATACTGGAGGTAAACTTGAAACTGCCTTTGCAGAAATTATAACTGAGGAAATTATGACAGTGAAAGAGATCAGACCTAACCAACTACACCTTTTATCTAATCTTAAAGCTATCCTTATTCATTCCTGGGCATAGGCCGAAATAACCTTGGGAAGGAATTTAGTTTACAGTTTGACTCTGAAACAAAATTGATAATAGCCGTTTCCTGAAAAGACCTCCTTCTTGCCTGGTGACCAGTCTGCCTTTGTAGGACTAACAAATTGGCTACAAGATTGGAAATTATGGTTTAGGGGTCATGCAGCCCCTGACTCCAAGAGTCTGAACCTCCCCAGATTGCTCCTAGGGATAGCGTCATTATTGTAAAACTTAAGATCAGTGCTTGAGATATTTTGCAAACCCTGCACTCAGTGGATCAGCTGACACCACCCAGACTGGTAACTTGGCTCCCAGTTCTGCCATCCCACCCAGGAACAGAAGACCACAAAAAAACCTCACTTCGACCCCCTATGATACCATCTCCAACCTGACCAATCAGCACCACTTCCTGAGCCGCTACCCACCAAATTATCTCTAAAAACTCTGATCCCCAAATGCTCCAGGAAGGCTGATTTGAATAATAATAAAACTCAGGTCTCCCGCACACGTGGCTCCGTGTGAATTACTGTTTTTCCACTGCAGTTCCCCCATCTTGCTAAATTGGCTCTGTCTAGGCAGGGGGCCAGGTGAACCCATTGGATGGTATATTTCTCAAGAGTCAAATATTAATAGGTTTAACATGTAAGACTTACATATGTGTGTGTGTGTGTGTGTGTGTTTACATATACATATATTTCAATAGCTTTTGGGGTTCAAGTGGTTTTTGGTTACATGGATGAATTATAAATTATATAGTGGTAAAGTCTAAGATTTTAGTACCTGTCACCTGAGTAGTGTACACTGTACCCAATATGTAGTTTTTGTATCCTTCATTCCCTTTTCATCCTCTCCTCTTCTGAGTCTCCAGTGTCCATTATATCACTCTGTATGCCTTTATGTACCTATGGCTTAGTTCCCACTTATAAGTGAGCATATATGGTATTTGGTTTTCCATCCCTGAGTTATTTCACTTAGAATAATGGCCTCCAGCTCCATCCAAGTTGCTGCAATGACATTATTATATCATTATTTTTTCATGGCTGAGTAGTATTCCATGGTGTATATGTACCACACATTTTCTTTATCCACTCATTGGTCGATGGGCACTTAGGTTGGTTTCATATCTTGACAGTTGTGAATCCTAAATTTTACGTGCAAGGTTTTGCATCTGTAGAGGAAGACAGGATTCTCAGTGCATGTGCCAATTTTTGGGTTTTCCACTTGAGAATCTTCACCAGTTTTCTCTTCAGAATCAAATTCCTGACTATCTGGTGCTTCAGAGTTATCCAGAGGTTCATCATTCAGTCTCTGGGTTGCCTCTGTCATATACTGTACTCTGCCGCTTTTGCCAATTGTTTACTCTCCTTTTCCAAGTGGTCAATTTCATTGTTCTTTCTTCAATTTCTCTGTGAAGCCTCTCATTTTCCTTAAGTGTTTCATAGAGGGTGTTCCTTTGTTCTGCTACTTCTCTCCAATATTGAGGGGATAAATTTCATTTAATCCTAAAATCAAATGCTTCTTGGGTGACTCCTCCAAGATTTTAATTGTCACTCTATTCTGGGACAATGACAACTCTAGAGTGGGAAGTCCTGGCTGTCAACTGGTCATTCCAATGCTTCCTCTTGGATATGCTTTGGGCCAGTCACTTTTTTTTTTTTTTTTTTTTCCGACAAGAGATCTGGCTGTGGAAGGATGAATCATCTTCAGAGTTCTTCTTGGGGAGAAACTGTTCTTTACATCTTTGATTCCTCCTTGTTTCTACTTTATCCTAGGATTCATTATACAGCTGGTAAAGCACAAAAGATGGGAGGAGAGGATTAATGATCATAGTGAATTCAGGTGACTGTGGCACAGCCAACCTACATTGATCCCCACTGTCGCTGGAGTGGCTGGGGCACACTGCTGAAAAGACTTACTCCTCTTGAACATACTCCTTTGAGTAGTTTTTATATATGTAATTTTGCATATTTTTTTCATTTTTTTTATTATTATACTTTAAGTTTTAGGGTACACGTGCACAACGTGCAGGTTAGTTACGTATGTATACATGTGCCATGTTGGTGTGCTGCACCCATTAACTCGTCATTTAGCATTAGGTATACTTTTAATCGTAGTGCCATACAATTGTATTGCATTTTCCATTTATAGCATATTATAATTATTTTGACTTTTATTATGAAACTTTCAAACAGAAAAGTAGATAGTATAATAAAATAAAATAAAAAGTATATATATAACAAGTATGTCGGCTGGGTGTGGTGGCTCATGCCTTTAATCCCAGCACTTTGGGAGGCTGAGGCAGGCAGATCACTTGAGGTCAGGAGTTCGAGACCAGCCTGGCCAACATGGTGAAATGCTATCTCTACTAAAAATAAAAAAAAATTAGCTGGGTTTGGTGGTGGGTGCCTGTAATCCCACCTACTCAAGAGGCTGAGGCAGGGGAATCACTTGAACCTGGGAGGTGGAGGTTGCAGTGAGCCAAGATCATGCCACTGCACTCCAGCCTGGGCAACAGAGCAAGACTCCATCTAAGAAAAAAATTATATATATAACAAGTATGTAAACAAAATACATAAGTAAAAGGTAGAATAAAAAAAGATAGCATAATACACACCCATGTATTTATTGCTTAGAATTAACACTAATATTATATTTTCTTTGTGCATTTTTTTTCTTAAGTGGTTCAAAAGAAAGTACAGACATCATGATATTAAACCCTAAATCAGTGGCTCTCAACTGAGGTTGACTTTGACCCTTGTCCTCCGCAAGAGGACTTTTGGCACTGTCTGGAGACAATGTTGGTTGTCACAAAAGGAAGCATGCCTGCATCCCTGGTAGAGATCAGGGATGTTACTAAACATGCTACAATGCACAGGACTGCCCCCTCCAAAACAAAGAATTATCTGGTTCTAAATGCCGGTAGTGCTGAGGTTGAAAACCTTTGGTCTAAATGATTAAGAATGCGTTTCTTAAAATGCAAAATTTCACATAACCACATAGCACCATCACTTCTAACAAAGAGAAAAATAACTCTTTAAAATTGTCTAATAACCAGTCCATGTTTCCCCACCATTCCACTAAAATGTTTTTTACAGCTGGTTTTAGCAAACACTTTCCATTTTATTAGCACTGTTAATAGAATCTCACTCTAAATGACTACAGAATAGTCTGTTAAATGGATTCCCTGAAATTTATTCAAAGGATCTATTTTTGGATATTAGTTTTGCTTCCAGGTTTTAGACAAATTATATTTTTGTAAATAATGAGAGTTTACTTCTTTTCTAACTTTGTGCCTTTTCTTTCTTTTATTTGCCTTATGTTCTGGCTAAAAACTTCAGTAAATACTGAACACAGCATATGAGAGTGGGCATCCTTTTGTTGTTCCAGATTTTAGGAGAAAAAGATTTAATATTTTATTAAGTATGATATTAACTGTAGGTTTTTAAAGATGAACGTTATCATATTGGAGATGGTCCCATCTATTCCTAGTTTCACTGAGCGTTTTTATCATAAAGAACTAATGATTTCTGTCAAATTTTTTTTCTGTGTATTTTGAAACGATCAAATGGTTTTCAAACTCTTACTCTGTTATAGTATGATGAATTATATTGATTGATTTTCATTAAACCAACCTTGCTTTCTTGGAATAAACCTTGCTTGGTCATGATGTATTATTCTTTATATGTATGTATAAATATATATCTATAGATACATATACATATATACATATATCTATCTATATATATAGATATGTATACATATATATATAGAGAGAGCTGGATTCTGTTTGCAAATATTTGGTTTAGAATTTTTGTGCCTATGGGCTGGGCGCGGTGGCTCACACCTGTAATCCCAGCACTTTGGGAGGCCAAAGAGGGCAGATCACGAAGTCAGGAGTTTGAAACCAACCTCACCAACATGGTGAAACCCCGTTTATACTAAAAATACAAAATTTAGCTGGGCGTGTTGGTGGGTGCCTGTAATCCCAGCTACTTGGGAGGCTGAGTCAGGAGAGTCGCTTGAAACCGGAAGGGGGAGGTTACAGTGAGTCGAGATTGTGCCACTGTGCTCCTGCCTGGGCAACAAGAGTGAAATTCCGTGTCAAAAAAAAAAAAGAATTTTTGTGCCTATGTTCGTGAGGGATTAGGCTGTTATTTTTTTTACTTGTAATAGCTTTGTTATATTTTGGGGTCAGGGTGATGCTGGCCTTCTATATTAAATTGGGAAGTGATACCTCTTCCTCTATGTTCCGAATTTGTGCATTATTGATATTTCTCCCTTACATGTTTTGTAGAATTTACTAATGAACCATATATGTGGAAAATTTTCTTTTTAGAAAGGTTTTACAAATTTAATTTCTTTAATAGCCATGGGGTTATTTATTTTCTGTGTCTTCAGTTGTTAGTAATTTGTGATTTGGATTAATTAATATAAGTTGTTGAATTGTTAGAATGTTTTAATATTTATCCTTTTTAACATTTTTAGAATATGTAGTGCTGTTTCATTTTTATTTATGTGGGCAATTTGTGCTTTCCCTCTTTTTTTTGTCCATTGTTGTTAAGACTTTGTATTGCCACTTTACTATTAGTATTTCCTTTCTTTTACTTGCTTTAGATTTACCTTATTCTTCTTTTTCTAGCTTCTTAAGATGGAAGGTTGTATATACCTTTCTTCTCCAGTGTAAGTATTTAAAGTCATAAATTTTCTTCTAAGCACTGCGTTAGCTTTATTTCACAAATTTTGATATATTTTCATATTATTCAGTTCAAAATATTTTACAGTTTCCTTTATGATTTCTTTTTTGATCTATGGGTTATTTAGGAGAGGGTTGTTTTATTGCCCAATACATAGGGGATTTGCTAGATATCTTATTGTGAATGATTTTATTCTATCGTGTTACTCTGTATGATTTCATTCTTTGATATTCATTAATACTTTTATATGATCCAGAATATGGTCTATTTTACTGAATGTTCCATGACAACTTTAAAAGAATGAGTTTTCTGCAGCTGTTGGATGTAGTAGTTTAAAATATTATGTCAGTTTGGTTTACAGAGTTGTTCAAATAGTGTTTACTGAATCTTTGATCTGCTTGTTCTATCAGTTATAAGTTGAGCATCCCTAATTTGAAAATCTGAAATCTGGAATGCTCCAAAATCTAAAACTTTTTGAGTGCTCAGAGTAAATGCTCATTGGATTTGGAGCTTCATATTAGGAATGCTCAACCAGTAAGTATAATGCAAATATTCCAAAATCTGGAAAAATCCAAAATCCTTCTGGTCTCAAGCATTCTGGATAAGGGATGTTCAACCTGCACCAAGAGGGTTTACATTCTCCAACTATGATTGTGAATTTTTTTTTATTTCTCCTTTCAGTTCTGTCAGTTTTTCCTTTGTGAGTTTTGGAAATGTGTTGTTAGGTACATCTATATTCATGATTGTTTTCTTCTCAATTATCCTTTTTTTATTATTTTGAGGTATTCTTCTTAATATCCAGTCATACTCTTTGTTTAAATGCTACATTGTCTGATATTAACATAGTCATACCAGATTTCTTATTTTTGGTGTTTTCATACTGTATCTTTTTCTTTCCTTTTACTTTCTATTGGCCTGTATCTTTATAATAAAATTGTGTTTCTCAAAAACAACCTATAGTTGGGTGTTGCCTTTCATATCCAATTTACTAAGCTCTGACTTTTTCTTAGAGGAGTTAGTCCATTTACATTTAAGGTAATTATTGATATGATTCGACTTATGTCTCCCATCTTGGTATTTGTTTTATATTTATGGTATTTATTCTTTATTCCTTTGTTCATTTTTGTCTTTTCAGGGGAAAATTAAGTATTCTTAATATTACTTTTATATCCTCTGTGGATAGTTAGATTATATTTCCTTTTTAAAAAATTTAGTGGTTACTATAGAAACTACATGTAAATGTTCACAGTATACCTTCAAACAATGTTTAACCTAATTCACAGTATAAAAATCATGCTGCAGTATAATTCCACTTATGTCCAATCCTGCCTTTTGTGCTCTTGTTATATTCTGTGTTACAGTGACACATATGGTATTAATCCTATCATACGTTGTTATTATTTCCAGTCTACACTGTAAATAGTCACTTAAATATTTGAGAAATTATAAATGTAAAAATAAAAGTCAAAAAAGGTCTTTTCCATTTATACAAATATTTACCTTTTCTGGTGTTTTTAATTCCTTTCTGCACATCTGGGGTTCCATCTGATATAATTTCCCTCAGCCTGAAGTATCAGCAAGTATCTCAGATTTTGTCTCTCTAAGGATATCTTTATTTCATCTTCATTTTGAAGGATATTTTTTGCTAGACATAGAATTCTCTGCTTCCATTTCTTTTTTCTTGTCATACTCAATGATGTCATTTAATTGTTTTCTGGCTTTATTCTAGATTCTGATGAAAAGTTAGCCATCATAAATTTTTTTCTAATGTATTTAATGTGTCATTTTATTCCTATTGCTTTTTAGATTTGCTGTTTATTGTTTTATGTGATTTTTGGTTGTTAAATAGCTAGGTAAGGTTTTCTTTATATTTATCTTGCTTAGGGTTCACTGAGCTTCTTGGCTCTACAGGTTTATGTCTTTCATCCATTTTGGAATGTTCTCAGATGGTTATTATTATATCAAATATATTATCTATCCAGTTTTTCTCTTCTCTTTCTGGAACTTCTATTACATCACTTGATATCATGTTAGATTCATTTATACTGTCCAACAGATCTTGAATATTCTGTTGTATTTTTTCCACTATTTTTGCCTTTTGTGTTTCAGTTTGGATACTTTCTATTGATCTGCCTTTTGTCCCTGATGCTTTCATCTGTTTTTTTTCCAGTGTGCTGTTAAGCACATCTGATGTTATTGATTTCTAATATTGTATTTTTCATTGCTACTTATCCCATTTGATTTTCTTCTAACATTTCCTGGTGAACATGTCTTTAGGAAATTTTCCATTTCTTCATGCATGTTATCTATATTTTTCGTTAGGCTTTTGGCATTTTTATTATAGTTATTTTAAATTCCCTGTCTAATAATTCCAACATCTGAGTCATCTGTGGATCTGTTTTTCTTGATTGTTTCTACTCTTAACTATAGGCCACTTTTTTGTTGTTCTTTAAAAAAATATTAATACGTCTTCTAATGTTTGATTGTATACTGAAAATTCTGTATAAAAGAACAGTAGAGACTAAAGTAAAAAATATTTACATCCAAAAGAGCATGCTTTTGATAAGACCTGTAGTAAATCTCTCCTCTCCTCTAAAATGATCTTCACTTTGTGGAATTTAGTTCATTTGGATTTTTCTGTGTCCTTAGTTCACTGAAGGTTTTCTTTTTTCCAAATAGCTTTGTAGCTCATCTAATTTGTTTTGATTATTTGCATGAGAATGGCATTTTCTGTTGACTTTCTATTTCTGAATTCAAAGTAGTATGCAACCAAATATGCTTCAACAAAGATGTGCATTCACCAAATATTTTTTTAAAAATTTACAATAATTTCCTTAACATAAATTCTAGAAGGTAGACATTGATCAAAATATCTAAAGATTTTTTATGGTTCTTAATAAAATATGGTCATATTACATCTCAAAAAAACAAGGAAGTTATACCTATTTTTAATGAGTGCAAATAACCATTTTGCTTCATAAGCTTTAAGTGTTATAATTAATTTGACTTTGCTAACTTATTCAAAAAATATTATTTCATATTACATACCTTTAACTTCAAGCACTGTACAGGATCAAAATCTTATGTTCATTTTTTAGCAGGACTGACTTTACCTGGAGAATAAGTGAACCCATTAAACATCAGAATTGTTTGAGTAGATAGATGGTAATGACTGATATTTATTGAGTGCTTTTTATGAAAAAAGTGGTGTTTTAATTCTCACAGTGACCTGTGAAGAAGGTTATCATTTCATCACTCCAGAAGGAGGGTTTATTCCCTACAGAGGAGAAAAGAGAGGCTCTGATATAATGGGACAGGATTAAATTCAGGAGAATCTGAGCCCCAAACCTCAGTCTTCCAACTTTGATGTGATTTAAATCATATCTGAATGCAACCAATATTGCTATCTGTATTAGTCAGCTGTTGCTACAATAATGCCATATAACAAACACCCCCTAAACTCACACTTAAAACAATAGTTTTGTATTCTCATTGAGCTGCAGTTTGGCAGTAGAAGTTTTGCTTTAAAACTCCCCTCTTAGTCATTTATTGAAGAAAAACATAATGAATACCTCTTATTTTCCAAGCACTCTTCTGGGCTCTGGAGAAACAACAATGAATAAAATACACATAAATGCTGCCCTTAGGAAACTTACTTTCTTGAGGGAAGAGACATACAGTAAATAAGTAGACTATATAGTAAGTAAGATGCTGATAATTTCTTTATTTTGTTTATTTTTCTTTTTCTAAATTGGTTTCCTCAGATTGAAGATAATTTCTTTCTTTTTTTTTTTTTGAGACGGAGTCTCGCTCTGTCGCCCAGGCCGGACTGCGGACTGCAGTGGGCAATCTCGGCTCACTGCAAGCTCCGCTTCCCGGGTTCACGCCATTCTCCTGCCTCAGCCTCCCGAGTAGCTGGGACTACAGGCGCCCGCCACCGCGCCCGGCTAATTTTTTGTATTTTTAGTAGAGACGGGGTTTCACCTTGTTAGCCAGGATGGTCTCGATCTCCTGACCTCATGATCCACCCGCCTCGGCCTCCCAAAGTGCTGGGATTACAGGCGTGAGCCACCGCGCCCGGCCGATAATTTATTTCTTTTGTTTTTTTTTTTGAGACGGAGTCTCGCTCGGTCGCTAGACTGGAGTGCAGTAGCGCAATCTCGGCTCACTGTGACCTCTGCCTCTTGGGTTCAAGCGATTCTCCTGCCTCAGCCTCCTGAGTAGCTGGGACTACAGGTGCACACACCACTACACCCAGCTAATTTTTCTATTTTTAGTAGAGACAAGGTTTCATCATGTTGGCCAGGATGGTCTTGATCTCTTGACCTTGTCATCTGCCCGCCTTGGCCTCCCAAAGTGCTGGGACTACAGGTGAGAGCCACAGTGCTCGGCCAGATTAATTTCTAATGACAGCTATAAAGCAGTGGAAGAGGAGAGGACGGGCTGTCAGGTGAAGAACAGCAACAGGGATTGCTGTTGCAATGTGCTTTCTCTTATCACTGCGCTTCCTAGCATACCGCCAAACCCTGGCATCTCTGTTCATTTTTACAATGCAGAGCTATTTCACTACTTCTTTGTTTCACTGTCTTCTTCTAAACTGTGCCCTGGGGGGCCTCACATTTCATAACCAAAGCTGCCTATCAAAGTGTTTTGCTAAAGAAAATATATTTAGTCTGGAGAGAAATAATGTCTCTCCCTTAGGGACAGAAGCAGCTGCAGTCAGTAGTAGTTTTAGATAGCATTTTTCTCCTCTGTCACGCAGCATTGCAATCTCTTCTTTATTTAAAAGTTGAAGGTCAGAGGTGAAGATGTGTGGAAACTTACTGAGGAAAGGAGACATTTGCAGAGCACCCACTATGTGCTAGATCTGGTGCAAGCAGATGTCTTCAAATAATCCTTGAATTAGACATTATGATTCCCATTTTCCTAATGCAAAAACTGAGCTGTATGCAGGCAAAATAATCCACTCTCGGACACAAAACCAGCAGTTGCAGATCTAAGTTTTAATTCTTGAGTGTGTCCTTCCAGCCTCCTCCCAACCACCTTCTTGTTGCTTTGGATTGGATGTAGAGAGCTGCTTATTTTATAATCTTTGTGGCTAGACCTGGAATGCTGGCTTTGTGTTTCTGGGCCTCTCTCCCGCTTCATGGCTAGTCTGTGTGGTATAGCCCAACTGCTGCCCCAGTAATAGGAGGAGGCAGTCAGGTCTGGGGGGAAATGAAAGAATTCCCAGGGCACCCGGCAAATGAATGAATTCCACTGATCTTGTTTGGTTCCTTATGGGATCATCCATCATGATTTAACAACTTGCAGCCCAGGGTAACTACAGGCATGCTTCTTGCCCAAAGCCACAGACACAGTGTAATTCATGGCTGAAAAACAGATTTGTTTTTCTGTTATTATTACCTGTATCATGCCCATTATACTATATTATATGCTGTGTTATCATGTAATTTAGTCCTCTGTCTGCCGCATTGACGTTTGCTTTTGAGAAGACTCGGCTTTTCTCATTCTTTTGTAATGCACTAAAGTAAACAAATTCCCTGGCTGTAATGTAAGCAGATATTTGTTGAGGGCCCACTGTGTGTACAGTAGATGGGATACAGAAAAGCTCTGGTTTTGCTCAGGAAACTTACCCTCCTATTGTTTTCTGCATTTAATTTTATTTTTAATTTTTTTCTGAGGCAGAGTCTCACTCTGTTGCCCAGGCTGGAGTGCCCTGGCATGATCTCGGCTCACTGCAACCTCTGCTGCCTGGGTTCAGGCCATTCTCCTGCCTCAGCCTCCTGAGGAGCTGGGATTACGGGCACCGGCCATCACACCTGGCTAATTTTTTTTTTTTTTTTTTGTATTTTTAGTAAAGACGGAGTTTCGCCATGTTGGCCAGCCTGGTCTTGAACTCCTGACCTCATGCCATCTACCTGCCTTGGCCTCCCAAAGTACTGGGATTACAGGCGTGAGCCACCATGCCTGGCCTATTTTTAAATTTTTTAATGCAATATTTGAAACACAGAAATAATATATATATATAACATGTAAGTTATCAAACATATCAACAAAATGAAGACCCATAAAATCATTGCTGTCTTAGTCCATTTGTGTTGCTATAAAGGAATACTTGAGACTGGGCACTTTATTTTAAAAAGCAGTTTATTTGGTGTATGGTTCTGCAGTCTGTACAAGAAGCCTGACACTGCATCTGCTTCTGGTGGGGCCTCAAGCTGTTTCCACTTAGGGCAGAAGGGGAAGTGGAGGGACTGTGCACAGATGACGTGGTGAGAGAGGAAGCGAGAGAGAGAGGAGGAGATGCCAGGCTCTTTTCAGCAACTAGTTCTCCTGGGACTAAGAATGAGAACTTTTTTTTTTTTGAGACAGGATATCCCTTTGTTGCCCAGGCTGGAGGGCAGTGGCATGATCTTGGCTCACTGCAGCCTCCACCTCCCAGGTTCAAGTGATTCTTGTGCCTCAGTCTCCTGAGTAGCTGGGACTATAGGCGCCTACCACCACGCCCTGCTAATTTTTGTATTTTTAGTGGAGGCAGAGGTTCTTCATGTTGGCCAGGCTGGTCTGGAACTCCTGGTCTCATGTGATCCTCCCGCCTCTGCCTGCCAAAGTGCTGGGATTACAGGCATGATCCACTGCACCCAGCCCAAAATGAGAACTCACTTCTTTGAGAATGGCAACAAGTCATTCATGAGCAATCAACTCCCATGCCCCAAACACCTCCCAATAGGTCCCACCTCCAACATGGGGAGAGATTTCAACACGATGTTTGGAGGATCAAATATCCAAACTACATTAAGTGCCTAACTGATTGACTAAAATGACCAGTTCTACTGGATCCATCTGGGTGGAAAGTGCCTCTTGCATCCCCCATCCTATCCCCATGTGGAAATCTACAATCCTGTTTTGTGTTTATCATCCCCTTTCTTTGCTTTGTTAGCTTTACCACAAAGCTTTATCAGTTTTGCTTGCTTTTGAGCTTTATAAAGATGGTCTCATACCTTAAATAATTTTTTTTTTTTTTTGAGACAGAGTCTTGTTCTGTTGCCCAGGCTGGAGTGCAGTGGCACGATCTTGGCTCACCGCAACCTCCACCTCCCAGGTCCAAGTGATTCTCCTGCCTCAGCCTCCTGAGTAGCTGGGATTATAGGCATGTGCCACCATGCCTGGCTGATTTTTGTATTTTTAGTAGAGACGAGGTTTCACCATGTTGGTCAGGCTGGTCTCGAACTCCTGACCTTGTGATCTGCCTGCCTTGGCCACCCAAAGTGCTGGGATTATAGGTGCGAGTCACTGTGCCTGGCCTTAAATAATATTTTAAGACTTGCTTTGTTCACACTATATGGTTTCTAAGATTTATTCCATTTTTCTTCATGCTTCTTTTCTTTCTTTTCTTTAAATTGAGGTTTTTTGTTTGTTTTTGTTTTGTTTTCAAACTCTGCTTTTCCCTTTACTTGTTGGAATTTTAAAATTCCAAATTCAAATATTAAGATTCTAAAAATTCTAAAATTCCAAAAATTTAAAACCTCTTTTCTATCATCTCTCCCTTGAAATTTTATTGTGTGTATCAAGGAAAATTGAAAGCCCATAAATATCTTAACTTCCCCTTCCAAATACTGTAAGGACTTTATGATACTTTAATGTCAATGACTTCCCCATTACTTAAATGTCAATGTTGTCAGTAGTTTCAATCTCATCTTAAATTCTCACAAATCAGATTGTTACTATTAATATTTTATATAGATAATGTTTTAGATTTATCTCCTAGTTTGTAAGCTTACTTGCTAACTATTCTTCTTACACTCGAAATTTTTTTTTCTGGGCTATTTTTTTTTTTTTTTTTTTAGTATTCTTTTAGTGGGAATTTATCGGTGGTAAAAATCTCTCAGTTTTTGTTTATATGGAAGTGTCATCATTTCACACTCATTCTTAAAAGACACATTTGCCTGAAGCGCAATTCTAGAATGATGGTTGTTTTCTTTTAGAATTTTGGAGATGTTATTCCAGAGTCTTTTGGCTTCTGTTGCTTTGCCTGAAAACTCAGGTGATGATCTAAATGTAGTGTTTTTGAAGGTTATCTGCCCCTTTCCCCTGTGAGCTTTTAAGTCTTCTCTGTCTTTGATGTTCTGTGGTTTCACTGCAATATGTCTAGCTATGAATTTCTTTGCATTCATCTTGCTTATATATGCTGTGCTTGGACCTGAAGATTTTATGTGTGTGTTTGTGTATATGATTATCTATCTATCTATCTATCTATCTATCTATCTATCTATCTCATCATGCCTCACTTAACAATCGGGATATGTTCTGAGAAATGAGTCATTAGGTGATTTCATCATTGTGTGCATATCATAGTGTCCTTATACAAACCTAGATAGTGTAGCCTCCTACACACCTAGGCTATATGGTATAGCCTATGGCTCCTAGGCTACATGACTGTACAGCATGTTACTCTACTGAATACTATAGGCAGTTGGAACACAATGGTAAACCTTTGTCTGCCTAAACATATCTAAACATAGAAAAGGTCCAGTAAAAATACAGTATTACAATTTTGTGGAGCCACTGATGTATGCAGTCTGTTGACCAAAATGTTATGTGGTACGTGACTGTATTTTACCATTTTTACAACATTTCTTTCCCCCTCCCCTCCCTTCCCCTCCCCTCCTCTCCTTTCTCTCTCGGACAGAGTCTTACTCTGTCATCCAGGCTGGAGTGCAATGACGCAGTCTTGGCTCACTGCAACCTCCGCCTCCTGGGTTCAAGCGATTCTCCTGCCTCAGCCTCCTGAGTAGCTGGGACTACAGGCATGTGCCACCGTGGCCGGCTAATTTTTGTATTTTTAGTAGAGACAGGGTTTCACCATGTTGGCCAGGCTGGTCTCAAACTTCTGACCTCAGGTGATCTACCCACTTCTGCCTCCCAAAGTGCTGGGATTACAGGCATGAGCCACCCTGCCCAGCCTTTGCAAAATTTCTATCTATTATCACTTTTAATATTGCCTCTTATCCAGTCTCTCTATTCTCTCCTAATATTATGTCTAATATATTAGACATACATTAGTCTGTTTCTTTCTGTCCTCTGTATCTCCTAACTTCTCTTTAATAGTTTTAATCACCTAATCTATTTGTGTTGTTGCACCCTAGATAATTTCTTTAGACATATCTTCAATTTCTAATTCTCTTTCCTGCTATTTTTAATCTGAATTGAGTTTTTATTTTATTTTTCTTTTTTGTTATATATATATTTTTGAGACAGATTCTCACTCTGTCACCCAAGCTAGAGTGCAGTGGCACGATCCTGGCTCACTGCAACCTCCACCTCCTGGGTTCAAGCGATTCTTGTGCCTCAGCCTCCTCAGTAGCTGGGATTATAGACCTGCGTCACCAGGCCCAGCTAATTGAATTGAGTTTTTTACTTCGACAGTTATATATTTGATTTCCAAAATTTTTATTTGACCATTTTTCAACTATACCTCATAATTTTTTTATAAACGTTGATTATTTTCCCATTTTTCTAATTCCATCTTTTATTTGTTTAAATATTTTAATCAGAATTATTTTATATTATGTATCTGATTATTTCAATGGTTCCAATATCTGAAGTTTGTGGGAGTAAAAATTTGTTGTTTATTAATTCTGCTGATTCTCACTCATGGTGGCTTATTTCCTAATGAGTTTGGTGGCTTTTGATTATAAGCTCACAGAGGCTTGATCTTAATCTATGGAAATTCTTATGACCCAAGTAGAAAATGCTTTCACACAGGGAGAATTTTCATTTGCCTCCATTAGGAGCCTGGGACACCACCAGCATTGTCTTCCTTCAAAATAACTAGCCTTACATGGGAGTCTCAGATTCCCCAACCTTGTCACAGTCAGTGACTAGTTGTTAATTTAATCATAATCACTTGATGTATTTTTTTAATGTCACACACTGTCCGGTGTGTTCCACAAACATTATTTCTAACTTGCAAAATAATCTTGTAAACCACTTCACTGTTGAGGAGATAAAAGCTGGGGGAGGCCTTCCACACAATCTGCTTCTCACAATTCTCCTACACTTCTACACCATCTCTGCCCATCAAAATCCCTCCCCTCCTTCTACACCGTCCTCAAATGCTGCCTCCTCAGGGACACTATTCTTGAGCCACAAAGCTGAGCTTAGGCTTTTGCTCCTGTTTATTTGTTTGTTTTTTGAGACAGAGTCTCACTCTGTCACCCAGGCTGGAGTGCATTGGTGTGATCTCACGTCACTGCAACCTCCGCCTCCCAGGTTCAAGTGATTCTCCTGCCTCAACCTCCCTCCCAAGTAGCTGGGATTACAGGTGCCTGCCACCACACCTGGCTAACTTTTTTTGTATTTTCAGTAGAGATGGGGTTTCACTATGTTGGCCAGGCTGGTCTCAAACCCCTGACCTCAGGTGATCCGTCTGCCTTGGCCTCCCAAAGTGCTGGGATTACAGGCGTGAGCCACCGTTTGTTCCTAGAACACATAATTTATATCGGTGATTCAAGTAATCATCCCATTTCACAGATGAAGCATTTGAGGCCCTGGAGTTTCATTTGTAGGCATTTGTGCGGATCTACCTAAAATGTCATCTGGCTGCAAGGCCATCGCTTCAGTGTTATTTTTGCATTTATCCTTCTCCATCCCTCCTAGGCAACCCCTAGTTCCTTACCTTCCTCATATACATACAGAATGCAAGACTAAGAGGAAGGATTCCAAAAAGTTGGATACATTAAATTTAGGTGGAGAGATGAGGAACATATGGAGAACAGGCCATCAGCTTAGTGATTGTCAGGCGATTCCTGTCATCAATATGTACCCCCGTGGCCCATGTTAAGTCCCTTACTCATTGGGACTGCCCTGGTCCTCCGTTGACCTCAGGTAAACAATCATTTAAGTGGGATTTTATTCAAAAATTGCACTTAGAGTGGTTTTAGTGGGTCACATTGGCTCTTCCATGAATTCTTTGCGTCTTTTTAAGCCAGATCTTTGGCATTTTATCAATCTTTGCTTTGGCATCACGTTTGAGGATATATTCAGGGGATTTTTTTTATTTTTAAAAAAACTCTTTTGTTTATTGACAGAAATAGCATTTCTACTAATACCTCAAGAGCAAGTACTATCATGAATTTAAATTATTTTTCCCCAAATTTAATCAAGAGTACTTGAGTTACCAGCTTCCAGGTTGGCCAGAAGTCCTGAATTACCTTATTGAGACTTTCTGCTCCAGTTCCAGGGTTCTTGTATAATTAGGAGTCCTCACAACTTGTACTCCCAATTAGGGAAAAGCGCTGGTATTTGTCAGCCTGTTTGGGTTTCCTACTGAGAGAAGATGGCACTGTTGAACACGGAGCCAGTGCTGCTGGGCTACAATGTAGTGCGGGCTGGTAACTCTCACGGTAACCCCTCTTAGAGGTCCTGTTCTGGATGAGGTTTGTTTATCCACTCACCACGGTCCCCACAACTCCAATGCCTTTTCCAATGACAGCAGGTGAATGAGACCTACCCAGGATCAGGCCATTTTTACTTTCAGCCCCTGAGAGAGAAAAGAAATTAATTTGGTTCTCTTTTCTGAACAATAGAGATTTATTCGTTCTAAAAATTCTACAAACCATATCCAGCAGGCAAAGAATGCCTGGACTTTAGATAAACCAAAAGGGCAGTCATCCTTTGTGGCAGAGTGCTAATTTTTCTCCAGTATTTATTTTCTCCTTCATTTTGTTAGCAGTAGAACTTCTCAAGCTTTCACTCTGTATGTGACCATCTGGGTAGAGACTACCTTTCTTAGCTTCTCTTGCAACTGTGTGTGGACACGCAACTAAATTACTGCCTCCAGGGTGTGAGCAGAACGGATGCGTGCAGCTTCAAGTCACAGCACTGGAAAGGAAAATACTTGCCTTTCATTCTCTATTTCCTCTTTCTACACGTTGGAATTTGACGGAGTTCTGGCAAGTCTACTTCAACCATGTGGATGAGGACAATACTTCAGAGGAAAGAAGAACATTAAAATGCAAGGAACCAGATCCCTAGATGACTGATTGCAAGGGGCAAAGAAACTATGGCAGCCCTAGACTATGTACCTCTGGACCAATCTGTGAAAGAGAAGTAGATTCCTACTTGGCCTGAGTCACTGTGTTTTTGGATCTCTTGTACCAGCAACTCAGCCAGTGTCCTAAATAACATGCATCCTCCCTAGTGGGACTGGAGAGCTTATAGGTTCAGTCTCACTGATGATCCAACCTCTTTAGAGCAGGCAAGAGGAATTTCATGTACCTCTTGATAAAGCGGTAAGCAAAACACAAATTCAGTGGGACACTCCACTGCAGGTGATTTTGAGGTTCTGCAGTCTGTCTATCAAGTTAAATGAGAAAAAAGAAGATAGAGGATCCTGGCTGCATAATCACACATGCACGGAAGGCAAAATCATTTGGACGGGAGCCTTGAGTGGTGGAGAAAGCAAGGGCTCTGAGCCAGATATTTCAGAGTTCACATCAGTGTGTCTTTATAATTTAGTTGTTTAAGTCACTACTTTCTCATCTGCAAAATGGGAATTGCAATGCATATTTCATGTACTTGTTCCAGGAACTAAATGAGATAATCTATTTAAAGGTCCTGGCACAGGGTCTGGTAAAAATTAGGTGTTAAGTGAAAGTAAGTTCCCTTCCAATGTCTGGGCTTTTGATCATTGCACCAAGCTGCCTCTGCAAGGCACACAAGACTCTAGGTGATCTGATTCCTCCCTTTTTCACCCCTTCAGCTTCATCTGGGGCCACTTTTCCCTTGCCCATGACTCTCTGACTCCTAAGCCCATGACTAGTTTCCCTTCAGTACCAAAGCCATTCTAAATTCTCTCCTGCCTCTGGATCTTCATACTTCCTTTTCCTTCTGCTTGCAACCCTTTCTCATGATCACATTTCAGAGAAGCCCTCCTGAGGACCACGCTATCTAAAGTAGTTTCTTGTCCACTGTGTTCAGCAGAATAATGACACCCCGCAAAGATGTGGTTTTTATGAAGACAGAAACATCTGTCTTATTTACCAGCTCACCTGCTACAGTATGGATTATGTAGCACATACTCAATATTTATTGAATGCATATATGAATGAAAAATTGAATGGGAACTTTGAAATTCATCCTCATCCCTGGAACCCAAGAGTATGTTAAGTGACATGGCAAAGGGCAATTAAGGCAGCAGGCGAAATTAAGTTTACTAATCAGCTGACCTTAGGGAGCTATTCCTGGAATATCTGGTTGGACCCAAAGGAATCATAAAGATCTTTAAAAGTGGAAGAGAGGGGCAGAATCGAAGAGTCAAAGGTAGGAGTGTGATGACGGAAACAGGTATGTTACTGCCCTTGAAGATGGAGGAAGGGGCCACAAGCCAAAGAAAGCAGGCAGCCTTTAGAAGCTGGAAAAAGCAAGAAAATGGATGTTCTCTAGAGCTTCCAGAAGGAGCAGCCCTGCTGACATCTTGATCTTTGCCCAGTGCCTTGATTTCAGCTCAGTAATTTTAGCCCATGTTGGACTTCTGAAGTACAGAACTGTAAGATAATACGTTTGTATTGTTTTAAGCCACTAAATTTGTGGTAACTTGTTCCAGCAACAATAAGAAACTAATATACCTGTATGCCAGCCCAGTATCTAATATATATATATCGCCCTCTTTATTTGCTGCCTAACACTCAGCACGATCTGCAATTATCTTATCCATTTATGTGTCCTCTTGACTTAGTCAAATGGGGCTTTTATGAAGACACAAATGTCTATCTTATTTACCAGCTCACCTGCTAGAGTACGGGTTATGTAGCACATACTCCTTCTTTATTCATTTATTAATTATACTTTAAGTTCTGGGGTACGTGTGCAGAACGTGCAGGTTTGTTACGTAGGTATATACGTGCCATGGTGGTTTGCTGCACCTATCAACCACACTAAGTATTTCTCCTAATGCTCTCCCTCCCCTAGCCCCCCACCCCACCAACAGGCCCTGGTGTGTGATGTTCCCCTCCCTGTGTCCATGTGTTCTCATTGTTCAGTTCCCACTTGTGAGTGAGAACATGTGGTATTTGGTCTTCTGTGCTTGTGTTAGTTTGTTGAGAATGATGGTTTCCAGCTTCATCCATGTCCCTGCAAAGGACATGAATTCCTCCATTTTTATAGCTGCATAGTATTCCATAGTGTATATGTGTCACATTTCTTTATCCAGTCTATCACTGATGGGCATTTGGGTTGGTTCCAAGTCTTTACTGTTGTGACCAGTGCCGCAATAAACATACATGGGCGTGTGTCTTTATAGTAGAATGACTCCATATTTTTTTAATGCATGCATGAATGAAAAATTGAATGGAAACTTTGACATTCATTTTCTTCATCTGCAGGGCTTGTTTCTGAGAGTGTGCACGGAGATTGAAGGGCAGGGGCTCATGTGACAGTGTGAAGCAGGAATTCTGACCGTTGGCCAAACCAAGCCCTGAAACTCAAGTTCTGTTTGGGAGTGAGAGGCAGGTTAGAGGAGATAAACACCCAGCCTTTTAATTTTTTTTTTCCAGCCTGCTTTAAATCACCTGTAAATCTTTAGTGGCCACCAGGAGGTGAATGACTCATGCTACCTTTTCTCAGCAAAGGCTCTTCAGGATGGGACACTCCAAGTTTTTAACTCCCAGCAACAGTTCGGCTCACAGCGAGACCGGGCCCTCTGCTGTCACTGAAGTGTGTGTTTGTTTAATTAGGGCGCCGAGTAGAGCCTCATCCTGGTGGCAGATGTTGCCATGTGTAGTATAATAAATAAAAGTCTTTATAGGACCCAGCAGGCAGTAGAGCCTTCAGTTAGCAGATGGCGAAATATTAAACTGGCAGAGCAATAACTTAACTGCCTGAATCAGCTGGTCCCTGCCCGGATTTGCTCCAACATGAATCAACTTCATATAGGAGGTGTCGCTCAGCCTCAGATGTGTACCCTCACCTGCCCTCGCTCCTGGTCCCTGCTAGGACCATGTTTGCCTTGGCATACCACTATTAAAGTCAGATTACTGGGTTTAATACCATTATTAAAGTCAGATACATAAGTTTTTTTATAACCTTATTAGCTGGTCAAAGAGAGGTGCTTGCTGGGCTGGACCGTAGGGTTCTTTTACAGGGGAAGGAAATGCAGTAAGCCTGTGGATGTCCTCTGTGCCAGTTTCTGCTTGGCTCCAGATTAGCCAGACAGTATGTTACCTGGCCCCTGGGCCCTCGTGGTGCAGGAGAAGGATCCCACTTGGCTCCAGGAATCCTCCTGTTTAAGACCAGGAGGATGGTTCAGTTAGCCCAGGGAGACCCCACTGGAGGAGAGAACAGGGCTTTTTGTTCTGAAAAGACCCAAAAAAGGGATTGACTGACATCTATTACATTGCTGCAGGGGTGGAGTGAGGGGCATTGGACTTGTTTACTAAATTCCAGATTATACGACTGATATTTACAGAGGGCTTGCTATGTGTTGGGACTTTGGATAAGGGCTTTGCAGACGAACAGAAACCCACCCCATCTTTACCATAACCCTGTGAGGCAGTAACAACGAACCCTTCTAGCGCTGTGTGCCAGGCCCCGTTCCAAGAGCTTAATGTACATTGACTCACTCAACTCCCCAACATGAAACATTAAACCCATTTCTCACATGGGGAAGCTGAGGCTCTGAGAGGTGTGATGATTTGTTCAAAAACACACAGCTAGAAGATACCGGAGCTAAGATGCAACCCAATTGTGTCTAAACTCAGAGGCGGCAGTTGCCTTTGACTCCAGGAGGCATAAAAGTAAACTTGGACAGAAGATGGTGAACCCGTAGGCAAAATGCCACCTAGAAAATGAAGTGGGGAACTGATACTAGGAAAGAGGATATAAAATTTATATTTGTTGCCATTTATTGCCATAAATTCGGCTACTTTTTAACAGATATCTGAAATAATTTTCTCCTTTAATTCTTACAGAAAGCCTTGGAGGCAGCTTCAATTAGAAGCTAATTTTACTAATTAGAAAATTGGTATCAGAAGGACGATTGAACGTGTCCAAGGTCACACAGCCAGTAAGGAGAGGGGCCTGGACTGGAGCAGACCTGTCTGATTCACTCAGACAGGACTGGAGCAGACCCTTGCTTTGTTCACTCAATAGTTTTTTCCAAAGGCTTTTTAAGAAGAGGACTTTGGAGTTGTAAAGAATTTAGATACGTGGAAATGAGAGAAAGGCCTTCCAGGCAGAGGAAACAGGATGAACAAAGTCTTGGCAGGTATGGACAACTCTGTGTGTGTGTGTGTGTGTGTGTGTGTGTGTGTGTAGGTAGGTAGGTTGGTTGTTGGAGACAGACCCAGGGAAGCCTTGAATGGCATGCTGAAAGAATTGGTCTTTCTGCCCGGGCTTGGTGGCTCATGCCTGTAATCCCAGCACTTTGGGAGGCCGAGGCAGGCAGATCACTTGAGGTCAGGAGTTCGAGACCAGCCTGGCCAACATGGTGAAATCCTGTCTGTACTAAAATTACAAAAATATCAGCCCAGCATGGTGGTGCAGGGTTGCATTCTCAGCTACTCGTGAGGCTGAGGCAGGAGAATTGCTTGAACCCCGGAGGCAGAGGTTGCAGTGAGCAGAGATCATGCCACTGTACTCCAGCCTGGGCAATAGAGGGAGACTCCATTTCAAAAAAAAAAAAAAAAAAAAAAAGGTGCTTCTTTCTCTGGCAAAGGAGGATGCTCAAGTTTTCTAAGTCAATAATTAAGCTCATGCAAACAAAGGGCCCTTTCTGATCACCATGGTGGGTTTCCACTGCCTGCTTCTCCGCTAACTTCTATAACGAAAATGATACTCAAGACTTTTCTTGCCATCATGGTCAATAATGTGAGGGTTTGAGCACATCCTCAGAGTTAGGCTTTGGAATTTCTTGAATTCCTGCTGTGTGGGGCGTGCTGGGGAGTCTTTGGTCTGAGGGCTGGCTGCTGCTCGCTTTGGCCCTTTGATCTCCCAGTGCCCGGGATCTTTCAGTCTAGCTTTTCCTGTGTCCTGCATTGCCAGTCCCCCCACCCTCTGGATCTGTCCCCTTTTTGTTGTCTCTGAGCTAATGGGACAGATTCCATGGATGCTGGCCTGGACCTCTCTTTCTTCAGCCTGTCTCATGACCTCTAAGGCCTGGCCTGAGGAGGAGGCATAACTCTAGGAGGTCGAGGTGAGCCTGGCGCTGCAAGTATGCCCCTAATTTGTGAAACCACAGTCATAGATATCACAGTTGGTTAATACACTCGTCCTTGGATTCTTTCAAATTCATTGCTCCTGTTCAAAAAACATTTCTCTTTTTTTCTTATTGCAGTAGTAATACATGCTTATTGTATGTTATGAAGAAGATGCAGAAAAATATAAGTGATGAAACGATAGCCCATAATAATCCCACAACCCCAAGACAATCATTATTAACCTTGGGTATATTTTCTTACAGTCATTCATACAGACGTATACAAAACACACGTCTGTCTATATGAAATACTTACGTGCTTAAACTCATACCAGATATATGATTTTGCATTCCATGTTTCCACTCTTATAAAATCAGTGCAATTTTTTTACATTGCTAAACTTCTTTGTAAAAATTTATATAGAAAAACACTGTAGGCCAGGCACGGTGGCTCATGCCTGTAATCCTAGCACTTTGGGAGGCTGAGGCGGGTGGATCACCTGAGGTCAGGAGATCGAGACCATCTTGGCCAACATGGTGAAACCCTGTCTCTACTAAAATATGAAAAATTAGCCGGGCATGGTGGCACTTGCCTGTAATTCTAGCTACTTGGGAGGCTGAGGCAGGGGAATTGCTTGAACCCGGGAGGTGAAGGTTGCAGTGAGCTGAGATCACACCACTGCACTCCAGTCTGGTGACAGAGCAAGACTCCATCTCAAAACAAACAAAACACCATAAAACAATATTAAAGGGAAAAAAGCAGAATTTGAATTCATATGTTTAATATAATTTCAATTATGTTAGCTAAAAACACATGGGTACACGATGCCTATGCACTACAAAAGTACCACACAGGATGGAAGCAGAGACTACAAAATATTAATAGAGGTTATCTCTAGGGGATGTGTTTTATTTTATTCTTGCATCTTTCCATGTTTTCCACGTTTTTCCCACATATTAATCATGAATTTTTCTAATGAGAAAATTTTGCATAGCTACATAATAGTCCAAGATATGAATATACCATTGTTTATTTAATTATTGGCCTACTAAAGGCCTTTGGGTAGTTTCAAAGCTTTTACATTTATAAATAATGTTGTGTTAAATGTTCCTTTATCTGTTCAACAGATATTTGAGAGTCTATGGCATGCCTTGTATCTTGGTGCCTATATCTGCATATGTTATATAAATAATATTTTATTTTTGTGGAAACTGAAGAGCAAAGAAATCACCGAGTTAGTTGGGGACACGGATGGGTCTGTGCTTTTAGGTCTTTCAATTCTGAGGATTTATCTTTGCCAGACTGCTTTCCTCAAACCTCTGGTCTCCCTTTGGCAGAATGGTGGCAAATTGGAGGTTCTCTTGGGTATATTGAGTCACAGATCTCCTTGAATAGTGTGTGACACTACTCAAGAAGTACCTACTTGGCCCCCAGCCTATTGCCTGGTGGCCTCCTTCTTGCAGATGCACCCATTTTGCAGATGGGTCAAAGCATGTAGTCTTACAGCACAAATACTTGTCTTTGTGGAAAGTCATCCTCCCTCTGCTTGGCTGCTAGACTTTCCTGTGTGTCCATCATAGGTGTGGCTTTGTGGCACCCAGTCAATCTGATTAAGATGGTTCTTGCTTATCAGCTTGGTGCTATTTGAGATGATACATTGGAAGTCCACCTCAAATATCACCTCCTCCCTGAAATTATCCAGATACTCTCAGACAAAGTTCACAGCTCTTTTTTGGATTTTTTTTTTTTTGTGTGTGTGTATGGCCTTATTTTAAAAACATATCTCTCCAAACCATGGCTGTGTCTGTACATCTTTTTCTCATCAAGTAGGTTATTAGCTCTTTAAGGTCAGGGACCACATGTTATCCACTTTGGTACCCTGTCCATTTGCTTCTGTTTCTCAGTCTAGCGCTTGCCTTCATCTCCACTGCCACTATTCAAGTGCACACCTTCTATCACCACCCACCTAGAACACTGAACCAGTGTCCGACCTGCTGGGACTCCCTGCATCTGCTCTCGTGCCACTTACAATCCAGTTTTCCCATAGCAGTGAAAGGGATTATTTGAAATCACAAATCAAATGTGCCATTTCTTTCCGTAGCTCAGCAAGATCTGGCCCTCGCCTGCCTCTCTGACATCATCCCAGTGAACTCATCCCCATTCCTCACAGCACTTCTCTCTGATCCCTTTTATCACATCATTCTGCATAACAGTTTGGATTATTGCCCAGCAAGTGTTGATGGCCTCCCCGCTCCAATTGTGGATGGTATTTACTTCCCTACCACATGATTTTGGGCTTGGCCATATGACTCGTTTTGGCCAACAGGATATTAGTGGGTAGAAGTGAACAGAGATTTGAAATGTGATAGAGTGGTTGGGCTCACCTACTTTAGTTCTTCCATGGCCATGAGGGTAACATGCCCTGGGTAACCTGTTGGTCCCAGAAGAGTGAGAGATGCAAGGAACAGACATGAACTAAACATATGGCCTGGAGCCAAGCCCAGCCTAGATCAGCCAAACCCAGGACAAACCATAGTTGCATAAATGAGGTACACATGCTTGCTGTTGTGGAGTTACTGGCTGTATGCTACCCAGCACTGCTGTGGCATAGTTGACTAACACACCCTATTTTATGCACTTCATAATTATTATTTTGAACTTTCCGTCTTTTCTAATCAGGACATAGTTTCTATGATAAAAGAGACATTGCCTATTTTGCTCTATAATTCCAGCTATATATATGAAATCACCAATAAATATGCATGTATGTGTGTATGTATGTATGTATTTTTGAGACGGAGTCTTGCTCTGTCGCCCAGTGACGCGATCTCGGCTCACTGCAACCTCTGCCTCCTGAGTTCAAGTGATTCTCCTGCTTCAGCCTCCCAAGTAGCTGGGACTATAGGCACGTGCACCTTTTTTTATTTTTGTATGCCTGGCTACTTTTTGTATTTTTAGTAGAAATGGGGTTTCCCCATGTTAGCCAGGTTGGTCTTGATCTCCTGACCACGTGATCTGCCAGCCTTGGCCTCCCAAAGTGCTGGGATTACAGGTGTGAGCCACTGTGCCTGGCCTGCCAATAAATATTTATTAAATGACTGAATACCCCCGGCATGCTTAGCACAATACCTGTGCCCGATCAATATTTGCTGAATGCAGTTGGTGAACCATCCAAAGCAGCCTGTATTGTGTCCTAACATGTATATCTTTAAACTCAACTTGGCACGTGGGTGACACCTCTATCCCCTCTCTTCCTCTCTCTGATCACATAAAAGATCCTCCTTGTAAGAATACACACACTGAAAACAGATGATGTGTCAATGCCGTAATTTAAACCATGAATCTGTACTTGCTTAAAGATGAACTTGTTTGGAAGAAAAATGAGGAAAATGCTTGTGCCCGTCCAACAGAGTCCCCGGATAAGTACATCAATTTTGCTTCTTAGCGGATCCAGCACATAATAAAAGAAAACTGCTGAGGTCAGCAGCAGCAGAGAAGCCACACTTCTTATTTTCACAAACACAGTTTTGGGGATGGTAATCATATCTATTAGCAAGGGTGACACCACTGTGGGCCTGGCAGAAAAATGAGCTCTCCCGCATTGCAAAATGAGCAAAGTGGAGATCGATAAATCATAAAATTAGTTGAGACATCATCTATCTTTCATGGCTTTCCCTTTATTCCTGCCACGGTCCCTCAGGACACTCATTCATTTACTGCATTTTATTGTTGGGAAAACACGTCAAGGTTTGGAGGCTGCATTCAGTTAGGGGAGCAGGGGCCATAATGTGTGTCATTAATTAGGCAGGTTTGGGAGGTTCAATCCAAAGTCTGGTCTCAACTGACTTCCATAAATTGAGTTTTAGGACTGCTTCTGCGTCTTGTGTGACTTCATCAAAAAGAGAACGTTATTGAAATATGCCCTGAGAGGGAGAGAGAGAGAAAGAGGGACATGTCTGCTCACTCTGTAGAAACGATAAATTTAGGGACAAACCAGGTGATAAGCCAGATGCAATCTGAGTTGTCTAAAGATTCTTGCTGTTATCTACATGTGATTGAAATAAATGTGAGACACAGAGCTTGGAGTGCATAGATACGTCATCTGGTACCTATATTCTTCATGTCAAGGCATATAGTAAACAGATTTTTTTTCAAAAAATTATTGTGATAACACTTAACATGAGACGTACCCTCTTAACAAATTTTAAGTGCACAATACCTTGTTGACTCTAGGTACATAATGTGCAGCAGAGCTCTAGAACGCATTCATCTTGCCTGACGGAAACTTCACGCCCATTGATGAGTAGCTCCTCATTTTCTCCTCCCCACAGCCCTGGCAACCACCATTACACTCTTTTGTTCTACGCATTTGACTATTTCACATGACCCCTGTAAGTGGAAATAAGAAATATTTGTCTTTGTTTGACAGATATTTAACTTACCATAAAGTCCTCAAGATTTAATTCTTGTTCTCACATCTTGCAGAATTTTCTCCTCCTGCTCCTCCTCCCCCTCCCACCTCCCCCCTCCCTCCCTTCCCCCCCACTTCTCCTCCTCCTCCTCCTCCTCCTTCTCCTTCTTCCTCTTGTTCTGATGGAGTTTCACTCTTGTTGCCCAGGCTGTAGGGCAACGGTGCGATCTCTGCTCACCGCAACCTCCGCCTCCTGCGTTCAAGCAATTCTCCTGCCTCAGCCTCCCGAGTAGCTGGGATTACAGGCATGTGCCACCATGCCTGGCTAATTTTGTATTTTTAGTAGAGATGGGATTTCTCCATGTTGGTCAGGCTGGTCTTGAACTCCTGACCTCAGGTGATCCACCCGCCTTGGCCTCCCAAAGTGCTGGGATTACAGGCGTGAGCCACTGTGCCCATCCCAAATTTTATTCTTTTTGAAGGCTGAATAATATTCCATTGCGTGTATATACCACATTTTCTTTACCCATTAATCTGTCATTTAGGTTTTTTCCCCATTTTGGCTGTTGTGAACAGTGCTGCAATGAACATGTTAGTGCTAATATTTCTTCCACATTCTGATTTTAATTTTTATGGGTATAAATCCAGAAGTAGGATTGCTGGATCATATGCTAGTTCTATTTTCAATTTTTTGAGAAACCTCCGTACTGTTTTTCTTAGTGGTTGTACCATTTTGCATTGCCAATAATAGTGTGCAAAGGTTTCAATTTTTCTACATCTTCACCAACATTTGTTGTCTTTTGTCTTTTTGACACTAGCCAATCTGACAGGTGTGAGGTGATTTCTCATTGTGGTTTTGATTTGCAATTAGTGATACTGATTATTTGTGGTATTGGACATTTTTTCATAAACTTGTTGGCTTAACTAAGGAGGTGAAAGACTTGTATACTAAAAATTATAAAACCTTGAAAGAAACGAAAGAAGGTGGCCCGGCATGGTGGCTCATGCCTGTAATCCCAGCACTTTGGGAGGCTGAGGTGGGTGGATCATGAGGTCAGGAGTTTGAGACCATTCTGGCTAACATGGTGAAAACCCATCTGTACTAAAATAAAAAAAATTAGCCAGGCATCATGGTGCGTGCATGTAGTCCTAGCTACTCGGGAGGCTGAGGCAGAGGAATCGCTTGAATCTGGGAGGCGGAGGTTGCAGTGAGCCAAGATCACACCACTGTATTCCAGCCTGGTGACAGAGCGAGCCTTTGTCTCAAAAGAAAAAAAAAAAAAAAAGAAATGAAAGAAGGTATAAACAAATGGAAAGACATTCCAAATTCATGGATTGGAAGACTTCATATTGTTCAAGTGTCCATACTATGCAAAGCAATATGCAGATTCAATGCAATCCCTATTAAAATCCAAAAGGCATTTTTCACAGAAATAGAAAAAATGAGTCTAAAATTTGTATAGAACCACAAAAGGCCACAAATAGCCAAATCAACCTTGAGAAAGAAGAACAGTGTTGGAAGCATCACACTTCCTGATTTCAAAATATATTACAAGGCCACAGTAATTAAAACTGGTATAAAATAAAATATGGTACTGGCATAAAGACAGACATATAGGCCAAAGGAATACAATAGCAAGTCCAGAAGTAAATCTACACATATGTGATCAAATGATCTTCAACAATGGTGCCAAGAATATGTAATAGGGGAATGATTGTCTCTTTAATAAGTGATGCTGGGAAAACTGGATAACCACATGCAAAAGAATGAAATAGGATCCTTATCTAACACCATACATGAAAATCAACTAAAAAAGGACTAAAGACTTACAAGTAAAACCTGAAACTGTAAAACTCCTAGAAGAAAACATAGGGGAAACACTTCATGATGTTGGTCTTGCCAATGATTTCGTGAATATGACACCAAAAGCACAGACAACAACAACAAAAATAAATGATGAGAACTATGTAAAACGAAAAAGTGTCTGCACAGCAAATGAAACAATCGAGTTAAAAGACAACCCACAAAATGGGAAAAATTATTTGTAGACCATCTATGTAATGAGTTAATTTCTAAAATATATAAGGAATTTCTACAACTCAATAGCAAAAAAAAAAAAAAACCTCTAACAATCTGATTAAAAAGTGGGCTAAGGACTTTAATAGACATTTCTCTAAAGAAGATATTAAGTAGGTTTCTAAAATCGTGATGTGTTTTTCATTTGATGTGTGCATTTAATTGACGCTCATTACTCCATCAAAAGCATCCTGAAATCAAGGAAACAGTACTTACTAGAATGTTTCAGTGATCGATTTCTGCCTATTAAACCACCCCAAAACTTAATGCATTAAGACTAATTTATTATTGCTGTGATTCTGGGACAAAACATAACTAACTTTTTATTCCCCTTTCAAGGTGTATTTTCTGCAGAACCCCCATCTCAGTAAATGCCACTATCATCCACTCCCTTGCTCAGCTCCTTAAACTTGGAGTCATCCTTGACATTTTTCTTTCTCTCATGCCCCTCATCTAGTTTATCCACAAATTACCAAGAAACACCCACAAGCCTCCTCTCTTCAGCACTACCCCCGTAATCCAAGCCACCATCCCATCTCCCTTGGGCTATTCTGGTAGCCTTTATAATCGGTCTCCTGCTTTACCTCTTGCCTTATTCAGTCTATTCTTCATATAGAAACCAGAATGATCTTTAAAATAAATATAATCAGAGGATGTCAACCTCCCCACCACCCGGACCCCACAGCTTATGACTATCCAGCAGCTACCTGTTGTATTCAGAATAAGACCCTTATAAAACCACTTGCTATAGTCTACAAAGGCCCTGCCCTCCTCTCCTCCCTTAGCTCATCTCTAGCCACACTGGCCACACTGGCCTTCCTTCTCCCCTTTAGCATGCATGGACGTTTACACCCCAGGGCCTTTGCACCTAATGTATGTGTGTGTGTATATATATATATATATATATATGTATATTTGTTGTTGAGAGGAAGTCTCGCTCTGTCACCCAGGCTGGTGTGCAGTGGCGGGATCTCGGCTCACTGCATGCTCCGCCACCCGGGTTCACACCATTCTCCTGCCTCAGCCTCCCGAGTAGCTGGGACTACGGGCTCCTGCCCCCATGCCCGGCTAATTTTTTTGTATTTTTTTAGTAGAGATGGGGTTTCACCGTGTTAGCCAAGATCGTCTCGATCTCCTGACTTCGTGATCCGCCCACCTCGGCCTCCCAAAGTGCTGGGATTACAGGCGTGAGCCACCCCCACATCCGCACCTAGGGTTCACACCGAAAAAAAATAGTAGGCTCTGGAGATGCAACAGACCCTGCTTTCATTGGAGCTTTCAGAGAGGGAAGACAAGTGAACACATGAATAAATGTTAAGAGGTAGTGAGCATTAAGGAGATAAAGTAGGTATAGAGAATGGAGAGAGATGGGAGGTGTGACCCCGTTTCAATAGGGTGGTGAGTGAAGGCCTCTCTGAAAAGGTGGCTTTGAGCAAACGCCCAAATAAATGGAGGGGCTGAGCCGTGCAGGTATCTGGAAGCAAATGGGGCAGGGGAAGGAGCTGTTTCAAAGGATCCAAGATGGGCAAATACCTGCAGGGCTTAGAAATGGTGGCTATAATCTGAAAGCATGTAGCAATAGAAGCCTTGCAGCTGAATACATGCATTTGAGGCAGCAATGACTTCTTTCTAGGGGGTTTATGTGAGGAGGGATTTTTCTTTTTGGGAAAAACCCTGAGGTACACGTATTCAAAGGAAATATTTGTTGACTTGGATGGAAAGGGCCTGTCTTCAGCTTTCGTTCTGCTCTGCCTGGCTGCCTCTCAGTGTTAGGTTCAATGCTTGAGGCTGTGCCAAGTTGATTTCCCTGTGAGAGCAGACGCCTGATAGTAGGGCACAGTGCCAGTCCCGTTGATAATGAAATCTTTGCATCCCCGTTGACACTTCTATAAAGGACAGAAGAGGAACTGTAAGTTCCCATTCTGATCTTTTATTTCTGTTTTGTCACCCTCAAGAATACCTGTCAGAAAGCTTTTGGGATCTGGACTCAGATGGACCTGAATTTGAAGCCCACTGTGAATTTTACTGCAGTGGGATTTTGGTGAGAGCTGCTCAAACCTGAACTTGAGGCCAGGCCTGGTGGTTCATGCCTGTAATCTCAGCACTTTGGGAGGCCGAGACAGGAGGATCATTTGAACTCAGGAGTTCAAGGCCAGGCTGGGCAACATAGGGAGATCCTGTCTGTAATAAAGAATAAAAAATTAAAACCCTGAATTTGAGAGGAGCACGTGGTGACAGTGCTCAGATTTGGGTTATTCATGCCCAATATTGTGGCTCTTTCTGTTTTTGTTTTCAAATTTTGTTTTATATTTGTCTTTACAGAACATTAACATTGTTCCAAACTAATAACTAAATAAAAAAGCCATCCTCAGAGTAGGTACAGAGTGGTTAGTTGCCCTGGTTGGAGGAGTGGGAGAGTTCTATCACCAATATTGTTTAGAATTGCCAGTAATAATAAAAATGGATGACCTTTAATTGCTTTTTGTTCATGTCATAATACTCGTGTATGAAATTCATATATTTTTAGAAATAACCACGTTGTTTTGGAATAATTTTAGATTTGCAGAAGTTGCAAAAATAGCACAGATAATTCCTATAGTTACCCTTCATCCAGTTCCCCCTAATGTTAGCATCTTACATCACCATGGTACATTTGTCAAAAGAAATTAATATTAATATAACACTATTAACTATAGACTTTACTCAAATTTCATCAGTTTTTCCACCAATGTCCTTTTTTCCTGGATCCAAAATTTGATTTAGATACCAAATTGCATTTAATAGTTGATTGTATTACTGTTTTTTAAATTCTCTACAGACAAGGCACCTATTGACTGCACCTGGCAGAACAAAGTGCTGGGATTACAGCCACGAGCCATTACACCTGGCCTATATTTCAGTATTTTCTATTAGTTTTTGATGAATTTGTTTTGCCTGGCTAGGATTATTCTGTAGATAGGATTTTAGATCTGGCTTTTGTCACTGACTGCTGTAATAAATACTTGCTAGGAATTTTTTTTTTTTTTTTTTTAAGACAAAGTCGCTCTGTCACACAGGCTGGAGTGCAGTGGCATGATCTTGGCTCACTGCACCTCCGCTTCCCAGATTCAAGTAGTTCTCGTGCCTCAGCCTCCTGAGTAGCTGGGATTACAGGTGTGTGCCACCATGTCTGGCTGATTTTTGTATTTTTAGTAGAGGTGGGGTTTCACCATGTTGGCCAGGCTGGTCTCGAACTCCTGATCTCAAGTGATCTGCCTGCCTTGGTCTCCCAAAGTGCTGGGATTACAGGTGTGACCACCACGCCCTGCCTTAAGAATTGTTCCAAGAGAATCTGGTGCCACTTGCAGGTGCCCATTGAAGTGCAATGGGCACTGTTGATCACTGAGGAGGTAGTGGGTGCTGACCCGGTGCTGGGGCCTGTCCCCTAGTCTCTGCTTTGCCCTTGGCTAGCTAGGTGGTGTGCCAAGTGGGGAGAGAAGCTACCTTATTAAGGGGCATGGATCAGCTTCCTGAAAGGAGGGCCTGCCTCTGTAAGATGTGGGAAGTCGCTGAGAATGTTACAGAACGGCCCTAGAGATGGGGCAGATAACGGCCCCCATTTGTGAGAAGTGAGTTGGGAGGCATGTTTGGGGCCTCTGATGTTTGGGAGGCTGTGGGTAATTAACATGAGTTTTGGGGTCCAGCAGCAGAATTCAGGTTTCCTCTTCCACTCAGTAACCTCAACATCCGTATCTGTAATGGGAATGATACAAAACCTATCCCCAAGTTGAGGGAAAAATGAGATTGTGTAAAGCGCACTTGGCACATGACAGTCACAAGCATGGGGACAGTGAGTCCAGAAGGATTTTCTTATGCCAGCATTGTAAGCCCTAGGATCACAGGGCTCTGGCTTGTTTAACCATCGTGTCTCTGGTCCCTAGCCTGCAAACCTGGCGTGTAGGGATGCCTCAGTCGCTTACATGTTGATTGAGTGAATCGTCGGTTTCTTTCTGGACACTGACTTCAAAAATAAAATAGGATATGAAAATGGCTCCATTTGTTGTCACCATTTTGTGGGGATCCTATGTCCTTTGAAGTGGTCAGGAGTGGGAGAAACGTGATAGGGGAAGAAGGAGTGGTGTGGCTGATGGATTTAACATGTGTTCTTTTATGTTGGCAAGGAAGCGGATGACCTTACCCCTTGTTCCTCAGATCCTGTAAATGGCTTTATAACATGACCCAGGGCTGCTTGGTGTGGGACTAGACCCCAGGGTTTGAGGGTCTGAAGACAATTTAGGTTCGTGCTGGCAGGATGTCTTGGCTCAGAGACAAGTATTTCTGTGGGGTGATCCCAGCATCCTCCCAGCATACTGCTGCTGTTGCTAGGCAGAGACCCCGGAGTGGGGAGAGGGTGATAGCATCTGGATCATCCATTCCTACCTAGGTGGTTTTGGCTCATAGTAAAAGGGACCTCAGCACCTATCCGCTGCTCAGCCTCGGAGCTGCAGGTGTCAGGGATATCATGCACTGTCCAAAAAGACATGCAAAACTTAACACCCGTGCATTTTCATGGAGAGACCCCGTGGAGCCTCTGACCAGAGGCTGAAAGAAATGTGTCATTCAAAAGACCAGGGAACCACTGCCAAGGACCCCTACATTCAGCAACACATCTATACTCGTGCCTGCCACGTGTCCGCACTTAGAGGCCATTGTCTCACCTCAGGGTCAGGAGTGCCAGGTGAAAGAGCACACAGGTCTCTGGGCAAGGCAGAGTTTGAAGCTAGGTCTGGACCAACGTCTGAGAGTATGACTTCACCCCAGGCGAGGAAGTTCACTTTGAGCTCCTGGCCAGGGAGAAAGCAAGCTCTGGGAGACCTAAACTCTGAATCTCACTTGGCTTTTCAGTCTAATCCGTTGTTGCCAAAGACATACTTGGCAATCCCGAATCCTCAGAGGGCTCCATACGTGCTGCGCTTCAGCCTTCGCTCACGGTTCATCCCACCTGGAATGCCTTTTTCTCTCCAAAGATGTTCCCAAGAGCCAAGTTAAATGTCACTTCCATTTATCTTCCTCCAAAAGGAACATGTGTTTTACTTCATCTTTCTCCTAAAAATGTGGATGCCTTAATGAGACTAATAATGGTTGTTAGTGCTTGCCAGGCGTGGAGCTAAGAGTGTTACATATATTATTTAATCTGAGCAATCCTGCATCATGGGTACTATTACCAGCTCCAGTTTTTTTGAGACGGAGTCCGTTTTGTCGCCCAGGCTGGAGTGCAGTGGCATGAGTTCAAGCGATTCTTATGCTCCAGCCTTCTGAGTGGCTGGGACTACCAGCACACATCACCACGCCCGGCTAATTTTTTTTGTATTTTAGTAGAGACAGGGTTTCGCCGTGTTGGCCAGGCTGGTCTTGAACTCCCGTCCTCAGGTGACCTGCCCGCCTCAGCCTCCCAAAGTCCTGGAATTACAGGCGTGAGCCACTGCGCCTGGCCCAGCTCCAGTTGTTCAGGTGAAAAAGATGAGGCACAGAATTGGAAAGCCATTTGTCCAAGAGGCTAAGAAGTGGTCACGTGAGCATTTAAATGTTTTTAAGCCTCAGCCTACTCCTCTCCAGGCCCTTAGCGTGTTTCGTCCTGCGTTTTCCTGGTCTTTCCCAGTGTTTATTAGATGTCTATAGTGTCCAGACAATGTTAGGCAGACGGGACACAAGGGTGCACAAACAAACAGTCTGTGCCCTTATTGGAACCTGTTAATCCCTAAAGGGCTAAGCCTCCCTACAGCAAGAACCCTGTTAGTCACCTGTGTATCCCCAGCATCTCGACTCTCCACGGGCATGGCACTATGCTGTAAAAAAAATAATCCCTGACCCTCATGGCTATGGGAAAGCATGCCTTTTAAAGCATAATCCGGCTGGGTGTGGTGGCTCACGCCTGTAACCCCAGCACTTTGGGAGGCCGAGGCAGGTGGATCACCTGAGGTCAGGAGTTTGAGACTAGCCTGGCCAACATGGTGAAACCCCGTCTTTACTAAAAATACAAAAATTTGCTGGGCGTGGTGGCAGGTGCCTGTAATCCCAGCTACTCAGGAGGCTGAGGCAAGAGAACCGCTTGAAGCCTGGAGGCAGAGGTTGCAGTGAGCTGAGATTGCGCCATTGCACTCCAGCCTGGGTGACGAGTGAAACTCCGTCTAAAAAAAAAAAAAAAAAAAGGATAATCCAATCTAGGTGCCTCTGCCTCAGTGTTGCATTCACAGAATTCCGTGGACCCAAAAATCAGTCTTGGAATAGGCTGGGATATGGACAGGACACCCAGGTTCTGCCCCTACACCTATCCCCCACCTGGCTTTTTTTTTTCTTTTCCTTGAGACAGTCTGGCCCTGTGAGCTGAGGTTGCACCACTGCACTCCAGCCTGGGCAGCAGAGCAAGACTCCATCTCTCAAAAAAACAAAAAACAAAAAAACAAAATGGGGTTAAGAGAATGGGCTTTGGAATCTAGTGGCTTCACTGGTTGCTTGCTGTGTGATCTCGGGCCACTTGCTGTGCCTCTGTGCGTCAGTTTCCTTGTCTTTAGTAGAGAGATGATAGTAACATTTCCTGTAGTGGTTGTGAAGATTATACATAATGTTTGTAACCTGCTGGAGTGGTCATTAGAGCTGTTCACCAAATATTCAGATTCTCCCCGGTTGGCACATGGTGGGAGTGCCTTGTCCATGTGACTAACTGGCCAGTCAGCTGGGAGCAGAAGTGCCTCCTTCAGGCGGGGGCCTTTAGTGGCTGGCAGGAGACCTCTATGGCTCCTCTTTCTTTTTTTTTTTTTTAATTAATTTTTTTTATTATACTTTAAGTTTTAGGGTACATGTGCACAACGTGCAGGTTCGTTACATATGTATACATGTGCCATGTTGGTGTGCTGCACCCAGTAACTCGTCATTTACATTAGGTATATCTCCAAATGCTATCCCTCCCCCCTCCCCCCACCCCACAACATTCCCCAGAGTGTGATGTTCCCCTTCCTGTGTCCATGTGTTCTCATTGTTCAGTTCCCACCTACAAGTGAGAACATGCGGTGTTTGGTTTTTTGTCTTTGCGATAGTTTACTGAGAATGATGGTTTCCAGCTTCATCCATGTCCCTACAAAGGACATGAACTCATCCTTTTTTATGGCTGCATAGAATTCCATGGTGTATATATGCCACATTTTCTTAATCCAGTCTATCATTGATGGACATTTGGCTTGGTTCCAAGTCTTTGCTATTGTGAGTGGTGCCACAATAAACATATGTGTGTATGTGTATTTATAGCAGCATGATTTATAATCCTTTGGGTATATACCCAGTAATGGGATGGCTGGGTCAAATGGTATTTCTAGTTCTAGATCCCTGAGGAATCGCCACACTGACTTCCACAATGGTTGAACTAGTTTACAGTCCCACCAACAGTGTAAAAGTGTTTCTATTTCTCCACATCCTCTCCAGCACCTGTTGTTTCCTGACTTTTTAATGATGGCCATTCTAACTGGTGTGAGATGGTATCTCATTGTGGTTTTGATTTGCATTTCTCTGATGGCCAGTGATGATGAGCATTTTTTTCGTGTATCTTTTGGCTGCATAAATGTCTTCTTTTGAGAAGTGTCTGTTCATATCCTTTGCCCACTTTTCGATGGGGTTGTTTGTTTTTTTCTTGTAAATTTGTTTGAGTTCATTGTAGATTCTGGATATTAGCCCTTTGTCAGATGAGTAGATTGCAAAAATTTTCTCCCATTCTGTAGGTTGCCTCAATGAAATAAAAGAGGATACAAACAAATGGAAGAACATTCCATGCTCATGGGTAGGAAGAATCAATATCGTGAAAATGGCCATACTGCCCAAGGTAATTTACAGATTCAATGCCATCCCCATCAAGCTACCAATGACTTTCTTCACAGAATTGGAAAAAACTACTTTAAAGTTCATATGGAACCAAAAAAGAGCCTGCATTACCAAGTCAATCCTAAGCCAAAAGAACAAAGCTGGAGGCATCATGCTGCCTGACTTCAAACTGTACTACAAGGCTACAGTCACCAAAACAGCATGGTACTGGGACCAAAACAGAGATACAGACCAATGGAACAGAACAGAGCCCTCAGAAATAATGCCGCATATCTACAACCATCTGATCTTTGACAAACCTGATGAAAACAAGAAATGGGGAAAGGATTCCCTATTTAATACATGGTGCTGGGAAAACTGGTTAGCCATGTGTAGAAAGCTGAAACTGGATCCCTTCTTTACACCTTACACAAAAATTAATTCAAGATGGATTAAAGACTTAAATGTTAGACCTGAAACCATAAAAACCCTAGAAGAAAACCTAGGCATTACCATTCAGGACATAGGGATGGGCAAGGATTTCATGTCTAAAACACCAAAAGCAATGGCAACAAAAGCCAAAATTGACAAATGGGATCTAATTAAACTAAAGAGCTTCTGCACAGCAAAAGAAACTACCATCAGAGTGGATATGGCTCCTCTTTCTTTCTGCCATGGTGATGGGCGATTATGCCCAGGAGCGGCTGCTTCATTTGCCTGGCACAGGAGTGAGGGTGACAATGCAGAGATCCAGCCACCCAGCAATGGGTGTGTAGCAGCAAGAAATGACCCTTTTGTGAATTAAGCAACTGCAATTTGGCGTTTTTATAACCTAACGTATCTTGACTGATACAAATGCTTAGAGCAACCTCTGATATTTAGTAAGGGCTTATTCAGTGGCAGAATAGAAAAGAATGGGATCTAGAGTAATAAAAGGGATTAGCCTTCTCTTTGTCAGTTAGGGATGTCAAGAGATTATCTGTAGCACCCTCTGCTGTCAACATGCCTGTCTTCCATGACCAGCCTGTACCCCCCTCCCTCCACATGTTTTTGTTTTTCCCAGACAGGGTCTCACTCTGTCACCCAGGCTGGAGTGCAAATCGACCTCCTGGGTTCAAGCGATCCTCCTGCCTCACTCTCCCTAGTAGCCGGGACTACAGGCATGTACCACCATGCCTAATTTTTTATTTTTTGTGGAGATGGGACCTCACTATTTTGCCTAGGCTGGTCTCAAACTCCTGGGCTCAAGCAATTCTCCTGCCTCTACCTTCCAAAGTGCTGGGATTATAGGTGTGAGCCATTGTGCCCAGCCACATGGTTCTTCAATACTCACCCCCACCCCAAACCCTCTGACACATGCGTTTAGTCCTGGGGTGGGGCACCTGACTCAACCCAGGTTGAAGATACTTTAGGATATTTTGAACCTGGGAGATGTGAGGGTTGTCTCTTTAAAATGGTGGAAATTATGAGATATTTGGGAACGGCACTACTGATCCTCCTAATTTATTTTTAATTTTTTTTTTAGGCCGAGGCGGGTGGATCACCTGAGGTCAAGAGTTCGAGACTAGCCTGGCCAATATGGTGAAACCTTGTCTGTACTAAAACTACAAAAATTAGCAGGGTGGGGTGGCAGGCGCCTGTAATCCGAGCTACTCAGGAGACTGGGACTACAGGTGCTCACCACCGCGCTTGGCTAATTTTTGTATTTTTACAAAGCTTTAAATAAAAATTGCTTAAAGCTGAAAATTGGGTGGGCGCAGTGGCTCACGCCTATAATCCTACCACTTTGGGAGGCTGAGGTGGACAGATCACTTGAGCCCAGGAGTTCGAGATCAGCTTGGGCAACGTGATGAAATACGATCTCTACAAAAAATACAAAAATTAGCCAAGCATAGAGGTACACACCTGTAGTCCCAGATACTCCACTGAGGTGGGAGGATCACCTGAGCCGGGGGAGGTTGAGGGTGCAGTGAGGTGCGATCGCGCCAATGCACTCCAGCCTGGGTGACAGAGTGAGATACTGTCTCAAAAAACATAAAAATAAAAAATAAAAGCTGAAAAATTTATATTTAATATTTTGAAAACTTAAATCTTATTGCATATTATTATTAAATAACTTTCCAGTTCTAGTGTTCAATGTCAGTCTAATTGCTCATCTAAAGGACTGATATTGCAACATACATTTTGTGTCTCGATCTTATATACAAATTAGAGAGTGATACAAATTGTTTAAATGGCTAAATGTTCCTCAGCTACAGTGAGTAGCCATATTGGTCTCTTTTAAAAATTTTTATTATTTTTATTTAAACAAAGTTTTAATTTTTTTTTGTAGAGACAGGGTCTCATTATGTTGCCCAGGCTGGTCAGCCACAAGTGATCCTTCTGCCTCAGTCTCCCAAAGTTCTGGGATTATAGGCATGAACTAACACGCCTGACCCAGATTACTCTCTAACTCATGAGTATGTCTGGAGGCGCAATTTGGAACATGAAGAGAAACAGAAAAATGGACTCTCAGTACTTCTGAGAAATGATACTTGTTATACAAGAATCTACTGCATTCAGCCTCCCTGAGAAGAGGAATTTAAGAATTAATTTCTGCTTCCTCTTACTTAAGTGTTTCAACACTCAAGTCCTTTGCATACTCTGAAGCAATGTGTGTCTCCAACATTGGGAGCAGCTGCAACCCACAAACCTTCTTGACATAAAATAGTTGCATTCATTCATTCATTTATTTGCTCTGCCGCACAGGCTGGAATGGCAGTGGTACGATCTTAGCTTACCGCAACCTCCACCTCCCTGGTTCAAGCCATTCTCCTGCCTCAGCTTCCCGAGTAGCTGGGATTACAGGTGCGCACCACCATGCCCGGCTAATTTTTGTATTTTTTAGTAGAGACGGGGTTTCACCATGTTGGCCAGGCTGGTCTCAAACTCCTGACCTCAACTGATCTGCCTGCCTCGGCCTCCCAAAGTGCTGGGATTACAGGCGTGAGCCACCACACCTGGCCATAGTTGCCTTTTGTTTTGAGATTTTAGGACAAGAGATGAATATGTTTTTTTTTTTTTTTTTTTGAGTCAGAGCTTTGCTCTTGTTGCCCAGGCTGCAGTGCAATGGCATGATCTCGACTCACTGCAACCTCTGCTTCCCGGGTTCAAGCAATTCTTCTGCCTCAGCCTCCCGAGTAGCTGGGATTACAGGCATGCGCCACCATGCCCGGTTAATTTTGTATTTTTAGTAAAGATAGGGTTTCTCCATGTTGGTCAGGCTGGTCTCGAACTCCCAACCTCAGGTGATCTCCCTGCCTCAGCCTCCGAAAGTGCTGGGATAACAGGCATGAGCCACCACGCCGGGCAGAAATGAGACATACTTTGGGGCCTGAACAGTGTTTGTTATGAAATGGATGTTTAGGGCTGCAGATTGTGCTGAGCCAGTACTGAACATAAGATCCTGAGTGGACAGGAACACCTTTGTGGTCATTAGTGAATCTGTTTTTAAGAGCTGGGAGTGGTGGCTAACACCTGTAATCCCAGCATTGTGGGAGGCTAGGGTGGGATGATCACTTGAGGCCGGAGTTTGAGAGCAGCCTGGGTAACAAAACAAGACTCTGTCTCTACAAAAAAGGAAAAAATTAGCTGGGTGTGGTGGCATGAGTCTATAGTCCCAGCTACTCAGGAGGCTGAGGTGGGAGGATCGCTTGAGCCTAGGAGGTCAAGGCTGTAGTGAGTTATGTTTGTGCCACTGCACTCCAGCCTATTTGAGACAGATAATGTGTCTCAAAAAAAAAAAAAAGAAAAAAAAAGAAAAAAAACTCTTGGCCGGGTGCGGTGGCTCACGACTGTAATCCCAGCGCTTTGGGAGGCCGAGGCAGCTGGATCACCTGAGGTCAGGAGTTTGAGACCAGCCTGGCCAACATTGGTGAAACCCCTTCTCTATTAAAAATACAAAAATTTGCTGGGCCTGGTGGCACGCGCCTGTAATCCCAGCTACTCTGGAGGCTGTGGGAGGAGAATCACTTGAAGCCGGGAGGCAGAGGTTGCAGTGAGCCGAGATGGCGCCACTGTACACACTCCAGCCTGAGCAATAAGAGCAAAACTCCATCTCAAAAAAAAAAAAAAAAAAAAGAAAAGAAAAGAATAAAAGAAAAATCCATTGAAAAAATCATACATTTGTGAGATGGAGAGCCAATCTTGCTAGGAACTGAGGGGGTTACTGGCTGCAAGGGAGATGGGGAAAACAAGTCCTGGCCTCCACCTAGGGGATCTATAGACTCACAGTGCAGGAATTTCCCCGGAGACAGAGGAGCGCTTTAAAGGTACTGTGCGGCCCAAAATGGTGGAGTAGGGAATTCCAGGGCTCCATCCCTCCCCCAACACAACTAATAAGGTGGCAAAAACTGTCAGAATCAACTTCTGAAGTACTCTGGGATCTAGCTTTTTGTTAGCTTTCATTTTTTTGAGATGGGGTCTCACTCTGTCCCCCAGACTGGAGTGCCACTGTGCAATCTCAGCCCACTGCAGCCTTGACCTCCCGCCTCAGCCTCAGAGTAGGTGGGATCACGGGCGCAAGCCACCATGCCAGGCTAATTTTTGTATTTTTTGTAGAGACAGGGTTTTACAATGTTGCCCAGGCTGGTATTGAACTCCTGAGTTCAAGCAATTCACCAGCCTCAGCCTCCCAAAGTGCTGGGATTACAGGCTTGAGCCACCGCACCCAGCCTTCTAGTTTTTAAAAAGGGAAACAAACAAACTTATAACTAGCACGGGAAAATTTGGAGAAAGAAAGCTCTGAGGCTGGGCGCGGTGGCTCACGCCTGTAATCCCAGCACTTTGGGAGGCAAAGGCGGGTGGATCCCCTGAGGTTAGGAGTTCGAGACCAGCCTGGCCAACATGGTGAAACCCCGGCTCTACTAAAAATGCAAAAATTAGCTGGGCATGGTGGCACATGTGCCTGTAATCCCAGCTACTCGGGAGGCTGAAGCAGGAGAATCCCTTGATCCCAGGAGGAGGAGGTTGCAGTGAGCCGAGATAGTGCCACTGCCCTCCAGCCTGGGTGAAAGCAAAAGTCCGTCTCGAAAAAAAGGAAAGAAAGAAAGCTCTCCTGTGATAAGAGAGTGTGATTGATGGCGTTTTTGCTTGCTCATGTAACATCCCCCCAAACTCCAGATCAGCAGGGACCATGAGGATGTCAGCCTGCACTTCTGGGGCTGGTTGCTAGCGTAGGGGGAGTACACAGAATTTACTCTCAAAGAATTGTGGTTGTAGGCTGGGTGTGGTGTCTCACACCTGTAATCCCAGCATTTTGGGAGGCCAAGGCAGGTGAATCACGAGGTCAGGAGTTTGAGACCAGCCTGGCCAACATGGTGAAACCCCATCTCTACTAAAAATACAAAAAATTAGCTGGGCATGGTGGTGGGCACCTGTAATCACAGCTACTCAGGAGGCTGAAGCAGGAGAATCACTTGAACCTGGGAGGCAGAGGTTGCAGTGAGCCAAGATCGTGCCACTGAACTCCAGCCTGGGTGACAGGGCAACTCCGTCTTAAAAAAAAAAATAAATAAATTTGGGGTTATAGGTCTGACGACTTCCCCAAGGACTAGCAGAAAGGTTTCTGAGCTTTTTAACCAGGGCATTTTCAGGGCTGGCATGGCTTCCCAGGTGGCTTTAGACAAAAGCATTGAAAGACATAGGTATTGGCCTCAATACCCTGGGGCAGGGGACAACACTTGGGACAAGCAATAGACAGACCGAGCAGCCTGGGAAGGAAAAGTTTGGAAAAAGAGATGTGTGTCTGTAGAGGCTTTTAAAAGTGTCTACATAAACCAGGAAATCAAGAAAGCTGTGTGCAGGCCCATAGTCAGTTGCAAGCTCAGAAAAGGCCTAAGAAACTTTGTGAGGCCAAGGCGGTTGGATCACCTGAGGTCAGGAGTTTGAGACCAGCCTGGCCAACATGGTGAAATCTTGCCTTTACTAAAAATACAAAAATTAGCCAGGCATAGTGGCACACACCTGTAATCCCAGCTACCCGGGAGGCTGAGGCAGAAAATCACTTTACCTGGGAGGTGGAGGTTACAGTGAGCTGAGATTGTGCCACTGCACTCCAGCCTGGGTGACAGAGTGAGATTCTGTCTCAAAACAAAACAAAACAAAAACAAGCAAAAGAAAAGGCCTAAGAAGACCCTGGGCTTTCATCTCTTTCTGGCCTTCAGTCTCTGTGCAAGCAGGAAGTGAAGGCTAAGGCAGAGTATAAATGGCTTGGTTAAGGGTTGAGAGAGTGCCCCAAACAGATCCAATTTGCAAAGACTAGGATAGTGTTTTTCTTTTCTTCCTTCCTCCCTCCCTCCCTCCCTTCTTTCCTTTCTTCCTTCCTTCCCTCCTTCCTTCCTTTCTCTCCTTTCTGCCTGCCTGCTTTCTTTCTCTCTCTCTTTCTCTGTCTTTCTCTTTATTTCTCCTGTTTTCTTGTTTCTTTCCTTTTATTCTTCTTTATTTGTTGGCTTCAGCCATTTTAGGTAGCTCTCAAAATACCAGCTGACTGACAAGCAAAAAGAACAGAAACAAACAAAAAGAACAGAACAGAAAAAAAAAAAAAAAAACCAGAAACAGAAACACAAAGAATACAGACTTTACAATAATAGTTTGGAAAATTTACCAAACAAGCAAACCACAGCAACCCACGATATACAGCAACAATAGACCCTGGGGAGGGAGGAGAATCTGATTTTCAGTGTTGCCATAAATTGAAAATGTCAACAAAAACCCTCATGGCATGGAAAGAAATAATAAAGTTCCACTCATTTGTGGCAAGAAAGAAATGACTAGATACTGTCTTTGTGGCAACCCAGGTATTGGTCTTACTGGCAATGACTTTTTTTTTGAGACAGAGTCCCACTCTGTCGCCCAGGCTGGAGTGCAATGGCACGATCTTGGCTCACTACAACCTCTGCCTCTTGGATTGAAGCGATTCTCCTGCCTTACCCTCCTGAGTAGCTGGGATTACAGGTGTGCGCCACCACGCCCAGCTAATTTTTGCATTTTCAGTAGAGACGGGGTTTCATCATGTTGGTGAGGCTGGTCTCAAACTCCTGACCTCGTGATCCACCCACCTCAGCCTCCCAAAGTGCTGGATTAGAGGCGTGAGCCACTGTGCCCAGCCCAGCAATGACTTTTAAAAAAAATTATTTATTTAATTTTTTTTTAGAGACAGGGTCTCCCTCTGTCACTCAAGCTGGAGTGCAGTGATGTAATCAGAGCTCACTGCAATCTCTATCTCCTGGGCTCAGTGAGTCTCCTGCTTCAGCCTCCTGAGTAGGCTGGAACTACAAGTGTGCACCACAATGCCAGGCTAGACAATTACTTTTTTTTTTTTTTTTTTTGAGATGGAGTCACACTCTGTCACCCAGGCTGGAGTGCAGTGGCATAATCTCGGCTCACTGCAACCTCTGTCTCCCAGGTTCAGGTGATTCTCGTGCCTCAGTCTCCCAAGTAACTGGGATTACAGATGCCCGCCACCACGCCCAGCTAATTTTTGTATTTTTAGTGGAGACAGGTTTTCACCATGTTGGCCAGGCTGGTCTTGAACTTCTGACCTCAAGTGATCTGCCTGCCTCAGCCTCCCAAAGTGCTGGGATTACAGGCATGAGCCACCATGCCCAGCCGACAATGAGTGTAAATTGACTGTCTTAAATATACTCAAAGAGATGAAGGAAACCATGGACAAAGTCCTAAAGAGAGAGCACTTTGCAGAAGTTGTGGCGCCTTGAGAGCCAGCAGGGCAGTGGGCCAGTGAGATGTTGAGTTATTACTATTATTAATTCAAATCACATGAATAGCAAACCCTCAGAGAACAAGAAGTCTTTGTTGTATCACAAGGGCTCCATCAGCAGAGGTGGAGTCCTGAACTCGGCACAGTGTCTGGCATATACTAGGTCTTCAAGAAAGTTTTAGAGTAAACAAATGCATCCACAATGCTTTTATGTTGGGTAAGGTCTTTCTAGCAGTCAAAATTTTCTTTCTTTCTTTCTTTTTTTTTTTTTTTCCTCCTTGTGATGGGGTTTGCGGGAATGGGAACAATGGCATAGAGGAAGAGGAAACCAAAATTATCTTGAGTTAGCAGATGTCTTTCTCCTGTCTCCTTTCTTCACTAAGAAGAACAGTCTTTGCTGGGCATGGTGGCTCCCACCTGTAATCCCAGCACTTTGGGAGGCCAAGGCGAGTGGATCACCTGAGGTCAGGAGTTCGAGACCAGCCTGGCCAACATGGTGAAACCCTGTCTCTACTAAAAATACAAAAATTAGGTGGGGTGCTGTGTGGCTCACTCCTGTAATCCCAGCCTTTTGGGAGGCTGAGGCTGGTGGATCACCTGAGGTCAGAAGTTCAAGACTAGCCTGGTCAACATGGGGAAACCCCGTCTGTACTAAAAATACAAAAAAAAAAAAAAAATAGCTGGGCATGGTGGTGCATGCCTGTATTCCCAGCTACTTGGGAGGCTGAGGCAGGAGAATCGCTTGAACCTGGGAGGCAGAGGTTGCAGTGAGCTGAGATCATGCTATTGTACTCTGGCCTGGGGGACAGAGTGAGACTCTGTCTCAAGAAAAAAAAAAATAAAAAAATAAAAATAAAAAACCTAAAGAAACAAAAAAAAAAACAAAAATTAGCCAGGTGTGGTGGTGCACACCTATAATCCCAGCTACTCGAGAGGCTGAGGCAGGAGAATCGCTTCAGCCCAGGGATGCAGAGGCTGCAGCGAGCCGAGATGGCACCACTGCACTCCAGCCTGGGCGACAGAACGAGACTTTGTCTTTTTTTTGTTTGTTTAAAAAAAAAAAAAAGAAAGAAGAACGGTATTGTCTTTGGGTAAGCACAGGCACAGAGTTAAAAAAAAAAAAAAAAGAGTCGTGTCTTTGGGACTGAGTGGATGGGCATGTGTTCTGAGTTAGTGTGCCCAGGTGTGGTGAAAGACACGGAGAAACCACTGCTTGATGCGTTCTCTTTTGTTGTTCAAGTTGTGGGCTGCTGTGGGGTGGGGTTACATGTCTGCATCCCCTTCGAAAAGCACACAATATGGCAAGTGGAAGCTGGAGAGAGCTCCTAGGAGTGCCTCGTGCCAGGTGAAGAGGTTGCATTGCGGGTGGTGGGTAGGTGCCTAGGGAGAGGAGGTCCACGCCTGTTGTCCTTCCAGCACGATGGCTCCAAAAGCAGAGCGAAGAGGTGATGTTCCCACTTCCCAAGGCATCCAAGGGACGGGGCTTGAAGAATGCAGCCTAGCAACCATGTGCGTAAGACTGTGGGGAAGGAGGGCTTGAGGATGAGCCTGAGAGTCAACTGGACTGTGGGGAAATAGTGTAGCCTTCTTTCCTTTGAGCTTCAGTTATCTCGCCTGTGGTGATGATGACGATGATGATAAAGATGATACCATACTTCTATGGCACATACTATGTTCCAGATATTGTTCATATAACTCATCTAATTTTCATAGCAGTTTTACAAGATGAGTACTATTTGTTTTTGTTTTTTTGTTTTTTTTTTTTGAGATGGAGTCTCGCTCTGTTGCCAGGCTAGAGTGCAGTGGCGCAATCTGGGTTCACTGCAACCTCTGCCTCCTGGGTTCAAGCAATTCTCCTGCCTCAGCCTCCTGAGTAGCTGGGACTACAGGCACATACCAGCTAATTTTTGTATTTTCAGTAGCGACAGGGTTTCACCATGTTAGCCAAGATGGTCTTGATCTCTTGACCTCGTGATCCACCCGCCTCAGCCTCCCAAAGTGCTGGGATTATAGGCGTCAGCCACAGCTCCCAGCCAAGATGGGTACTATTTTTATACCTATTTTATAGAAGAGGAAACTGAGGCATAGAGAAGTCAAGTCACTTGATCATACAGCTAGTGTGTGGAGGAGGCAGATTCAAACCCTGGCTTCGGTCTTAGTCACTGCATTGGCTTCATGGGCTTATCATGAGGATTAAACGCGTGAACATGCTCAGTGTTTAGTTCAGTGTCTGGCACAGGATCAATGTTCAGAAAATCCTAACAGCTGCTGTCAGTATCAGAACCCAAACAAACAGGTGGGACTTTCGCCAACTCTCTAACATCACATGTGCTTGTATAATCAGCCACTGTTTTTTTCATGAAAAAAAATTTTTTTGAGACAGGTTCTCGCTTTGTCACCCAGGCAGGAAGGCAGTGGTGAGAACACAGCTCACTGTAGCCTCCACCTCCTGGGCTCAAGCGATCCTCCCACCTCAGCCTCTTGTGTAGCTGGAACCACAGCATGTGCCACCACGCCCAGCTATTTTTTAATATATTTTTTTATTTTTTGTAGAGATGAGGTCTCACCATCTTGCCCAAGCTGTTCTCAAACTCCTGGACTCAAGCAGTCCTCCTGCCTCAGCCTCCCAAAAGGCTGAGAATACAGGCATGAGCCACTGCGCCTGGCTAATCAGTCACTTGTTGTTGTTGTTTTTTGTTTTTTTGAGATGGAGTCTTGCTCTGTCACCCAAGTTGGAATGCAATGGCGCGATCTCGGCTCACTGCAAGCTCTGCCTCCTGGGTTCAAATGATTCTCCTGCCTCAGCCTCCCAAGTAGCTGGGACTACAGGTGCACGCCACCACACCCAGCTAATTTTTGTATTTTTAGTAGAGACGGGGTTTCACCATGTTGGCCAAGATGGTCTCGATCTCTTGACCTCATGATCCGCCTGCCTCAGCCTCCCAAAGTGCTGGGATTACAGGTGTGAGCCTTAATCCCAAAGTGCTGGGATTACGTGCCTGGCCTTAATCAATCACTTTTAAAGGAGAGTGGGGAACATCATGTTTTGCAACTATTTTTTGAACTCTTGGATATTTACTTGGAACAAATAAAAACACTTTTGTACCATGTGAAAGGTAAAATTTGCTCAAGCCGTCCCTCATCCTGCCCTGGCCTGCTTCCACATGCGGCTGGGTGAGCTGACCCCATTCTCTGTTTATTTATTGTTTTTGTTATTGTATTTTATTTTACTTTTTTGAGACAGAGTTTCACTCTTGTCACCCAGGCTGGAGTCCAATGGCATGATCGTGGCTCCCTGCAACCTCCGCCTCCCAGATTCAAGCGATTCTCTTGTGTCATTCTCCTGAGTAGCTGGGATTACAGGTGCCTGCCACCACGCCCAGCTAATTTTTGTATTTTTAGTAGAGATGGGGTTTCCCCATGTTGGCCAGGCTGGTTTTGAACTCCTGACCTCAGGTGATCTGCCCGCCTCGGCCTCCCAATGTGCTGGGATTAGAGGTGTGAGCCACCGCGCCCGGCCCATTCTCAGCTTCTTGATGGCTTCCCCCTACTGGGACATTGATCACTTATTCATGACATTGACTGGTCATGAGCCACTCCTCCGCCAGCCCTTGGAGGATCCAAGTGATTCACAAATGGACACAAGGAATATGATTAGTCCTCTGTGAGTGATTCTGAGGGGCCGTGGTATAGAGAGAGAGAGGGGAAGGAGGATGGGAAAATGCCGGCAGTTCCCTCCCCAACCCATTCTGACAGTTTGCTGGTTAGAGAAAAATCCCCATGTCAGAGAATTTTTTTCTTTGTTTATTTCCTGTGAAATAGAATGTGGGTCTGGCATTGGGGAGGACTCTAGTAATTCATATTTTCTGCTTATTTGGCTCCTGGCTGAACAGGAATTTACATTACTTAATGTCTGGGTTTTTCCTGGGGAATCAAAATAAGTTTTCTATTCAATTATTAAGCAAATTTCACAGCCAAATAATCCTCTTATTTTTACAAGTGGTATTTTCCCTGGCAGAGGGTTTTCTGGCTTCTCTGGGTACTTGATCCGTCTCCTCTCTTCTGTTTCCTCTGTCTTTGTCTGGCTATGAAGGAAGCTAAAGCCCCTCATTCATGGATTAGGGGCTTCTCAATGGCAGTTGGCAGACTTTGGCTTTGCAAGCTAGAGATGAATCTTTTTTTTCTTTCTTTTTTTTTTTTTTCGAGACGGAGTCTTGCTCTGTTGCGCAGGCTGGTGTGCAGTGGTGCGATCTCCACTCACTACAACCTCTGCCTTCCAGGTTCAAGCTATTCTCCTATCTCAGCCTTCCAAGAAGCTGGGACTACAGGCATGCACCACCACACCTAATTTAAAAAATACTTTAGTAAATGGCTAATTTAAAAAATATTTTTAGTAAATGGGAGGTTTTACCATGTCGGCCAGGCTGGTCTCGAACTCGTGACCTCAGGTGATCTGCCTGCCTTGTCCTCCCAAAGTGCTGGGATTACAGGTGTGAGCCACTGCGCCTGGCCTAGAGATAAATCTTAATGTCCGCCAGCCATGGGGTAAGAGTCCACTCCCTCTTTCTGCTCTTCAGTCTATTGACTTTGGGCACAGGCACAGCTGCAGCTCTAGTAGGGGTTGGGCCTGGAGTCAGTGGAGACAAAATGTGAAGGTAACAGGACAGTGCACGGGGCCCAGTGTGCTCTGCCTGGGCTGCTCAGGGAAGAAAAATCACACACACACACACAAATAACAACCCTTTTTTTGGCAGAAGTATAGTGAAAGATCTCTACGTCTTGGCCAGCATTTGTTATCTTTTTGCTTCTTTGAAAATAGCCATCCTGGGCCAGATGCAGTGGCTCACGCCTGTAATCCCAGCACTTTGGGAGGCTGAGGCGGGTGGATCACCTGAGGTTAGGAGTATGAGAGCAGCCTGGTGAACATGATGAAACCTCTTCTCTACTAAAAATACAAAAATTAGCTGGGCGTGGTGGCACGCGCCCATAATCCCAGCTACTCGGGAGGCTGAGGAACAAGAATAGCTTGAACCCTGGAGGTAGAGGTTGCAGTGAGCTGAGATTGTGCCATTGCACTCCAGTCTGGGTGACAGAGTGAGACTCTGTCTCAAAAAATAAATAAATAAATAAATTAAAAATAAATAAATAAATAAAGGAAACGGAGTCAGTGTGTTGAAGAGATATCTGCACTCCCATGTTCACTGCAATATTATTCACAATAGACAAGGTATAGAATCAACCTAAGTGTCCATCAGTGGATGAGTAGATAAAGAAAATGTGATACACATACACCAATGTGGTATATATACTCTTCAGCCTTAACCCATCTCCATAAAATTAAGGAAACAAAGAAGGAAGTCCTGTTATTGGTGACAACGTGGATGAACCTGGAAGACATTATGTTAAGTGAAATAAATCAGGCACAGAAAGACAAATACCACATGATCTCACTTATATGTGGAATCTAAAAAAGTTGAACTCACTGAAGTAGAGAGTAGAATGGTGGTTACCAGAAGCAAGGTGAGGGTGTCTGTGAGAGGGTTGGGGAGACATTGGTCAAAAGATAAAAAATTTCAATTAGCCAGGAGGAAAAAGTTCAAGAGGTCTATTGTGACTAGTTAATAAAAGTGTTCTAACCACAAAAATGATCCATATACAAGGTAACATATATGTTAATTAGCTTTATTTAGCCATTCCACACTGCGTATATCAAAAAATCATGTACACCATAAATATAATTATTATTATTTTTTGAGACAGAGTTTCACTCTTGTTGCCCAGGCTGGAGTGCAATGGCACGATCTCAGCCCACTGCAACCTCCGCCTCCTGGGTTCAAGCGATTCTCCTGCTTCAGCCTCCCTAGTAGCTGGGATTACAGGCATGCACCACCATGCCCAGCTAATTTTGTATTTTTAGTAGAGATGGGGTTTATCCATGCTGGTCAGGCTGGTCTCGAACTCCTGACCTCAGGTGATCCGCCCACCTCGGCCTCCCAAAGTGCTGGGATTATAGGCGTGAGCCACTGTGCCCGGCTCATAATTTTTATTTATAACAAAAAGTAAAGTGAACCTCCTGTAGACAGAGTACAGTTGGATCTTGTTTTTTCAACCTATTCACCTACTCTATGTCTTCTAATTGGGGAATTTAATTCATTTATACTTAAAGTAATTATTGATAGATAATTTACTTAGTAGAAGTATAACTTTGAGCCTGTTATTTACCTTTTCTAAATGAGTTTTCATTTCTGTGAAATGGGCACAATTAAAGAGGCCGCCTCCTGGGACTGGGGTCAGGATTAGTTGAGATAGTCTGTGTAAGGCTAGGATGGTGCTTGACAGCCAGTGTTAATTATTATTTTTTGATCCTGTGGGATAGGGCAACCCAGATACTCCGGTGGGAAACACTTGCAACCAGAGAACCTTGACTCAAAATCTTGGTCCTACTTGGTTTGAAGGATCCCATTGCATTTGCATTGCTGCCCCTTCTGAGAGGTTATTCACACTGATAAACCCCATTTTGCAACTTACACGTGCAGGATTCAGCTAATTGGACAGCAGTGGACACTGAACCTAAGGTGAAAAATCCAACAAATAGAGAGGACCAACTGAAAAATTCAGTTGCTTTCTTTTGAAGAATCTGAATACGAGACACAGAGAAAGGATTAGTAGTCAGTATTGAGGGCAGAAACAGAAACACAGAGAAGGAAAGTTATAAGAGGAAGCTTTGAGTCAGCAGAAGCTATGGGTGAATAGGAGCCATGAATTGACAGGAATTATGAGTCAGCAGAAACTTGAGTCGTGGCAAGAGCCACAAGTCAGCAGAAACTATGAGATAGAGAGTAGCATGGAGATAGCAGAGGAATAGGCCAAGACCCGGAGATGCTGCGTCACCATCTTGGTGGAGCCTAGAGGGCAGAGCTAGGATGGTCCCCTGAATTACAGAGCTGCTGTCAGTGATGAGTGTAACCTGAAGATGTTCCAGCCTCTGGCAGCCCTGACTGGGTGGTGAGACTTTGGCCTTCCAGCTTTCATAAAGTAAACTGAGAATATTTCTGTTTCTGGCCAACTTACAAGAATCTGACTGACACACTACCCATATCAAACTCCTCTGAGACTCAGTTTTCTTGCCTGTGAAATGGGGACAGCTAAATATACAAGTTGAATGGGTTGAGAAAACAAGATCCAATTATATTCTGTCTACAAGAGACTCATTTTACTTTTTAATTACAAATAAAAATTATATGTATATATGATATTTTGATATATGTATACAGCATGGAATGGCTAAATCAAGCTAATTAACATATATGTTACCTTGTATACTTGCTTTGGGCTGCTTAGCATCCCTTTTTTGGGGATACCAGCCTTTATTTGACATCTGCCAGTAACAGGATTCTACCTCTAAGGTGGCCACATAATCCAGGCCGGGCCCGTCAGAGCCTCATTGTAGAAATTTGCCTTCAGGTCAGGAGGTGGAAACCCTGAGAGAGTTCCTGGGTTCTGGGATATTCTAAGCTGTCCAGGCTCCTGTGTTTTCTTTGTTTTTAGAGACGGAGTCTAGCTCTGTCACCCAGGCTGGAGTGCAGGGGCACAATCTCGGTTCACTGCAACCTCCGCATCCTGGGTTCAAGTGATTCTCCTGCCTCAGCCTCCTGAGTAGCTGGGATTACAGGCATGCGCCACTATGCCCAGCTCATTTTTGTATTTTTAATAGAGATGGGGTTTTGCCATTTTTGGCTAGGCTGGTCTCAAACTCCTGACCTCAGGTGATCTGACCGCCTTGGCCTCCGAAAGTGCTAGGATTACAAGCGTGAGCCACCATGCCTGGCCGGCTCCTGTGTTTTCTAAGGCCAGTTTATTCAACTCTGTTTTCTTTCTGAGAGTTTCCGAATGGAGTCATCCCTTGGTATCCATGGGGGATTAGTTCCAGGACTTTCCATGGATACCAAACCCCACAGAAGCTCAAGTCCCTGATATAAAATGATGTAGTCTTTGCATTTAACTATGCACATCCTGCTGTATACTTTATTTTTATTTATTATTATTATTTTTGAGATGGAGTCTCCCTCTGTCACCCAGACTGGAGTGCAGTAGCGCAATCTTGGCTCACTGCAACCTCCGCCTCAGCTAGGTTCAAGCGATTCTCATGCCTCAGCCTCTTGAGTAGCTGGAACTACAGGTGTGTGCCACCACGCCCGGCTACTTTTTGTATTTTTAGTAGAGATGGGGTTTCACCATGTTGGTCAGGCTGGTCTTGAACTCCTGACCTCAAGTGTTCTGCCCATCGCGACCTCCCAAAGTGCTGGGATTACAGGCATGAGCCACCATGCCTGGCCCTCCTGTATACATTAGATTATCTCTAGATTACTCATAAAAATGAATACAATGTAAATGCCGTGTAAGTAGTTGCTATACTGCATTGTTTAGGGAATCATGACAAGAAAAGGAGTCTGTATGTGTTTAGTACAGATGGTTTTTGTTGTCGATTAAAAATATATATATATTTTATAGAGACGGGGCCTTGCTATGTTGCTCAGGCTGGTCTTGATCTTCTGGCCTCAAGTGATCCTCCTGCCTCAGCCTGCCAAAGTGCTGGGATTACAGGCATGAGCCACTGTGCCCAGCCTTCCTGAATATTTTTTTAATTCTCGGTTGGTTGAATCCATAGATGCGGAACTCACAGAGGCAGAGGGCCAACTGTAGCCTTCCTACAGATATTTTTATCTTGTTAAAGTAATAACCCTAACCTGACCCACACCTCACAGGTCTGTTGTGAAGTGACATAAGCCAGCACATAAGTGGAAAAGCTTGGTGAATGATTTAAAGGAATCTTCTGGCCTGGTGCGGGGGCTCACGCCTGTAATCCCAGCACTTTGGGAGGCCGGAGTGGGTGGATCACCTGAGGTCAGGAGTTTCAGACCAGCCTGGTCAACGTGGTGAAACCCCGTCTCTACTAAAAAAAATACAAAAATCAGCCCGGCATGGTGACGGGTGCCTGTAATCCCAGCTACTCGGGAGGCTGAGGCAGGAGAATCGCTTGAACCCAGGAGGCGGAGGTTGCAGTGAGCCAAGATCGTGCCACTGCACTCTAGCCTGGGGGACAAGAGTGAAACTCCGTCTCAAAAAATAAAAAAAGGAATCTTCTGGCCTCTGTTTCAGTTGAACAAAGTGAGGTCTAGAGAGGGGAGAAGTGAGCAGTTCCAGGTCGCATGGGCGGTCAGGGGTGAAAGGGGAGTGGGGACGTGAACTCCAGGCGGGTGCTCTTTCGCGCCTCCTGGTCGCTCCCTCCCCTTCCCTCCCCTTCCCTCCCCTTCCCTCCTCTTCCCTCCCCCGCTCTCCCTGATGTGCCTGCCTTCCCTACCTAACAGCTCTGAGTTCTGCCTACCTGAATTAGCCCAATGTTTTCACCCTTTGAAAGAAGATTCTAAGCCGAAACCAGCCCCCAGTTCCCCGTGGGCTTTGCCCACTCCTTGCCAAGCACTCTGAGTGCTACCCTTTCTCTTTCTGAATAGGGTGAGATACTTGACGCTGCCCTGAATCGAAGTCAAACGGGGGCTCCTCTCTGCAGTACCACAGAGCTCCCTGTAGGTGGCAGGGTAGGACTGCAAATGTCCTGGAATATTGGTCCCTGAGCGCAAGCCCAGACTGGAGCTGGGGTACAGCATTTACTTGCCGTGGGGAAGAGGAGGACGCCGGAGGGAGGAGGAAGGAAAGTAGAAGTGTTGCCAGTCTTGAGGCAAAAGAGAGTTGATTTGAGGGCCGAAGGACAGGAATAGTTGGTGTACCTCATCCGTCTATCTCTCCATCCACCTACCCACCTATATACCCAACTACCCTCCATCCATCCACCTACTCTCCATTCACCCACCCACTCACCCATCCACCCATCCACCCACCCACCCATCCATCTACCCATCCATCCATCCATCCATCCATCCACGCATTCATCCAAACACCCATCTATCCATCCACCCACCCATCCGTCCATGGGTTCATTCATCCATCCATCTACCAATCCACTCATCCATCCAATAAATATTTTTGAGCACCTGTGCTAAATGCATATACACACACACATATCTATGCACACACATACATACACACTGATATATATCACACACATGCATACACACACACGGAGAATAACCGGTACTGCCTTTTGTTGAGTGTCAAGGTTGCTTTTATCTCTCCAGCTGGAGATTTCTGCACCTGTCTGTAGCATCCATTACTAGCATCCCATTCCCAATATTATTATTCACTCCTTTACTTCCGAATATAAAGCAGATGTCATCTGGGGCCCTTTTTGCCCCTTCTGATTTCAATAAAATTTTCCCCAACGTCCTGTCTTCCTCCTCCTCCTCTATCCCATTCCTGAGGCATCTCAAGTCTTCCCTTGGATTTCTGTCAACTCCTGACTTTTCTGCCTCTAGAGCTTTGGCTCCTAGTAGGATATTTCTGACCTGCAGCATATCATATTCTTTGTTTTTAAAATTTATTATTGTTGGCCAGGTGCAGTGGCTCATGCCTGTAATCCCATCACTTTGGGAGACCGAGGCAGGTGGATCACCTGAGGTCAGGAGTTTGAGATTAACCTGGCCAACATGGTGAAATCCCGTTTCTACTAAAAATACAAAAATTAGCTGGATGTGGTGGCATGCTCCTGTAATCCCAGCTACTCGGGAGGCTGAGGCAGGAGAATTGCTTGAACCCGGAGGGAGAGGTTTCAGTGAGTCGAGATCTCGCCACTACTCCAGCGTGGACGACAGAGCAAGACTCCATCTCAAAAAAAACAAAAACAAAACCAAACAAGCAAACAAAAAAAAAAAAACAAGAAAAGGCAGCTCAGAGAGGTCAAGTGTCTAGCTTGAGGCCATACAGCTAACTGGGTCAGAACTGAGATTTGAACCCATGTATGTCTGACCTGGTGCTGGGCTCTTTTCTGTAGAGGATTCATCCAGCCCCACATACCTGGTCTAGAAGAAGGGAAGTGGTGGGAGAGGAGCACCCCAGAGAGAGGAGCCCGAATCATGGGGCTGCAAGCTGGTCCTGGGTCCCATGGAGCCATGGGGTGAGGAAGTGGCAGGGGCTACCACCAAACTCAGATGCGGGCCCAAGGCTGGTTGGGGGAGAGGACCCTGGCTGTGGGTGCCCATCTGCCAGCTTGTATGAAGGAGTAGGCGGGGTAGGTGGGAGAAGGGAAGTGGTGCTTCGGTGGGACCACAGGAAACGCTAGATTTTGGTTAGTAGTTGGAAAGTACCAGCAATTTCTCTTTCAACAGAAAACCAGAAGGAGGTCAGGTTTTTCTTATTAAAACAGAGACAAATGCAGACTTTGCAAAGGAAGCAGGGATTTGCAGAGTGAGGCTGGAAGTCACCGAAGCTGAGTGATATTCCCCAGAGAAAGGTTTTACATTCATGTGGAGTGGGTCAGAGGACCTTGAGTTGAGCTGATGAGCAGCCACAGGATGGCACCAGGTTTTCACGATATGGAGAGAAGGGGACCTGGTGGTGGTTTGGCCACCGTGTCCTGTTTCCTGAAGAACAGAGGGTGTACGTGACAGCTGGGGCCTCATAGCCAGTTACTGCCAGCAGGACTCCATCTCAATTCAGATCTTACTTCATGGGACTACACAGAAAGAAGGAAAGCCAGGCCGGGCATGGTGGCTCATGCCTGTAATCCCAGCACTTTGGGAGGCTGGGGTGGGCAGATCAATAGAGGCCAGGAGTTCGAGACCAACCTGACCAGCCTTCACCAATGGTGAAGCCCATCTCTACTAAAAGTACAAAAATTAGCTGGGCGTGGTGACGGGCGCTTGTAATCCCAGCTACTTGGGAGGCTGAGGCAGGAGAATGGCTTGAACCCGGGAGGCAGAGGTTGCAGTGAGGCGAGATTGCACCACTGCACTCCAGCCTGGGTGACAGAGCGAGACTCGGTCTCAAAAAAAGAAAAAAAAAAAAAAAAGCTGGGCTTCGTGAAGGGCTCACACCTGTAATCCCAGCACTTTGGGAGGATCACTTTGGGTGGATTGCTTGAGCCCAGGAGTTTGAGACCAGCCTGAGCAACATAGCGAGACTCCATCCTTACAAAAGATAAGAAAACAAAAGACAGAAGGAGTGGTTTGGAGCTATGCAAGTGTCCCTCTTGGCTCTGGCAATTTCTGGGTGGATAACCTTGGGTAGCACCCTTCTCTTTGAATCTAAGTTTCCTTATCTAAACTGGCGATGATAAGACCTCCCTTGCTATGTTGTTATAAAATTACTTGTGTGCCTAGCCCAGAGTAGGTGTGCAATGAATGAGTAAATGGATGAATGGCTAAATTCCACACATATTTATGGAGTGCTAAGTCTGTGTCAGGCATTACCTTGGGGACACAGCTGGAAGTGAACAAGCCCCAGTCTTCGGTTTTTAGGAGCCCACATTCTGGCAGAAGAGACAGGAAGTAGCTGGGCAGGGTGGCTCATGCCTATAATCCCAGCACTTCGGGAGGCTGAGGTGGGCTGATCACCTGAGGTCAAGAGTTTGAGAACAGCCTGGCCAACATGGTGAAACCCCATCTCTACTAAAAATACAAAAATTAGCCAGGCATGGTGGCATGCACCTGTAATCCTAGCTACTCGGGGGGCTGAGGCAGGGAAATCGCTTGAACCCGAGAGGTGGAGGTTGCAGTGAGCCGAGATCGAGCCACCACACTCCAGCTTGGGTGACAGACTGAAACTCCATCTCAAAAAAAAAAAAAAAGAGAGCCAGGAAGTAAGTGAGACAGATAAGATCAACACAGAGCATGCTAAACAGAAAAGTAGGAAAGACATACTATTCAGTGTTGGGGTGGGTGGGGAGATTAATATTTCAGAAAGGGTAGCCTGGGAAGGGCTCATTGAGAAGCTGACTGTTGAATAAAGATTGGCAGGAATTACGCAACCAGCCGTGTAGATCTCTGGGAGAGGAGAATTCCGGGGAGAAGGGACAGTCAGTGCAAAGGCCCTTAGGCCAGAGCATGCTTGGGGTTCAAGAAACAGAGTGAGTGCCAGTGTGCCTGAAGCCCAGTACAGAAGGGAGAAGGTTGTCGGAGATGAAGGCAAAGAGGTAATGACGGGTGGGTTAGAGTTTGCAGGGCCTTTGGAAGCTGTGAGAAGGATTTTGGCTTTTTTTCTGGGTCAGAGGGGAGCCAGTGCAGGAGTTTGAGCAGAGGAGTGGCATATTACGGTTCTCCAGAGAAAGGGAACCAACAGGATATACACATGTCTACATTAATCAATTAATTATTTTGAGGGGGTTCTCCAGAGAAAGGGAACCAACAGGATATACACATGTCTACATTAATCAATTAATTAATTTTGAGATTGAGTTTCGCTCTTTCACCCAGGCTGGAGTGCAGTGGCACGATCTCGGCCTACTGCAACCTCCATCTCCTGGGTTCAAGTGATTCTCATGCTTCAGCATCCCAAGTAGCTGGGATTACAGGTGCCCGCCACCACACCTGGCTAGTTTTTGTACTTGAGACAGGGTTTCACCATGTTGGCCAGCCTGGTCTCGAACTCCTGACCTCAGGTGTTCCACCCGCCTCATTCTTCCCAAGTGCTGGGATTACAGGCATGAGCCACCATGCCCGGCCTATATTAATTTCTTTACAGAGATTTATTATAATGAATTGGCTCGCATGATTATGGAGGCCGAGAAGTCCCAAGATCGGCAGCTGGCAAACAGGAGACCCAGGAGAACTGATGATTTAGCTCCAGTGTGAGGCCCAAAGACCCTGTGAGTTCCCAGGAGAGCCAATGACATAAGTTCTGGTCCTAACGCGAGCAGACTTGAGATGCAGGAAAAGCCAATGTTTCAGTTCAAGTCTCAGGGTGGAAAAGCACAGTGTCCCAGCCCAAGCAGGCAGGCAGCAGGAGTTCTCTTGTACTGTGCCTTTTTGTTCTATATGGGCCTTCAACGGATTGGATGGGGCCCACCCACATTAGGGAGGGCGACTTGCTCTATTCAGTCTGCAGTTCAAATGTGAATCTCACCCAGGAACACCCTTACAGACACACACTCACAATAATGTTTGAACAAAAATATCTGGGGGCCAGGCATGGTGGCTCACACCTGTAGTCCCAGCACTCTGGAAAGCCAAAATGCGTGGATCACTTGAGGCCAGGAGTTTGAGACCAGCCTGAGCAACATGACAAAACCCTGTATCTATAAAAAAAAATACAAAAATTAGCTGGTATGATGGCACCACATGTGGTACCAGCTACTCAGGAGGCTAAGGTGGAAGGATCGTCTGAGTTCAGGGAGGTTGAGGCTGCAGTGAGCCATGACTGACTGTGCCACCGCACTCCAGCCTGAGCGACAGAGCAAGACCTTGTCTCAAAAAAAAAAAAAAAAAAAAAAAATCTGGGCAGCCCGTGGCCCAGTCAAACTGACACATCAAATTGACCATCCCAAGTGGCTTCACTGGATGTAGCTTTCTACAGGCTCTCTCTGGCTGTGGTGTTGAGAATAGTATGAAGGTAGGGGTAGGGTTGGGGAGTCAGAAGCAGGAAGGTGAATTTGGTGGCTACCATATAGTCATCCAGGTAAGTGTGGTGGTGGCTTGGACTAAAGTGGTAGTAAGAGGTGTGACGAGGTTATTAGATTCTGGATGTATTTTGAAAGGAGTGCAGATGGGGTGAGAGAGAGAAGAAGAGAAATAATGGGTGACCTGTGGTTTTTGGCTTCAGCACCTTAAAGAATGAGGTTGCCACTGATTGAGAAGGGAGTATCAGGAGTATGGCGGACACGTTGAGTGTGAGAAATGTAAGCTTTGGAGGAGATGTGGGGTCAGCAGGTAGATGTCCATGCCTGGAGTCCAGCAGAGCAGCCTGGGCCAGACAGCTGGATTTGGGAGCTGTCATTAGCACCTGCCTGGCTGTCTTCATTATTGCATCAAGAGTGGCTCTTGGTTGCAAGTAACAGAAAACCTGGCTGCAGGCCAGACATGGTGGCTCACGCCTGTAATCCCAGCACTTTGGGAGGCCGAGGTGGGTGGATCACCTGAGGTCAGGAGTTTGAGACCAGCCCGGCCAACACGGTGAAACCCTGTCTCTACTAAAACTACAAAAATTAACCGGGTGTGGTGGCATGTGCCTGTAATCTCAGCTACTCAGGAGGCTGAGGCAGGAGAATCGCTTGAACCTGGGAGGCAGAGTTTGGGTAAGCTGAGATTGCACCATTGTACTCCAGCCTGGGTGACACAGCAAAACTCCATCTCAGAAAAAGAAAACTTAGTTGCCTTGAGCAAAAACAGAAATTATTGGAAAACTCTAGGGGTCCACAAACCCACCAGGAAGCTGGGGATCCAGGCTGGGGAAATGAGTGGGGGCCAAGGAGGCTGTGAAGATCTGAGCAGCGGCAGCCACAGAAAAGGCCCCGGCAGGAGCAATCCGGTCCTAAAACCCCCATGGCTACCATGTGGATAGGCCCTCCTGCGGCCCCTTGCTGGGATCACCGCTCATGATGCAGAGTCTGAGGAGAGCAGCTCATTGGTTCAACCAAGCCACATGACCTTCAGGCTGGGGTGCAGGGAGGGAGGCCTGGCCACTTAGGGTTTCCATTTTCTTTTTTCTGAGACAGAGTCTCGCTCTGTCACGCAGGCTGGAGTGCAGTGGTGTGATCTCAGCTCACTGCAACCTCCGCCTCCCGGATTCAAGTGATTCTCCTGCCTCAGCCTCCCCAGTAGCTATGATTACAGGTGCGTGCTACCATGCTTGCCTAATTGTTGTATTTTTAGTAGAGACGGGGTTTCACCATGATGACCAGGCTGGTCTTGAACTCCTGACCTTAAGTGATCCACCCGTCTCGGCCTCTCAAAGTGTTGAGATTACAGGCGTGAGCCACTGCACCCAGCCCACTGAGGGTTTCCTAGTGGAGGAGGAGGCCACCATCCCCTCATTGTGGTGTTTATAATGGGGAACTCCCAGAGGAGCCACCAGGGTAAAAGAGGAAGAGATGAGATGTTGGACTGGCATAAAAAAAGAAAAGCAGACCAAAACTCCAGCGTGACAGCAGCAAAGCCCATCACAACTGCATCATAATTATCATCAGCAGCAATAGCAGCTGGAGTGATTTCTTTTCTTTTTTTGAGACAGGGTCTTGCTCTATCACACAGGCTGGAGTACAGTGGTGTGATCGTAGCTCACTGCAGCCTCGACCTCCCAGGCTCAAGCAGTCCTCCTGCCTCAGCCTCTTGAGCAGCTGGGACTACAGGCACAAGCCACTATACCAGGCTAAGTTAAAAAAAAAAAAAAAAGTGTAGAGATGGAGTCTCACTTAGGCTGGTCTTGAACTCCTGGCCTCAAGCAATCCTCCTACCTCGGCCTCCCAAAATGCTGGGATTACAGGCAGGAGCCACCTTGCCAGGCTGATCTTTTAAATTCTTTCAGCGTCAAAGCCAAAGTTTTCTCAATGTCCTAAAAGGCCCCAGGCCCTCTGCCCTCCCTCCCCTGCTACCCCGCCCTGTGGCCTCTCTGACCTCATCTCCTGTTGTTCCTGCCTTGCTCATTCTTCCCCAGCCTCACTGGTCCCCTGGCTGCGGCTCCAAAACGCTGGCCACTCCTGCCCCAGGACACTTGCCTTTGCTCTCTTCCGTGCCCTTCCCAGACATCCCCACGACTTGCTCCCTTACTGCCTTCAGGCTTCTCTCTCTCTCTCTCTCTCTTTTTTTTTTTTTTTTGGAGATGGAGTCTCACTCTGTTGCCCAGGCTGGAGTTCAGTGGTGTGATCTTGCCTCACTGCAACCTCCATCTCTTGGGTTCAAGTGATCCTTCTGCCTCAGCCTCCTGAGTAGCGGGGGTTACAGGCGCATGCCACCATGCCCGGCTAATATTTGTATTTTTAGTAGAGATGGGGTTTTGCCATGTTGGCCAGGCTAGTTTCAAATTCCTGGCCTCAAGTGATCTGCCTGCCTCAGCCTCCCAAAGTGCTGTGATTACAGGCATGCGCCACGGTGCCCCGCTGAGACTTTTCTCCAATGTGACCTTCTCAGCCAGACATCCTTGATGATGCCATTTACATTTGCAATGCTCCCTCTATCCCATCTCCTCCCAGGAATGCCTCTTCATGTCTTTGCTTTTTTTTTTTTTCCCCCACAGAACTTCTCATCATCTTCATGCTACATATCTCTGTTTCTTGTGTATCTCCCTCCTCCATGTGGATGGGGGTTTCCAGAACCGAGCCTGGTATGGAGCAGGCGGTCAGGATTTGCTCTTGAATGAAGGATGGGGGTTCACTCCCTGGAGCTATGTTGGGAGCCCTGTTCTGAGGAGCTCTGGCTTCGTGGGTCCCCAGGACCCAGGGTAAGACAGTCCACTCCTTGGGCAATGACTGGGACCAGTACCTGGGGAGGTTGGGGCCCTTCATCCCAACTCAGTCCCATCCTTGAGGGAATCAACTGTGACTCACAGCTAACAGGGTGAGCAGAGCTGCTTCTTCAGTCACGAATGAAAATAACCTTGTCTCTGTAAACAAACAGCTCTCAATTTATTCATTGGGAAGAAAGAAGTGTGTGTGGAAAGAAGGAGGCACTTTCCTGGGGGGCGGAGTGTCAGAGTGTTAGACTTGAGTTACTCAGAGTAATTGATTCACGATGCTGCGTGTCAGGGGTGTTACATCTAATCGGGAGCTGTCCATACAATTTCTCACTAATTGTCACTGGGCGCCATAACAGGATAATGACTGTTGGGGCACAAGAGACTTGGATGTGGTGAGCCAAGGGTATCATTTTGATTTTTGTTTTGAGATGTGCTGGAACTCAGATGACCCTCCTTACCGAAAGGCTCCATCCCTTTAAATTTTTTTTTTTTTTTTTTTAAGAGATGATGTTTTTCTGCGCTATGTTGCCCAGGCTGGTCTCAAACTCCTGGGCTTAAGTGATCCTTCCACTTCAGTCTCCCAAGTAGTGGGGAATGCAGGTGTGAGCCACTGCACCCGACTGAAAAGCTCATTCTTTTTTTGTTGAGACAGGGTCTCACGCTGTCACCCAGACTTGGAGTGCAGTGGCGTGCTCACGGCTCACTCTAGCCTTGACCTCTCAGGCTCAAGCTATCCTTCCATCTCATTCTCCCAGGTAGGTGGGACTACAGGCATGTGCCACCATGCCTGGCTAATTTTTTTATTTTTTGTAGAGACGGGGGTCTCACTATGTTGCCCAGGCTAGTCTCACACTCCTGAGCTCAAGCGATCCTCCCACCTTGGCCTCCCAACATGCTGGGATTACAGGCATGTGGAAGGTTCATTGTTTAGCCAGAGTTTTGTTCTGGACCGGAGACAATCTAGAGGGATGCAGACCTGGGCTTGGACCACCAGAGGTCTGGCTGGACCCCTGGGGGCCAGAAGTGCCTAGTTGAGGGGTATCTTCTTGGACTCGTTACTTACTCCTCACTTTGAACCTGTCACCAAGTGTGTCAGTTTTGCCTCTAAAGCATCTGTCAGCTCTGTCCACTTCTCTCCACTCCCACTGCCACCCCCTGCTTTCACCTGGTGACCACAGACGCTGCTTAGCTTCTGCTCTGTCTCTTATTCCCTTCCCTTTGCCTCTACCCGGGAGCATACATGTAATGGTGACAGTTCCCTGCATAACACACTGCAGCGGTCCCATTCCCTTGAGGATGAAGACCAAAATCCTTAACATGGCTCAAGAGATCCCACAACCATCTGGCCCCTGCCCACTTCTCAGCCTCACTGTTCACCATTTTCTCCAGGCAAAAGGAAGGACCAGTGACCTAAGAATGCCATGGGGCTGCTGCCCTCATTTTGCACTCTAGGATTTTGACCTTATTATTTCCTGTGCATGGGATGCTTTCTTCCCCTCCCTCCCTCCCTTTCTTCCTTCCTTCCTTCCATCCATCCTCTTTCTTTCTCTCTCCTCTCCCTCTCTCTCTCTCCCTCCCTCCCTCCCCTCCCCTGCCTCCCTTCCTCCTCCTCCTCCTTCTTTCCCCTCTCTCTCTCTTTCTTTTTGAGACAGGGTCTCATTCTGTCACCCAGGCTGGAGTGCAGTAGTGTGATCGTGGCTCACTGCAGCCTCAACCTCCTGGGCTCAAGTGATCCTCCCACCCTAGCCTCCTGAGGAGCTGGATACCACTGTGTGCAGTGAGTGCATGCCACTGTGCCCAGCTAATTTTTTGTATTTTTTGCAGAGATGGAGGTTTTGCCACGTTGCACAGTCTGGTCTCAAACTCCTGGGCTCAAGTGATCTGCCCACCTCGGCCTCCCAAAGTGCTGGGATTACAGGCATGAGCCACCGCACCTGGCCTAGGAGCTGCTTCTTAGATCTTCCGCAGCTCTTTCTCATCACCAGCTAAAATGCTGTATTCTGGTAGCATTGTCTTTATCCTCCTCTGGACTGTATCTCTCTTGAAGTCTTCCATTCCAGTTCATTTCTCCTGAGCCTAGTACAATAATACATAGAAAGCGCTGGGATATTTTTAAAAATACTAATGTTTAGAATCAATTTTAATTCCTTCTGTAAAAAATATACGTATTTTGCCTTTTTAAAAAAATGCAAAACTGGGCCAGGTTTAGTGGGGCATGCCTCTAGTCCCAGCTACTTGGGAGGCTGAGGTGGGAGGATGGCTGGAGCCCAGGAGTTCGAGGCTGCAGTGAGCCATGATTGCACCACTGCACTCCAACCTGGGCAATAGAGTGAGATCCTATCTCAAAAAAAAAAAAAAAAAAAAAAAAGGAAAACTCAAGTCCTTTTAGTGATCACACCAAGTTCCTGCACCTTGTCGCTTTTTTATTTTATTTTATTTTATTTTTTTGAGACAGAGTCTTGCTCTGTCTCCCAGGCTGAAGTGCAGTGGCATGATACCAACTTACTGCAACCTCCGCCTCCTGGGTTCAAGCGATTCTCCTGCCTCAGCCTCCTGAGTAGCTGGGATTACAGGCATGTGCCACCATGACTGGCTAAATTTTTTGTATTTTTAGTAGAGACAGGGTTTCACCATGATGGTCAGGCTGGTTTTGAACTCCTGGCCTCAAGTGATCCTTCTGCCTTGGCCTCCCAAAGTGCTGGGATTACAGGCGTGAGCCATCACGCTCGGCCAGCCCTTGTTTTTATGAACATCGTGTATCCTTAAGGACCTTCAAATACTTCTGCATCCATTTGTATGCATCTTTAGTTTTGTTCTGAAAACCTCAAGATATAGCACGCTATGTGTATAGTTTGCAACTTGAATTTTTTTCACTCAACACTGTGTTTCTGAGACCAATCCTCGCTGATACATAGAGAGCTAGTTAATTCCTCCTGCCTTCTGCATAGCATCTCACTATGTTATTAATTGCCTTTTGTTTTCTCAAGCTATTTCTGTGTTGATGGGCATTTGTGTTGTGTCTACTGCCTTGCTATTGAAAATAGCACTTCAGTGCGTGCACCGCGTAGGCCTCTGTGTACTACCGTGAAGTGTTTCCTGAGGCCAGTAGTTCTCAACTTGGCTGCAGACAGAATCACCTGAACGTTTTTTTTTTAACAATCACACCAACTCTCTGCCTTTCCCCAAATTCTTAATTGAATGGTTCAGGGTAGGCATCGGCAGTTTTAGAAGCTCCAGGGTGCTTCTAAATGTGCATTCAGGGTTGAGACCTGCTGTTCTGGGGTGTACATTGGGGATGTTGGTGTTGCAATGACTGGGCCAAAAGAAGAACCCAACCCCGTGTTTTACCAGGCTCTGCCCAATTGCCTTTCAAGGTGACTGAACTGATCTACATCCTGCTGGCAGTGTGTGAGCGAATAATGACTGTTTTGTGTGAACAAGTGACTACCAGTCACTGCAGGTCAGTGAACCAGAGCGTTCTCCACTGCACAAACTGCCTCCAAGTGGCTCATCACCATGGGCTACAGCCCACAAACGTCTGAGCTTGGAATGCTTTGTGTCCTTAGGTGGCAGCTTGGTGCAGCTGAAAAGGTGCCAGGCTGCTAATGGGACAATTCGGAGTCCAGTTCAGACCCAGGTTCTACCTTGCTATGTGTCCTCCCAGGTCACATCCCCACACTGAGCCTCAGCATCCCTGCCCTTGGAGGGAGGAGAGCTGGAAACTCACCTGCGGTCATTTTCATGTTTCTCTTCTGTCTGAGCCACACGTTACTTGCAGCCTGTGGTCTGAGCATGGGCGTTAGAGCCCAGTCCTGAATAGTTTCTGCACTGTGGGCCCTGTTGGTATCTGGGGAAGCCTATTACCCTTCTCAGAGCAATGTTTCTTTTTCTTCTCTTTTCTTTCTTTTCTTTTCTTTCATTTTTTGTTTGAGACAGAGTCTCGCTCTGTCACTGAGGCTGGAGTGCAGTGGCATGATCTTGGCTCACTGCAACCTCTACATCCTGGGTTCGAGTGATTATCCTGCCTTAGTCTCCTGAGTAGCTGGGATTACAGGTGCCTGCCACCACGCCCGGCTAATTTTTGTATTTTTAGTAGTGATGGGGTTTCACCATGCTGGCCAGGCTGGTCTCAGACAGCTGACCTCAGGTGATCCACCCGCCTTGGCCTCCCAAAGTGCTGGGATTACAGGCGTGAGCCACCTCGCCCGGCCTTTTTTTTTTTTTTTTTTTTTTAGAGACGGAGTGTCCCTGTGTCCCTCTGTCACCTAGGCTGGAGTGCAGTGGCTTCATCTCAGCTCACTGACCTCCGCCTCCCAGGTTCAAGTGCTTCTCCTGCCTCAGTCTCCCAAGTAGCTGGGACTATAGGCATGCACCACCACGCCCAGCTAATTTTTGTGTTTTTCAGTAGAGATAGGGTTTCACCATGTTGGCCAGGCTGGTCTTGAACTCCTGGCCTCAAGTGATCTGCCTGCCTTGGCCTCCCAGAGCACTGGGATTACAGGTGTGAGCCACTGCTCCCAGCCTCTGAGCAATGTTTCTAAATATGAAATCCAAAGGCTTGTGAAGACAACTGATTATATGGAAATACAGCTGATATAAATATTACAAAATTATTACAAAAATATTACAAAGCCAAACTGTGATATAGCAATACCCATGCCTCTTTATTAACACACCAAATAAGGCGATCTGATGGTGGGTTGGCAACATTATTACGATTGCAGTTTAAAGCAGTGATGAGTGTAAATGATATTCCAACATCTTTGCAACAAATGTAACAGGACATGAAAATATCTGTGATTCCTGTTGGTGACAAAGTTACAGGTTCTGTTGACACGACGGCAGTTTGCTGCCTACACTCATAATGGAAAGAATTGCTACATTGCAGTTTGATGTTAGTAAAATTAAGAGGTCTATTTTTTCTTCCGAGTTCATTGAGTTCATTGATTGCAGGTTACTGGCCCTTGCTAGAGTTATATAGACTTGAGTTTCTTTCTTTTTTGTGAGTTTTTTTTTTTTTTTTGACGGAGTCTTGCTCGTCGTTCAGGCTGGAGTGCAGTGGCACGATCTCGGTTCACCGTAACCTCCACCTCCCGAGTTCAGGCGATTCTCCTGCTTCAGCCTCCTGAGTAGCTGGGATTACAGCATGTGCTACCACGCTCAGCTAATTTGTGCATTTTTAGTAGAGACAGGGTTTCACCATGTTGGTCAGGCTGGTCTCGAACTCCTGACCTCAGGTGATATGCCCCCTCCCCTCCTTGGCCTCCCAAACTGCTAGGATTACAGGTGTGAGCCATTGTGCCCTGCTTTTTTGTGGCTTTTTAAAAATTTTTATTTTGTAGAGACGAAGTCTCACTGTGTTGTCCAGGCTGGTCTTGAGCTCCTGAGCTCAGGTGATCTTTCTGCCTCAGACTCCCAAAATGCTGGGATTACAGGCATAAACCACCATCCCAGGCTAGACATGGGTTTCAATCTCTGCTCTATAGCTTCCTGTGTGGGTGCATTTGGGTAAATTCCTTTTCTTTCCTGAGTCTCAGTTTCCTCAACTGTAAAATGCATGTAAGACAGTGAGCTCCTAGGGTGCTGGGAAGAGTAAATGTGACAAATCAAATTCAACACACATTTGTAGAGAACTTTTGATGTGCTCAGGGCCATTTTCGGTGCCAGGATGCTGGACCGAATGAGAAGGGCAAAATCCTTGCCCCTCTGGAGTTTACAGTTCGGGGGCAGAGACAATGAATAATGAGGCAGATAAGTAAATAACGGTTTCAGATAATACTAAGGGCAATGAAGAAAATAGTACAGGTGATATGAAAGGGAACAAATGCCTGGTGCAGGTGACATTAAATAGGGCAATTAGGTAATAATACAGACAGAAATGAACAATATTGATGCATAAGACGAGAGAATGTATTTGAAGTATCAGCTCGGCACCTGGTACGTGGTGTATGTTCCATTTGTGCTGGCCACGGTGATGATGATGATGATGCCATCTCTCCGGCTACACTGCGAGCACAGATCACAGCTCTCTGTAGCTGATGCTGGCTCTACCCACTGTATTCGGGGCTGGATGAAGGTGGGGCCATGGAAGCGTTCTACACAAGAACTCAGCAGTCCTGTTGGAGCCAGATTGGAAGGAAGCAGGTCTGATTAAAGGAAGATAAAGTCTTCTCTCTGCTAAGTCTCGCAGGGAGAGCTAGGCAATCAATAGGTCTCGCAGATCAGTGGAGGGTGCTTGGAATCTGGCAGCATGGGGCTTTTTAATTAAACCTATAACTGTGAGAAAAGGTAACTGCCTTATTTCTGCAGCTTGTGTTTCTGTCTGCCTGCCAGAAACTGAACAAATCAATGCACTTCCAGAGGTTCTGAGGATCTTGACAAGGGGGCCTCTGGTTTTGGGATGGCCAGACCCTGCAGGGATAAACTCTCGAGTGGCCAGGGTGTCAGGTACCAATTCTGGAGGGTCAGGTGTTGCCTTTTACATTTAAATACCCATAGCAGGTGTGATTAGCAACTGCAATTCAGGGGAAGGCGAGGCCCCTTCCCAGCCAGCAGCAGCTTGCCTTCCAGGATTTTATACCAAGCTGGCCCCCTACCACCACAAGATGTCAACATTCCTTTTTTTAATAGAAGATTTTCTTTTATTGTGGGCCAGGCATGGCGGCTTGCTCCTATAATCCCAGCACTTTGGGAGGCCGAGGCTGGCAGATCACTTGAGGTCAGGAGTTCCAGACTATCCTGGTCAACATGGAGAAACCCCTGTCTCTACTAAAAATACAAAATTAGCTTGGCATGGTGGTGTATGCCTGTAATCCCAGCTACTCAGAAGGCTGAGGCACGATCATCATTTGAATCCGGGAGGCAGAGGTTGCAGTGAGCTGAGATCACACCATTGCACTCCAGCCTGGGCAACAGAGTGAGTCTCCATCTCAAAAAAAAAAAAAAAAAAAAAAAAAGATTTTCGTTTATCATGAAGTAGAATTATGCTGTTTAGGGTATGGTCCATGCACCAGCATCACAGCATCATCTGCTGGGAATGTGTCAGAGATACAGAACTCCAGCCCCACCCCAGACCTACTCAGTTAGAATCTGCATTTTAACCAGATCATCAGGAATTCATATGCATATTGATGTGTGAGAGGCACTGAAATTGAACATACATATGAGACTTAGAAGACAAAGAAGCCAAATGCCAATATGCAGACCTTATTTAAATCCTGAGAGAGTTAAGAAGTTATCTATGAGATAATTTGAGATTTGAACATTTGCAGATATTAAGGAATTATTCATTTCCTAGGTGATAGGGAGGTTTTATTTCAAAAAAAAAAAAAAAGAGCCCTTTTGGCCATGCGCGATGGCTCATGCCTGTAATCCCAGCACTTTGGGAGGCTGATGTGGGTGGATCACCTGAAGTCAGGAGTTCAAGCCCAGCCTGGCCAACATGGTGAAATCCCGTCTCTACTAAAAATACAAAATTAGCTAGGCGTGGTAGTAGGTGCCTGTAATCCCAGCTACTCAGGAGGCTGAGGCAGGAGAATTGCTTGAACCTGGGAGGCAGAGGTTGCAGTGAGCCGAGGTCTTGCCACTGCACTCCAGTCTGGGCAACAAGAATGAAACTCTGTTTCAGAGAAAAAAAAAAACCCTTTTCTTTTAGAGTTACACATGAAAATACTTAGAGATAAAATGATTTCATGCTCGCATTTGTTTTAAAATACTGGTGGAGCTAGACAAAGTCTTGACGTTTGGACACAGCACGAATGACTGTGAGTTGATGGTATGGGGAACTGTGTCACGACCCAGGCAGACACAGTACACAGTATACTGTTTACTTAGTATATGTTTCAAATTCCCCACGGTAAAAACCTAAGATGATGATATAGAATATTCACATAGAAAATGCATGAAACAGGCTGGGCACAGTGGCTCACGCCTGTAATCCCAGCACTTTGGGAGGACAAGGTGGGCAGATCACCTAAGGTCAGGAGTTTGAGACCAGCCTGGCCAACATGGCGAAACCCCGTCTCTACTAAAAAATACAAAAGTTAGCTGGGCATGGTGGTGGGCGCCTGTAATCCCCGCTACTCAGGAGGCTGAGGCAGGGAGAATTGCTTGAACCTGGAAGGCAGAGGTTATAGTGAACTGAGATCACGCCACTGCACTCCAGCCTGGGCGACAGAGCAAGATTCTGTCTCAAATTAAAAAAAAAAAAAAAAAAAAGAAAAAGAAATGCATGAAACAGGAAGGTGTTGTGATGAGCATTAGTTCAAGTGGACATCCATAAATCTGTTACCAGGTCATTACCGGCTCCTGCCCTCTGTCAGAACCTCTGCCCCAGAGTAATTTCTTCCCTCCCATTCTCTGGGGCGCTCTCACCCCTAGCTGCCTATGGAATCGCCTGGGAAAACTTTACAAAACAATGCAGTTGAGCCTCCTCCAGTCCAATGAAAACATACTCCCTGGGAGTGCGCACAGGTGATTCTAATGTGCGACCTTAGCTGCCCTAGCTTTTCAGGTGAATGCCATATTTGTGCTTGAATTTCTCAACGAGCTTACTGCTGCTTACATCCAACAGGCAATTTCACTTTCTCATCAAGGGACTGAGTTGCTGGACTGTTGTATAAGCACAGGTTACATTGCAACCCATTTTTTTCCTTTTTTTTTTTTTTTTGTTTGAGACTATGTTTCGCCGTGTTGCCTAGGCTGGACTCAAACTTCTGGGCTCAAGTGATCCTCTCTCTTCAGCCTCTTGAGGAGATGGGGCTTTAGCTACCGTGCCTGGCTTGCAACCCATTTTTGAAACTAATGGGTTTTTGTGTATTTGTGATAAATGTGTATCTACCACATATTGAGTGCTTTCCATTTCTCTGGAACTCTGCTAAGTACTTTATTTTATTTAATCCCCAAAACGATTGTGGGGTCAGCATCCCTGTCCCTATTATACTGATGAAGAAACAGGCTCAGAGAGACTATGTGGCTTGCTTCAGGTCACCCAGTTTAAAAAGTGCTGAGTGTGGATTGGGTTCATAGCTCTCTGACTTAATGCTCTTAAGCATCATTTTGTGCCGTTCATTCAGGGTCTTGATTGAAGAGTTGAGGGCCAGTTAGCCACCCACAATGAACTGGAAGTAAACATGGAGAGGTCGTCACAGTGTCACTCGAGGCACACTTAAGTGGTGTGCCTTGGAGCTGAGTTTCCGTCTTTGTCAAATGGGGACAGCACTGTTTTGTCTTCTCTGGCTGACAACCTCTTACTCATCTCTCAAAAGTGCGTCAGTTGTCACAGAATGGGGAAGCCGGAAAGCTCCTCTGAATTTCAAGGGACCTCCTGGCTAAAGCAGAATTAGTCATGTCCTCCTCTAGCCTCACAGACCACTTGTCCAGGTCTCTGAGAGCAGTCGACAGGAGCCCTACACTTGTCATGTGAGACACTGGCGCGTCTAAGAACAGGTGCTGTTTTGTAGCTATTTCTCTGTCTGCAGAGTCCAGCCCAGGGGCTGGAGCATGGCAGGGGCCCCTGCATGTCTGCAATTTGAATGAAAGACGAGGGTACTGCTCAAACACCAAAGCTTTGGTCAGAGCCTAGGATGTACTGACACAGGACCCTTTGGGCAGAGATATATCACACACAGCCACAGGAGAGTGGTTAGGAACCTGGACTCTGAATGAAGACTGCCTGGGTTCAAGTCCAAGCTCTGCCACTTACAAGCTGAATGACCTTGGGCAAGTTATCTCACTTCCCTGGGCCTCCCTTTCCTCATCTGAAAAAATGGCTACATTGCAGCCTTGTTATAAGGATTGAATGGGTGGGTGCAGTGGCTCATGCCTGTAATCCCAGCACTTTGGGAGGCCGAGGAAGGTGGATCACAAGGTCAGGAGTTTGAGACCAGCCAGGCCAACATAGTGAAACCCGTCTCTACTAAAAATACAAAAATTAGCCGAAAAATTAACCGGGTGTGGTGGCACGTGCCTGTAGTCCCAGCTACTCAGGAGGCTGAGGCAGGAGAATCGCTTGAACCTGGGAGGCAGAGGTTGCAGTGAGCCGAGACCATGCCATTGCACTGTAGCCTGGGTGACAGAGTGAGAGACTCCATCTCAAAAAAAAAAAAAAAAAAAGAAACTTAACTGGGCATGGTGGAATCCACCTGTAGTCCCAGCTCCTCAGGAGGCCGAGGTGGGAGGATCACTTAGCCCAGGAGTTTGAGGCTGCAGTGAGCCACTGCACTCCAACCTGGGTGATGTAGTGAGACCCTGTCTTAAAAGAAGAAGAAGAAAAAAGAATGAGTTTGTATTTTAAAAGCACTTCAATGATGCCTGGCACTCTGGTGCCAGGGGCCAAAGGAAAAGTTAGTAATACCAATCATTTCCTGAAGACTGTGATATTTGTTTATCATGGGTATTTTTGCATTAATTTTGCATTAATTTTTTCATTCTTTTTCGTTTTTAAACATATTGCATCCAAGTGTTATTTATCTTGATGACTGGGTGTTTGGTGCCTCCTTAAATTTTGCTCCCGGGGAGAATGTCTCACTTGCCTCTCCCTCATCCCGGTCCTGGCACCTAAGAAGCAACACATCAGTTCTCATTTGTCTGGAGGGAGCTCAGCATCATTATATGTATTTAAAGAAAAAGATGAATGTGTATATATTACCAATACTTATTCAGAATCTACAAAACTCTGAGCACTGGGGATGGGACTGTGTGATGGTTAATACCGAGTGTCAACTTGATTGGATTGAAGGATGCAAAGTATTGTTCCTGGGTGTCTGTGAGGGTGTTGCCAAAGGAGATGAACATTTGAGTCAATGGACTGGGAAAGGCAGACCCACCCTCAATCTGGGTGGATACCATCTAATCAGCTACCAGCATGGCCAGAATAAAAGCAGGAAGATGGACATGGAAGGACTTGACTTGCTGAGTCTTCTGGCCTTCATCTTTCTCCCATGCTGGATGCTTCCTGCCCAACATAAGACTCAAAGTCTTCAGTTTTTGGACTCTTAGACCTACACCAGTGTTTGCCAGGGGCTCTCGGACCTTAGGCCACAGACGGAAGGCTGCACCGTCTGCTTCCCCACTTTTGAGGTGTTGGGACTTGGACTGATCCACTACTGGCTTCCTTGCTCCTCAACTTGCAGACGGCCTATCGTGGGACTTTACCTTGTGATTGTGTGAGTCAATTCTCCTTAATACACTCCCTTTCATATACACATATATCCTATTAGTTCTGTCCTTCTAGAGAACCCTGACTAATACAGGCTGGGAATGAGACATTCTCAGCCACGGTCTTTGACCTCAAGGAGTTGACAGATCACTGATTATTGTTACCACTTATTGAGCATTTACTGTATGCAAGACATGGTGCTAGTGATGTTTTTATTAATCCTTGTGGTGACCTTTCCAGAAAGAATCATTACATTCATTTTACAGATGAAGAAATTGGACTCAGAGCAATTAAGCCACTTGCCTGAAGTCATGAAGTTATGAGCTGGGGTCAGGATGTGAACCCAGTCTCCCTATCTATCTATCTATCTATCTATCTATCTATCTATCTATCTATCTACCTATCTATCTATCTATCTATCTATCTATCTATATCAGGGTCTTGCTCTGTCACCCAGGCTGGGATGCAGTGGTGTGATCATAGCTCACTGCAGCCTCAACACCCTAGGCTCAAGCGATTCTCCTGCCTCAGCCTCCTGAGGAGCTGGGACTACAGGTGCACACAACCATGCCTGGCTAATTTTTAGATTTTTATTGTAGAGATGGGGGTCTCACTATATTGCCTAGCTGGCCTCAAACTCCTGTGGCAAAGTGATCCTCCCACCTCTGTCTCCCAAAATGTTGGGATTACAGTTGTGAGCCACCATGCCTAGCCCTGTGAACCCAGTCTTTTAGACTTTCTACCACGGTATTTGGGTAAGTCCAGAGCTCTGTCCCCATCTTCTGCAAGAACATCTTGAAAGCTGAAGTTATCAGATGGATTTTTCTGGGAGTTCCATTGCTGAGTTCCTCTGATTCATGTCTCAGGAAGCTGGAGTCTAGACGTGGCGGGGCCTGTGGGAGGTGGCCCTCCCCTTTTCAGAGTGGATCTGTGCAGCCATCTGCCATCACCCATTCCTGTGGGGGAAAACACAGATTTTCCTGTGTTAAAAAATCTCTGAGACAAGACTTTGGCAGGATCTGAACAGACTGGCGAAGTGGCTCCAGGATTTCCTGGAAAAGGATGAGAAGGGGGAAAGAGAGGGCAAAGGAGAGGAGGAGAGAGTGGGAGGGAAAGAAGGAGGTCAGGGAGAAGAAAAATGAGCAGGAAGAGCCAGCAGACAGCCTCCCAGGTGGATGTCTTTGAAGGTAACTGAAATGCATGGTGGGGTTTTCCCAAAGGGTTTCTGTTAGACATTTCCCACTCCCAGTAGGGAAACTGGCTTCCCTAATCAGGGAAGGGCAGTTCAGGGCAGTGGAGCAGTGGGTGTCGATAATGCCCATCTTGCAGACTAGTTGCGAAGTTCCAGTGAGATTGAATATCTGAAGTGTAGTGTTGGCACACAATAGGTATTCAACAATGTCAGTTCAGTTCTCTCCTTTTTTATTTTTTATTTTTATTTATTTATTTATTTTTTGAGATGGGGAGTCTAGCTCTTGTCGCCCAGGCTGGAGTGCAATTGCCCAATCTCGGCTCACTGCAATCTTTGCTTCCCAGGTTCAAGGGATTCTCCTGCCTCAGCCTCCCGAGTAGCTGGGATTACAGGCACCCGCCACCATGCTCAGCTAATTTTTGTATTTTTAGTAGAGACGGGGTTTCACCATGTTGGCCAGGCTAGTCTCGAACTCCTGACCTCAGGTGATCTTCCCACTTCAGCCTCCCAAAGTGCTGGGGTAACAGGCATGAGCCACTGCGCCCAGCTAGTTCTCTCCTTTTTTAAAGACAGGCTCTTACTCTCTTGCCCAGGCTGGAGTACAGTGGCACAATCATAGTTCACCACAGCCTCAACCTCGTGGGCTCAAGTGGCCCTCCTGCCTCGGCCTCCTGAGTAGCTGGGACTACAGGCATGCACCACCACACCCCACTAATTAACAAATTAGTGGAACGTAGTGGCAGGCACCTGTAATCCCAGCTACTCCGGAGGCTGAGGCAGGAGAATCGCTTGAACCCAAGAGGTGGAGGTTGTAGTGAGCTGAGATTACGCCACTGCACTCCAGCCTGGGTGACAGATCAAGACTCCATCTCGAAATAAAAAGAAAGCAAAAGGTTCCTTCATTCTCCTGCCTTTATCCATTCACTCAGCACAGTGAGCACCTAAGTGTGCCAAGCACTGTCCAAGGTACTGGAGATATAACAGTGAACAAAACAGACAAAAGCCCCTGCCCTCGTGGAGCTGAGATTCTACTGCGGTAGGAAAAAGTAAAAAAGAAATAGATAATATTATAGGAACTTAGAGAGCTGTGAAAGCTAAGGATAAACAAAGCAGAGAAGGAGGATGAGGGGATGTTAGGGATATTGGTTTCCTAGTTTTTTCTGCTATAACAAATTACAGCATGAATCTAGGGGCTTTAAACAACCCATATGTGTTATCTTATAGTTCTGGAGGTCAGAACTCTAAAATGGATCAGCAGGGCTGTATTTCTTCGGGAAGCTCTAGGGGAGAAACCATTTCCTTGCCTTTTCTGGTTTCTAGAGGCTTCCTGCATTCCTTGGATCATGGCCCTACGTCATTCTGATCTACATCACTCCTCAGTCTCTGACCCTCTTGCTTCCCTTTTATAAGAGCCTTTGCAATTAGATTGAGCCATACAGATAATCTAGGATAATCTCCTCATCTCAAAATCCTTACTTTAATCACATCTGCAACCTCCTTTTTACCATGTAAAGTAACATTCACAGGTTCTGGGTATCAGCATGTGGACATATTTGGGGAGGGGGTAGTTGTGAATTATTCTGTCTACCACAGGAACAGAGATTTTAGATAAGGTGGCCAGGAAATAGCTTATTTATTTATTTGTTTTTAGAGACAGGGTCTCACTCTGTCACCCAGGCTGGAGGGCAGTGGTACAATCATAGCTCACTGCATCCTTGAACTGTGGGCTCAAGTGAACTTCCCACTTCAGCCTCCTGAGTAGCTGGGACTACAGGTGTGTGCCATCACACCCGGCTATTTTCTTTTTTTGTAGAGACAGGGTCTTGCTATGTTGCTCAGGCTGGTCTCAACCTCCTAGGCCCAAGTGATACTCCCGCCTCAGCATCCCAAAGTGTTGGGATTACAGGCACAAGCCACCACGCCTTCCCAGAAGAACTTATTGATGTGACTTTTGAGTAGGGACCTGAAGGAAGTGACGGATAGACACCTGGGGAGAGAACCTTCCAGGGAGAGGAAATGTTAGTGCAAAGGCTCTGAGGAGAGAGTACAATGAGTGTCTGTGTTTGAGGACCAGCGGGGAGGCCAGAAAGGTCACAGCAGGGAGATCCAGGGGCAGAAAGACAGGAACTGAGGTCAAAGAGGTCCTATGGGTGGGGGTAAGGGAGAGGTCATGAAAGGCCTTATAGATGATTGTGAGAAAAATGTCTTCCTCTGAATGAGACGGAAAACCATAAGACAGTTTCTCTAAGCACCTGTTCAATAACTGACTATGAAAGAAAATCTGGGCCAGGCACAGTGGCTCATGCTTGTAATCCCAGCACTTTTTGAGGCTGAGGCGGGTGGATCACTTGAGGCCAGGAGTTTGAGACCACCATGGGCAACATAGGGAGACCCTGTTTCTGCAAAAATAAAAACAAAAAATTAGCCTGATGTGGTGGCGCACACCTGCAGTTCCAGCTATTTGGGAGGCTGAGGTGGGAGGATTGCTTATGCCCAGCAGTTTGAAGTTTGAGGCTGCAGTGAGCTTTGATGGTGCCACTCCAGCTTGGGTGACAGAACAAGACCTTGTGTTTCTAAAAAAAACCCAAAAAAACCCAAAAAAAACTAAAAGAGATAAGTGAAAAGAGAAGTGCAAAATGAGGTGTAAACATGTAAAAAGGTGTAAGGAAATATGGAAGGGACACAATTGACAAGAGACCAGAAAATTCATAGAATGAAGTCTTCAATGTGTGAAGGGAAAGGGCTAACATAATTATGTTTCAAAGAATTCAAACAAATCACTAAGACAAGTCCCTGAATCTGGGTAGAAAAACAAGCAAAGGGGTGCGAACCGTCAACTCACTAAAGAGAAAATGCAATTAGCTAAGCACATGGGAAAAGTCAGCCTAACTAGTAATCAAAGAAATGCAAATTAAAACAACAAACCGTTATATTTTCACCTCATAAAGATTCTGAAAATGAGAATCCTGGCTTTGGCCTTGGTGGAATGAAATAGGTGCAAGAACCCTGGCAGTGGGAATTGGAAATCTGATTATTTTGGGAAACAGTTTGACACTGGGTAGCAAAACCTTAAACATGGGCATCCTCATTGGCCCAATAAGTCAATTTTTGGCAATCTAGCCCAAGGAAATAATTTTAAATCTGGAGAGAGCCTTATGCATTGCTGCCAAACAGGAGAAACAACTAAACTGTGAGCAATAGGTTAAATAGGCCACGGTGCTCATTCTTTTGATATTTTTGTCAATCATATGAATTAGGTGCCAGTTATGTGCCAGGCACTGTTCTAGGTGCCAGGAATACAGCAGTGAACAGAACATCTTGAACTCCTTGCCCTTCATGGGGTTCTGATTCTAGTGAGGGAGCAGGAGAGCAAATAAGAACAGATATGAAGATGCTACATGATGGGGGACAAAGTAGGGCAATGTCACAGAGAGTGGAGGGGACTGCAGGGTGGACAACCACCAGTTTGCTGGGGACATTCAGTTTTAAGGCTGGGGCAGCCCTGGACAAACTGGGATGAGCTAGTCACACTAAGAGGGTCATCCTTGTGATGGGAGTGGTCAGGGTCTTGTCCTCTGAGGAGGTAGGATTTGGTTAGGGACTCAATGCAATGAGGGAGTGAACGATGGGAGTGCTGGCTGAGTAGGTTTCCAGGCTGACAGAACAATACCTGCAAAGGCCCGGAGGAAGGAGTGTTCCTGGGGCAATGTGAGGGACTTGCACAAGGCTGGAGTGTCTGGGGCATAGCATGAAGGAGGATGGTGGTAAGATATAGATTTCAGAGAGGGAAACTCTTGACTCTTGCAGGGAAAGGAAGAAGTTTGGATTTTATTTTAAATCCAGTGAAAGCCTATGGAGGTTAAGCAGGGAAGCAACATGGTAAAATTTATGCTTTTAGAAAGACGACTCTGGCTGCTGTGTGGAGAAGGTGATGCAGGACAAGTAAGCCCCAAAGTTGGGGCTTAGCTTGGGAGGGTTCTTGGCTTCACCCAGGAAAGAATTCCAGGGTGAGCGGTGGTGGTGGACACTTTTATTTTTTTGAGACAGTTTTCACTCTTGTCACCTGTGCTGGAGTGCAATGGCAAGATCTCTGCTCATTCCAACCTCTGCCTCCTGGGTTCAAGTGATTGTCCTGCCTCAGCCTCCAGAGTAGCTGGGATTACAGGCACCCACCACCATGTCTGGCTAATATTTTTTTGTATTTTTAGTAAAGACAGGGTTTCACCATGTTGGCCAGGTTGGTTTTGAACTCCTGACCTTAGGTGATCCACCCCCTCCCAAAGTGCTGGGATTACAGATGTGAGCCACCATGCCTGGCCTAGACACTTTTATTGAAGCAGCAGTGCACAGCAGCAGCAGAGGGACTGCTCCTCACAGAGCAGGGCTACCCCATAGGCAGTGTGCCCAGAGTAGCAGCTCAGAGGCAGTTCTGCAGTCATATTTATACCCACTTTTAATGATATGCAAATTAAGGGGGGATTTATGCAGACATTTCTAGAAAAAAGTTGGTAACTTCCGGGTTGTTGGGTCATTGCCATGGAAAGGGGCAGTAACTCCTGGGTGTTGCCATGGCAATGGTAAACTGACATGCCACGCTGGTGAGAGTGTCTGTTGGAAAGCTGCTTCCACTTTGGCCCTGTTTTTTTTTTTTTTTTTTTTTTTTTTTTTTTTTTTTTTTTTTTTTTTTTTGGTATTTATTGATCATTCTTGGGTGTTTCTCGCAGAGGGGGATTTGGCAGGGTCATAGGACAATAGTGGAGGGAAGGTCAGCAGATAAACATGTGAACAAGGGTCTCTGGTTTTCCTAGGCAGAGGGCCCTGTGGCTTTCTGCAGTGTTTGTGTCCCTGGGTACTTGAGATTAGGGAGTGGTGATGACTCTTAAGGAGCATGCTGCCTTCAAGCATCTGTTTAACAAAGCACATCTTGCACCGCCCTTAATCCATTTAACCCTGAGTGGACACAGCACATGTTTCAGAGAGCACGGGGTTGGGGATAAGGTTACAGATTAACAGCGTCCCAAGGCAGAAGAATTTTTCTTAGTACAGAACGAAGTGGAGTCTCCTATGTCTACTTCTTTCTACACAGACACAGCAACAATCTGATCTCTCTTTCTTTTCCCCACATTTCTCCCTTTTCTACTTGACAAAACCGCCGTCGTCACCATGGCCCGTTCCCAATGAGCTGCTGGGTACACCTCCCAGATGGGGTGGCGGCCGGGCAGAGGGGCTCCTCACTTCCCAGACGGGGCGGGGGGCAGAGGCGCCCCCCACCTCCCGGATGGGGCAGCTGGCCGGGCGGGGGCTGCCCCCACCTCCCTCCCGGACAGGGCGGCTGGCCGAGCGGGGGCTGCCCCCCACCTCCTGGACGGGGCGGCTGCCAGGCGGAGACGCTCCTCACTTCCCAGACGGGGCGGCCGGGCAGAGACACTCCTCACCTCCCAGACGGGGTGGCAGTCAGGCAGAGACACTCCTCAGATCCCAGACGGGGTCGCGGCTGGGCAGAAGCGCTCCTCACATCCCAGATGGGGCAGCGGGGCAGAGGCACTCCCCCCATCTCAGATGATGGGTGGCCGGGCAGAGACGCTCCTCACTTCCTAGACAGGACGGCGGCCGGGAAGAGGCGCTCCTCACTTCCCAGACTGGGCGGCCGGGCAGAGGGGCTCCTCACATCCCAGACGATGGGTGGCCAGGCAGAGACACTCTTCACTTTCCAGACGGGGTGGCGGCTGGGCAGAGGCTGCAATCTCGGCACTTTGGGAGGCCAAGGCAGGCGGCTGGGAGGTGGAGGTTGTAGTGAGCCGAGATCACGCCACTGCACTCCAGCCTGGGCAACACTGAGCACTGAGTGAGCGAGACTCCATCTGCAGTGCCAGCACCTTGGGAGGCCCAGGCGGGCAGATCACTCGCGGTCAGGAGCTGGAGACCAGCCTGGCCAACATGGCGAAACCCCGTCTCCACCAAAAAATACAAAAACCAGTCAGGTGTGGCAGTGTGCGCCTGCAATCCCAGGCACTCAGCAGGCTGAGGCAGGAGAATCAGGCAGGGAGGTTGCAGTGAGCCGAGATGGTGGCAGTACAGTCCAGCCTTGGCTTGGCATCAGAGGGAGACCGTGGAAAGTGGGAGACGGAGACGGGAGAGGGAGACGGGAGGGGGAGGGGGAGGGGGAGGGCAGGGGGAGGGGGAGGGAGAGGGGCCCTGTTTTATAGCTAGTCTTCAATTTGGTCTGGTGTCTGAGCCCCACCTCTGGAGTTGAGTCCTGCCTCCTACCTCTAAGGCATGTTGGTGGATGCAGGGTAGTGGGCAGAATAGAATCATGTAGACCCCTTAGAAGGTTGTTGTAATCTAGGGCAGTGGTTCTCAATTTTAACCATGCATGAGCATTTCATGCAGGGGTTGTTAAAACTCAGCCTCCTGCCCCTGGAGTCTACGTCTGGAGTCTGCATCTCTGACTAGCTCCCAGGTGATGCCAGTGCTGCTGGTCCTGGACCACATTTTGAGTAGCTAAAAGCTAGGAGAGAGATAATGGGGACTTGCAGTAAGGTGGTACCCCTGCTGAGGTTAGGAAGAGCTCTGGTCTGGGATGCATTTTGAAGTGAAACTATCAATCTCATTTCAGTTCCCTTTTAATCTGCTTACACCAAGGAGAATAGCTCAATTTGATACTAGTATGTTTCTAAGACTTTTCTGTATTTTAGCTAACAGAAAGCAGGCCTCAAAGTGTAGAGCAGGCTGGGCGCAGTGGCTCATGCCTGTAATCCCAGCACTTTGAGAGGCCGAGACAGGTGGATCACTTGAAGTCACGAGTTCAAGACCAGCCTGGCCAATATGGAGAAACCCCGTCTCTGCTAAAAATACAAAAATTAGTTGAGTGTGGTGGCACATGCCTGTAATCCCAGCTACTTGGGAGGCTGAGGCAGGAGAATTGCTTGAACCCGGGAGGCAGAGGTTTCAGTGAGCCGAGATCAGGCCACTGCATTCCAGCCTGGGCGACAGAGCAAGACTCCATCTCAGAAAAAAAAAAAAAAAAGAATCCAATAGTGTGATAGTGGACAAAAGAATCCAATAGTGTGATAGTGGACATGAAAATACTTCATGGACTACAAAGCTCTTCACCCTGCTATCTGCTTCATCTTTGTGGGGCAGGCTGGGTGCATCACCAGACTCCTAGTCAAGTGCTCTCTCTTATTGTTCATGGCCTTGTGTTGCCCCAGTCCTGGGGGAGGGGCTGACTTTTCTGCAGGACTATAGGAAAGGAGAATCATAGACATATGTCCACTTGTCAGTTACCTGTGTTTCCTTCTTGTGCTCTGGGCAGCCGATGCACTTTCCTGATTGCTGTGGAGCCTACTAGGATCTAGGAATGAATATTGTGCCTGGCTTTGGGGGTTCAAAACTCTCCCTCTTGGCTCTTGAGCTGCTTACTTGAGCCCATTCCCACTCTGTGGAGTGTACTTTTGCTTCAATAACTCTGTGCTTTCTTTTTGTTTGTTTGTTTTTTGAGATGGAGTCTCGCTCTGTTGCCCAGGCTGGAGTGCAGTGGCGCGATCTCGGCTCACTGCAAGCTCCACCTCCAGGGTTCATGCCATTCTCCTGCCTCAGCCTCCCGAGTAGTTGGGACTACAGGCGCTCACCACCATGCCCGGCTAATTTTTTGTATTTTAGTAGAGACGGGGTTTCACCGTGTTAGCCAGGATGGTCTTGATCTCCTGACCTCGTGATCCACCTGCCTCAGCCTCCCAAAGTGCTAGAATTACAGACGTGAGCCACTGCATCCGGCAAATCTGTGCTTTCATTGATTTACTCTTTCATTGCTTTGTATGTTTTGTCTGAGTCTTTGTTCAAACTGCCAAGAACCTGGACACCCTCCACTGGTAACATATTTTGGCGTTCCAGCCAGGGGACAATAACGGGAAAGACTCCATCTATGCTACCTGATCCCCCGCTTGGCTGCATCCTCAACCACTGGTATCAATTTGACCCCAATAATCTAAGGAGGAAATGCTTGATATTCTTTTGCAATAGTTTGTCCCCAATATTGCTTGGAATCTGGAGTTTGTTGTTGAATGGGAAAGTGGGATGGTGTTGTATGTATCCAAGCTTTTGTGCTGCTGTTCTAAGCAGGGTCAGGCCTGGTTAGCATGTGGTGCTCTCTTTTGGTGCTGTTTGGCCCCGGTGTTCTTTGGAATTTAAAAATCAAACTGGCATGGAAACTGCTTTACCCCAAAATTTTGGTTCACAGCCTTCACTGGATTACCTACTGGGGCAAACAGAGTGTAACCATGTAAAACCGGCGAGCTTGTATTGCTATCTCATGGCTAGAGTTCCAAGGTAAAAGCCATTTGGATCTTCATTTGTGTGCGTGTATACATGTCTAAATGTGTTTATTTGTATGTAGACTTACTGTTATATGTTGTGCCTACCACATTGGCTTATAAGTAAGAGAGTGCCCATAACTTAATAAGTCCAAGCAATTTTCAAGTTCACGTGACTTAAGTAAATCTTTACGAAACTAGCTAGCTTTAAAATTATTGGTAAATACAAATAGAAATGTCTTCAGAATTGGCAACATACATTTTTATCTGGGTTTTATGTTTTTGTCTTTGCTAGATATTTTGAGGTGTCAAGGCTATCAGGCTGGGCGTGGTGGCTCACATTTGTAATGCCAGCACTTTGGGAGGCCGAGGTGGGCGGATCACCTGAGGTCAGGAGTTGGAGACCAGCCTGGTCAACATGGTGAAGCCCCGTTTCTACTAAAAATACAAAAATTAGCCAGGTGTGGTGGCATGTGCCTGTAATCCCAGCTACTTGGGAGGCTGAGGGAGGAGGATCACTTGAACCAGGGAGGTGGAAGTTGCAGCAAGCCAAGATAGTACCACTGCACTCCAGCCTGGGTGACAGAGGGAGACTCACTGTCTAAAAAAAAAAAAGTTATAAAGCTATTAACCCAGCCAAAACAACAAAAACAAAAAACTGTCCCTTTTGCCTTTGGTTCACTCTTGGATCCAGATGGAAATCTCCAGCTGTTCTGGTGTTCTGGACCAAGAAGTTTGAGAAAATAAGAATCCATGGACAAGAAAATTTTGAGGTAGTGGTTCAGAGTTCTGGCTCGTGGCCTCAGTTCCAATCCTGGTTCTATCCTTGCTTGGTGTGAGGCCTTAGGAAATCTCCTTGTGTCAGTCTGGGTCCTCCGAGAAGCAGAGCTTGCTTTGAGACTCAACATGCAAGGATTTTTTTTTTTTGAGACGGAGTCTCACTCTGTCGCCCAGGCTGGAGTGCAGTGGCACGATCTCAGCTCACTGCAAGCTCCACCTCCCGGGTTCACGCCATTCTCCTGCCTCAGCCTCCTGAGTAGCTGGGACTACAGGCGCCTGCCACCATGCCCGGCTAATTTTTTTGTATTTTTAGTAGAGACGGGGTTTCACCGTGTTAGCCAGGATGGTCTCGATCTCCTGACCTCATGATTCACCCGCCTTGGCCTCCCAAAGTGCTGGGATTACAGGCGTGAGCCACCGCACCTGGCCTAACATGCAAGGGTTTTGTTAGGGGAAACCCTTGTGTGAAAGGAGTTAGACAGTGATGAAGCCTGACTCCAAGGGAGGAGAAGAGAGAATGTTGGTGGAACTGTCCGTGCTGTGCGGTCTAAAGAAAATTGGGGTTTCCAAAGTCAGTTGTCAAGGGCCCCTGTGTTTTCTAGGAATGAGCTGCCTTAGTTTCTGTGCTGCCATACACTATTGATGGGTGAGATGGATTTTAAATCTAGCTGGGCCCTTGCTCTCTTATGCTCCCCATAGCTGGAGGTCAGTGGCAGGTGCATTCTTGTGGCCACGCATCACTTAACCTCTCATGGGATTGTTACTACAATCAAATGAGACAAGGTGTGTAAAACACTTGGTACAAGATCTGGCATAAATACTCAACATATTTTAACTATTATGATTACCCAGTTATTCTTTCGAAGCCAACAAGAAAGTTTTCTTCTCCTTTTGTTATCAACCATTCCCTGCATCAGAGGCTGCTAATTCAGTCAGATTCCCTGTAAATGAGTGATGTGGGCCAAGTGTAAGACATTAGAGAGTGGGAGGGACTATGGTAAACTAGAAAGCACATGAAACATCTAAAATGGTTTGAAAAATAGCTGGGCGTGGTGGCTCATGCCTGTAATCCTAGCACTCCGTCTCAAAAAAAAAAAAAAAAAAAAAAACCCAACCCAAAACCACCCCAAAAACCCCAGTGAGGTTGATTTTCCCACCCCCCCAAACCCATTAATAAATTTGTTGTGTATTTGACGACATGGAGAGACCTGGCTGGTTGATTTCTGGTTTTGTGCACAGCTTCAGTGTTGTCTTTTCTGAGAGGTTTTGAATGTGGACATCGGGATTGGATGGCATGGGTTGGGATCTTGGCTCTCCCACTTGCCAGCCATGAGATATTGGGCAAATTATGAAATCTCGGGCAAATTATGAAATTTCCTGGTAACTCAGTTTTTCCATCTGTAAAATGGGGATAATAATGATTCTCCCCTCATGAAATTTCAATGAGGATTTAATATACAGAAGGAGTTTAGGACAGTGTCTGGAACATAGTAAGGCTGAGTAAGTGTTGATGTTATTCTGGGGTTGAGAGAAGGAGCAAGAACAACCTTGGGTTGCTGGAGGCTCTCATGGTTTTTCCTCATCATTTCATTCCACTTAAGCCTAAAACAATATGATCGGTATAACACCCAGACAGGAATGAGTTTCTCTTATACCGGTGATATAATCATATATAATAATGCCACTTACATAAGCTTCCTTAGCTCCTTGTTAAGGCCACCCACACTCCGTTCCACTTCACACTGTTAAGGAATGTTTCTCCCACAGGGAAAAAGACACCCAGCTCTATGCTAATTACCACTTTAAAGCAGGGACCAAGGGGTGTGAGGGGGGGAAACCAGCAAAGGTGTCTTTGGCAGTGCTCTTGATTTGGGAGAGTAAAGTCTTTAGTTTGGAAGCAGTGAGTCAGGCCTGGGGACCTCAGAGGAGCCAGAGGCAACCCATGGTGTCCCCCAGATTAGGCAGGCCCAACCTACGCCTTAGGTGAAAAGTGTCTGTGAGCCAGCCCTCTGCAGACAAATGCTAATCTGCCATTTCTTTTATTGCTTAAAAAAAGAGAGTCTGAGACATATTCTACGTGTGATACAAGCTCATTGTGGAAAATATGGAAAATAGATGGGAACAAAATGAAAGTGTAAAAGTCAGAAGTCATGAGCGATGAATATAGTCAAGCTAACAGAAAAAATATAAAAAGTCAGAACTCATTCAGCTGAAAGTGTCAGAAATCAATTGCAAACTGGTTTAGATGATTCAAGAGAATATATTGGCCCACAGAACAAGGCTGTCACAGAGGTGGATCAGGCATGGCTGTATCCAGGGCTCAAACGTTATTAGCGGAATGCCATCTTGCTTGCTCTGTCTCTATTTCATGAATAGGCCTTCTCCAGATGGTGGAAAAGGTAGACATTATCAATTCCAGATTAATCTCCACCAACTGAACAATGCTACTAGAAAGGAAGAGGCTCTTCCCAGTGCTCAGATAGGAAAGTCTCAGGGAGGGACTTGATTGGCTGAAGATGTACCACGTGTGCATCCTTGAACCAGTCCCTGTGGTTGGGGATGTACCACCTGTGCATCCTTGAACCAATCCCTGTGGTTGGGGATGAGGTGCTCTGATTGGCCAGATCAGTGAGTCAATGGCCAGGGGAGATGAAATCAAGGAATGGTCCACTTAAATAGGTCCTCCACAGGGAGTGGTGATTCTGTTCCAAAAGAAAGAGAAGGAAATGAATTGATGAAAACAATGGATATTGCTATATAAGAAGCATATAACATCTGTAATCCCAGCACTTTGGGAGGCTGAGGTGGGCGGATCACCTGAGGTCGGGAGTTCGAGACCAGCCTGACCAACATGGAGAAACCCTGTCTCTACTAAATATAAATATATATATATTTAGCTGGGTGTGGTGGCACGTCCCAGCTACTCGGGAGACTGAGGCAGGAGAATTGCTTGAACCTGGGAGGCAGAGGTTGCTGTGAGCCAAGATGACACCATTGCACTCCAGCCTGGGTAACAAGAACAAAACTTCATCTCAAAAAAAAAAAAAAAAAAAAAAAAGAGGTCAGGTGCAGTGGTCACGCCTGTAATCCCAGCACTTTGGGAGGCTGAGGTGGTCGGATCACGAGGTCAGGAGATCGAGACCATCCTGGCTAACATGGTGAAACCCTGTCTCTACTAAAAATACAAAAAAATTAGCTGGGTGTGGTAGCGGGCGCCTGTAGTCCCAGCTACTCGGGAGGCTGAGGCAGGAGAATGGCGTGAACCCGGGAGGCGGAGCTTGCAGTGAGCCGAGATCGCGCCACTGCACTCCAGCCTGGGCGACAGAGCAAGACTCTGCCTCAAAAAACAAAACAAAACAAAAAAAAGAGAAGCAAATGACAAGTTTCCAATACTTGCACCATCTAGAAATAATGACTGTTGACTTCTTAATGTAAATCCTCCCAGAATTCACTTCCCCTTATTTAGCTATACTTATAAGCATATACTAGATACATAGAACATTGAGATATCCTATGCAAACTTTTGTAAGCTGATTTTGATTGCCTTGTTTAAAAATATCATTTAGATATTTTGAAATATAAGTGGCATATCTTCTGGGTAGAAAAATTAGAGAATATGGACAAACAAAAATAAAATAACTTTTTTTAAATAATTTTTTTTTTTGAAACAGAGTCACTCTATCACCCAGGCTGGAGTACAGTAGCATGATCTTGGCTCACTGCACCTCCACCTCCTGGGTTCAAGCGATTTTCATGCCTCAGTCTCCTGAGTAGCTGGGATTACAAGTGCATGCAACCACGCCCAGCTAATTTCTGTATTTTTAGTAGAGACGGGGTTTCTCCATGTTGTCCAGGCTGGGATTGAACTCCTGGTCTCAAGCAATCTGCCTGCCTCGGCCTCCCAAAGTGCTGGGATTACAGGTGTGAGCCACCACACCTGATCTAAAATAACTTATAATTGGCTGGGGTTAATAGTAAGACTTTTAAGAAGCCAGATTAAGGGCAGGGTTGAGATAGAGGAAGAATAATTTGTCAGAGCTCCTCTTATGATACCCTGTAGTCCCTCTTTGCAGTGCTTTGCACATTTGTAATTTTACATTAATTACTCAAAGTGGCTTATTTAAAATAATTTTATTCTCTAAGTGTTGCTTTCCTTAAAAGAAATAAGAAAAAAAACCCAGAAAAAAAGTGACCTAAAATAATTTTATTCTGAACTATTTCAGGCACACAAAAAACTATAAAGACCAGTACAGTGAACAACCATTTACCCGTCACTCAGTTTAAAAAATATAACAAAGACAATCAAGTCCTTCTGTGGACCCCTCTTAATCTCGTGCTCCTTTCTCTCTTCCTTCCTTCCCAATGGGATCTCTATCCTGCAGTTGTGTCTTATATTTCATGCCTATTTTGTATTCTTATTGAATATATGTTATCCATTATCAACATATAACATTATGTTGCATATTTAAACACTTTAAGTAGACTACCACTGTATGTATTGTTCTCATGGCTTGCTTTTTGGTTCATTGTTATGATTTTGCAATTTATTTTTATTTTTATTTATTTATTTATTTTTGAGACAGAGTTTCATTCACTCTTGTTGCCCAGGCTGGAGTGCAATGGTGTGATTTCAGCTCACTGCAACCTCCGCCTCCCAGGTTCAAGTGATTCTCCTGCCTCAACCTCCTGAGTAGCTGGGATTACAGGCAGGCGCCACCATGCCCAGCTAATTTTGTATTTTTGGTAGAGATGGGGTTTCTCCACGTTGGTTAGGCTGGTCTCGAACTCCCGACCTCAGGTGACCCGCCCGCCTTGGCCTCCCAAAGTGCTGGGATTACAGGCGTGAGCCACTGGGCCTGGCCGATTTTGCAAAGTGTTAATGTTGATACAGGTTATGTTTCATTTATTTTCTACTATTGTTAGTGTTAATCTGTTAGTACTAGCATCCATGGTAGAACTCAATCATAATTAATCTATCTATTCTGCAGATGGACATTTAGGTTCCTTTTTTTTTTTTTTTTTTCTTGAGACAGAGTCTCGCTCTTTTGCCCGGCTGGAGTGCAATGGCGCCATCTCGGCTCACTGCAAACTCCACCTCCTGGGTTCAGGTGATTCTCGTGCCTCAGCCTCCTGAGTAGCTGTGACTACAGCACCCACCACCACACTTGGCTAATTTTTGTATATTTAGTAGAGATGGGGTTTTGCCATGCTGGCCAGGGTGGTCTTGAACTTCTGACCTCTGGTGATCCGCCCACCTTGGCCTCCCAAAGTGCTGGGATTACAGTCGTGAGCCACTGAGCCTGGCCGTCTCCCTTCCCTTCCTTTCCCTTCCCTTCCCTTCCCTTCCCTTCCCTTCCCTTCCCTTCCCTTCCCTTCCCTCCCCTCCCCTCCCCTCCCCTCCCCTCCCCTCCATCTCCCTCTCCTCCCCTTCCTTCTTTCCTTCCTTCCTTCCTTCCTCTTTCTCTTTCTTTTTCTCTCTTTCTTTCTCTCCCTCTTTTTCTTTTTTTCTTCTTTCTTTTTTTTGGAGACAGGGTCTTACTTTGTCACCCAGGCTGAAGTGCAGTGGTATGATCATGGCTCACTGCAGCCTCGACCCCCCAGGCTCAAGCGATCTTCCCACGCCAGCCTTCCTGAGTAGCTGGGATTATAACAGGCTTGCACCGCTATGCCTGGCTAATATTTGTATTTTTTGTAGAGATGGGGTTTCACCATATTGTCCAGGCTGGGCTTCAACTCCTGAGCTCAAGCAATCCACCCACCTTGGCCTCCCAAACTGCTGGGATTATAGGCCTGAGCCACCGCACCTGACCTGTTTCTATTTTTCTATTACAAACAGTGCTGTAGTAAATATTCCTGTACAGGCCAGGCACGGTGGCTCATACCTGTAATCCCAGCACTTTGGGAGGCCGAGGTGGGCAGATCACCTGAGGTTGGGAGTTTGAGACAGCCTAATCAACATGGAGAAACCCCATCTCTACTAAAAATACAAAATTAGCCAGGTGTGGTGGCGCATGCCTGTAATCCCAGCTACTTGGGAGACTGAGGCAGGAGAATCTCTTGAACCTGGGAGGTGGAGGTTGCGATAAGCTAAGATCACACCACTGCACTCCAGCCTGGGCAACAAGAGCAAAACGCCATCTCAGATATATATATATTCCTGTACATTTCTCCTTGTGCAAACTGATAGAGCTTCTCCTGGTCTAGGGTATGTACCTAGGAGTGGAATTGCTGGGCTGTGGGGGTTATACTTCTTCAACTTTACTCAATTTCACCAAGTTGCTCTGCACAACAGTTGTACCAATTTACACTCTTACCTGCAGTACATGAGAATTCCAGTTTCTCCGACATTTGGTTTTGTCAGACTTTTTATCTTTGCCAGTTTGATGTGTGTGAAATGCAGTCTGCTGGCACCCAGTGTTCAATCCTGAAGAGCTGGATGCATAGGTCTTGTTCACCATGGTTCCCCCAGCACTTTGCGCAGCACCTGAAATATAGTAGGTATTCCATATTTTTTGGCTGACTAATTGAGCAGCAGTTTTCTGGCTCCTCTCATGTAAAATTCCATTACAATTTGTTGGAGAAGCCATTTGTTCTGCAGGGAGTCCTGTTTTCATCTCACTCTTCCCAATTCAAAACCAGGAAACCGGGCCAGGCGCAGTGGCTCACTCCTGTAATCTCAGCACTTTGGGAGGCCAAGGCAGGTGGATCACGAGGTCAGGAGTTCAAGACCAGCCTGGCCAATATGGTGAAAACCCATCTCTACTAAAAATACAAAAATTAGCCGGGTGTGGTGGCATGCGCCTGTAGTCCCAGCTACTTGGGAGGCAGAGACAGGAGAATCACTTGAACCTGGGAGGCAGAGGTTGCTGTGAGCTGAGATCGCCCCACTACATTCCAGCCTGGGTGACAGAGCAAGACTCCAGCTCAAATCAACCAACCAACCAGGAAACCACTCAGGGACTAAGCAGAGAAAACAGCTTTTGATTGCCCTGTTTGCCTTTTTGTTAGAACTGCAGTTCTCAAAACTTTCCCATACCTCAGAACCACGTGGAGGGCGTGTTAAAATGCAAATCGCTGGGATCCATCCCCCCAGAATTTCTTGTTCAGGAGGTCGAGGGTAAGGTCTAGGGATCTGCTTTTTTTTTTTTTTTTTTTTTTTTTTTTTTTTTTGAGACAGGGTCTTGCTCTGTCACCCAGGCTGGAGTGCAGTGGTGCAATCTCGGCTCACTGCATCCTCGACCTCTTGGGCTCAAGCCATCCTCCCCACTCAGCCTCCCTAGTAGCTGGGACTACAGGCATGTGCCACCACGCCTAGCTAATTTTTGTATTTTTTGTAGAGATGAGTCTCTCTATGTTGCCCAGGCTGGTCTCAAACTCCTGGGCTCAAGCAATCCACCTGCCTTGGCCTCTCAAAGTGTTGGGATTACAGGCATGAGCCACCATGTCCAAAATAAGATTTGCGTGTGTAATAAGTACCTGGGTGATTCTGATGCTGGTGCTGCTGGTCTGGGAACTACACTTTGAGAACCACCGGATCTGAGGAACATTCAATCCAGACATTTTGGATATGATCAATGTGGAGTGTCCTTAAAGAGACTGAATGCAAAACTTGAAAAGCCACTCCCAAAGTGTAGAGTGGAGGGAAGAATATAACATCTAACTCCACTTAGCCGGAGTAGGAAAAGGAGAAGTCTGGAATGTTTAAGACAGTTGGCAGCATTTATAGAGACTGATATAATTCAGTAAGAATATATTGGGCACCAACTGGGTTGTTTCCTTCCTTCTTCTCTTCTCTTCTCTTCTCTTCTCTTCTCTTCTCTTCTCTTCTCTTCTCTTCTCTTCTCTTCTCTTCTCTTCTCTTCTCTCTCTCTTTCTTTCTCTCTCTTTCTCCCTTCCCTTCCCTGCCCTTCCCTCCCCTCCCCTCCCCTTCCTTTCCTTTCCTTCCTTCCTTTCCTTCTCTCCTCCCCTCCCCTCCCCTCCCCTTCCCTTCCTTTTTTTTTTGACAGAGTCTCTCTCTTGTCACCCAGGCCGGAGTGCAGTAGTGCAATCTTGGCTCATTGCAACCTCTGCCTCCCGGGTTCAAGCGATTCTCGTGCCTCAGCCTCCTGAGTAGCTGAGACTACAGGTGTGTGCCACCACACCCAGTTAATTTTAATTTTTATTTTTTGTATTTTTAGTATAGATGGGGTTTTGTTATGTTGGCCAGGCTGGTCTCAAACTCCTGGCCTCAAGCAATCCACCTGCCTCGGCCTCCCAAAGTGCTGGGACTACAGGTGTGAGCCATCATGTCCGGCCCTGACTGGGTTGTTTCCATCTGCTCGCAAGTCTTCTACGTGCTTTCAAGCCAGGATCTTTTTTTCCATTGATACTTACTCCTGAGATCACCGCAATCTTCTCTTCTTCCTCTACCTCCTCCCCTTCTCCCCCCCCCCCCTCCTCTCCTCCTCCTCCTCCTTCTTCTTCTTTTTCCTCTTCTTCCATGAATTAAATTCAGATGTGGACTTGGCTATGTGTTGAAACTATAATAAAGATAGCTAGCATTTATTGAGGTCTTGGTTGCCAAATGCTTTTGTTAGTGTTATCTCACTTCATCCTCCCTCAGACTTCAGGAGATAGGTACCATAGTTACATCCACTTTGTGGATGAAGTTTAGAGGTTACACAGCAGGTAAATAACAAAGCTGGGGCTGCAACCCAGGTCACCCCAATTCCAATGTCTTGTTCTTTACTGAAACTATGTACCATACATCTGTGATTCTTAGCTTCCTTATTAATTAATTCACCAAATGTTTTCTGAGCACCTCCTAGGTGCTAGGCCCTTTGCTGCTGATATGGGCAAATGAGACAGACAAAATTCCTGGTAGCACGACAATATGTTTTGGCCCTGTGTCCCCACCCGAGTCTTATCTCAAATTGGAATCCCCATAATCCCTAAGTATGGAGGGAGGGACCAAGTGGAGGTCATTGAATCATGGGGGCAGTTTCCCTCATGCTGTTCTCGTGATACTGATTGAGTGCTCATGAAATGTGATGATATTATAGGGCAGTTTCCCTGCTCCTGCTCATTCTCTCTGGCCTGCCACCATGTAAGATGTGCCTACTTCCCCTTCCCCCATGATTGTAAGTTTCCTGAGGCCTCCCCAGCCATGCAGAACTGTGAGTCAATTAAACTTCTTTCCTTTATAAATTACACAGTCTTGAGGCTTTCTTTCCTTTTTTCTATTTTGTGAGACAGAGTCTTGCTCTGTTGCCCAGACTGGAGTGCAGCGGCATGGTCTCAGCTCACTGCAGCCTCTGCCTCCCAGGTTCAAGCAATTCTCCTGCCTCAGCCTCCCGAATAGCTGGTATTACAGGCATGTGCCACCACACCTGGGTAATTTTTCTGTATCTTTAGTAGAGAGGGGTTTTTGCTATGTTGGCCAGTCTGGTGTCGTACTCCTGTAATCCCAGCACTTTGGGAGGCTTGAGGAAAGTGGATCACTTGAGTATTTCTTTATAGCAGTGTGAGTCATCTCCTATTACTGTTTTTTTTTTTTTTTTTTTCAAAAAGATGGGATCTTGCTGTCACCCAGGTTGGAGTGCAGTGGCTTGATCATAGCTCACTGCAGTCTTGACCTTCCAGGCTCAAGCATTCTCCCACCTCAACCTCCCAAGTATCTGGGACAACAAGTGTGTGCAATCATACCCGCCTAATTATTTGTTTATTTTTTGTAGAGATGAAGTCTTGCTATGTTGCCCAGGCTGTTGTAGAACTCCTGGACTCAAGCAATTCTCTCACCTCAGCCTCCCAAAGTGCTGGGATTATAGGCATGAGCCACTGCGCTGGCCACAATCTCCTATTACTCTCATCTATAGAAGGAAATGAGACTATCCCTCTTTGAGGGTTGCTGTGAGGTTTAGGGAAATGTGCTCTTGGTACCCAGTAGATGCTCAATAAGCATTACGCTAGGTATATAGTAGGTGCTCAATAAGTGTTGTGCTTGGTATATAGTTAGTAGGTGCTCAATAAGTGTTGGCTCCTGATTTCCTTCACTCCCAGGAGCTGGTAACTCTCTATTTGTGTACGTGGGGGAGAATGAAGCCAATTCCAAGAGACTACGATGTTCTCCTAGAAAAAGGCATTGCACCATCTTTAACATTTGTGCAGCCCACCCTCTATTAGCTCATCTGAGCAAATGCTTATTTTCCTGGTCTCTGGGGACAAGACTTAGGCTCTTTTCATTTGCCTCCTCACCCTCTCCCCATCTCCCTATTCTAGCCAGTATCACAGAATATGCAACATCTTGACAAACCAAAGGCACTGGGCAATGCTTTAGGAAACTGTGCAATTTAGAGAGATGAACAATGAAGAAATATCAGCTCTAGGCAGCTTGTGTGATGGAAAATAGGAGAAGATAAGATAAATGTGCAGCTTAGAAGGGAGAGTTCTCACAGGTAATGAGAGAAAATCAGGAGCCAACATCTATTTAGAGGTATTTTCCTTCAAGCATCTGGAGCTTTTGAAGAACCTGGATAGGAGAAATCTACATTTTAGGAGTGTAGGCTATTTTGTAATTTCCATCTTTGAAGGCTTCAACTCCATCTTTGCTGTCTGTGTGCTAGTTATTTCTTTTTCAGGCTCAATTTTAATAATTTCCTTTTTTTTCTTTTCTCCCAGGAAGAGGGTTTAACTCTGCAACATAATCAGTGCACAGAAACCTAAATTGGAAATCTCTTTCACTACAGACAAGACAGTTCAGAAGTGAAAAGTCACAGTAAAATTGGGCATTTCTTTCCATAGACTTAACAGAAGCAACACCTGGATTCCAGCAGCTGTACTGGTGTAACTGGCACTTGAACGTCTCCATCCAAGTGCCCCTTTGTGGCAGATGAAGAGTTCAGGTTTTGTTCCTCATCAGCTTTGTGACCTTGGGCAAAGTCCTTGACCTATCAGAGCCTCAATTTCCCTATCTGTGGAAAGACGACCATGAAAAAATATGCACTATGGGGTGGTTCTGGTGGGGAGAGTTAAATTAGATATAATTTAGAAATTCTTAGCATAATATTTGTATCATATATATGTTTATATATGTTAATATGTAACACATAATAGTATATAAGAAAGTCATCTATATGAACTTCACACAGCATATTATATTATATATACACACTACATGGTGTATATGACATATACTATCTAATATATGATATGGTTTGGCTGTGTCCCCACCCAAATCTTATCTTGAATTGTAAATCCCACAATTCCCACATGTTGTGGGAGGAACCTAGTGGGAGATAATTGAATCATGGGAGTGGGTCTTTCCTGTGCTGTTTTTGTGATAGTGAATAAGTCTCATGAGATCTGATGGTTATATACACGGGAATTTCCCTGTACAAGCTCTCTTCTCTTGTCTGCTGCCATGTGAGACATGCCTTTCATCTTCTGCCATGCTTGTGAGGCCTTCCCAGCCACAGTTCCACGTGGCTGGGGAGTAATAAACCTCTTTCTTTTGTAAATTGCCCAGTCTCAGGTATGTCTTTATCAGCAGCATGAAAACAGATTAATACAATATGTTATATATATATTATATAGTATGTATCTAATATAGTATAGTATACTAAGTATTAAATATTTTATAATAAATATAATACTATAGCATATAAACATGAGTACAATGATATATGCTCTAACATATGTACTATGTAACATAATGGCACATACACATATTATACCATGTTTGTATTTTATAGTGTACATAACATATACTATATATCATATAGTATTCTATAGTATATATGATATACATACCATATAACACAAACTATAATATATGTACTATATACACTATATATAATATAGTATACTATGTAATATATGCTATATATACAAGCAACTGTCCTCTAAACTATATCTTATATTATATATTATGTAATATACCAATATAATATAGTAGAGATGAAAGTTTCTTGTGAATTGAAAAGCCATGATTAATAAAAGATGTTATTATTCATATAGAGATATAGATGACTGATAAGGTTTGTGGTATGACCCTGAGTCTCTTTTTTTCTATCATCTGCTTGATTCACTACCTGACTCTTAATTTTTCTTTCTTTCTTTTTTTTTTTTTTTGAGACGGAGTCTTGCTCTGTCACCCAGGCTGGACTGCAGTGGCGTGATCTTGGCTCACTGCAAGTTCCGCCTCCTGGGTTCACGCCATTCTCCGTCCTCAGCCTCCTGAGTAGCTGGAACTACAGGCACCTGCCACCATGCCCGGCTAATTTTTTGTATTTTTAGTAGAGACAGAGTTTCACCATGTTAGCCAGGATGGTCTTCACCTCCTGACCTTGTGATCCACCCGCCTTGGCCTCCCAAAGTGCTGGGATTTGAGATGGAGTCTCACTTTGTCACCCAGGCTGGAGTGCAGTGGCGTGATCTTGGCTTGTTGCAACCTCCACTTTCCATATTCAAGCAATTCTCCTGCCTCAGCCTCCCAAGTAGCTGGGATTACAGGCATGTGCCACCATGCTCGGCTAATTTTTGTATTTTTGGTAGAGACTGGTGTTCGCCATGTTGGCCAGGCTGGTCTCGAACTCCTGACCTCAGGTGATCCACCCACCTCAGCCTCCCAAAGTACTGGGATTACAAGCGTGAGTTACCATGCCTGGCCCTGACTCTTAATATTTTATTTTACTGTTTTTTCCTCAACTACTTCTTGTTGCCTTTGTCATTCGGTTAACGGGCCATCCTCCTCTCAGGAGGGCCACCAAAGGGCTGGGAGTCACCACTGACACATTGAAACTCTTTTCCTCCCTCCTGCTCTACACTCACCCTACATCTAACACTCTGGCTGCCTCTACTGATCCTGGCTCTAAAGCATGGCCTGGATACATCCACTCTTTTCTGAGCCCCATCACCCCATGCCAGCTCCCCCCACCTGTCTAGACAACTACAATAGTCTCTTAACTACTCTCCCTGCTTCCTCCTTCACCTCTTTATAATCCACTCTTCACGTAGTAGCCTGCGTGATCTTTTTTTTTTATTTTTATTTTTTTTGAGACAGGATCTCACTGTCATCCAGGCTGGAGTGCAGTGGCACAATCGCGGCTCACTGCAGCCTCAACATTTCTGGGCTCAGATGACTCTTTTTTTTTTTTTGAGACAGAGTCTTGCTCTGTCCCCAGGCTGGAGTGCAGTGGAACGATCTCAGCTCACTGCAAGCTCCGCCTCCTGGGTTCACGCCATTCTCCTGCCTCAGCCTCCTGAGTAGCTGGGACTACAGGCACCCGCCACCACGCCCGGCTAATTTTTTATTTTTAGTAGAGACGGGGTTTCACCATGTTAGCCAGGATGGTCTCGATCTCCTGACCTCGTGATTCACCCGCCTTGGCCTCCCAAAGTGCTGGGATTACAGGCGTGAGCCACTGCGCCCAGCCTTGGGCTCAGATGATTCTCCCACCTCAGCCTCCTGAGTAGCTGGGACCACAACTAATTTTTGTATTTTTTTTTTACTTTATTATTATTATTATTATTGTGGAGACAGGGTTTTGCCATGTTGGTCAGGCTGATCTTGAACTCCTGAGCTCAAACAATCCTCTTGCCTTGGCCTCCCAAAGTGCTGGGATTACAGGTATGTGCCACTGTGCCCGGCCAATCTTTAAAGGGAGTAAATCGGATCATGTTACCTAGCTGAAAACCCTTCATTGGTTTTTCCAACACATGTAGCATAAATTCCGAACTCCTTACTGTCAATTTTTCCTGAAATGTACCTTTGCCTGGATCACTCCCCTGCTCTGCCTTGCCCACTCTGCTCCTGCACTGGTGACAGTTCAGCTTTCAAACACACCACACTCAATCCCACCTTGTGGCCTTTGCACTTGCTGTTTCCTTGCCCGGGAATGTCTTTCCTCCAAGATATCTGCATGGCCCTCTTGTTCACTCCATTCAGGACTCTCTGCAATTGTTGCTTTATCTGGGGGGACATTCCTGATCATCCTAACAAAAATAACACCTCCCATCACTTGTGTCTTCTTAACGTATCTTGCCATACATACATACTTAGCATTTACCATATACTCTCTGGATATATATATATATATATATATATATATATATATATATATATATATTTAGCATTTTTACATTCTCTGAAAGGCCCCAGAGCGCTTAGTGTATGGCACAAATAGGTAAATAATGGTAATAATTATTACTATTCATTTTGTTATTATAGACAGTGCTGTGTGAGTTTTAAATCCTTTCATGAGAAAAGGTTTTTTTAAGGCTGGGCAAGGTGGCTCATGCCTCTAATCCAGCACTTTGGGAGGCTGAGGCAGGTGGATCACCTGAGGTCAGGGGTTTGAAACCAACCTGGCCAACATGGTGAAACTCCATCTCTACTAAAAATACAAAAATTAGCCAGGTGTGGTGGCGCGAGCCTGTAGTCCCAGCTACTCGGGAGGCTGAGGTGGGAGGATTGCTTGAATCCAGGAGTCAAAAGTTTCAGTGAGCTGAGATCACACCATTGCACTCCAGCCTGGGTGAGAGAACAAGACTTTGCCCCGCCGACCCCCGCCAGAAAAAAAAGTTTTTTTTTTTTTTGAGACAGAGTCTCTCTCTGTCACCAAGGCTGGAGTGCAATGGCATGATCTTGTTTCACTGCAACCTCCGCCTCCTGGGTTTAAGCAATTCCTCTGTCTCAGCCTCCTGAGTAGCTGGGATTACAGGCATGTGCCACCACACCTGGCTAATTTTTGTATTTTTAGTAGAGACGGGGTTTCACCATGTTGGTCAGGCTGGTCTCAAACTCCTGACCTCATGATCTGTTCCCCTTGGCCTCCCAAAGTGCTGGGATTACAGGCGTGAGCCACCGAGCCTGGCCCTGTTTTTTTTGTTTGTTTGTTTTTTGTTTTTTTTGTTTTTGTTTTTTGTAGAGCTGTAGTTTTGCTATATTGCCTAGGCTGGTCTCAAACTCCTGGCTTCAAGCAATCCTCCTCCCTCGGCCTCTCAAAGTCCTGGGATTACAGGATTGAGCTGCCATGCAAGACCAAGAAACCGTTTTGATAGTCAGAAATTATATAGCTACCATTTATGGAGCTTAACTATGTGCCCCGCAGGTGCTAAGTTGTTTTTTTTTTTTTTCAACTCTGTCTCATTTAACTCTCACTATCACAGAATGCCTTGAAGTTTGTATTACTGCAGGAGAGGAGGTGAACTCAGGATCAGCTTTATTAATATTGATAATAATAGTAGTGTTATTAAATGAATGAATGAAAGCACAACATGAGACCTATTCTAAGGTGATTAGAAGACTAAGCACTCAGCTCTGGGATTGAATGGTGGAGGGGCAGGCAGTTTGGAAGGGGAGGCATCCCTTGTGTACTCCCAGGAGTGTCCTTATCCAGGGTCAACCTTGGAGGCACCAAGATTTATTTTATTAGAGAAGGCAGCCATTCCTCACCCCGCACTACCCACAGATCCAAGGCCTGAGGAATCTGAGAAATGGCCCCCCTAGTCCATAGGCTCAATCTATTTTCACTGGGAGAGAAGCAGCCCAGGCATATGGGGTCTGCACCTTTCACTGCGTAGGTGATAAACCTTGAGCCAAATCAGAATTATCGGTCTTGTGTTCTGTCGTATGGGGCCTCCCAACACTGTGAAGTGCACTCACACCCACGTGCCCTTTTATTTATGACTTTTATTGAGCCTTCTATGAAGTCGTAAATTGACCAACCCTCCAACTGGTTCCGGCCCTCATCAGGAAGCTATCATCAAAGTGAATCACCTTCTCACTGGCCACTTGTTCCCTGAAGGTTCATTGCAAAGGCTGAGATGTTTTCTGGGACTTCTTATAGAATCTGTCAGCCCTAGCTTAGAACTGCCAAGCCAAGGTTTTTTTGTTTCTGTTTCTGTTTTTTTTTTTTTTTTTTTTTTTGTTGTTGTTAAGAAAGAGAAGTAAAATACAAAGTGGAAAGGTAATGTGTTTGTTTGGCCAGGGCCTCTCATCTCTGTACAGTATTCTGGAAATGCCTCAATTTCTGGAGCTGTGGATTGGACGAGGTTGACCTACTCTTATTCTGGCCTAGAAAAAGTCTGAGTAATTCTTGCATCAGGGAGGCCAGGCATGTTGGCTCATATCTGTAATCCAGCACTCTGGGATGCTGAGGCGGGTGGATCACCTGAGGTCAGGAGCTCAAGACCAGCCTGGCCAACATGGTGAAACCCCATCTCTACTAAAAATAGAAAATATTAGCTGCGTGTGGTGGCAGAAGCCTGTAATCCCAGCTACTTGGGAGTCTGAGGCAGGAGAATCCCTTGAACCTGGGAGGTAGAGGTTGCAGTGAGCCAAGATTGTGCCACTGCACTCCAGCCTGGGTGAAAGAGCGAGACTCCATCTCAAAAAAAAAAATATGTGTATATATATATATATATTCTTGCACTAGGGATTTGGGGACAAGGCAGAGAACAACATATTCCTAAGGGAATATGGGAACCAGCAACTTAAATAAAAACAAGGGTTGGATCTTGGACGTAGGAGGGACTTGGGTGGAAATGATTTCCCTAAAAGCACAGGGTGCTAGAGAGTCCCTAAGAACTCCTCAGACACCTCTCAAGCCCTGTGCTGGGGAAACAACCTGCATTATCTCATCTACTCTTCAGCAGGCCTCTGTTTCATCTCCATTTCGCAGATGGAGAAATTGAGGCTCACAGAGGTTATGTCACTGTATAAGTTGCTCTAGATCACATGGATACTAAATGGTAGAGCCAAGTTCTGAACACAGATTCTTCTTTAATTTATTAAAATTCACCCATTTGGATGTGCATGTCAATAATTTTTAGTAAATTTATTTCGTTTCATTTTATTTCATTTATTTATTTATTTGAGATGGAGTCTCATTCTGTGGCCCAGGCTTGACTGCAGTGGTGCAGTCTCGGCTCCCTGCAACCTCTGCCTCCCAGGTTCAAGCGATTCTCCTGCTTCAGCCTCCTGAGTAGCTGGGACTATAGGCACATGCCACCTTGCCTGGCTAATGTTTGTATTTTTAGTAGAGATGGGGTTTCACCATGTTGGCCAGGCTGGTCTTGAGCTCCTGACCTCAGGTGACCCACCCACCTTGGCCTCCCAAAGTGCTGGGATAACAGGCATGAGCCACTTATTTTATTTTATTTTATTCTTTTGAGATGGAGTTTCACTTTTGTTGCCCAGGCTGGAGTGCAATGGCATGATCTTGGCTCACTGCAACCTCCGCCTCCCGGGTTCAAGTGATTCTCCTGCCTCAGCCTCCTGAGTAGCTGGATTACAGGCATGCACCACCACGCCTGGCTAATTTTTGTATTTTTAGTAGAGACGGGGTTTCTCCATGTTGGTCAGGCTGGACTCGAACTCCCTACCTCAGGTGATCCGCCAGCCTCAGCTTCTCAAAGTGCCAAGATTACAGGCTTGAGCCACCATGCCTGGCCCACTTATTATTTTGTAAAGAGACAGGGTCTTGCTCTGTTGGCCAGGCTGGAGGACAGTGGCATAACCGTAGCTCACTGTAGTCTTGAACTCCTGGGCTTAAGCCATCCTCCTACCTCAGCGTCCTGAGTAGTTAAGACTACAGGCATGGGCTACCATGCCCAGCTAATATTTTTAGTAAATTTTAAAAGTTGTGTAATTATCATGACAATACAGTCTTAGAACCTTTCCATGGTGTCCAGAATGACCCCTGGTGCTGATTTGCCGTCAATCCTCATTCCCATCTGTAGCTTCAGTTGACAACTGTGCCTGGGCCTGTGTGTCTCTATAAATTTACCTATTCCGGACATTTCATATAAATAGAATCACACAATATGTAGTCTTTTCATTTGACTTCTTTTGCTTATGGTGAGATAACTATGTTGTTTTGTATATTAACAGTTCATTCCTGGCTGGGCGTGGCGGTTCACGCCTGTAATCTCAGCCCTTTGGGAGGCTGAGGTGAGTGGATCACTTGAGGTCAGGAGTTCAAGACCAGCCTGGACAACATGGGAAAACCCTGTCTCTACTAAAAATTCAAAAAGTAGCCAGGTGTGGGGAACGCACCTGTAATCCCAGCTACTCAGGGGGCTGAGGCAGGAGAATCACTTGAACCCAGGAGGCAGAGGTTACATTAAGCCAAGATTATGCCACTGCACTCCAGCCTGGGTGACAGAGTAAGACTCTGCCTCAATAAAAACAACAACGACAACAACATAGTTCATTCCTTTTTATTCCTGAATATTATTCCAATGTTTGGGTATACCCCATTTTATTTATTCATTTTACCAGTTGATGAGCATTTGGATTATTTCTATTTCTTGGCTGCTATAAAGAGTTCTGCTATGCACATTCATGTGTAGGTTTCTGTATGGTCGGATGTTTTCATTTCATCTGGGTAGTTTCCTAGAAGTGGAATTGCTGGGTTTTATGGTAAGCTCATGTTAAACTTTGTAAGAAACTGCGAAACTTTTCAAAGAGCCTTTGTCATTTTACATTGAACTCAGGTCTTTGTGACTCTGACGTCCAAGTTCTTAACCACTGCATTATGTGTATGTCTCATGTTACTCCATGCCATGAATAATCAATTCATTTTGACAATTATTGCTTGATGTTTATTCTATGCTGGTCGTGGTACTAAATGGTAGGAATAGAGAAATGAAAGGATATGGCTTGTTTTCTGCCTTTTATGGTAGATTGGGTTATTATTATTATTATTATTGTTATTATTTTTGAGACAGAGTCTCACTCTGTTGCCCAGGCTGGAGTGCAGTGGTGCGATCATGGCTCACTGCAGCCTCAACATTCTGGGCTCAAGTGATCCTCCTATCTCAGCCTCCTGAGTAGCTGGGATCATGGCATGTGCCACCATGCCTGGCTAACTTACACTTTTTTTTTTCTTTGTAGAGACAAGGTCTCACTGTGTTGCAAAGACTGGTCTCAAACTGCTGGGCTCAAGCAATCTTCCTGCCTCAGGCTACCAAAGTGCTGGGGTTACAGGCTTGAGCCACCTAGCCTGGTTAGATTGGTTAGTGATCACAATTTTTCTACCATATGACCTTTCAGTGTACCAGATGGACAGAGCATATTTCCCCACCCATATTAGGCTGTTCTTGCATTGCTATAAAGAAATACCAGAGGCCACGCATGGTGGCTCACACCTGTAATCTCGGCACTTTGGGAGGCTGAGGCAGGCGGATCACGAGGTCAGGAGATCGAGACCATCCTGGCTAACAGGGTGAAACCCTGTCTCTACTAAAAATACAAAAAATTAGCCAGGCATGGTTGCAGGCGCCTGTAGTCCCAGCTACTTGGGAGGCTGAGGCAGGAGAATGGCGTGAACCCGGGAGGCAGAGCTTGCAGTGAACCGAGACTGCGCCACTGCACTCTAGCCTGGGTGACAGAGCAAGACTCCATCTCAAAAAAAAAGAAATACTAGAGACTGGATAATTTATAAAGAAAAGAGGTTTAATTGGCTCACAGTTGTGCAGGCTGTACAAGCATGGAGCTGGCATCTGCTTGGCTTCTGGGGAAGCCGCAGGGAGCTTTTACTCATGGCAGAAGTGAAGAGGGAGCAGGCACGTCACATGGCAAAAGCAGGAGCGAGAGAGAGAGTGTGGGTTAGATTCTACACCCTTTTTTTTTTTTTTTTTTTTTTTTTTTTTGAGACAGAGTCTCGCTCCAGCACCAGGCTGGAGTGCAGTGGTGCGATCTTGGCTCACTGCAACCTCCGCTTTCTGGGTTCAAGCCATTCTCCTGCCTCAGCCTCCCGAGTAGCTGGGATTACAGGTGCGCACTGCCACGCCGAGCTAATTTTGTATTTTTAGTAGAGACAGGGTTTCACCATGTTGGTCAGGCTGGTCTCGATCTCCTGACCTTGTGATCTGCCCGCCTCGGCCTCCCAAAGTGCTGGGATTACAGGCGTGAGCCACCGTGCGTAGCCCACACACTTTTAAATGACCAGATCTCATGAAAACTCACTCACTATCGTGAAGACAGCACCAAATCATGAGGGATCTGTCCCCGTGACCCAAACTAACTCCACCAGGCTCCACCTTCAGCACTGGGGATTGCAATTCAACATGAGATTTGGCTGGGGACAAATATCCAAACTATAGCACCACCCCATGGTGTTGGGTTTGCCCATGTGACTTGTGGCCAAGGAACATGAATCAGATATGATGCAAACAGATGCCTCACATGTGCTTTTTGTGCTGTAGTTCATGTTCTTGTGTTCTCCTGATCCATTATGAGAAGAACACACTCTGCATAGCGGTTTCTTCTTTAGTCTGAGAGTCACAGCAAAAATATGTGAGGCAGACCTGAATTTAACACACAGCCTAAAGCTAAGTGCAGGTTTCCCACAGCATGAAGTAGACCTGCCCATCTGATCCCTGCCTAGATCAGTTAAATTGTAGTCATCCTACTGATCACTGAGAGTTTTCAGAAGTGTTTGTCATTGTAAACAACTGAAATATTAGTTGTTTGTTATGCGGCAATAGCTGACTAATGCATCTTTAAAGAGCCTATATAAAGAGATACACAGAAATATAAAGCAATCTATAATAGAGAGTACAGTGAATGTCTGGAGAGAGACACAAAATGAGTACTGTGGGAAACCACTCTGGTGGTAAGGGTAAAATTCAGCTTCATGAAAAAGGTGGTCTTAAAGGATAAGGAGGATTTTGACAGGTGGAAATGAGTGCAGTGGGATGTCATCTAAGCAAAGAAAACAGCATAAGCGAAGGCCTGAAAGTTTTATACCTCCAGGTTTTATGCCTATCTATGGCTCATGTCCTGTGATCTAAGTTTCTCAGAAGACAGAGATGCATCCACTTTCAGGGTGAGGACCTTTAGCTTGTCACTTCTGGTCATCCCTCCAGAATGAGCCGTTTGCAATCTTTATGTTAGATCTAAAATCCACAGGAGCTTAGTGACAGACATTGATGGCTGTTGCTACTGTCTAGATCTGGTCATGGACGTGTTCCACCACCCACAGACTCACCACCACCACCACCATATCGAATTTAAAAATGAGTCTCTTAAATACTTAACTGACTTATCTTGCCAACTCCCATTAACCAGTTTTATGCCTACTTCTCTGGAGTGACAACCAGATAATGATTATAGGGAAATTTGTTTTTACTTTTCTTTTGCGTCTGCTGCTTTCTTTTTGTTAGAATTTTTGTGATATACATTTTTGTTTTCAATGTTTCTATGTTGTCTTGTTTTATTTGTTGTTTATTGTATTGCATAGTCTTGTCTACAGTATTTAACTGGATTTTTTTTAAAAGAAGCACTCCAAACTGAAAGGCATTGTCTTTTATTAGAGAAATTTAACCCATTTATGTTTATTGTGCCTATTGATAAGTTTGAATTTACTCCTGATATTTCAAATTCCAATTTACCATGTTTTAAAAATTGATGCATAATAATTATATATTATTATGCATCAATTATGCAAAATATCACATGTATGAGGTACATGTGATATTTTGATACGTACATACAATGTGTACTTTTCAAATCAGGGCAATTAGGATATTCATCACCTCAGACATTTATCATTTCTTTGTGTTGGGAGCATTTCAAATATTCTCTTCTGGCTATTTGGGTATGTACAATAAATTATTGTTAACTATAGTCACCCTACTGTGCTGTTGAACTCTAGAACTTTTCCTTCTAACTGTATTTTTGTACCCGTTAACCAACCTCTCTTCACCCCTCACTCACCCCCCCACCCTCTGGTAACCATACTTCTACTCTACTTTTATGAGATGAACTTTTTAAGGTCCTACATATTAGTGAGAACATGCAATATTTATCTTTTTATGCCTGGCTTATTTCCCTTAACGTCCTCCAGTTTCATTGGTGTTACTGCAAATGACAGAATTTCATTCCTTTTTATGGCTAACTGGATATTCCATTGTGTATATATATTATATTTTGTTTTCTTTTCTTTTTTTTTTTTTTGAGACAGAGTTTCACTCTTGCTGCCCAGGCTGGAGTGCAATGGCACAATCTCGGCTTACTGCAACCTCCGCCTCCCGGGTTGAAGTGATTCTCTTGTCCCAGCCTCCTGAGTAGCTGGGATTACAGGCATGCGCCATCATGCCCAGCTAATTTTGTATTTTTAGTACAGACGGGGTTTCTCCATGTTGTTCAGGCTGATCTCGAACTCCTGACCTCAGGTGATCTGCACACTTCGGCCTCCCAAAGTGCTGGGATTACAGGCATGAGCCACCACGCCCGGCATATACTACATTTTCTTTCTTCATCCATTGACGAACACTTAGTTTGATTCCATATGCTGGCTATTATGATTAGTGCTACAATAAACATGGGTGTGCAGGTATCTTTTCTACATATTGATTTCCTTTTTTTGGATATATACCCAGCATGGAATTGCTGGATTATATGGTAGATCTATTTTTAGTTTTCTGAGAAATCTCTGTACTGTTTTCCATAATGGCTGTACTAATTGTCATTCCCACCAGCAATGCACTAGTGTTGCCCTTTCTCCACATTCTCACCAGCATGTTATTTTTTGTCTCATTGATACTAGCCATTTTAACTGGGGTGAAATATCTCGTAATGGTTTTGCTTTGCATTTCCCTTGTGATTAGTGACATTGAATATTTTTTTCATATCCCTGTTGTCCATTTGTATGTTTTCTTTTGAGAAATGTTCATTTACCCTGTTTTAAAGTTTGTTCTTTTTCTTTCCTGCTTTTTTTTCCCCCTGTTACATTGGTTATGTTTTCCTTGATGCATTTTTTTTCTTCAGTGGTTTGGAAGAAATGCACGCTAGTTCTGTCTCTTTGGCAATTATCTTTGACATTTTAAACACATTATGAAACATACTATTCTTTCAAAGTATAGAGTTAATTAGGATTTCATCCGGAGCAAAAGAACAAGCAGCATGTTTTCACTTCTCTACCTTAGCCATCTGCTGCTATTTCCTACGTTGAAATGATCTGGAACTTTAGTTTCAGAATGTTATTTATGTACTTATTTATTTTTATTGTGGATTCAGGGGGTACATGTGCAGGTTTATTATGTGGGCATATTACATAATGCTGGAGTTTTAGCTTCTATTGAACCCATCACCCAAACAATGAATATAGTACACAACAGGTAATTTCAACCCTTTCCCACCTTCCCTACTCCCCTCGCAGAATATTACTGAAAACAATTTTAGATTTTGTCTGTTTTTCCAAAGTATACTCTTTCTGGCCAGGTGCGGTGACTCACGTCTGTAATCCCAGCACTTTGGGAGGCTGAGGCTGGCAGATCACCCGAGGTCAGGAGTTTGAGATCAGCCTGGCCAACATGGCAAAACCCCGTCTCTACTAAAAATACAAAAAATAGCCGGGCATGGTGGTGCACGCCTGTACTCCCAGCTCTTCGGGAGGCTGAGGCAGGAAAATCGCTTGAACCTGGGAGGCGGATGCTGCAGTGAGCTGAGATCACACCACTGCACTCCAGCCTGGATGACAGGGCGATACTCCATCTCAAAACCAAAACCAAAACCACAACCACAACAACAACAACAACAACGTACGCTCTTTCAGAAAGTCTCCGAGTTGAAAACGCCTGTGTGGCCTTCTAGCATCCAGTGTTACCAACGAGGAATATGCTACCGATCTGCTACTTCATCCCTTAGTGAGGTTTTTTTTTTTTTTTCTCTTAGGAACTTTTTAGGATACTCTGTTCTCACTGAAATTGCACCCTGTTGCAACTAGGTGTGGTTCTTTTCCATGTCAGATTGGTCTTATTTATAGAATACATGATCTGCTCTTAGCTCTTTGAAGCTATCAGTTATACTTACATTAAAATCTTTTGTTTGTTTGTCCTATTGTAGTGATTAAGCATGTGAGTTCTAGAATCACAATACTGGGCTTGAATCCCAGCCGTGATCCTTTCTGGATATTTGAGGGAAATTTCTGTAGTTACAGCAGGAACAGAGGTGGGGTGATTCCAGATTCCAGTATTCTAGGCAGAGGCGGCACTTAGCAGAACTAGCCCTGGTGGAGGTGGCCCTCTGATAAATTCAGAGCTGATTTATCAGCAGTGTCTTCAATGGCACAATGTTAGATGGAGGCTGATGGGTTCCAGCCTAGGAGCATTAGCAGCTTCTAAAAATTTATTATTTTTATTTTTTTAAACAAATTATTATTATTATTTTTATAGAAATGGGGTTGCCCCATGTTGCCCAGGCTGGTCTTGAACTCCTGGGCTTAAGCGATCCTGCCTCGGCCCCCCAAAGTGCTGGGATTATAGGCATGAGCCACAGCACCCAGCCCATTAGCAGTTTTTGATCTACGGTTATCACGTCTTCTTTTTGCTCCTCAGACCCACCCACTTTTCCAATTGCTCTTCCATCCATCTCCAAACCTTATACCTAACTCCTTGGTTTGAAATATCTAGAGTGGTTTCTGCTTTGCTGATACCACTGGTTTCTGAAACATGAGCATAGGACATAATTGATATTGGGGTGAATGGGAGGAACAGAATGATGCAAAATTGTCTGCTTCTGTGTATGAGAAAGACACTGGCCAATCTTAATTCTGCAAGCCCAGGAGGGCTCTTAAATTATATTTATTATTATTATTATTTTTGAGACAGAGTTTCACTCTTGTTGACCAGGCTGGAGTGCAATGGCACAATTTTGGTTCACTGCAAACTCCACCTCCCAGGTTCAAGTGATTCTCCTGCCTCAACCTCCTGAGTAGCTGGGATTACAGGCATGTGCCACCACGTCCGGCTAATTTTGTATTTTTAGTAGAAACAGGGTTTCGCCATGTTGGCCAGGCTGGTTTCGAACCCCTGACCTCAGGTGATCCACCCACCTCGGCCTCCCAAAGTGCTGGGATTACAGGCATGAGCCACTGTGCCTGGCCTGTTATTATTAGTAGTAGTAGCATAATGCATTGAACATAGCTTGTCAATGCTTGGGTGTCAGGTAATCAACACCAAGACGTCCCTTGAGACTTTTGCTTTCTAATTTGCCCTGAGGATAGGCCAAAATAAGCTAGTGACATATTGAGTTAATTGGGCATCAACCCAGGAATTCTGCTTCTTGCTGTCCTACCCTGGACTTCCCCATGAAGTTAGTGGCCCCAGGAGGAAGGTGAGAAAAGGGTGAAGCTGCATTACACTTGCAGTCAGTGTTCAAGTCACCACAAAACGGTGACCTACCTACACAGTGCCCTGAATCCTCCAGTCTTGCCCCAGATGACAGAATCCACATGGACCCTTTTACTGAAGCCCGTCAGGCTCCGCGGTTTTATAGATGATGTCAGGAGGAGTGATTAGGACCAAAGGAAAAAGGTTCCTAGGCACAGTTGCTAAAACTGTGCTCCTGAGGTCTGTAGGAGCCCCCAAGGTCTCTGTTGATTACTTTAAGCAAAGCTCTTCAGTTTCTCTGTGGGGAACTTCTCCCTAAGTGACCACAATCAGGTTAGCAGGTGGCTGAGTAAACAAGGCTGAACAATGGGTTTTCCGTCAAGTTGGTTTATATCAGCAAGAAGCCCTAAATCTGTTTTTTTTTTTTTTTTCCAGTCCCTCCTGGAGATGAAGAAAGAGTTCAGTCACCCTGCTGAGGAGAGAAAAGGCCATTATTGTCAAAAGAAGGCACCTGTCCTAGATTTAAGGGAGGTGCGTTATCCTGGATGGTTTCTAGGCCTCAGTGGGATGGTCTGATGACTTCGTCTCACCCCCCAGGTACCTAGGAAGGTGATGAATGTGAAGGTGGATTCTTCATGGAGCTCCACACTCAGGATCTGGTATCTGAAGCTTCCTGCATTATGTCAGCTTATCTACTTTGTCCAGCTCCCCATTAGAGAAATCCTGCTTTCTTACCAGCATAGGTCACTGCGCTACTAAGAACATTTCTTTTCCTTTTTTTTCCCCTCCAGAGATGTGGTCTTGCCCTGTTGTCCAGGCCGGAGCACAGTGGTGCAATCCTACCTCACTGCACCCTCTAACTCCTGGACTCAAGTAATCCTCCTACCTCAACCTGCACGTAGCTGAGACTCCAGGCGTGAGCCATCGTGCCTGGCTATTTTTTGTATTTTAATTTTCTGTAGAGATGGGGTCTCGTCATATTGCCCAGATTGGTCTTGAACTCCTGGCCTCAAGTGATCCTCCCACCTCATCCTCCCAACCCCGTTTCTTTTCAGTCAGACAACCAGCCTGGTCTTTATTACACTGGTTCAGAGTCAGCTGGAAAAGAATTCTCTTTTCCTGGGCCAGGCAATCAGTGTTCAAGTCCCAGTGGGATCTCATTCGAGTCATGTGACTTTGGGCCGGTTCTTCACCTCTGAGAACCTCAGTTTCTCCACCTGTAAAATGGATGTGGCACTAGAGCCTGTACCACTTGCCTTGTAGGGATGTGGCAAGTCTCAAAGGTGGTGATATAAGGGGAGCGTTGGGTAAACTGTAACTCTCAGCTATCTGAATGTGCGCCTGTTCTCTCTCACGTTAGGAACCGTAGCAAGGCACTAGAAGAGGTTATATTTTATATATATATTATTTTTTATATTATTATATATTAATGTTATACAAAATACATTATAAATGTAAATTATATTATTATATATTAATGTAATACAAATATTACATTTTATCTACAAATCATTTGGCTGAGCCTTGGATGTCAATTGGGCTGTTTAATGCCCTGACGAAGATCTCTTATACATCCATATGAGAAAGGGTTTCTATACTGGAAGATACTGCCTCTCTTTTTACATGCAAGGACCTTGCTAAAGTGCAGTTTCTGATTCACTGGGTCTGATGCAGGACTGGAGATTGATTCTGCATTTTCCTCAAACTCCCAGGTCATACCCATGCTGCAGGTATCACATTTAGTAGCAAGAATGTAGGAAACATGGTCTTTTCTGGTGGCTCTCTTGATGTTTTGCTACACTTGTATTTACTTGTCTCAACTAGACTCCACCTCCTGCAGTCTCACATGACCCATGCAACTCAACGGAAGTCATACAACAATCACTAGCAGTAAGTACCCGCAGCTGTAGAAACAAACAAACAAATGAAAAAACCCAAACAATAACATTTGCACAAGGACCCAAACTTGGCAGTGCACCTAGAAGAGTTTGTAGCGTACCATTGGTTATAAACATTGTACAACACAAACCTAAACTATTACATTTGTGAGGGGATAGGTTGCCATTTCCCTTGCTTGTTTATGAGCAAAAACTTGAGAGCTGCATTATTTTTGCCTTCCCAGATAGCACTGACCCTCAGTAAATGTTTGATGAGCTAAAAGTGCCTTTAGTGAGTGGGAAATTAAGCAAGGCCCTTGATTGTACATCTATTGCTCCAAACTTCAGAAAAACCAATCATAACTTTTACAGAACATCTCCTCCCTATGCTGCTTTATTTCTTTCCATACATAGCTGAACTCATCACCTGAGACTCAACTTCCACCCATCTTGTCCTATAAGTTCAGATTTATAAGGGCAGGGCAGGCAAAGAAGCCCTTAGACTTTGCTTGTTGGTCTCTCCTGTAACCCTGAAATAACCACGTTTACCACGTTTATTCCCAAAGCTCATATTGAGTTCAAATCCCCTGTTACTCATTTAGAGAGACAAGTGGCATTCATCATTTTTGCCTCTCTGTGTCTTCCTCTCCCCCAGAACAATGGCATTACATGACGATTAACTCCTTTTGATATAAACAAGTCCAATGGCAGAGTGTTGGATGACTCAGAAAACCCAGGCATTGAAAGATGCAAAATATTTTATTGTGTTCTTGCATTATGAAGCATTGGGGAGTGTTAAGCATTTTTCTTTGATTTTTCTCTCCCTCCCTCCCTCCCTCCCTTTCTCCTGCCCTCCTCCCCTTTCTCCTTTCCTTCATCCTTTCCTTCCTTCCTTTCCCTCCCTTTCTCCTGCCCTCCTCCCCTTTCTCCTTTCCTTCATCCTTCCCTTCCCTTGCCTCCCCTCCTCTTCCCTCCCTTCCCTTCCCCTCCTTTCCTTTCCCCTTCCCTTCCCTTCCCTTCCCTTCCCTTCCCTTCCCTTCCCTTCCCTTCTCTTCCCTCTCTTCCATCTTTTCATCTATATCTGCCATTTTGCCTAACACCCATGTGCTGGAGAAGAAAGAAAACAAGGACTTAAAGAGGGAAAAAATTCAAAGAAAGAAAAATGAAAGGTAGACAGAGCTTATGCATTTTGAAGGTGTGAAAATTAGGATTTCAGCCTTTTTTTTTTTCTCCCCACTAAACCAGCAAGCAGGCAAATAAAGAAACCCTGCAGGGATTGACACAAGATGAGCAAAGTTTTAGAAGATTTTCCTCAGAAAAAAAACCCTCGCAGATTTACAAGCAGCATATCTGTTGTGAGGATTTCGAAGGAGATGAAAATATATTGCTAGCTATCTAGACATTTGTCAAAACAACTGAATTCTATGAATTGGAAAGGATGAACGAAACAACCAATCCTGGGGAAAGAAATTCAAGATGGGCTCTGTTGTGTTAGAATTTTTCTACAAAGACAGGGAAGTTTTAGCTGTGTGAGATAAAGCCTTGCACCAAATGAGAAGCCAACAGACCTTGGAAAGGGGCGTTCAGTTTCACCTTGAAGGGCACTTGGCTTTGTCAATTCTGGATATGTGGTCAAACCCCCTTATCCTCATACCTGTCTCACTCCATCCCTAAATCAGGGACCTGTCTGATTTAGAAAAATAGTGCCTCCCTTTTGGATATGGGGAGAGGGTCAGGATACCTTAATTTACAGTTCGCCATGTCTCTTCACAGAAGGGAGAGGTAATTCTCCAAAAGGAAAAAAGGGGTGCTGTTACCAGAAGAATGATTCGATGCTGGGCAACTAAAACCAACAAATGTCTTCTCCACTTGGAGAATAAGACTTAATTTCAATATTGAATCCTGTTGATGTCACAGTTGCCTGGACCTGACTTCCCAGGCCCTGTTTGTTATGAGTGCATTTGTTTCCTTGGTGCATGGCATACCAGTAGGAATGGGCACACCTAATGCTCAGATCTTGGCTCTTTTTTTGTTTTTTTGAGGTGGAGTTTCACTCTGTTGCCAGGCTGGAGTGCAGTGGTGTGATCTCGGCTCACTGCAACCTCTGCCTTCTGGTTTCAAGTGATTCTCTTGCCTCAGCCTCCCAAATAGCTGGGACTACAGGTGCCCACCACCATGCCCAGCTAATTTTTGTATTTTTAGTAGAGACGGGGTTTCGCCATGTTGGCCAGGATGATCTTGATCTCTTGACCTCGTGATCTGCCTGCCTTGGCCTCCCAAAGTGCTGGGGTTACAGGTGTGACAAATCTTGGTTCTTAAATACCATTGTGCATTAAAAGTTAGCCATTGGAGAAATGGCTGATTCCAGGGCTGGGGCAGGAAAACTACAAGGTACACCTAAATTTTTTTTTCTCATCAGAATGTATGGAGTGGTAAGAAAAAATGACAGGGGCATGTCGCAATGATATAGGAGCCAGCTTGAAGGGAGTCCAACTTCAAAATCAGGGTCAAAATATTCAGATTGGGCTTTCCAAATCTGGGATAATCTAAGCATGGAAATTAATAATGACAGAAATGGAAAACAACACATGGAATCCCTGAATTTATACTGATATTAAAAAAAAGACAAGGGAGAGAGAAGGGAATGAGCTTATTTACTGAAGAATGTCAACTAATAAATGTAGAAGGAATTAGACTTAGAAACTCAAACTCTTGTTGGGTGCAGTGGCTTATGCCTGTAATCCCAGTGCTTTGGGAGGCTGAGGCAGGAGGATCATTGGAGGCCAGGAGTTCGAGACCAGCCTGAGCTTGTCTCTACAAAAAATTTAAAAAAAAGAATTAGCTGGGCACGATGGTGTGTACCTATAGTCCCATGTCCTTGGGGGCTGAGGCAAAAGAATCTCTTAAGCCCAGGAGTTTGAGGCTGCAGTGAGCTATGATTATGCCACTGCACCCCAGCCTGGGTGACAGAGTAAGATGGAATATGGAATATTGCTGGGAAGGGTATGGTACCAGTCTTGAAATATTTCCCCACAGATAACTTATTATTTCATAGTAAGGCACCTTCAGAGTGGAGAAATATGTGGGCACCATCTTAGCTGAGTAATCAAGCTGATCATCATATGCTTCCTCATACAATGCCTGTACAATATTCTTGCCAAAAATGTAACCACAAGGAGACAATCCAATAAACTCAACTGGTGATACATGCAACAAAAAAAGAGAATAATGGGTTAAAGAGTGATGGATGGAGACCACACTGAACAAGACAGGGAACTCTCTGAGGATGGTGACTCCTGAGCAGAGACCAGAATGATGGGAAGGAGCCAAGTATGAGAAGATCTTGGTGGAAGGTGTTCTGGGAAGAGGGAATAGCAAGTGCAAAGGCCCTGGGGCAGGAGTGAATGAGGAGTAGAAAGACCAGTATGGCTAGAGCATTGTGGAAGAAAAGGAGAGTGATATGATGTGAGATTAGAGAGCGAGGTGAGGGCAGATGTTGTAGGGTTTTGAGGCCATATGAGGAATTTAGTTTTGTTTTTGGTGTATATAGTAGAGATTAATTTTTAAATGGATACATAATATTTTTACATATTTATGGGACACATGAGATATTTTGTTACATGTCTCACATGTGTAATGACCAAATCAGGGTATTTAGGATATCCATTATCTTGAGCATTTATCATTCCTTTGTTTTGGGAACATCTCAAATCCTCTCTTCCAGCCATTTTGAAGTATAGAACACATCGTTGTTAACTGCAGTCACCCTGCCATGCTGTTGAACTGCAGTACTGATTTTTTCCATCTAACTGTATGTCTGTCCCCATTAACCAGCCTCTCTTCATTACCCCCACCCACACACTCTTCCCAGCCTTCGGTATCTATCATTCTACCCTCTACCTCCATGAGATCAACTTTTCAGCTCCCAGATATGAGTAAGAACATGTGATATTTGTCTTTCTGTGCCTGGCTTATTTCACTTAACGTAATGACCTCCATTTTCACAGTAGGAGTTAAATTTTAACATACCATACTCTGAGTATGTATCTGTGCTGAATAACTATATTTACCCATTTATATCTACAGCTATATCTAGAAACTACCTCACTAACACTACTCAATTCAGCTGTTGGAAGACTTTAAAATATTTTTGGAACAACTTGTGCGTATGAATTTACTCTTTCAATGGTAAATTTTATGAAATCTAACTATATAGTAAGTATTTCCAATGAAAATTTAGCATCTGTATGGAGATGTGTTGCAAATGTAAAATGCACACTAGATTTTAAGAAAAGAATGTAACTATCTCAAAAATAATTTTAAATTCTTGATACTATGTCGAAATAACGTTTTGAATACATTGACTTAAAATATTATAAATTAATGCTGTATGTATCTTTTTGCTTTTTAAAATTACAGCTCCATTGAGATATTCACGTAACATTGAAAATGTACAATTTGATCATTTTTAGTATATTCAAAGAGTTGTGTGATTATCTCTGCAATCAATTTTAGAACATTTTTATCATCTCCCAAAAAAGCCCCATACTCTTCTCAGTTCTAATTATTCTCCAACCCTTCCAGCCTTAAGCAAACACTAATCTTTGTCTTCTTGGATTTGCCTATTCTGAACACTTCACAGAAATGGAATCATATACTGTAATATTTGTTTTTTTACATTTGTCTTCTCTCACTTAGCATAATGCGTTCAAGGTTCATCTCTGTTGTAGCATATATAGGTACTTTATTCTTTTTGACTGCTGAATAATGTTCTATTATATGCTACATTTTGTTGATGAACATTTGGTTTGTTTTCTCTTTTTGGCTCTGGGGAATAATCCTGATGTAAACATGCATGTACAAGTTTTAGTGTGGACATGTGTTTTGATTTCTCTTGGGTATATATCTAGGAGTGGGATTGCTGGGTCCTATAGTTTTTGCTATTTAATTAATTAATTAATTTATTAATTTATTTATTTTGAGACGGGTCTCACTCTGTCGCCCAGGCTGGAGTGCAATGGCACAATCTCAACTCAATGCAACCTCCGCCTCCCGGGTTTAAGTGATTCTCCTGCCTCAGCCTCCCGAGTAGCTGGGATTACAGGTGTGCACCACCATGCCTAGCTAATTTTTGTATTTTTAGTAGAGACAGGGTTTCACCATGTTGGCCAGGCTGTTCTCGAACTTCTGACCTCAAGTGATCCACCTACCTTGGCCTCCCAAAGTGCTGGAATTACAGACGAGCCACTGGCCAGCTTTTGGTTTTTTAAATGTGGCAACTAGAAAATTTGAAAGTATATGTGTGGCTTGCATTATAATTCTATTGCAAAGTCCCAATCTAACCAAATCAAATTTCCTGAGAGGTCCCTGTCCTGCCAAGGAACAAGGAAAACAGCTAAACTTGCCAATTAGAGATGTCTCGGTCTCTTAAAGTTTTGAGTGGTCCCATTTTACCCTCCCATAAAACAATCTTTTTTTCAGGTAAATATTCAGCTGGTTTAAACATTCAACTCTCTTTTGGGGCTATTCCTTCCTTTTCTGTCTTGCTTCTACAGATGGTGCCTAGGTTCAAGGGACAGCTTGGGAGGAAGTCTGTGGTTCACACTTTCTCCTTGGCATCTTTATTTTTATTTTATTTTATTTATTGATTGATTGAGACAAGGTCTCGCTGTGCTGCCCAGGCTGGAGTGCAGTGGCAAAACCTCGGCTCATGGCAACATCCACCTCCCAGGTTCAAGCAATTCTCGTGCCTCAGGCTCCTGAGTAGCTGGGACTACAGGTGTGCACCATCATGCCTGGCTAATTTTAGTATTTTTAGTAGAGATAGGGTTTCGCTATGTTGGCCAGGCTAGTCTCGAACTCCTGACCTCAAGTGATCTACCTGCCTTGACCTCCCAGAGTGCTGGGATTACAGGCATGAACCACCATGCCCAGCCCCCTCCTTGGCATCTTTAAAAGTAAATCCTGGGCAGTGTAGCACTTTTGTCTTGTTTCTGGGTATCTAGCAGGCTTGCCCATGGAGCAGTGGTAGAGGGAGCCTCCAGAAGGTGATGTCTGTGGCCTCTGCTTAACTCAGCAGGCCCCGCTGCCATTCCTCCTCAGCTCTGGGTGCCTGTCTGTTGGTGCAGGGCCCCCCAGTGATTTCCCCAGCTGAGTCTCTGCCTAAATGCCTCCCTCAGACCTTTCCAAAGTCACATGGCTCCAGCACTATGCCAAGCATGGAGAATTTTCCCGGGGAATCAGAATTTTCTTGGAATATGCACCTGGGATGTGAGGAGCGAAGTCTTGCAATGGTCATTCTCCAACATTATCCAGTTATTTCTACCTTCCCTGGCTTCCTACCCCAAAGAAAGAAGAGCCAGGAAATTTCACTAGATTTGGCAAGATGATTGATGACTTTGATTTTAAAAATAATAAGTTATGTGCTGGTGGTTATCTAGGTCTACACATCTGTGCATACATAATAAGTGTATGCTTCAAATGGGTGCATTTTATTCTGTATAAATTTTATCCCAGCAAAGTTGATTTAAAGAAAGAGCAGGTTCAATTTATATACATTGTGCTGGGAAGATATTTATGATACAGTGTTAAAATATATTTTTGCATGAAAGAAGCCAGTTGCAGAGCAATGAGTAGTAAGATAATACTTTTGTAGTTAAAACGTGAAAAAAGAGGAAAAGCTCCTATATATATTCTGTGTTTCTCACGTAAACACAAAGAGATTGTAGAAAACAACACAAACTGCTTATCTAGAAGAGGACTGGCTGGAGAATAATGGTGGGCAGGGGAAGGGTTAAGTTTGTCTCTGTATCTTCCTGTATTGTTTAACTGGTCCTTTTTTGTCGTGAGACAGTCTTGCTCTGTTACCCAGGCTGCAGTGCACCACCACCACCATGCCACCATGCCACCATGCCACCACGCCACCACGCCCAGCTAATTTTTGTATTTTTAGTAGAGACAGGGTTTTGTCATGTTGTCCAGGCTGATCTTGAGCTCCTGATCTCAAGTGATCTGCGTGCCTTGGCCTCCCAAAGTGCTGGGATTACAGGTGTGAGCCACTGCGCCCAGCCTTAATGTGCATATAGTACAAAGCTCATTTTTTGATTAAAAACACAATAAATATAAAATAATAATAAAAGTCAATTAACTTTTATTATTTGAATTTTTAGCAGACACATTGCACCTTGTACTTTTTAAAAATAGCATCTACTCAACTTTATTTTTTATGTGTTTTTTTTAATACAAAACTCCGGACCTTATTTTTCTAGTTTTTCCACGAATGCTCCTTTTCTGTTCTGGGACCCTGTGCAAGAGATTCCGTTGCATTTAGTCTCAGGCCTCCTTAGCCTCCTCTGGTCTGTGACAGCTTTTCAGTCTTTCCTTGTTTTTCATGAACTTGACCATTCTGAGGAGGACTGGTCAGGTATTTTGTTGAATGTTGCTCAGTTTGGGTTGTATAAAGTTTTTCCTAGTGATTTAGACTGGAATAATGGATTTTTAGGAGGAATTGCACAGAGGTACATGCTATCAACATGGCCTATCACTGATGCTGACCTTGATTGTGGAATTAAAGCAGTGTCTGCCAGGCCTCTCCACTGTCCCTTTCCTTCCTTCCTTCCTTCCTTCCTTCCTTCCTTCCTTCCTTCTTTCCTTCTTTCCTTCTTTCTTTCCTTCCTTTCTTCCCTCCCTCCCTCCTTCCCACTTTCTTTCCTTTCTTTTTCTTTCTTTCTCTTTCTTTCTCTTTTCTTTCTTTCTTTCTTTCTTCCTTTCTTTCCTTCTTCCTTCCTTCCTTTCTCTTTCTTTCTTTTCTTCTTTCCTTCTCTCTCTCCCTCTTTCTTTCTTTCTTTCTCTTTCTTTCCTTCTTCCTTCCTTACTTTCTTTCTTTCTTTTCTTTCTTTCTTTCTTTCTTTCTTTCTTTCTTTCTTTCTTTCTTTTTCTTTCTTTCCTCTTTCTTTCTTTCCTTTTCTTCCTTTTTCTGTCTTCTTTCCTTCTCTCTCTCCCTCTGTCTCTCCCTCTCTCTTTCTTTCTTTCTTCCTTTCTGTCTCTCTTTCTCTCTCTCTCTCTCCTTCTCTCTTTCTTTTCCTTTTCTTTTCTTTGACATGGTCTCACTCTGTCACCCAGGCTGGAGTGCAGTGGTGTGATTCTAGCAACATTATCCAGTTATTTTTACCTTCCCTGGCCTCCCATCCCAAGGAAAAAAGAGCCAGGAAGGCCTTGGCTGGAAGCCCTTCTGGGCTGCAGCCTTGACCTTTGGGCTCAAGCAATCCTCTCTCCTCAGCCTCCTCAGTAGTTAGGACTATAGGTGTGCACTAGGATGCCCAGCTAATTTTTTTATTTTTACTTTTTGTAGAGACAAGGTCTTGCTATGTTGCCCAAGCTGGTCTGAAACTCCTGGCCTCAAGCTGTCCTCTGCCTCAGCCTCCCAAAATGCTGGGATTACAGGCATGAGCCACCGCACCTGGTCCTATTTCCCTTTTCTAGACTCAAGCTATACTCCATATTTATTGGAAGCCAGTTACTAAGACCCGCTTACACTCAAAAGGAGTGGAATCGGTAAGTGTGGGGTGTCTACAGATATTATTTAAAGTTCTTTGTTAGGAAGACTTGCCTCTTTTACCCCAGTACATTAATTTATTCAATCAATCATTTATTTTATACTTTGGGTTTTAACCTTACACTGTGTTATTTATTTTGTTGCTCAAATTGTTCCAGCTTTAATCATAGTGAGTTTTGGGCCTTGCATTCCTGTGATAAGCTGTCCCTTCCTTTTTTTTTTTTTTTTTTTGTTTGTTTGTTTGTTTGTTTGTTGGAGACAGACTCTTGCTCTGTCACCCAGGCTGGAGTGCAGTGGTGCGATCTCGGCTCACTGCAAACTCTGCCTCCCAGGTTCAAGCAATTCTCCTGCCTCAGTTTCCCGGGTAGCTGGGTTACAGGTGTCTGCCACCACACCCAGCTAATTTTTGTATTTTTAGTAGAGACAGGGTTTCACCATCTCTACTAAAGAGACTAGGCTGGTCTTGAACTCCTGACCTCAAGTGATCCACCTGCCTTGGCCTCCTAAAGTGCTGGGATGATGGGCGTGAGCCACTGTGCCTGGCCCGTCCCCTTGTTTTTTTAAAGCACGTCTTTACTTTTCGTCACTACAAGATGCTGCAGGCTCATCTTGTATTTTCTCTGTCCCAGACCACAAACAGCCATTTCTCCAAGGAGCCATGGTTCCTGGAGAATAATAGTGAGAAATGAAGACTGGGATGTGGTGACAAACTTTAATTTTATTGCTCTGTAAGCTTTCCCAAGCTCCCCATTGGGCTATAAACCTCATTCTGCGTGGTGGTTTTGCTGTCTCTCTCACCATGTTGCCTCTTGTACATACAATATCTAGTATTTATTGAATGAATGAAGTTCATTGAAACAAGTTTTAGCTTTTTTCTTGATTCTTTTAATATTACACTAATTTTACTTTTGTGTAACGCCGTAATCTAGCTAGACCAAGAAAATGAGTCATGCCTGATTATTATTATTATTATTATTATTATTATTATTATTATTGTTTGATGTGGGGTCTCACTCTGTCACCCAGGCTGGAGTGCAGTGGCGCAATCTTGGCTCACTACAACCTCCACCTCCCGAGCTCAAGCGATTCTCCCACCACAGCCTCCAGAGTAGTTGAGACTACAGGCGTGTGCCACCACGCCTGACTAATTTTTGTGTTTTTGTAGAGACAGGGTTTCGCCATGTTGCTAAGGCTGGTCTTGAACTCTCGGACTCAAGTGATCCTCCTGCCTCAGCCTCCCAAAGTGCTGGGATTACAGGTATGAGCCACCACACCCAGCAGAGTCATGCCTTATTTTATCTCCCTGTCATTATGAAATGACTGATATCTCAGAAAATGAAGACATGAATGCATTTGTAATGTATTCATGGAGTATGTCCTACCCTGCATGCATTTCAACAGTAGTCACCCATAATCAATGAATATTTGTAATTCTTGGTTATTTGATTTTATTCCTGGCCAGAAATTTAAAAAGGAAAGTGTGTAGTAGGAAAAAAAAAAAAAAGCAAATTGACTGTTTTTTCCTACTACACTTACTCAACTCCATGCACTTCTGTGACCATATGGGTGGGGTTTTCCTTACATGTCAGTACTCCCATGGGTACCAACTGGGTATCCTCTAATTCAGTTCAATTCTGACATTATATACTTGGAGTCAGATCCCACAAGATAAGGACTCAGTCCCACAAGTCTGCTTCCACCTCAGATGCCAATAGCAAGTCTGGGCCTCTGGAACTGACCAACTGGCTATAAATTAGGGGTTCCCACCACCCTCTCCCTAATGATTTGCTAGAGTGGCTCACAGAACTCAGGAAATCACCATACTTAATGTTTACCCATTTATTATAAGGGATATTACAAAGGATACAGATGAACAGCCAGATGAAAAAGATGAGGCACAGGGCAAGGTATGGGGAGAGGGGCTGTGGAGATTCCATGTCTTCTGATATAGTGTGGTTGTGTCCCCACCCAAATCTCATCATGAATTGTAGCTCCCGTAATCCCCACGTGTTGTGGGAAGGACCTGGTGGGAGGTAATTGAACCATGGGGGCAGGTTTTTCCCATGCTGTTTTTGTGATAGGGAATAAGTCTCATGAGATCTGATGGTTTTATAAAAGAGAGTTCCCCCGCACCTGCTTTCTTGCCTGCCACCATGTAAGAATGTGCCTTTGCTCTTCCTTTGCCTTCCGCCATGAGTGTGATGCCTCCCCAGCCATGTGGAATTGTGAATCAACTAAGCCTCTTTCCTTTATAAATTACCCAGTTTTGGGTATGTCTTTATTAGCAGTGTAAAAATGAACTAATACATCCTGTATGGGTAAGACACCCTCCATGTGTTCAGAAACCTAGAAGCTCCTCAAACCCCTTGATTTTTATGGAGGCTTTATCACATAGGTATGATTGATTATTAAGTCAATTTCCAGCCTCTCTCCCCTTCTCAGAGGATGGGAATGGGGATGGAAGTTCCAAGCTTCTATTCTTGGCTTGGTCTTTCTGGTGACCAGCCCCCACCCAGAAGCCCCATTGAGAGTTCCCATATTAGAACAAGAGATGCTCCCATCACTCAGAAAATTGCAAGGGATTAGGAACTCTGTGGCAGGAACCAGGGTTAAAGACCAAATATTGGAACAAAAGATGCTCCTAACATCTCTATTGCCCAGGAAATTGCAAGGGATTTAGGCACTATCTGCCAGGAACTGGAGATAAAGATATATATATTTCTTATTATAAATCATAATGTCACATAAAGATACATTGTTGCTCTGTTCTTTTCTAATTCTTTTCCTTCCATCTATTTCCATATGTCAAAATTGGACCAGTGTCCCAAGGCCTAACTAACTCCAAAGCCAAGTCTTTCCAGTTGCCTTTATATCTCTCTGTCTAAAATGAGATCTCCCTTATCTCTGAATCCCATGAGTTTGTATTTACACTGTGATATTTACCTTTTTAAAATTGTACTCATTTATATATGTCATAATCCTTCTCTAACACTGTAAATTAATTTCTGGCAGGGCTCATATCAGATTCAACTTCTTGCCTACAAATAGCAACAAGAAATCAATTGTTTAAAGAGAATTTGAAATTTAAAAAATTATATTATGGCTCTGTAATAGCTAATTTCAGAATGGAGGAAAAAGAACAACTAAATCAGTTGATCAGAAGGAGGGGAAACTATACAAATTATGTTCTGGCTATAAAATTACAAGTGATTGTTATGTAGAGGATAGATAGGGAAGCTAGTACTACAGTGAAGTTCCCCCTTTCATTCTCAACCCCTTAAATTTGGTCCAAAGAAACTCAACCAACCAACCAACCAACTAAAAAAAAGTCGATACATTTGGTATCGAAGAAGGTATGGTGAAAAGGTTAAATATATATAGTTGAAGGGGGAAGAATCTGGTCTAGAATGATAAAAGATGCACATACAAGAAAATATATTACCACGCTGTTTGCAAAAATGAAAACCAGAGCATTTTGGAAGCGACCTGACTGTCTGTCAACAGCAAATGACTGGATAAAATTTGATATAGCTATACTATGTGATGTTATGTGGCTATTAAAAACAAATTAGATCTCTGGCTATTTTTCCAAAGACATGTCTGTGGTGGGCTGTAAAGTGAGAAAAGGAAGGAGCAGAGACAGGAGTTGAGCTTGATTCTAGTTTTGTCAAAATGTCAACTTACAGGTCAGGGTAAGGACCTGTAAGGGAGGGAAGAGAAAACGGGAGGGTAGGAGACCAGCCAGGCTAGATAGGGACAAGGTTGCATGTTCTCCCACAATGCGTCCAGGTAGCCTCTTATTCTGAAAAAGACACAGTCACCTTGCCAACGGCCATGACCTGCTAGTCTCATTGATTCTCATAGGAAAGAAACATTTGTGCCCAGAGTTTTAGGGGATTTGAGGTTCCAGTTGGGGATTTCCCTGAGGAGAGCGCATGTCATCATGCATTTTGACGTCATGGCATCTTGAACTTTAGATAAAAGAGAACCAATTCATGTTGATTTTTTGTTGTTGTGGCATTTAAAAACTCTGAGCTTTATCTTTTAGAGGGGTAAGATGAAAAGGAGTGAAGATCAGCCTTCCCCTTTTTACTTAATGGGAAAGGGTTTGTAGATGATTTAAAATGTCACTTATTTCATTGAAATGAATGATACATTTATTAAAGATGTTCAAACTCACCAGTGTCAGAGATATGTAAATTAAAGTAACAGTGAGATATCCCTCTCAGGCTGGGAAAAAAAATGGAAAAGACCAATCTCACCTATATTGTTGATGGGAATGAGAATTATTTCAGCTGTGTTTTGGCCACATTTATTAACATAAAATATATAGATTTTTGGAAATTATATAGGACTGGATATATAGGAAATAATATAGGTAATAAGACACATAAATTATATAGAATAATGATAAAATGAACCCATTTCCAACCTAAGAATGTGGTCGTCACCAATACTGTTGAAGCCACCTGCAAGCTTCTCTCTAGTCCACTTTCTCTGCCTTCTCCGCCTTTCTCTAGAGGTATCTACTACCCTGTTCTCTTGCTTTGCTCTTTTAAAAATAGTTAAAGAGAAATACATATACTCTTTGACCCCGTAATCCCCATCCTGGGACTCTATCTCGTAGACATAAAGGCCATGGTACATAAGGATGTTTGTAGAAAGGATGTTTATTGCAGCACTGTTTGTAGTAGCCAAAGAGGGAGAAACGAGTGAATGCCCATTAATGATTGAACAAATTACAGGACATCCACACCATGGAATTTTCTGCAGCTATTAAAAAACGATGAATTAGAGCAATACCAGATGCCTTGGAGGGATTTCCATGGCATATTGTAGAATGAGGAAATGGGAGCTGCGGAAGCGTGCATAAAATGACAAATGCCTATGTATTATATACTGTGTGTGAATACATATATTTGTGTGTGATTTATGAGTATAGAGACAAATTTGGAAGGATGTATTCTAAATTGTCAATGAGGATTAACAGAAAGAGGAAGGGTGGTCTGATGTGGAGGGAGAATGGATTAAGCCAAAAGAGAAGAAGAAAAAAACCCAAATTACCTGGGCTTCATCAGATAAATGGAGATCAAAATTCCATCTTATTGTTGTTCCAGGGCTTGTAATATGGTTAGGCTTTGTGTCCCCACCTAAATCAAATCTCATCTTGAATTGTAATCCCCATAATCCCCACAGATCAAGGGAGAGACCAGGTGGAGGTTATTGAATCATGGGGGTGGTTTCCTCCTTGCTGTTCTCATGATAGTGAGTGAGTTCTCACGAGATCTGATGGCTTTATAAGGGGCTCTTTTCCCCTCTTCGCTCAGGACTTCTTCCTGCCACCTTGTGAAGAAGGTGCTTTGCTTCCTTTTTGCTTTCCGTCATGATTGTAAGTTTCCTGAGGCCTCCCCAGCCATGCTGAACTGTGAGTCAATTAAACCTCTTTCCTTTATAAATTACCCAGTCTCGGGCCGTTCTTTATAGCAGTATGAAAATGGACTAATACAGCTTGTGTGATAATTTCACTGGATGATGTGAAGGCTTTTTTGAAAATGTTCAAGGCTCTGCCCAAATATGTGATGGTGGAATTTATTATGATATGCAAATGATACTTATAATAGTGATGTGATTTTATTTATTTATTTATTTTTTTTGAGACAGGGTCTCACTCTGTCTCTCAGGATGGAGTGCAGTGGTGCGATCACAGCTCACTGCAGTCTCAACCTCCTGGGCTCAATTGATCCTCCCACCTCAGCCTCTTGAGCAACTGGGACTACAGGCATGCACCAACACACCCGGCTATTTTTTTTTTTTTTTTTGTATTTTTTGTAGTGACTGGGTCCATGTTGACCAGGCTGGTCTTGAATTCATGGGCTCAGGTGATCCTCCTGTCTTAGCCTCCCAAAGTGCTGGGATTACAGATGTGAGCCACTGCACGTGGCCAGTGATGTGACTTTGAGCAAATAATTTTTTATTCTTCTAGGTCTAATAAGGTTTTATCCATTAGACAGATAATAATAACCAACCTCATTAATAGCTGATATCCTTTCAGATGAACTATTGAAATCACTCTGCCTGGATTAAATGTAGTCCTCAACCATGGCAAAATTCAAAGTATGACCTGCTTAACCTGACTGCTAAATCCTCCCCTGACCCCCACCACAGTTTCCCCTCTGCTAACACCTTACATCGCCATGGTACTTTTGTCTAAACTCAGAGATGGGAACTGGCGCATTGCTTGTAACTAACCTCCAGAGTTTATATGGCTTTCACTTTTCCAATCATGTTCTGTTTCTGTTTTACGATCCAATCCAGGGTGCCACACTGCATTTTGTTGGCATGAATCCTCAGTCATTTCTTGTCTGTGACAGTTTTTCATTATTTTTTATAGCTTTTTTTTTTTTTGAGATGGTGTCTTGTTCTGTCACCCAGGCTGGAGTGCAGTGGTGTGATCTCGGCTCGCTGCAACCTCCGCCTCCCGGGTTCAAGCAATTCTCCTGCCTTGGCCTCCTGAGTAGCTGGGATTACAGGCATGCATCACCATGCATGGCTAATTTTTATATATTTTTTTAGTAGAGACAGGGTTTTGCCATGTTGGCCAGGCTAGTCTTGAACTCCTGACCTCAGGTGATCTGCCTGCTTTGGCCTCCCAAAGTGCTGGGATTACAGGCATGAGCCACCGCGCCCGGCCTACGTTTTATGGCTTTGATGGTCGAGATGTGCTGGCCAGGTATCCTGTAGAAAGTTCCCCGATCTGGGTTTGCTGGATGCCTTCTCCAGATTATGCTGGAGCAGTTTGTTTTTGTGTGTGTTATCCAGACTAATCTCCTCTTGGAATAATTTTGCCTATATAAATGTGACCCGCCGGGCGTGGTGGATCACACCTGTATCCCAGCACTTTGGGAGGCTGAGGCAGGTTAATTGCCTGGACTCAGGAGTTCGAGACCAGCCTGGGCAACATGGCAAAACCCCGTCTCTAAGAAAATACAAAAAATTAGCTGGGCGCGGTGGCGCACACCTGTAGTCCCAGCTACTTGGGGGGCTGAGGTGGAGGATGGCTTGACTCTGGGAGTTTGAGGCTGCAGTGAGCTGAGATCATGCCACTGCACTTCAGCCTGAGTGACAGAGTAAGACCCTGTCTCTAAAAAAATAAGATAAAATAAAAGAAATGTGACCCTAGAGTTGTGTGTGAGTGAGAGAGAGAGAGAGAGAGAGAGAGTGTGTGTGTGTGTGTGTGTGTGTGTGTGTGTATAAGAGGCAGGGTCTGTCTCTGTCCCCAGGCTGGAGTACAGTGGTGCAATCATAGCTCACTGCAACCTTGATCTCGTGGTATCAAGCAATCCTCCTGCCTCAGCCTCCCGAGTAGCTAGGACTACAGGTGTGCACCACCACTGCTAGATAATTCTTTTTTTTTCTAGACGTGTGGTTTCACTATGTTGTGCAGGCTGAAACTCCTGGCTTCGAGTGATCCTCCTGCCTCAGCCTTCCAAAGTGCTGGGATTACAGGCATGATATACCAGGCCTAGCCCCTAGAGGTATTAAATGGGGGTATTAACTTGTCTTTTTATTCTTCATTTAAATGATTGCAAATGCTATCCAATCTACTCCCGAGAGGCCCCTCAGGGAGTTAGTTTCCATTTTACAGATGAGGCAGCCGGACCCTTCTGCATGGCAGAGAGGACATTCCAACCCAGATGCCAGTGCCAGAGGCTGCCCATAGCTCCGCTACTGTTGAGCTGCTAACAAATTGGTTTGTCCAAGGGCATGTTCAACTGTAACCCTCCGTTCCCCTTTGGAGAAACTTCACTATCACCTAATTAGGTAACATGGTAACTGGGCAACCATTACTTATAATAGACGTGGAGTTGTAAATTATTCTATTTAATTAAGAACTGCACATTTCCTATTAAAGGAAAGCTTATCATAGGTTAGTAAATTTATTGGGAACACTTAACTTTAGCTAATTAAGCTGTTTGAACTCAAGGCGAGGGCATTCATTAATAACCAAGCCCAAGCAGTTAAGGGCAATTAGTGAAACAGCTGGTCTTTATCTCACTGTTAAAGGATGGTTAATAGAGATCTTTGCAGCTCTTATAAACCTCCCCAAAGCAATATCTTCTTCAAAAGTTTGCATTGGTAAAGAAAATAGAAGAGGAAACTAAACATAAAAGAATGGAGTGTCGGAAGCAGTCTGGATCTCTAGGCTCATGATGATGCCAGAAAAAAATGAAATCCAGAGGCATTTCCTAGTGGTCCTCATCTTTCCTAGTGGTCTGCATTTACCTGGGAGAGTTTGACCTCGAAGTCAGCAGTAGATGTGTTTTAGCTCCCCCCTGGAATCTTGGCTGCCCCAGGAGCATGGGGCCAGGGATGGGTCCTTTATATATGCAGAGATTATATGTCCTGAAAGAAAAATGCAGGAATGGTAACCTCTCATTCAGAAATGCAGCCAGGTAGCCTTAGACAAAATGCTTTTTTTGGATCTGCAAACGTCTCTATGTAGAAAGTCTCACAGAGTCCTCATATGTCTTATTCAGTAATTTGTCAGATTTTTTTTTTTTTTTTTTTTTTTGGAGATAGGGTCTAACTCCGTCACCCAGGCTGGAGTGCGGTGGCGCAATCTCAACTCATCACAACCTCAGCCTCCCAGGCTGAAGCGATCCTCCCACCTCAGCCTCCTGAGTAGCTGGTACTACGGGCATGTGCCACCATATCCTGCTAAGTTTTTTGTATTTTTAATAAAGACGAAGCTTCACCATGTTGTCCAGGCTGGTCTTGAACTCCTGAGCTCAAGCGATCAGCCTCCCAAAATGCTAGGATTACAGGCATGAGCCGCCCTACCCAGCCAGCTTGAACTTTTATTTAGAAATGTTAAAATGTGCATAGTTATTAGGATTATCTTGTGTTTCAGGAATCAACTGTCATTATGTATCCTGTGATTGGAGGGAAATGAGTAATTCTTACCCTACCTGCAAATAGTTGTTTCTTGGTCAGATGGTAGGGATTCTGGTTGGGGATGGTACTTTCATCACTCTGCCTTCAGACATGTATTGATTGCCTGTTGTATGCTGGGCACTATGCTGGTATGTGACATCACATGAGAGCATCAAGGAGCCTGTTTAGCTTGCAATCCAATGAGAGAAGAATGGACAGTAAACAGGTGTTGTTTTTGTTTATTAAAACAAGGTAATCTTTGGCTGGGTGCGATGGCTCGTGCTTGTAATCCCAGCACTTTGGGAGGTGGAGGTGGGAGGATGGCTCAAGGCCAGGAGTTTGAGACCAGCCTGGGAAACATAGAGAGACCCCGTCTCTACCTAACAGAAAAAATTAGCCAGGCATGGTGGTGGCATATCCCTGAAGTCCCAGCTATTTGGGAGGCTGGGGTGGGAAAATAGCTTGAGCCCAGGAGGTTGAGGCTGCAGTGAACTATGATTACGCCACTGCACTCCAGCCTGGGTGACAGAGTGAGATCCTGTATCTAAGAAACAAAAAAACAAAAAACAAAGTAATCATGGACTATGATCAATGCTTTGAAGGCAAAGTGGTTATCCAAATTCAGCCTTTCTTGGTTGTTGCCTTGCCTTATAATAGTGTCTGCTTCATATTTCCTTTTTAGTTGGCTCATATTGCTTTAAACTTAAATATATTTATTTGAAATGAAGACCTTATATTCCTACAATAAGTGGGAAGCCAGTATCACTTATCAGAAATGGAAACTAATCAGAAGAATAAATACATAACTATTAAAATGAAAGCTGTCACATGTTCTCATTTATACGTGGGAGCTAAATGATGAGAACACATGGACACATAGAAGGGAACAACACACCCTTTCAGAGGGTGGAGGGTGGGAGGAGGGAGAGGATCAGGAGAAATAACTAATGAGTACTAGGTACTGGGTGATGAAATAGTCAAACACCCGTGACACAAGTTTACCTATGTAACAAACCTGCACTTATACCCCTGAATTTAAAGTAAAAGTTAAAAAAATTCATTACCTCACATACTTAGTTTTGGAGGGTTGAAGACATTTAAAATCTACTCTTTTAGCAATTAATAATAAAGGTTTTTTTTTTGTTTTTGTTTTTGTTTTTTTTTTTTTTTTTGAGAGGGAGTCTCACACTGTTGCCTGGGCTGAAGTGCAATAGTGTGATCTTGGCTCGCTACAACCTCTGCCTTCTGGGTTCACGCGATTCTCCTGCCTCAGCCTCCCGAGTAGCTGGGATTACAGTCCCACACCACCACACCTGGCTAATTTTTTGTATTTTTAGTAGAGATGGGGTTTCACTATGTTGGCCAGACTGGTCTTGAACTCCTGACCTCATGATCCGCCTGCCTCGGCCTCCTAAAGTGCTGGGATTACAGGTGTGTGCCACCATGCCTGGCTATTTTTTTCGTGTTTTTAGTAGAGACGGGGTTTCACCATGTTGGCCAGGCTAGTCTCGAACACCTGACCTCAAATGATCTGCCTGCTTTGGCCTCTCAAAGTACTGGGATTACAGGTGTGAGCCATCGTGCCCAGCCTAATATTAAAGTTTTCTTTGGTTTTAGTAAATGAAAAAAATAAAAATAAAATAAAACCTGTCTTCTGCCACCTAAAAACAGCCCAGGAAGTACCAGCAGTGTGCATGTCATATTTTGGAAATATTGGCATGAGTTGAGGGGTAACTGAGGATGCCACCTGCCATGTGTGCATGCATGTGTATGTATATAACCACCTGAAAGTAGATTACATGGTACTTCACTCTTAAATAATAGTGTGCGTTGTCTAAGAACAGGAACTTCTACTACATAATCATAATACCATTTCACACCTGAGAAAATGAACAATAGAGCCTGATATTATTTAATATATAGTCCATATTCATGCTTTCCTCATTGGCCCAAAAATATTTTTATAGCTTTCTTCTTGAACCCAGATATAATCAAGGCTTACACACTGCATTTGGTCACTAGGTGTTTTTAGTCTAAATCTATAACAAAGTTTGGTAATCATTTTCTAGAAAGGGCCGGGTAGCAAATATTTTTGGCTTTGCAGGCCATATCATCTCTGTTGCAGTCACTTAACTCTGCTCTTTTCATACAAAAGCAGCCATGGACAGTAAGTAAACAAGTGAACATGGCTGTATTCCAATAAAACATTATTTACAAAAACAGGTAGTGGGCCAGATTTGGTCCACAGGATAACACCAAACTCACTTCCCCTTTTAAATGAAATTGGCTTAAAATCCTTCCTTTTAAAGTTGCAGCATGTGGCATTGACTTTTGAAAAATCTCAGCCAGATGTCTTGTAGAATGTCCCACATTTGGATTTGTCCGAAGTTTCCTCTGGGTGTTATTGAACTTGTTCCTCTCTCCCCTATATTTCTTCTGTCCTGAAGATTAGTTTCAGAGGCTTGATTTGATTGGGGTGAAACATTTCTGGCAAGAATCCTTCAAGGTGATGCCATATCTTTCACATTGCATCATGCCAGGAAACATGTATTTCTTTGCTCCCCACTTGGTGATGCCAAGTTTGAGCCCTTGGCTAGGGACATAACACCAGACCTCTCCATTGCAAAGGTACATTTCCCCTCTGGAATTAGTGCATAATATGCAGGCTTCTCCCTCTGTCTGGAACACGCCTCTCTGTGGTCTTCCTTTGGGTGGCTCTTTCTCATCATTTGAGCCCCCACTCAAGCATCAGCTGCCCTGAGAGCAGGACATTATGCAACTGCTCTTAGGTGCTCTCAAGGCCCTGCATGCTGTGGCCCTGGCCACCTCCCTGGAGTCATCTTGGACATTCTCCTCTTTCCTGTTGCAGGTCAGCCATGCTGGCCATCTTTCACTGCATGGAGTGCACCGTGCTCCCTCTGTCCTATCCTTGCCTGGAGCACATCACTCTCTGCCTCACCCGGCTAACCCCTTCTCACACTTCTGGTATTCACTAGGGGGTCCTATCCTGAAGGGTGTCTTCCTAGACTGTCCTCCCCATCCCAGTTTGGGCAAAATACTGCTGTCAAATGTTCTCAAAGTACCACATAAGTTTCTTTTTGTAAGGGCTCATCACAACGGAAATTTTTCATTTTTAATGTGGTTATTATATTAGTCTCCCCTACCCTCCCTAGAAGCTGAGCTCCATAAGGGCAAGAAGCCTGCCTAATTTTGTTCATCCCTGTAAATATCCAAAACACCTAGCACAGTGCCCAGCACATAGTAGGTGCTCAATAAATATCTGTTGAATAAATGTATGAATAATGACTTGTTGAATGGCTCCAATGGGACCCTATGCTAATAGGATCCTGAAGGGTCAGCCCTATTTAGCACTCGGAATGATCTAGACCAGGAATTGGCAAGCTTTTTCTGGAAATGGCCAGATAGTAAATATTTTTAGCTTTGTGGGCCATACATTCTCTCACGGAATTATTCAAGTTGGTTGTGGTAGTGAAAGCAGCCAGGGGAAATACCTAAGTGAATGGACAGAGCTTTGTTCCAATAAAAATTTATTTACAACAGGCCAGGTGCAGTGGCTCATGCCTGTAATCCCAGCACTTTGGGAGGCTGAGGAGGGCAGATCAGTTGAGGTCAGGAGTTCAAGACCAGCCTGGCCAACATGGTGAAACCCCATCTCTACTAACAATACAAAAATTAGCCGGGCATGGTAGCATGCACCTGTAATCCCAACTATTCAGAAGGCGGAGGCAGGAGAATCGCTTGAATCCAGGAGATGGAGGTTGCAGTGAACTTAGGTCACACCACTGCATCCCAGTCTGGATGACAGAGCGAGACTTCATCTCAAAAAAAAAAAAAAAAATTACAATAGGAGGCGAGCCAGATTGGGGCTGTGGGATGGAGTTGGCCAGTCCCTGATCTAGGGGCATTATTCCTGGTTTCATCTTAATTTTGCTTCATATTTATTGAATTCCTGCTCTGTAACAGGCATGATTCTGGATTCTGGGAATATCACAGTGAGTGAGACTGACAATATCTTTGGCCACATGAAGCTTACTATAAATGAATGAATATTTGACTAGAGACAGACAATAAAGAAGTAAATGAATAATATCATTTCACACATGATGATGTGTTCCATGAAAAATAATTAAACTGGGTGCTGGAATGCTGAATGACTGAGTTGAAGCCTAGGGGCTGCTCTTTTAAATAGAATGGTCAGGTTAAATTAGGGGCAATTTGAGCATTGGTAAAAAGGATGTAACTGAATGTCGCACACTGGAGAAATAAAAACCCATGAGTCAATAGTGTGTCTAAAGAGAAAGGGAGAAGTGAAGGAGGAAAGCTCTTAGTTAGGGAGCTAACTAATCCTTGTAAAAGGATCGGTAGAATTAAAAATCATGGCCAGGAGTGGTGGCTCGTGCCTGTAATCCCAGCACTTTGGGAGACTGAAGTGGATGGATCACTTGATCCTAGAAGTTCAAGACCAGCCTAGGAAACATAGTGAGACCCTCATTACTACTACTAATAAAAAATATTATCCAGGCATAGTAGCACACACCTATAGTCCCAGCTATTTGGGAGGCTGAGGAGGGAGGATCGCTTGAACCTGGGGAGGCTGAGGCTGCAGTGAGCTGTGATCGTGCTACTGCATTCTGGCTTGGGCAACAGAGAGAGACCCTGTCTCTAAAAAAAAATAATAAAATAAAAATCATGTTTCAAGCCCCATTGTAATAATTGATTCATGACCAGCCTGGGCAACATGGTGAAACCCGTCTTTACTAAAAATAAAAAAAATTAGGTAGGCATGGTGGTGCACACCTGTGGTTCCAGCTACTCAGGAGGCTGAGGCAGAAGGATCGCTCAAGCCCAGGTGGTGGAGGTTGCAGTGATCCAAGATCGTGCTGCTGTACTCCAGCCTGGGTGACAGGGTAAGACTTTGTTTCAAATGATACTAATACTAATAATAATTGATTCATGTAAGAATCATCTTCCCCAAGAAAGTACAATTGAGCAAGAGAAGAATGATGAGATGAAGCCACCAGGAAGAAAGCGTGGGGAAGGGTGTTGCAGGCAGAGGGAGGGGACAGTGCAGTCCCTGTGGCTTGCTTCAGAGACAGCAAGAAGATCTCGGTTGCTGGACAGAGGAGGAGAATGGTCAGAGATGACAGACCCAGGGCATGTTGGGCTTTGTAGGTCCTAAGGAGGAGCTAGGATTTTATCCTAAGTGTGGGGGGAAACCATGACAGTCTTTGGAATGGAAAGGAGGTAAGATGGTTTCTATTTTAACATGATTCTGCCTGCTACTGTGGCAGGAGTAGGTTGGCAATGGGGTGGTCACAGTGGAAGAGGGAGACCAGCAAGGGGACTTCCAAAGTCATCTGATGCAAGAAATGATGTGGTGTCAGCAGAAGGGGTGAGAAGTGGTTGCAGCTGGCATATACATTTGAAGGTAGAACTCCCAGGGTTTGAATTATATGTGGATGGGAAGGAAAGAGAGGAGTTGAGGATGACTCCAAGGTCTCGAGGCTGAATAATCTGTGGGTGGGAGCCATGTTGGGGGAAGACCCTCAGAGGCCTCGGTTTATGAAAGAAGCCTCAACAACTGTATTATGATGGATACATGCCCTGTGTGAGATGCCTGTTAGACATCTCAGTGACATGGAGTAGGCAGGTGTAGGAGGTACGAGCCTGGAGATAGTTGAGAGTTATTGGTCTATAGCTGATTAAATCACAAGAGGGGATAAGATCCCTTAGATAGAGGAGACCTAGGATTGGGAAAGGCATTAGGGGACACAGAAGGGGCAGCTGGTTAGGTAGGAAAACCAGGAGGATGGGAACCCTAGCACCAGTTCAGAAAGAATTTCAAGAACTTAGTTCCCTTATTTCCCCTTATTGTATTTTTTCACCCCTTTAAAACTCATTTTGGCCTGTAGCAGTGGTAAACAATAGCTCTGACAGTAGTAACAGTAAAGGCAGCCAGCATTTATACCTGTTCTGTGCCACACAGATGCTAAACACCTTACCTGCTCTATCTCATTGAATCCTCACTCCAGCTCCTTGATGTGGGCTTTATTATTATCCCTGGTCTAAACTGAGCAAAGTGAGGCCCAGAGAGGTTGAGTGACTTGCCCAAAGTCACACAGCTCATAAGTGACAGAGCCAGAATTAGAACCCTACATGCCTCAAATCTTTTCCCAAAATAGGTTAGCTATAAATAAATGTCCTGAGAAGCTCCTGGGAAAAGGGTAGTGGTTGATGGGAGGACATTCACTCTGGTATTTAAGGAACTGCTATTCATCAGTCCAGAAACAGAATAGAGGCAGACAATACAAAATTCCTGCTCTTCTGGGGGAGCCTCAGTATCCTCATCTGTGAAATGGGGATAATAAATATATCTACCTCATCAACTTTTTGAGAGGATTCAATGTGTTAATGCAACAAATCTCTCAGAACAGGGCCTAACATGTAGTTGACATACGAGACATAGTCATTATTGAGAGACTCTATGGCTTCATGGTTAAGGATTGGGCCTCCTAGTGCCAGGATGTCTGGGTTCAAATCCCAACTTTGCTACTCCCTAGCTGTGTGGCACTGGGCAAATTCCTTACCCTCTCTGTGGCTTAATTTCCCCATCTGTAAAATGGGATAATGATAGTTTGTAGCTCATATCATTATGATGAAGGTTTACTAAGCTAATATTTTGAAAGGGCTTGAAGTAGCTGGTACATAGTTCTCGTGTTTTAGCTGTTATCATGGGGTTGGGATACAGTGGGGACACAGGCAACAAGCACGCCTGTCAGTAAAGAAACATGTTATCATCTGTGAGAAGAAAGCATGGTAAATAAAAACCCTGCTGGATTTCCACGTGCGTTTCCGTGACAGGCGGCCTGGATTAAAGAGTCGAGAAGTCACAGCGGGAAGAGCTGTCCTGTTCCCAGAGGCAAATGACAGCCCACGGAAAGAAATAGCACAAAGCTTCAGGACGGGGAGACGGTGTCCCGAGGAAAGAGAGGAGGAGCAGAGGATGCTGCGAATCACTGTAATATTTTCCCTAGGAAAGTCCCAGGGGTTCTTGTAGAGGCCTTAATCTCCTATTCTGGGCTTCGGATGCCGGTAGCTCCTTGCTCTTTGAGAGCTGCGTTCCCTCTGGCCTCTGTCTGTCTCTGTTAGAGCCTAATCATATTTGAAAGTAGTTTTTATCTGTGATTATTCATCTGTATATGAGGAGCTTATGTGTCTAAGCTGCCACTTCCATCAAATCCAAGCGCACGGCCCCGTTAATACGCACAGGCCTGACGTTGGCAGGGAAAGTGGTCCCCACCCCTAGTCCAAGGAGGGAGATTTTAGAGAGTTACAGGGGGCCAGCTTTGGGAGTGGGGAGGTGGAGGTAGACAGTGCTGGCATCAAGACAGGGAGCAAAACAAATATGAGAGACCTAATAGCAGGAATTCCAGCCAGGCCCGTAAATCGATAGGTGGGCTTACCCTCAAGGCATGGCTTCTCAAACTTTAATAAGATGGTGTCTATGAAGATTACATATTAGCTTAGAGAACAATATTTCATTTTTGCTGGCTCTTTTTAATCTGCGGGAGATGATGTGCTGGGCTAGGTTTAATGCTCACACACATATTTCAGTTTAATTTTCTGTTAAATTGTGGTGAGGTTAGAGTGGAGTTTTTTCCCCTCTTCCCAGGGTGGGGAGTTCTGACATCAGGAGGCAGACAGCCAGCGGGGAATCAGGCCAAGGACAAAGTTGGGCGGCCCCCCGACCTACGACAAAGACAAAATCATTTGATTATCCTTGCTTCTCCTGCGGATGTTTGTTTCTTTCTCTCTCTCTCTTTTTTCCTACAGCATTGCGATGTAATTCACATACCATGCAATTTACTCATTTAAAGTGTACAATCTGTCCAGGCACGGTGTCTCATGCCCGTAATCCCAGCACTTTGGGAGGTTGAGGTGGGAGGATTGCTTGAGCCCAGGAGTTCAAGACCAGCCTGGGCAACAAAGTGAGACCTTGGCTCTACAAAAAATAAACAAAATTAGCTGGGCGTTGTGGCACATGCCCGTGGTCCCAGCTACTTGGGAGGTTGAGGTGGGAAGATCTCTTGAGCCTGGGAGGTTGAGGCTACACTGAGCCGAATTGCACCACTGCACTCCAGCCTATACGACAGAGCGGGACCCTATCTCAAACAAACAAACAAAGAAACAAACAACAACAACAACAAAAAAAATGGAGGCTTGTGTACTGTATGTTTACACATTTAAGCATAAACCAATATATGTCATATCCTCTTACCTTGGCAAAACTCCATAATGATAAGATTAAAACATACAATAGAGCTAAGGTTTAGCTCTAATGTTACTGGAAGTTGACACAATATCAAACATCACTCAATTAAACCCCTGTTATTTTTGGATATTCTGTTGGTGGACTGGCTGGCAATGTTTGGATGAATAAAAGAAAAAAGACACATATAATTCACAAATTAGATATTTCATAAAATTTCTTTCTCTGGCTTTAATTTTATCAAAGTCACTAATAATGTTGCTTTTGAGACCGAGTCTTACTCTGTCGCCCAGGCTGGCATGATCTCGGCTCACTGCAACCTCTGCCTCTTGCGTTCAAGTGATTCTCCTGCCTCAGCCTTCAGAGTAGCTGGAATTACAGGTGCAAGCCACCATGCCTGGCTAGTTTTTGTATTTTGAGTAGATACGGCATTTCGCCATGTTGGCCAGGCTGGTCTCAAACTCCTGACCTCCAGTGATCCACCCGCCTTGGCCTCCCAAGTTGCTGGGACTACAGGCATGAGCCACTGTGCCCAGCCAATAATGTTTTTATAATCAAGAGTTCTACCAATTTGCTTCTATTGACAGCAATGATTTAGTCATTACAAAATAAAATATTATTGGATTAAAACTATTTGGATATATTTTCACCAAGAAAGTATATCATAGTAAAGATAAAATGGAAAAATTAAAGTTATTTTTCGTATATGTTTTCAAAACATTATTTTTTCTTTAGGTATTTGAAATTATTTATTACAATTAAAAGGTACAATGAAAATTATGTTAGTATTAACAATTAAATATTAAACAATTAAAAAAATGAAAGTTGAAATTTAATTTTTGAAATTTGATTTAGATCTTATTACATATTTTTATTTAAAAACTATTCATAATTCTAGTTTTCTATGTCTGTTCAGTTGTCAGTTTCAAGAGTCATTCAGTATTATGGCCAGATTTATGAATATACATAATTAAGAGTACATTTTTTTTGAAACAGGGCATCATTCTGTTGCCAAGGCTGAAGTGCAGTGGCACAATCATGGCTCGTTGCAGCCTTGACCCTCTGAGCTCTATCAATCCTTCTGCCTTAGCCTCCTGAGTAGCTGAGACTACAGGTGTGCACCACCACGCCTGGTTAATTTTTGCATTTTTGTAGAGATGGAATTTCATCATGTTGCCCAAACTGTTCTTGAACTCCTGGGCTCAAACAATCCTCCAGCCTCGGCCTCCCAAATTGCTGGGATTACAGGTGTGAGCCACCGCACCTGGCCATGAATTCTTTCTACTGCAACATTTTCCGTGGCCGTAATATGCAACTGTCAAAAATGCCATACTGATTCTAGAACCACAAATTAGAACACAAAGAGAAGCAAGAAACAGGCAGTCAGCACTATGGGGAAATGATGTTCTGCTCTGCAAGAATCTATTACCCACTCTATTTGAGAGGAAATATTTGACAAGTTAATTTGTCCTTTTCTTTCCTAAGTGCTTTTGTGACCCCTGCACACCAGAGCAGTACCCATCTCTCCTTTAGGCTGTAGTACTGCACATGAACCTTCAAGGTGTTTGGGCACAGTTGCCTTTTGTTTTGAGGACAGAGATCAAGATCTGGGAGGCAGTGCTTCTCTGGGGCCTGAATGGTGTTATGTATTAGGGTGGGTGTTTGGAGTAATCAATGCGTTTTGTCAGGGCTAGGTCCAGGTCCCAGGTGACTGAGTGGCCCAGGACAGGAGCCCCTGTTGCTCAGGTCTAAGGGTGGCCTTGCAGATGTATGTGGGGAGACAGAGGTTCAGAGAAGAACTTCAGGACTGAAACACCTGGATAGCATCTCGGAATGCATAAACCATCCCTTTGGATGCCTGTGGAAACTTCTCTCCATATTTCTTATCTAAATGGTGTTTTCTCAACTTCTGATTTGACCATTCTGTGAATAATCCTAAGGGTTGAAACTTTTATGAGTTAAGTGGTGATAGGCTTTTCCATTTTATTTGAGGATGCAAGCATTATTTTCCTAACAGACAGTTTTCATCTGTGGGCCAAAAGCATTGTCACAGGTACATATTCTGAAATATTCTTATCTACAGATAAAGAACTCAGCACACACGGTGGTGTTTGAATAGGAAAAGTGAAAAACAAACCATTCACCTCACGTGATCAATTTTATTTGGGCCATTAGCAGAGAATATTTTGCACTAGAGACTTCTTACATCAAGTAATAACTGAATGTTAAGCAAACAGATCATCAATTATTAAGATGCAGCTGCTATTAACATAATCATTTACATTTCAGTAATATCAGCATTTGGAGGGGGTTGTAAAGCTACTTAAAAGCATCTGATGTACAAAATAGGAATTTAACCATGTTCCCTTTGCTAAAATTTTTTAGAGGATCTAGCTCTAATTTTCCACTTAAGAATGGGTGTTGTGATTGGGAGAGGTGTAAAATCTGATGTAGAAATATCTGATCTCTGGATACCTTTTTTTAATTGGTGAAACTCAGGATGACTTCCTTTTGTGAACACATTTTCATTCATTCATTCATTCATTCATTCATTCATTCATTCATTCATTTAAAAGAGCCAGGGTCTTGCTCGTGATCCAGGCAGGAGTTTAGTGGTGCAATTATCACTTACTGCAGCCTCGAACTCTTGAGCTCAAGCAATTCTCCCACCTCAGCCTCCTGAGTAGCTAGGACGACAGACACATACCACCATGACTGGCTAGTTTTTAATTTTTTTTGTAGAGATGGGGTCTTGCTCTATTGCCCAGGCTGGTCTCAAACTCCTGGCCTGAAGCAACCCTCCTGCCTTGGCCTCCTAAAGTGTTGGGATTACAAGGCATGAGCCACTGCACCTGGTCTATATTTTTGGAATATAGATAATACATTCATATGGCTCAAAAAGTAAAAAGTAAAAAAAAAAAAATACAGCGAAAACCCTTCCTTCTTTCTCTGTCTTTTTTGGCCTACAGTGCTCCGTCCCCAGAAGTAATCACTGACGTCATGATCATTTTTATGTACCTGTTCAGGGTTTCTTTGTATATATCAGCAAATACTAATTTTGACTCATTTCACACAGTTTTGAGCCGTGGGTCTTTTGCTTTTGTTTCTTATTTTCCAATATATCCTGGAGATTATTCCAAATCAGCACATAGAGAGCTCCCTCATTCTTTATTTCCAGCCCCATACTACCTGTTGTAGGTTGTACCATACTTTATTTAACCAATCTGCTATAGAGGGACATTGGATTTTTTCCAACTATTTCTTAGGCCAAACACATTGTAAGGAATAAACTTGTACTTGCATGAGGCACGTGCATATACTTTTACATATATTTAGGATAAATTTCTAGAAATGGAATTTCTGGGTCAACTTTTCATGCATATGTAATTCTGATAGATGTTGCCAAATTATCCTCCATGGTGATAGTAGCCTTTTGCGATTCCACTAGCAATAAACGAGAGTGCCTGTTTCCCCAAGGCTGGCTCATGTTTTGAAGACCTGCTCAAGTAGAGGCTATCTGCTCAGCACCGACTTGCAGGGGAGAATAGCATTGTTTTATTCGTATTCTCCAATTACTCTGCTACTTTTCACTCCTTGCCTTTTGCTTGCTGTATGACTGTGCCTTAGTTTCCTCACCTGTAAGATGGGGCTCTAAGAATACCTACAGCCTACAGTAGTTGGGAGAGTTCCAGGTGCTAATGCCAACAAAGCACTAAGCACAGTTCAGACACAGTAACTGCTTAAAAATGCTGTTATTAAGAGGGTCAACTACATGACACCACCCAGAGATTATTGCAACTCTGCTTCTCTTAGGCCACAGCAGACATGAATGTCCATGTTGTAAAATAACAAAGGCACTGAACATTTTCTTGGAAGAAGAGGAATTTTGGTTCTAGGTAAATGTGAGCCCCCTCTGTTGGGTGTAATTGGAGAAGAGGAAATTGGAGGTTTTGAGTGGAAAAGAGTGGTAAGGAGGATAGTGAAGCAGAAGCAGATATTTCTGCAATGAGCCTTGGAGGCGGAAAACAAACTGATGCCTGAGAGAGCTTTGGCACTGAAACCCCTGTCTATAGGAGGAGGTTCCTGAACTCTGTGTGTCACAGGTGCTGAGTGCCCCAGGTATTAACCGGCCTGAAGTTATCACCTGGACAGCTAAGGCTCTAGAATCTGAGTATTGAGGAGACTGGAGACAGAGCTACTCACCCGGGCCAAGTGGAATTGGCAGCATAGCTTTATGGTTGGAGGCTTTTTGTCTGGAATCAGGCAGCCCTGAGTTCAAATGCTGCCTCCATCACTTGCTAGTGGGCTGGCCTAGGATAAGTTCATGTTTCTGATCCTCACTTTCCTCATCGGTCATCTGAAGGTAAATGCCAGAGTAGGGGGCATTCTTAAGATGCTTGTATTTTCACAGGGAGGCTCGGGGATTACAGGCTGGAAGAGTTCTAAGACACTTAGCACTATGCCTGGCACATCTTAAACACTTAATAAATGTCAGCAGCTATTAAGGATATCACATGAATAAGGTTTTACAAGCGTGCTGTTTCTGGGATACAAGGGGGACCCTGAGGGGTGCATGTTAACATATTCAAGTTGTAAAACCAGAAAAGACCCATTTAGATGGCTGTACAGTTATAGAGAGGAAAAATGCCTCTCAGCATACATGTTATTTGCAACAAAGCAAAACAAATTTGTGAGCTTCTTATTGCAGATGAAGCAGAGGGAGAGCCTGAAAAATTTCCTGCCGTCTTGAGGCAGTAAATAGAAAATGGGTTGTATAGTACTGATTGCTGCTAATTTAAGACATATAAAAATCACTGATGGCCTCTTTTTGTTCTCCACTTTTTTCTCTGTTATTTACTAAAGGTAAAATAGTCACACATTTACATACATTATCTTTGTCCTTGTAACTCATTTTTATGTTAAGGATATATATTCCTTATTCTATCTCTTTCACTTATTTTTGTTCCAACCTACCATTCCCTGTAAGAATTTAATCCTTGTGCTTGGGAATGAAGTGTACAATTCTCCTTGCCTAGAATGCTCTAATCTGCCTGCTGCTATGCTTGGCAAGCTCTTAGTCCTCAACCAGCTATTACCTTTGCGAAGTATTTCTCAAGATCACCAGCCTCGATGGCCCTTTCTTCTTTGATTCTGTGAGGCTCTTTTTAATGTTTCTTTTATAGCATTTTTCATACTGGGCTCTCATTCTTTGTGTACATATCCGTCTTTCCCTTTATACTGGGAAAACTTTGAGTCAAGAGTAGCATCTCTCCCTCTCTTCCTTCATCAAACATGTATTAAGCGTCAGACCCTGTGATAGGATCTGTGGATACAGAAATGAATTAGACACAGCCCCTGGTCTGGAAGGGAGATCTCAAGACAATGTGGGAGCAATTAAAGAACGAGGCACTGAGGTAAAACCTTACATAATGCTTTCGTTTAGTCTTCCAAATGACCTTAGATGCATCTGTGAGGATTCCCATTTTACCATTGAAAAGCCTGAGCTAAGGAGAAACTATAACTCATGAAAGAACATAAGGCTACCAAGTGTTCACAATTCCAGCCTCAACGTGGCCCCCCTGGAGGAGGCAAGGCCCAGCAATGTCATGACTGTGAGGATTTGGCCAGATGAAGGAGTCAGGGGAAGGAACTCCAGGAAGAGAGACAAGGCTATGCAAAGGCTTAGGGGTGAGGGAGCATTGCTATTTAGGGAATTATAAAAGTATTAGTCATCTCAGGATTTCCGGTGTTCACACAGTGCTCAGTACACAGTAGATGCTCACTGAATATTGTAAGAATGCATTCCTGCCGCTAAAGTCCCCAAAACTTGTAATTCAACTCAGGACCCGAGTTTCTTGTGTTCCTCAGTATTCTTCAGTAAATTCTCATTTTTGCTGAGGTTCTGGCTTGCATAGACCCGTGGCCCAACTTGGAAGAGTGTGCCCTCAAACTGTCTCCATTCAGCCTTTCAGAAATACAGTTCAGAGGCTTCCTCCCCCACTTCTACCCTTTAAATGTCCAGGGACTGTTTCTACATTTGGTTCAGACAGACTGAGCAAAATTTTGGACATAGATGGACAATTGCTGGATAGACAGCTGATGGAGTGTCTTGACTGAGACCGTCTGTAGGCTACACAGCTCTGGGGTATGTGAAAACTGCCCCCAGCAGATGGAAGTCTGAGCTCAAGAAACAAAAATCTAAGGGAAGTTGCTTTTAGTTCAGCCATAATTCCTAACTCTTGGATCTCTTTCTCATCTGCTCTCCTGCCCATAGACCTGGGGAATACTGTTTTAGACTGGAAGGGGTGGGGCAGATGGAGAAACTGTTCTCTTTCTTTTGCTTTTGCTGAAGACATGTTGTCAAGGCTAGGAATGTTCTTTCTTTTATATGGGATGTCAGTTAATAGAAAGGACTCTGGAGCCAGACTGCATGGGGTTTGAATCCCGGCTCTGCTACTTACCAGCTTCTTGACCTTGGATAAGTTACTTAACATCTCTGTACCTCAGCTTCCCTATCTGTAAAATGGGATTAATAATAGTACCTATTTCATAAGGTTTTTGTGAGAGTATAAAGGAATTAAAATATTTAAAGCACTTAGAACAGTACCTGGAACATCTTACGTGCAATATATGTGACGATGATGATTGTGATAATTAAAGTTACTCTACACAAACTCCCTCCTTTCTTCTGGTTCATTTGTACTAAATGGTAATGTCCCATTTAGTCTCAAAGCCCAATCAAATAGGAATTAGTTCTTATTTTCTTTGAAGACATGGTGAATTTAGACTCTAAGTTGGTAATATCATGTTTAAGCTGTCTAGCACGGTAAACCAAGAAAAGAAAAACAAAATAATAAGATTTCAGATGAAAATAGTTGGGCTATTCACATGAACAAAATACCCCAGGTTGTTTGAGTTGATATATTACTCAAAACCAGAAGAAACTTGATCTAGTCCACTTACTGAAATTTTGATGGGTAAACGGAAGCACAGAGAACTGACTAATGCAGGGTTATATAGGGCTAGACCTAGAATATACTTCTCCTGATCCCTGTTCATGTTCCTTGCAATGCCCTGTAGCCAAAGGATGTTCACTCTCTGAAGCTTCTCAAATTTTTTTTTAATGATAAGGGTCAGCAAATGCTTTCTGCAAAAGGCCTGATAGTAAATTATTCTGGGTTTTGTTGGCCATCTGTCTGTTACCACCACTCAACTCTCCCATTACAGTCTGAAAGCAGCCATAGACAGCGTGCAAATGAATGGATGTGACTGTGTTTTAATAAAATTTTATTTATAAAATATGTGGTGGGCCAGATTTGGCCCATGGGTTGTGGTTGCAAATCTCTGCTCTATGATATCCCCAGCTGAAGTGTTAAAGGGAAATACCAGAGCAATAAATGCTCTTCTACATGAAACAGAAGCCATTAGCCAAATGCTTAATGTGAAGAAGTAGCCAGAGGAAAGAGCTGTGGTGTGTGAAGTAATGAGGATGATTAGGCAAAAACCAGCTTTACTTTTCCATCCCAGCTAACTCAGTTTCTTTTTATTTATAATTTTCTAAAAGAGGGAAAATAGAGATGGAAATTTTTCTACCTAAACAGTGGGATTAAGAGAAAAAATTCTGTAATGTAGTTTTGGTTACCATGGCATTCCTGGTACAACTTGCCAGAACATCCAAATAAAAGGACAAGCTTTTATCTCTCCCTGCAACTCAATTAATTTTAATCTATAAGATGAGAATTATCCACTTAGCTTCCAAGATTAGCTTGCTTTATTAGGGTATCAAAAAATAAGCAGAAAGAAAAGAAAATGTGCTTGAAGATGACTTGCTTTCATTTGAGAAAATCAGTCCACAGTTAATTAGGGCAAAACTTAGAGGCTGCAGGGAGGTTAGCAGAGTGAGATTTAATCATTGTCAGATAAGTGTACAGTCAAGAAAACACCATGAAACATTCTCTCTGTGAGGTGCATAGTTACCTACATCTTTTGGAATTGTTTATGATGGGGATGTGTATTAGTTATCTGTTGCTACACGATAATCACACCCAAACTTATCAGCTTAACACAAAACACATTTGTTGTCTCACAATTTCCATGATCAAAAATGTAGGCACAATTTAGTTAGGTGTTCTGTGTCAAGAGTCTTTGGATAAGGCTGCAATTAAGGTTGTCAACCTGGCTGAGGTTTAATTTGAAGGTTCTACTGGGGATGAACTCCCTTCCAAGTTCCCATGGCTGTTAGTAGGGTTCAGTTCCTCAAGGGTTGTTGTACTGAGGCCCTCAGTTCTTAGCTGGCTGTTGTCTGGAGGCTACCCTCAGTTCCTTGGCATGGAGGCCTCTCTAGTATGTCAGCTTGCTTCATCAAACCATGCAAGCCAAGAAGACAATAGAGTCTGCTAGCAAGATGGAAGTTACAATCTTTTTTTTTTTTTTTTTTTTTTTCCTCTGGAGACGGAGTCTTGCTCTGTCGCCCAGGCTGGAGTGCAGTGGCCCAATCTCGGCAAGTGGAGTGCAAGCTCCACTTCCTGGGTTCACGCCATTCTCCTGCCTCAGCCTCCCGAGTAGCTGGGAATACAGGGGCCCGCCACCACGCCCAGCTAATTTTATTTTTGTATTTTTAGTAGAGACAGGGTTTCATCGTGTTAGCCAGGATGGTCTCCATCTCCTGACCTCATGATCCACCCGCCCTGGCCTCCCAAAGTGCTGGGATTACAAGCGTGAGGCACTGTGCCCGGCTGGAAGTTACAATCTTACATAACTTAATTATAGAAGTGACAGCCCATCATTGTTGACATATTCTATTGATTAGAAGTAGGTCACAGGTCCTGTCCATACCAAAAAAAAAAGGAACCATGCAAAGATACGAAGGTGAAGAGGAGAGGATGATCGGGGGACATCTTAGAGTCTACCTGCTACAGGAAGAGAGAAGTAATGATTTCAGTGAAGTAGTAATGAGAGAAAGTACACTGTCTTGATAAGAAGATCTCTGAAGCTGAATTTACTCTGAAGGATGTTGTGATCATTGAGTATCATGGGCCAAAGAGGAGGGATAACGTGTGCATATATCATACCGTTGCTATTCCTAACTACAAACTCTGGTTTCTGAGAAGTTTAAACTGTAGGGAGACCATTTATCCTCATTAAATCTAGATGCTGGGCTATAACATTGGGTAAACCGAGCCCGTGTAACAGTTGGGTCTCTTTTAGTGACAAGCAACAGAAAATCCAACTCAAGTGGTTAAGGAAAGAGAGAATGTATTAGCTTATACAGCTGAAAACTCCAAGAGTAAATTTCACTTCAGGTGTAGCTGGGTTCAGGGCTTCAGCAAAATATTTTATTTGTTTACTTTTTTGGTTAAGGTTATTGAGACGTAACTTGGGTATGGTACCCTTTTCGTACACAGTTTAGTGAGTTTTGATAAACGTGCAGTTGTGTACTCACCAACATAATCGGGATATAGAACATTTCCACAATCCCCCCTCCCTAATTTTTTTCTTGTCCCTTTGTAGTCAACTTCTCCTGCTACCCTCAGCCCCTGACAACCACTCATCTCTTTTCAGTACCTATAGTTTTGCCTTTTTCAGAATATCTTTTAAATGGAATTAAGTAGTCTAGATGTACTCATAAGATTATGTGTCTGGCCTCTGTTACTCACTATCCTGCCTTTGTGTAGGAGTCATCTGTGTAATCACACCTCTGATTTCTTTTTATCACTGAGTAGCCCATTGTACAGATGTACAGTGATTTTTAAAACCTATTAACCAATTGCAGGACATTTGATTTGTTACCATTTTTGGCAACTGTGAATAAAACTACTAGAAACGTTTGTGCATATGTTTTTTATTTGTGTGTGTGTGAATGTAAGTTTTCATTGTTCTGGTAAACACCTAGTAGGGAAGTTGCTTAGTGATACAGTAAATCTGTATTTAATTTTATAAGAAACTACCAATTTGTTTTCCAAAATGGGTTGTACCAGTGCTGGGCACAGTGGCTCACCCCTGTAATCCCAGCACTTTGGGAGGTAGAGGTGGGTGGATCACCTGTGGCCAGGAGTTTGAGACTAGCCTGGTCAAAACAGTGAAACCCCATCTCTACTAAAAATAATAAAATAAAATAAAATAAAATAAAAGTTACTTCCTATTCTCACCAGTACTTGTTCTCACTCACCTTTTAAGGTTTATTTTAGCTATTCTAATAGGTGTGCGGTGCTATCTCAAGGTACTTTTAAGTTACATTTTCCTGATAACTAATGATGTCAGTCATCCTTATGTGTTTATGTGCTATCTGTATGTCCTCCTTGGGGAAGTGTCCATGCAAATCTTTTCCCATTTTAATAATTGTGTACTTACCTATTTTGAGGATAAATGTTATTCTTTTTTAAAATTATTATTATACTTTAAGTTCTAGGGTACATGTGCACAATGTGCAGGTTTGATACATAGGTATATATGTGCCATGTTGGTTTGCTGCACCCATGAACTCATCATTTACATTAGGTATTTCTCCTAATGCTATCCCTCCCCCAGTCCCCCACCCCCCGACAGGTCCCGGTGTGTGATGTTCCTCGCCCTGTGTCCAAGTGTTCTCATTGTCTGGTTCCCACCTATGAGTGAGAACATGCAGTGTTTGGTTTTCTGTCTTTGTGATAGTTTGCTGAGAATGATGGTTTCCAGCTTCATCCATGTCCCTGCAAAGGACATGAACTCATCCTTTTTTATGGCTGCAAAGTGTTCCATGGTGTATATGTGCCACATTTTCTTAATCCAGTCAAGACTGATGGACATTTGGGTTGGTTCCAAGTCTTTGCTATTGTGAGTAGTGCCGCAATAAACATACGTGTGCATGTGTCTTTATAGCAGCATGATTTATAGTCCTTTGGGTATATACCCTGTAATGGGATTGCTGGGTCAAATGGTATTTCTAGTTCTAGATCCTTGAGGAATCGCCACACTGTCTTCCACAATGGTTGAACTAGTTTGCACTCCCACCAACAGTGTAAAAGCATTCCTATTTTTCCACATCCTCTCCAGCATCTGTTGTTTCCTGACTTTTTAATGATCACCATTTTAACTGGCATGAGATGGTATTTCATTGTGGTTTTGATTTACATTTCTCTGATGGCCAGTGAAGATGAGCATTTTTTCATGTGTCTGTTGGCTGCATAAATGTTTTCCTTTGAGAAGTGTCTGTTCATATCCTTTGCCTACTTTTTGATAGGGTTGTTTGTTTTTTTCTTGTAAATTTGTGTGAGTTCTTTGTAGATTCTGGATATTAGCCCTTTGTCAGATGGGTAGATTGCAAAAATTTTCTCCCATTCTGTAGGTTGTCTGTTCACTCTGATGGTAGTTTCTTTTGCTGTGCAGAAGCTCTTTAATTAGATCCCATTTGTCTATTTTGGCTTTTGTTGCCACTGCTTTTGGTGTTTTAGTCATAAAGTCCTTGCCCATGCCTATGTCCTGAATGGTATTGTCTAGGTTTTCTTCTAGGGTTTTCATGGTTTTAGGTCTAACATTTAAGTCTTTAATCCATCTTGAATTAATTTTTGTATAAGGCGTAAGGAAGGGATCCAGTTTCAGCTTTCCGAACATGGCTAGCCAGTTTTCCCAGAACCATGTATTAAATAGGGAATCCTTTCCCCATTTCTTGTTTTTGTCAGGTTTGTCAAAGATCAGATGGTTATAGATGTGTGGTGTTATTTCTGAGGACTCTGTTCTGTTCCATTGGTCTATATCTCTGTTTTGGTACCAGTACCATGTTTTGGTTACTATAACCTTGTAGTGTAAAGTCAGGTGTGTGATGCCTTCAGCTTTGTTCTTTTTGCTTAGGATTGTCTTGGCTCTAAAGGCTCTTTTTTGGTTCCATATGAACTTTAAAGTAGTTTTTTCCACTTCTATGAAGAAAGTCATTTGTAGCTTGATGGGGATGGCATTGAATCTATAAATTACCTTGGGCAGTATGGCCATTTTCACGATATTGATTCTTCCTATCCATGAGCATGGAATGTTCTTTCATTTGTTTGTGTCCTCTTTTATTTCGTTGAGCAGTGGTTTGTAGTTCTCCTTGAAGAGGTCCTTCACATCCCTTGTAAGTTGGATTCCTAGGTATTTTATTCTCTTTGAAGCAATTGTGAATGGGAGTTCACTCATGATTTGGCTCTCTTTCTGTTCTTGGTGTACAGGAATGCTTGTGATTTTTGCACATTGACTTTGTATCCTGAGATTTTGCTGAAGTTGCTTATCAGCTTAAGGAGATTTTGGGCTGAGACGATGGGGTTTTTTAAATATACAATCATGTCATCTGCAAACAGGGTCAATTTGACTTCCTCTTTTCCTAATTGAATACCCTTTATTTCTTTCTCTTGCCTGATTGCCCTGGCCAGAACTTCCAATACTGTGTTGAATAGGAGTGGTGAGAGAGGGCATCCCTGTCTTGTGCCAGTTTTCAAAGGGAATGCTTCCAGTTTTTGCCCATTCATTATGATATTGGCTGTGGGTTTGTCATAAATAGCTCTTATTATTTTGAGATATGTCCCATCAACACCTAGTTTATTGAGAGGTTTTAGCATGAAGGGCTGTTGAATTTTGTCAAAGGCCTTTTCTGCATCTATTGAGATAATCATGTGGTTTTTGTCATTGGTTCTGTTTATGTGATGGATTACGTTTATTGATTTGCGTATGTTGAACCAGCCTTGCGTCCCAGGGTTGAAGCCGACTTGATCATGGTGGATAAGCTTTTTGATGTGCTGCTGGATTCGGTTTGCCAGTATTTTATTGAGGATTTTCGCATCAATGTTCATCAGGGATATTGGTCTAAAATTCTCTTTTTTTTGTTGTGTCTCTGCCAGGCTTTGGTATCAGGTTGATGCTGGCTTCATAAAATGAGTTAGGGAGGATTCCCTCTTTTTCTATTGATTGGAATAGTTTCAGAAGGAATGGTACCAGTTCCTCTTTGTACCTCTGGTAGAAATTGGCTGTGAATCTGTCTGGTCCTGGACTGTTTTTGGTTGGTAAGCTATTAATTATTGCCTCAATTTCAGAACCTGTTATTGGTCTATTCAGATATTCAGCTTCTTCCTGGTTTAGCCTTGGAAGGGTGTATGTGTCCAGGAATTTATCCATTTCTTCTAGATTTTCTAGTTTATTTGCGTGGGGGTGTTTATAGTATTCTCTGATGGTAATTTGTATTTCTGTGGGATCGGTGGTGATATCCCCTTTATCATTTTTTATTGTGTCTATTTGATTCTTCTCTCTTTTCTTCTTTATTAGTCTTGCTAGTGGTCTATCAATTTTGTTGATCTTTTCAAAAAACCAGCTCCTGGAATCATTGATTTTTTTGAAGGGTTTTTTTGTGTCTCTATCTCTTTCAGTTCTGCTCTGATCTTAGTTATTTCTTGCCTTCTGCTAGCTTTTGAATTTGTTTGCTCTTGCTTCTCTAGTTCTTTTAGTTGTGATGTTAGGGTGTCATGGGAGACTTTAACACCCCGCTGTCACTATTAGACACATCAACGAGACAGAAGGTTAACAAGGATATCCAGGACTTTAACTCAGCTCTGCACCAAGCAGACCTAATAGACATCTCCAGAACTCTCCACCCCAAATCAACAGAATATACATCCTTCTCAGTATCACATCCCACTTATTCTAAAATTGACCACATAATTGGAAGTAAAGCACTCCTCAGCAAATGTAAAAGAACAGAAATCACCACAAACTATCTCTCAGACACAGTGCAATCAAATTAGAACTTAGGATTAAGAAACTCACTCAGAACCGCACAACTACCTGGAAACTGAACAACCTGCTCCTGAATGACTACTGGGTAAATAACTAAATGAAGGCAGAAATAAAGATGTTCTTTGAAACCAATGAGAACAAAGACACAATGTACCAGAATCTCTGGGACACATTAAAAGCAGCGTGTAGAGGGAAATTTATACCACTAAATGCCCGCAAGAGAAAGCAGGAAAAATCTAACAGGGGATAAATGTTATTCTTAGATAGAACCCTCATAAGTTGTTTGAGCAAGTAGAAACAACAATAACTAGAAACTGAGGCTTATTTTAAAAAAACCTACACAGCCATAAAAAAGAATGAAATCATGTCCTTTGCAACAACATGGATGTGGCTGAAGGCCATTACTCTAAGCAAATTAATGCAGGAACAGAAGACCAAATACCACATGTTCTCACTCATATGTAAGAACTAAACATTGGGTAGTCATGGACATAAAGATGGCAACAATAAACACTGGGGACTACTGGGTGGGGGAGGGAGGAAGGTGAGTGTTGAAAAACTATTGGGTACTATGCTTACTACCTTGGTGACGGGATCAGCTGTACCCTAAACCTCAGCATTAAACAAGATACCCATGTAACAAACTTGCACATATACCCCCTGAATCTAAAATAAAAGTCGAACTTGTTAAAAAAAATCTAAAACATGTAAATGAACATAGAGCTGCAGAGACATAAAATAACATAACATTAGATAAAAATTGTATTATTGTTTCATTATTGGGCTTTGAGAGTTTTAAAAATATATTCCAGATGTAAATCCTTTATCAGATATGTATTTTGCAAATACTTTTATCCCAGTGGCTTGCATTTTTGAAACGTGGCTTGCCTTTTAATATGTTAACAGTGTCTTTTGAGGAGCAGAAGTGTAAAATGTTGATGAAGTCCAACTTATCCATTCTCTCTTTTATGGATGATGCTTTTCATGTTCTAACTAATAAATCTTTGCCTAAATCATGGTCATAAAAATTTTATTCTATGTTTTCTTCTAGAAATTTTATAGATTTAGATTTTACATTTAGCTTTTTAATCCACTTAGAGTTTAATTTTTATATAAGGTGTTTGTTGAGGTTTAGTTCTTTATTTTTTTTTTGCAAATAGTTATCCAATTCATCACCATTTTTGAAAAGACAATCCTTTCTCTACTAAATTGCCTCACACATTTGTTTTTGTTTTGAGACAGAGTCTTGCTCTGTCACCCAGGCTGGAGTGCAGTGGCATTGTTTCAGTTCACTGCAACCTCCGCCTCCCAGGTTCAAGCAATCCTCCCACCTCAGCCTCCCAAATAGCTGGGACTACAGGTGCCTACCACCACATCTGGCTGATTTTTGTATTTTTAGTAGAGATGGGGTTTTGCCTTGTTGGTCAGGCTGGTATCGAACTCCTGGCCTCAAGTGATCTGCCTGCCTTGGCCTCCCAAAGTGCTGGGATTACAGGTGTGAACCACTGCGTCTGGCCACCTCACACATTTCTGAAACACGGTTGACCAAACAAGCATGGGTTTCCTTCGGGGCTTTCTATCCTGACTTTTCCTCAGTGTTGGCTCCATTTTCAGGAAGACTCTTTCTCATGGTTTCAAGGTGTCTGACAGTAGCTCCTGAAACCTCATTTTTCAGTTTCATGCTCAGTAAAAGATGAGCATCTGTGGCTTGGTATTTTCCACAAAAATCCTGAAATTGATTCTAATCCAGAATGAATTTCAGTCTGATTAGATCAGTTTAGGTCATGTGATATGGTTTGGATCTGTGCGCCACCCAAATCTCATGTTCAATTGTAATCCCAATGTTGGAGGTGGGGCCAAGTGTAAGGGGATGGGATCATGGGGATGGTCCTTCATAATCATTTAGTACCATCTCCTTGGTGCTTCTCTCATGAGAGTGAGTGAGTTATTATGAGATCTGGTCATTTAAAATTGTGTGGCACCTTCCCATCTTTTCTCTATATCTAGCCACATAAGACATACCAGCTTCCCCTTCCCCTTCCGCCATGATTGAATGTTTCCTGAGGTTTCCCAAGAAGCAGAAGCTGCTATGCTTCCTGTACAGCCTGCAGAACTGTGAGCCAATTAAACTTCTTTTCTTTATAAATTAGCTAGTCTCAGGTATTCATTTGTAGCAGTGTGAGAATAGACTAATATATCATGTGATACACAGTGATTGTCTTGGACCTGGGTCACCTCCTCTACCTGTGTGACTAGGAATGGAGCCTCACTCAAATCACACAGACCTTATATGTAGAAGAATGAATTCTCAAAGAAAAACTAGGGCTCTGTTAGAATGGGAAAACATATGATGCTGTGGGCAAAAAACAATGCAAACAAACAATGGCAACCAAACATCCCAATAAATATCCATATTGCTCTTAACTCAAGAATTTCATGTGTAACAGGGAAGAACTGCATGGAAGAACACAAATTATAATAGACTGTTCGAAGTATAACAACCTAAATAAGTCCAAGATATCAATGAGGGAGTAATTAAATCTATCTGCATGTTCTGGGAAGGCTTCCCAGATATGGCCTTTGAAATGGGTTTAAAAATCTTTTTAAAAAATACTTAAGTAAAATATAATCTATTTAAAGAAAAGTGCACAAGCTATAAGGATATGGCTCAATATATTATCACAATGTGAACATGCTTGCATAACCAGCATCTCAAAAATGCCAGTGTCCTCTTTTCTCAAAAAGTAACTTCTATGCTGAGTTTTAACACAGATACTAGTTTTTACCACTTTAAAAACAATATAAATGGAATCAAGAAATATGAATCAACTTGTCTTTGCTTATTTTGTACGTGGTTATGAGATTCATCCAGGTATTTGCATGTAGCCATAGTCAGTTTTCATTGCTGTGTACTATTCCATCATGTGACTATACTACCATTTATTTATTCATTTTATTGTTGTATATTTATGTTATTTCCAGTGTTTTGACTATTATTTAAAGTGTTGCTATGAAAAAATTTATATTTAATTTTTGGCTATATGTAAATATAGTTGGACATACATCTAGAATATAAATTTCTGAGTCATAGAATTAGCATATGTTCGAATGTAGTAGATGCTGCTAAACAGTTTTCTAAAGTGCTTGTGTTAATTTAAACTCCCACTAGAAGCATAATGGGAGTTCTAGTTCCTCTACATTGCTCTCAGTGCTTGATAGTGTTAGTCTTTTTAAAATTTTAGCCATTCTAGTGGGTATGTAGTGGCATCTGATAATGATTTTATCTTGCATTTGCCAAAGACTAATGAGGTTGAACACCTTTTTATCTGCCTATTGGCAATTTAGGTATCCTTGTTTTGTGAAGTATCTGTTGTTTGTTCAAGTCTTTTTTTCATTTTTCTGTAGTTTTTTGTTTTGATTTAGAAATTATTTTGTAATCTGGTATGAATCCCTTTTCATTTACATGTTGCAATTATCTCTTCCCACTATAAGGCTTACCTTTTCACTTTTTTTTTTTTTTTAAATAAGAGAAGGGGGTCTTGCTTTGTCATCTAGGCCAGAATGCAGTGGTGTGATTATAGCTTACTGCAACCTTGAACTCCTGGGCTCAAGCAATCCTCCCAACTCAGCCTCCTGAGTAGCTGGGACTACAGGCATGTGCCACCGCACCTGGCTAGTTTTTAATTTTTATTTTTGTAGAGATGGGGGTCTTGCTATGTTTCCTAGGCTGGCCTTAAACTCCTGGCCTCAAACAATACTCTTGCTTCAGCCTCCCAAGTAGCTGGGATTACAGGCGTGAGTCACCATGCCCGGCCCTTTTCACTTTTGTAATAGTGTGGTTTTTTTTTTTAATACACAAGTGTTCTTAATTTCAAAAGTTTAATTTTAAAATTAAAAGTTTATCAGTTGTTTGCTTTATGATTAGTACTCTGTGTGGCTTGTCCAAGAAATCTTTTCCTCCTTAAAGTAATGAAGATAGATACACTCCGATGTTATCATCTGGAAGCTTGTTTTACCTTCTGCATCTAAACCTACATACCATTTGGGATTTGGTTTTAGGTATGATGTGAAGAAGGGCTCAAGTTTTGTTTTTTTACCATGTTTTATCCAGTTGACCCAGCACCATTTTATTGAAAAGACTTATTTCTTCACTGTTCTGCCATTTTATCATAAATCACATGTTAATAGATGCAAAGGTCTATTTCTGGACTCAATTATCTTCCATTGTTTGTTTTCAAGCCAACACCACTTTCTTTTTCTTTTCTTTCTTTCTTTTTTTTGAGTCGGAATCTCGCCCTGTTGCCCAGGTTAGAGTGCAGTGGCACGATCTCCGCTCACTGCAACCTCCGCCTTTTGGGTTCAAGTGATTCCCCTGCTTCAGCCTCCCGAGTAGCTGGGATTACAGGCGCACGCCACCACGCCCAGCTAATTTTTGCATTTTTAGTAGAGACAGGGTCTCACCATGTTGGCCAGGCTGGTCTCGAACTCCTGGCCTCAGGTGATCTGCCTGCCTCGGCTTCCCAAAGTGCTGGGATTACAGGCATGAGCCACCATGCCCAGCCACCAGTACCACTTTCTTAATGTCTATCATTGTAATAAGTCTTAATACCTGGTAGAGCGTTTCCTTCTACTTTGTCATTCTCTAAGATTGTCTTGGCTAGTCTTGACTCTGCCTTTACATATAAATTTAAAAATCGGCTTCTAATTTCCAAAACAAACAAACAGCACAGGCTGGGAATTTGACTGGAGTTGTATTAAATCTGTAGATCAGTTTGCAGACAATTAATATTACTACAGTGCTACTACAGCATGGAGTCGGAGTCCCCCAGTCCAGGACCTTCGTTTATCCCTTCATTTACTTAGGTGTTTAAACATTTTTATCAAAAATATCTTAGAGTTTTCCATGAAGCAGTCTTGCACATATTTTGCTAGATTTACTCCTGGATATTTGATTTAAAAATATGATTATAGATGGACTTTTTGTTTGCTAAACATTTATTGATATATCAAAATACATTTGATGATTTTGTATTTATTTTGATCAACTGGGTTTTGAAATCTTGCTTTCTCTTGGGAAGTAGGTTCATCCATGTACCCTAATATACTCTGTAGGCCTCCCCCGATGCACTGCCTATGGGACTCAAGGTTGCCATATTGCACAACTCCGGGGGCAGCAATGACATTGTAATCCATGTAGTCAGGAGAGGCATTATTTATATACAGTAGAATATGATTTGTGCTCTATGCATTGTGTAACCTTGACTGCCATGTAAGAAGTATATGAGCTGGGCACGGTGGCTCATGCCTTCAATCCCAGGACTTTGGGAGGCTGAGGCAGGCGGATCACCCAAGGTCAGAAGTTTGAGACCAACCTGGCTAACATGGTGAAACCCCGTCTCTACTAAAAATACAAAAATTAGCCGGGTATGGTGGTGCACGCCTGTAATCCCAGCTACTTGGGAGGCTGAGGCAGGAGAATCACTTGAACTCAGGAGGCAGAGGTTGCAGTGAGCCAAGATTGTGCCAGTGCACTCCAGCCTGGGAAACAGAGCGAGACTCCATGTATATTAAAAAAAAAGAAGTATATGAAAGGTGGCAGATATTGATAGAATTATCATTCCCATGCTTGGAAAATTGTATTTCTTTAGTGACTAGTCTATACCTCACTAGAAGGAAAGACTTTTTCCTCTTCTAGCCTGTTGTCTTTGAGAAACAAAATAGCATTGCCATATGTGAGAGCTCCTCCTCCTTCTCCATAGTCTAACTCCTCCTATGAATCCAATTACACTTAAATCACCTTTGGGGTCCAAAGCCAATGTAGTTGATTCCTGACTTAGCAGGGAAGAATGGAAAACCAATATTATCCAAGAAACAGGGAAGTGGGAATTGATCTGGATAGCGATGTTACACACAGCTGTTCAGTTTGCACGCTGCACGAAGGCTGCTGGCCATAAGAATAAATTTGGAGGAAGAAGGCTGAAATCCAGTAGCACTCTGCCCACCAAGCTGTGTGCCTTGGCGTGGGGCTGCATCTATACTCAGGGAGCACTTTCTCCTAATTCAGCTACCCAGATGGGGTATCGTTTCCCATTTTACACAAAGGCACCCTTTAGGCCAGTGGATGCCCTGGCCCAGGCCTCGAAGTTTGACTCATCTCCAAGTCGATCATCAGTAGCTGCATTTATCAGTTTCTCTTGGCACAGATTTGCAGCATTGCCAGGATGCTGACAAAATGTTTCTAGAGAACTCCACGCCCTCTTCTACCCTTTCTGTTAGTCTTTTATTGATTCTTCTCTCTTGTGTTTCTAAGCCTGAGCCAGGAACCCTCCTGTTATTAAAAGCAGTCCCAGTTGCCCACACCTTTCATTTCCTTTGAATTACATTAATTGCCTGACAGCTAAAAAGTGAGCTGGTATTTTCAGATTTCAGCGGCTGGTCGGCAAGAAATATTTACCAGCTCCTGCAGATTTATAAAGATGCCATGGAGATGCCTGGAGACTAACAATCAGAAAATACAGCAGCAAAACAACACTATTTTTCAAGGTTAAATGCTCAGAATGCTAAAAAGAAATTGTCCATAAAGCAAAATAGGGATTCAGAAGCAGGCAGCCTCTACTCTGGACAAAGAAAGGAGCCAGAGGTTTAAAATAAGATTTCACAGCTTCACAATAATTATGAATTTAATAAGGGGAGCTTTATTTTTAATTTAGTTTCAGTCTGGCAGCCAGTCTCCTCCCTCCAACCCCCTCTCTGCGGCATGGTAGTGCTCTTTAATGTGGTCCTAAGGCTAGGTCACAGTGAGAGCTGGGAAGCGCCCCCAGCCATAAGACTTTCTGATGAAGAAGAATTTAGACAGATAATGTTTCTGACTCTCTGCAGGCAGATGGGACTAACTCCCACTGGCTTTACTCCCTCCTGGCAGCCAGAAATGTCTTTTGCTATGTAGGAAGACACTAGGTTCTGAAAATTCCAAGACAGGAAGATTTTTTTCCTCCTGGATAGAACCCTAGGCTCTGATTCCTGTTCTCCATGAACAGAATAATAAAACCGAGCCAAGGCCACTAAGAATCATTTTAGACTCTGCTGGTCAACACCATCTCCACTTACAAAGTCTCGTTTCATAGACCACCTTTCAGTATGAGCCGTTTGCCAAGACCACATACATTCCTTTGTTTATTGTTCATTCATTCTACAAACATTTATTGAAGGTCTATTTTTTGAAGTACCCTGTGTTATAGAGGTTAAATTCACATGACAAAATTGATCATTTTAAGGTGAACAAATTAGTGGCATTTAGTACCTTCACAGTGTTATATGACCACCTCTGCCTTTTTCCAAAATAGCTTCATCACCCCCAAATAAAAACCTGTACCCATTAAACAGTTACTCTTCATTTTTCTCTTTCCCCAGAAAGGGGTACTACCAACCTGCTTTCTGCATTTGTGGATATACCTATTCTGGATATTTCATATACATGGAATTATACACCTTTTATGTCTTCTTACACTTATAATACTTTTGAGGTTCATCCCCATTGTAGCATATATTAGTTTCTTATGGCTAAGTAATAGTTAATTGTATGTATGTATTATACCACAATGTATTTATCCAGTCTTCCATTTATGGACATTTGAGCTCTTTCCATCTTTTGGCTATTGTGAATAGAGCTACCAGGATCATTCATGTACAAGTATTTGTTTGAGTACTTTTTAAAAAATTTCTCTGGGATATATGCTTAGGTCATATAGTAAGATCAAAAATATTTCCTGATCTTATTCCCTTTGTTAATGGAAATAGTCTCTTCATACATCTATGGTTTCTTCAAGACTGTTTCTCCAAGGCAGGGAGCTAGCTTCTTCCTTGAATAACTTTGTCTTCAGCTAGATAGGAGGAGCTCAAAAGCAAAATGATAGTTCCTAGTGGTATATATGCTAGACCAAAAGAGGAGAAATTCAGTCACTGAGGGTTGCCACAGAATGGTAACAATGAGATTAATAATAATGGTTTGCAGGAAAGACACCATCTTGAAAGGATGCTGTGAGGAATTCATTAGATAACACCTGATAGAAATACACAAGATGCACTTTCCTCTATCTCCCTTTCCATTCTTCTGTCTGCATAAATGACTGCCCTGAATTCCTTTGTAGAGCTATGATTTAATTATTCAGAGTTTGGTATCCACCTAATCTGTAAACCCTACTCGAGATATTTATTTTCAGCACCTGGGACAGAGCCCAGCATATGACAGTCACTCAGGAAGCAATTGTTGAAAGAATGAACAAATGTTCATCTGCTTATGTTCATTGCCAGACAAAAGAATCTGCATTTTACATCATGTCTATTGTTTACTGGGGAGGGGCCTATGTGACATTGCCTGTGTGAATTTGGGAAATGCTAAGACATTTTATTTTTGGTGTTTAATCTTATACTCCCACATGGGCCACAGGACTGGTCCATCTTATGGAATATGAAAAAAAATGTTCACATTTCAGGTTGTTCATAAATCTGCCTCCTGCATTACCATTTCTTATCTGCCTACTTCTGCTTCCCCTGAGTTCAGAGGAAGTGCTTTACCTTAGAAATGATTCACTACTCCTGGGCCATCGTGGGCTTTGAAAGCCACACAATAGAAGTTCCATTTCAAATCCCCCCATTTATAATCATGGGAGAAAGCTGGGTGTTGTCTTGGGGGTTATCAATGATTTCAGAAAACTCAACCTTTGTTCCTCATGTGTCCATTTTTCAAAAACTTACGACTCCAAATCTCTGGAAGTCATTGCATCTGAGGAAACATTTATCTTGGGTTTGACATCTTTTGCACTGTATCCCTTTTCAACTCTCCTTTCTCATGTAGGACAAACGGCACTGTGGGGTTTGAAATGAAGAGTTATGTCTTGCAGCAAGTGCGTGTGTGGAGATCCTGGGCTCCTCCCTGCCCCCTCCCCTGTGCCCCTGGGTTGGAAGATGAAGGAATAATCAGCAGAGACAAATGCTTATGAGTGAGGTTATGGGTTGAATTATATCTACCCAAATTTGTATGTGGAAATTCTATCCCCCAGTACCTCAGAATGTGACCTTCTTTGAAAATAGGTTTCTTGGGGATATAATTAGTGAAGATGAGGTTGTACTGGAGTAGGCTGGGGCCCTAATTCAATATGATTGTTGTCTTCATTAAAAGAGGGAATTTGGAGACAGACGCACACAAAAGAACTCCACATGGAGATTAAGGCAGAGGTCTAGAAGCCAAGAAATGCCCCAAATTGCCAACAAACCACCAAAGCTATGAGAGAGGCACGGGACGGATTCTTTCTCACAGCCCACAGAAGGAAACTATCCGGCCGGGCGCTGTGGCTCGCGCCTGTAATCTCAGCACTTTGCGAGGCCAAGGCGGGCGGATCACCTGAGGTCAGCTCAAGACCAGCCTGGCCAACATGGTGAAACCATGTCTCTACTAAAAATACAAAATTAGCCGGGCATGGTGGCACGCACCTGTAATCCCAGCTACTTGGGAGGCTGAGGCAGGAGAATCGCTTGAACCTGGGAGGTGGAGGTTGCAGTGAGATCACACCATTGCACTCCAGCCTGGGTGACAGAATGAGACTCCGTCTCAAAAAAAAAAAAAAAAAAAAAAAAAAAGGAACCTACCCTGCCAGTACTTTGATCTCAGACTCCTAGCCTCTAGAACTGTGAAACAATACATTTCTGTTGTTCAAGTCACCTAATTTGTGGTCTTTGTTTTTATAGAAGTCCTAGGAAACTAATATAGGTGATACTCTCACGATGTTTGTCTAAAGGTCTCTATTTACTTGAGAGGTGATATAGCATAGTGGTTAAATACTTGGGTTTTTAGAACCAGACACCCAGGCGGATAATCTGGGAAAATTACTCATCATCTCTAGGCTTCCAATTTCCTTAAAATAAGATAGAGAATATAATAAATCTAGACCTGATAGTACTGTCATGACGATTAAATGAGATAATGTATTTAAAGCACTAAGCCAAAGAAATACCTGGCACATAGTAAACACGTGATGGGTGGTGGTTATTATAATGGTTATTATTAGTAATGAATGGCAACATTTACTGTTGCCCTAAAGCCCCAAAGAATCCTTTACTATCTATATTTTAAACTTTCTTCCCAGAGCACACTTAAGAAATGATTGACATTTTCCCTTCCCTCTGACCCCTGCTCTCTAGGTTAATGGTCTGAGGCTCTGTTCCATCTTTGTCCCTTTCCAGAGATTTAATCTCTCTCTCTCTCTCCCTCTCTCTCTCTCTCTCTCTCTGTGACATGGGACTTATATGATTGACACACAGGACCACCCACTTATCATTTACACTAGTGGAAGTAAGATGGTTCCAAAAGCTGGGTGAGGATTTGAAGTGACCAGAATAGTTGCCAGGATCATGTATTCTTTCATATACAAAAAACACATTTGTTGAAAGCCAGTGGTCTAGGTGTAGGATCTGATTTAGTGTGGGTTATTTGTCAATGTGGGCAGGGGAAGGGATGCAGCATAATAATTCCATAATAACTACCACTTACTGAAATGTATGTCAAGTGCCAGGCTAAATTGTCTCAGCACAATTATCCTTTAAAATTCTACAAGGTTAGATAGTCCTGTCATACCCATTTTATAGATGAGGAAATGGAAGCATGGAGCGATTAAGGCCATAGCTGGTTAAAGAGCAGAATCAGAAGTTGAACACATTCCACAGACTCTAGAGCTCACACTTTTAACTCCTGTGAGTCACTGCCTCAGCGGCACCAGGAATCCGCTGCTCTCAGGTGTATATTTGAAAAAGATTGTGAACAAGACAGAGGAAACCTGGTTACAGAATTAAATGCCAGCATGTAAAGCAAACATACAATCAAAACCAAGCTAATGAAAAAACAAAACAAAACCGAATCCCCAAAACCCAGAATACAAAAACCTGCCATGTGTTGGTTACTGGAGGAAAATAAGTGTTTTCCTAATGTTTAAACTCAGCAACTGACCCTAAGACTTGTTTTAATTTTGCGATTGTTTTGAAGCTGCTAGTCTGCCAGGCATATGGTGCAGGTAAGCTTTGCCAAGTCGTTCCTCCGAAGCATTTTATTACGATAATAATCACAAATGTGACCTCAGTCCTTTTATCCTGTTTATTCTCTACCGTTTCCTGTGATAAGTGCTACTTCTGTACTTTGCCAACCTCCTCCACCCGCATTTGTTTAGGGAAAGAATATTAATTAGTGATATTAAGGAGGCTATGGGCTGAAAATGAAATTTTCATAATGGAATTCCTTAGACTATCTTTGCCCTCCGAGGCATCCTCTGTTTAAGCAGTTCAATTGAATATCATTATTAACATACATAATAATAATAATTAGCATTATTGCCTGCATCAGTTGTTGTTCATGGAAAACTGCAAGCTCTTTTCTATCTATTGGCCTCAGTTAAAAGTGCGAAATAGATTCTCATTTTATGTTTTATTTCCCTGTCATTTTTGCTCTGCTCAACTCCTATGCTTGGCAGCTGGACCCCTTATGAGGTCCTTATTGGATTTTTTTTTTTTTTGGAAAAATAAAGAAGTTTCTTTATTCTCCTGTTTGAAAGAGGAGTCTGTCAGAGGTGGAAAACCTTCAATAGGCCAACTTTTTTAATTTTTAATTTTTAAAGTTTTTTTAGAGGCAGCGTCTTGCTCTGACATCCAGGCTGGAGTGCATTGGTACTATCATGGCTCACTGCTGCCTCAGACTTCTGGGTTCAAGCGAGCCTCCTGCCTTAGGCCAACTTTCCTGAGTTGTCTTGAAGCTTTATTTGTGCACCGTAAGCCACTCAAGATTTTCTGCAAAACCTCTCCTGGTTTCTAGCATCTCTCTCTCCCAATCCATTATCTGGATACACTGAGAATCATGTTTCTAAAAAGCAAGTCTGGCTTTCCACCTCCTTTGCTGAAAAACCTTGATAGGCTTCCCATTGCGCTCAGGATAAAATCCAGATTTCTTATCATGTCTTAATGCCATGACCCTTATTTCCTCATCTGGCTTTATCTCTCCTCACTCCATCTCCTTCTGCAGTCTGATCGTATTAAACTTGTTTTGGTTTTGCAGAGAGACTGTGCCACCTCACCTCAAGCTATAGCATGTGCTGTAAATGAAATGCCCTCTCCTCCCTGATTCAGGCTTCAGTGTGGGCACCGAGTCCTAGGAGCTTTCCTATCTTCTCAGGTCCAAGGGTGGTGCCTAATGTTAATTTCAGGGAGGTATAAGACTGCATACGATACGCGCTTCTTCCCCAAGCACTGGTAAATGAATGGCTTTGAATATTTTACATATAGGTCATAGTATGCTTCTGTTTCTCCCCTTCTTGGCTGTTTGGCTTAGAATAGGGGGCAACAAACTTTGGTCTGTGTGCCAAAAGCAATCAGCCACCTGTTTTTTTAAAACATTTTTTAAAATTGAGAGAAAATTCACACAACGTAAAGTTAACCATTTAAAAACATACAATTCAGTGGCATTTAGGACATTCACTTTTTTTTTTTTGAGACAATTCGACTCTGTCGCCCAGATTGGAATGCAGTAATGTGATCTCGGCTCACTACAGCCTCGACATCCTGGGCTCAAGCGATCCTCCCACCTTAGCCTCCTGAGTAGCTGGGCCTATAGGCATGTGTCACCACTCCCAACTAATTTTTGTATTATTAATTTATATTTTATTTTATTTTATTTTATTTTGAACAAAGGTGGATTGTCTCCACCTTTTAGTAGAGTATTTTGTAGAGTCAGGGTTTTACCATGTGGCCCAGGCTGGTCTTGAACTCCTGGGCTCAAGCAATCCACCTGCTTCGGCCTCCCAAAATGCTGGGATTGTAGGTGTGCGCCACCATGCCTGGCCACATTTCCAATATTCTGTAACCATCACATCTGCTTAGTTCCAGAACATTTTCATCACTCCAAAAAGAAAGCCCATAACTGTTGAGCAGGTGTTCTCAATTTTCTTCTCCTCAGTCCTCGGCAACCACCAAGCTACCTTCTGTGTCTGTGGATTTGCCTATTCTGGACAATTTATATCAATGGAGAGTCATGCATTGCATGGTCTTTTATTCATTTATTTATTTTTTGAGACGGAGTCTCGCTCCGTCGCCCAGGCTGGAGTGCAGTGGTGCGATCTCGGCTCACTGCAACCTCTGCCTCCTGGGTTAAGTGATTCTCCTGCCTTAGCCTCCCCAGTAGTGGGGATTACAGGCATGCGCCACCACACCTAGCTAATTTTTGTATTTTTAGTAGAGGCAGGGTTTTGCCATGTTGGTCAGGCTGGTCTTGAACTCCTGACCTCAGGTGATCCACCCGACTCAACCTCCCAAAGGGCTGGGATCACAGGCGTGAGCCACCATGCCCGGCCTACGTTGCCTTTTGTGTCTGCTTCTTTCATTTAGCATATTGTTCTCCAGGTTTATCCACCTGGCAGTATGCGTCCATACTTCCTATTCATGGCTGATTACTATTCCATTGGATGCATATGCCACATTTTGTGCATCCATTTTTCAGTTGATTGATCTTTGGATTGTCTGCACCTTTTAGCTACTATAAATAGGGCTGCTGTGAACATTTGTGTACAAGTTTTTGTTTGAACTCCTATTTGTAATTATTTTCGGCCCATGCCTAAGAGGGGAGTTGCCGGGTCATATGGCAATTCTGTGTTTAACCCTTTTAGGAGCCACCAAACCCAGTGCCTGTTGTTGTAAATAAAGTTTTATTGGCACACGGTCAAGGCCATTCATTTACTTCTCGTCTATGACTGCTTCTGTGCGACAACGGCAGAGTCAAGTAGTTGCAACATACGCCATCTGCCCCTAAAGCCTCAAAGATTAATTTTTATGGAGTTTTACAGAAGTTTGCTGAACTTTAACTTAGTACACCTGTGTTAAGCAATGTAGCCTGCAGGCCTTGAAGCCAGTAACAGCACTTTTTCAACAAAGATGGGGTGAATACAGAAAAAAAAGTTTATTCTCCTTAACCTGACTTATACATTCCTGATACTTTAGAATATTTTATGTAGATCTGAGGAGCCTATTTTGAATATCAAAGGGTGAGGTCAAGTCTTGTGGGAAAAGTGGTCTGGAAAATTGCCTAGACTCTGGAGTCAGACTTTGTAGGTTAAGTCACGAAACCTCTCTGGGCCTCTGTTTTCTCATCCTTTAAATGGAGATGATTAGGCTCCCCATCTTGTAGGACGGTAGAGAGGATTAAATGAAGGAAACACTGGCGAACTGCTTATAATGGTGCCTGGCATAAATATTAACTCTTACTAGGTGAGGCTCAGAGATCGCCCAGGACAAAGAAAGAAAATGGATCAATGAGCTAGTTTATCTCATGCCTTTGGATAAAATACTCTACACCCCTCCTCTTAAAATTGTTTTTGTACTGCGATTTTTATTTTTGAGGTAGGATCTCACTCTGTCGCCCAGGCTGGAGTGCAGAGGTACTTGGCTCACTGCCACCTCTGCCTCCCATGCTCCAGCAATCCTCTCACTTCAAACTCCTGAGTAGCTGAGAGTAGCATACATTTAGCGAATTGTTTTATTTTTCTGTAGAGACAGGTCTCACTGTGTTGCCTGGGCTGGGTAGCATGATTAAAAAAATTTTTTTTTGAGACAGAGTCTCTCGCTGTGTTGTCCCGGTTGGAGTGCAGTGGTACAATCTCAGCTCACTGTAACCTCTGCCTCCTAGGTTCAAGCAATTCTCGTGCTTCATCCTCCTGAATAGCTGGGACTACAGGTGTGCACCACCACATCTGACTAGCTTTTTAAAAGATTTTTAGTAGAGATGGGGTTTTGTTATGTTGGTCAGGCTGGTCTTGAACTCCTGGCCTTAAATGACCCATCTGTCTTGACCTCCCAAACCTCCCAAAGTGCTGGGATTACAGGCATGAGCCACTGTGTCCAGCCTGGGATAGTGTGATTTTTTTTTTTAATCGTGATAAAAATATAGGGTAATATAAAACTTACCATTTTAACCTTTTTTTTTTTTTTTTTTTTTGAGATGGAGTCTCACTCTGTTGCCAGGCTGGAGTGCAGTGGTGCCATCTTGACTCACTGCAAACTCCACCTCCCGGTTTCAAGCGATTCTCCTGCCTCAGCCTCCTGAGTAGCTTGGATTACAGGCATGCGCCACCATGCCCAGCTAATTTTTGTATTTTTAGTAGAGACGGGGTTTCAGCATGTTGGCCAGGATGGTCACAATCTCCTGACCTCATGATCCGTCCACCTCGGCCTCCCAAAGTGCTGGCATTACAGGCGTGAGCCACTGCGCCAGGCCCATTTTAACCATTTTGAAGTGTACAATTTTAAGTGTACAATTAAGTGGCATTAAGTACATTCACATTGTTGGGCAACCATCACCACCATCCATCTTCAGACGCTTCTCATCATCTCAAACTGAAACTCTGTCCTTATTAAACACCAATTCCCTATGCCTCCATTTCCCCATCCCTGGGCAACCACTGTTCTATTCTCTTTCTCTATGAATTCAGCTGCTCTAGATACCTCATATAAGTGGAATCATATGATATTTGTCTTTTTGTAACTGGCTTATTTCACTCAGCATAATATCTTTAAGTTTCATCCATGTTGTAACATGTTTCAGAATTTCTTCCTTTTTTAAAACACATTTTTATTGTGGTAAAACACAAATAATATAATATTTACCATTGGAACCACTTTTAAGCGTACAGTTCAGTGGTATTAAGTGCATTCATATTGTTGGGCAACCATCACCACCATCCATCTCCAGAATATTTTTGTCTTAGAAAAATGAAATGCAGGCTGGGCATGGCGGCTCATGCCTATAATCTCAGCATTTTGGGAGGCCGAGGTGGGCAGATCACCTGAGATTGGAAGTTTGAGACCAGCCTGACCAACATGGAGAAACCCTGTCTCTATTAAAAATAAAAAATTAGCCGGCTGTGGTGGCGCATGCCTGTAATCCCAGCTACTCAGGAGGCTGAGGCAGGAGAATCACTTGAACTCGGGAGGTGGAGGTTGTGGTGAGCCGAGATTGTACCACAGCATGGGCAACAAGAGTGAAACTCCATCTCAAAAATAATAATAATAATAAAATCAAATAAAATAAAATGCAGCTGGGCACAGTGGCTCATGCCTTTAATCCTTGCACTTTGGGAGGCTGAGGCAGGAGGATCACTTGAGACCAGGAATTTGAGATCAGCCTGAGCAGCATGTTGAGAATCTGTTTCCACCAAGAAAAAAAAAAAAAAATTAGCCAGGTGTGGTGGCACGTGCCTGGGAACACAGAGATGAATGCAGTTGGAGTGGAGCAAGACAGGAGAATGGTCTGAGATGGTGAAGAGACACGTGAGGCCAGGCTGTGCTGACCTGGTGAGATCCTGGGAGAAGAGTTTGCACTTCATTCCTAGTGCGATCAGAAGCCAGGGGAGGGTTGGCCACAGGAGAGTGACATGATCATCTTCACTGATTGCTGTTGAAAAAGACGGTTCTACTCTTTGACCACTGGCTTTGTAAAGAGGTTTTCAAGGCTCAGAGATGGCTTGTATTGTTATATTAGGAGAGGTTTGATGGTAGCCGACCTGGTAGTGGATGTTCTGTTTCAGGTGCCATAAATGGGGCCATACATCAAACCCATTGATTTTCTACTTCAGAGACCCCAAGAGCCATACAACCCTAACCCTCAGTGCCCCTGCGTAAAGTTAGACAGACATCGTTTATTGGGGTTACAGAGCAGCTGTCTAAATCCTGCCTGGACTCATTTAAAGCAGTGTGCCTCGGGGGCACCTTGCTCCTGCAAACATTTCAGAGCCAGGAAAGACTGACTGGGGATGAAGGATGCACCTGACTTCTTGGCACCTGCTGCTGCATTTTTGTTTTGATTGTTTGCATGATGCTTGGAGGAGAAGCAGGGAAAAAAGAGGCCGATAGGCGTTTTTCTCTCACTTATTGTTCTTTTTTCTGGCCTTGGAAGGATGGAAGGAAGGAAGGAAGGAGGGAAGGAAGGAAGCTAATATCTATTGAACAGCAATGCAGGGACTGGATAGTTATGGTCCCAAGTTACCTAATTTCATTCATTCATTCATTCATTCATTCATTCCACAAGAAATATTCATTGAGTGTCTTTATATGCCAGACATTGTTCTGGGCCCCAGGAATAAGCATTGAACACAATGGACAAAGCCTCTTCTCTCTTGGGGCTGACTTTCTGACAAGGAAGACAAGACAGACATTAAACAGGTAAGTACAAATCAGGCGGATATGTCCTAGGAGGAAAAACCAAGCTGAGTAATGAGATGGAGAGAGTGTGGACTATTTTATGTGGGAGGGGGACACTGGTCAGGGAAGCTCTCTTTGCAAAAGTGGTATCTGAGCAGAGAACTAAAGAAAATAAGGGAGAGAAGCACCAGACTTTCTGTGGATCTAGGACATTGTTATTTCTTCTTAGAGAAGAGTCTACTGAGAATTGGAGGAATTAAGTGACTCTTCCAAGATCAGAAGATAGTGGTAGCAGTAGCAGCAGCAGTAGTAGTAATAGATAAATTTTATTACATTTGCTCTATGCCAGGCACTAGATGAAATATTTATTTCTATCATCTCATTTAATTTTCACAACAAATCTACAAGGTAGATATCATTATTGTTATTCCCATTATATAAATGCCACCGAGGATCATAGAAGTGATATCACTTAGCTAAGGTCACACAGCTAATAAAGGAGAAGCAGAGATTCAAATCCACGTTCATTAGTCTCCAGGACACTATAACCATTTTCCAGCCCATAGCTGATGAAGCTGAAATACAGAGTGAAGCCTCTATCTGAAAACCCTTCTTTTCCAATAGACCAGTCCAAATCCCAACTTTCAATGCAGTACCCGGTTCTTTGATTAGACCCTGGCATAGGGTTTGTTAGGTGGGTATTGAGGGCCTCCTAAATAATGGAGTAGTGCATTTGGATCTGTGACCACAGACATTTTGAGTCCCACCATCTCTGATTTGCACAGAGACCTTCTTGTGACCAATTATTGTGAGTCAAGAGCTCAGGTGTCCAATGAAAGTTCGCAGGGAGCTACTCTTCTCTTGAAAGAAATGGGCTATAGAGCTCTATTGGCCTGGGATGTGCAGCTCCATTGGTCCATGATTTGATGAGAAAGACTGCAAACGTGTGATCCAGATATATGGATGTGTATATGCCTCTTAGCAAGAATGCAGTTGATTTTCTAGGTCTATGGAGCTATGCACACAGCTATAGCATTCATTTACTCACTCATTCTGTGCTGTGCCTGCTAGTGTGTTACATTCTGAGTCTGCAGCAATGAACAGGCAAGGTCCCTGTCTTCCTGTTGAATACATTATAAGGGGAGAATGAGGGAGTGTTGTGTGAAGAAGGAGAAAATAAAGCGGATGAATAAATGAACAAGATCATCTCAGATGCTGAGAGTGCCCTGAGGCATTGCCACAGAGAGACACTGGGATGTCTGCTTATATTGAGTGGTCAGTGGAGGCCCCTCTGAGCAGGGCCAATTGAACAGAAGGGGAGGGAGGAGCTGCCATGAGCAGTTCTGCAGAAAAGCATTTCAGGTGCCAGAAACATCCCGGTAACAGACAGAAGACTGGGTCAAGGGGTACGTGCCTTAAGGACTGTGATAATTAGGTGGGTACACAAAGTATTTTGCTGAGACTTGCAAAAAGGAAACCAGAGGGAATGCCAGCATGAAAAACATGAGATTTCAAGTCTGTAACTGCTAAAAGTCACAGACTCTTTATAACTTATGAGCTCTTTATAACTTATGGGCCGCAGGAGAACCTTTGAAGAATGTGGTTCAAGAGAAGGATTAGCTAGCAGAGAAGATTTTAAGAAATATGTCTTAAAAATAATTTTATGATGGGAAATTCCAAAGGTATATGAAAGTAGAAGAATAGCACAATGAATTCTCAGGACTCACTACCTGGCTTCAACAATGGACAACTCATGCCCAGTTTTGCTTATACCTCTACCTGTTTTCCCCACATACATTATTTTGAAGCCAATTCCAGTCACTACCATTTCATCTGTAAATATTACAATGTGTATCTTGAAAAGATAAACTCTTAAAAACATAGGCACAATACCATCAGTGCACCCAAAACATTAACAATGATTCCTTAGAACATCAACTATCCAGTCACCGTTCAGGTTACTTACTGCCTAATACAATTTTTTCTTTCTTTTTTATTTTTATTTTACTTTAAGTTCTTGGGTACATGTGCAGAATGTGCGGGTTTGTTACGTAGGTATGCAAGTGTCGTGGTGGTTTGCTGCACCTATCAACCCGTCATCTAGGTTTTAAGCCCAGCATGCATTAGATATTTGTCCTAATGCTCTCCCTCCCCTTGACCCCCACCCCCCAACAGGCCCCGGTATGTGATGTTCCCCTCCCTGCGTCCATGTGTTTTCATTGTTCAACTCCCACTTATGAGTGAGAATATGTGGTGTTTGGTTTTCTGTTCCTGTGTTAGTTTGCTGAGAATGATGGTTTCCAGCTTCATCCATGTCCCTGCAAAGGACACGAACTCATTCTTTTTTATGTCTGCATAGTATTTCATAGTGTATATGTGCCACATTTTCTTTAACTAGTCTATCATTGATGGGCATTTAGGTTGGTTCCAAGTCTTTGCTATTGTAAATAGTGCTGCAGTAAGCTCTCTCACCCAGGCTGAAGTGCAGTGGCACAATCTCGGCTCACTGCAACCTCTTTCCCCTGGGTTCAAGTCATTCTCGTGCCTCAGCCTCCCCAGTAGCTGGGATTACAGGTGCATGCCGCCACACCTGGCTAGTCTAGTTTTTGTATTTTTAGTAAAGACAAGGTTTTGCCATATGGTCAGGATGGTCTTGAACTCTTGGCCTCAAGTGATCTGCCGCCCGCCTTGGCCTCCCAAAGTGCTGGGATTACAGGCATAAGCCACCACTCCCGGCTCTGCCTAATACATTTTAATAATAATTTCTTTGAATCAGAATCCAACTAAAGTCCTACACATAGTGATTGGCTCATGTGTCTTTTAATCTATAGGTTTCCCCTTCAGTTCTTTTATTGCTGGAAAAATAGGTTATTCATCTTGTGTAATTCAAAATGTGGTCAGTGAACCAGGATCATCAGCATCACCTGGGAACTCGGTAGAAATGCAGCATCTCAGATCCCATCCCAGACCTCCTGGGTTAGAAACTACATTTTCACAAGGTCCCTGGGTGTTTTGTATGCACAATTAAGTTTGAGAAGCACTGCTGTAGAGTCCCCCGCAGTCTAGACATTGCCAGTTGCATCTCTGTGGTGTCCTTTAGTGCATTCCTTCATCTTCCACTTTTCTTTCTTTTCTTTCTTTCTTTTTCTTTCTTTCTTTCTTTTTCTCTTCCTTCCTTTCTGTCTTTCTTTCTTTCATTCCTCCCTCCCTCCCTCCCTTCCTTCCTTCCCTCCTTCCTTCTTTCTTTTCCTTCCTTCCTTCCTTCCCTCCCTCCCTCCCCTACCCTCCCTCCCTCCCTCCCTCCCTCCCTTCCTTCCTTCCTTCCTTCCTTCCTTCCTTCCTTCCTTCCTTCCTTCCTTCCTTTTTTCCTCTCTCTTTCTTTCTTTTTTGTTTGAGTTGGAGTCTCACTCTGTCACCCATGCTGGAGTGCAATGGTGTGATCTTCGGCTCACTGCAACCGCTGCCTCCCGGGTTCAAGCAATTCTCCTGCCTCAGCCTCCCAAGTAGCTGGGATTACAGGCACCCACCACCACGCCCCGCTAATTTTTGTATTTTTAGTAGAGACGGGGTTTCACCTTATTGGCCAGGCTGGTCTCTTAGCCAAGCTGGTTTCAAACTCCTGACCTTGTGATCCACCCACCTCAGCCTCCCGAAGTGCTGGGATTACAGGTGGGAGCCACCGTGCCTGGCCCATTGTCCACATTTCTGTAAGTTGATAAGTTGTATCTATACATTTTTATCAGATTTAGGTCTGATTTTTTCTTTTTTTTTTTTTTTTTTTTTTAGCAAGACCACTTTTTAGATTGTTATGTTTTTCCATGAGGAGGTAACTGATGTCTGGTTATCTCCCATTGTGTTTTTATTTTTTAAAATTATTTTTATTATTTATTTATTTAATTTTTGAGATGGTGTCTTGCTCAGTTGCCCAGGCTGGAGTGCAGTGGCATGATCATGGCTCACTGCAGCTTTGACCTTGCAGGCTCAAGTAGTCATCTTACCTCAGCCTCCTGAGTAGCTGGCACCACAGGCATGCACTAACATACCCGGTTAGTTTTTTACAAAACTAATTTGTAGTGATGGGGTCTCACTGTGTTGCCTAGGCTGGTCTGGAACTCCTGGGCTCAAGTGATCCTCCCACTTTGGCCTCCTAATTTGCTGGGACTACAGGCATGAGCTACCATGCCCAGCCTCATTTGTGATGTTATCTATCTGCTGTATGATAATGCCTAGATCCATGAATTCATTAAGGGTTGCAAAACAGAGCAAGGCTTTGACTTGAGTGGATCCAGTTTATTTTGGAAGTGATTAATTCTCTAATTTTTATTCACCATTTCTATAAAATTAATGGTATATTGCACCAATTATGTGCCAGGAACTGTTCTAAGGGCTTTACATAAATGAATGCATTTATTGATCCTCACAAAAATCTTTAAAACTGTGTATTCATTTCCTATTGCTGCTGTAACAAATTGCCACAAACTTAGTGGCTTGGAACAATCCAAATTATTATCTTACAGTGTTGGAGGTCAGAAGTCCCAAAGAGGTCTCACTTGGTTAATATCAAGGCATTGACAGGGCTGCATTATTTCTGGAGGCTCTGGGGAGAACCTTTGCCTCTTCCAAATTCTAGAGACCACCTGCAGTCCTTGGCTTGTGGCCTCTTTCTCCATATTCAGAGCTACTAGCATAACATCTTTAAATCTCTCTCTGATTCTCTTCTTCCTCCCTCTTCCACACTTAAGGACCCTTTTGATTACATCGGTTCTACCTGCACAACCTCCTGGTTTTAAGGTCAACATTGATTCCATCTGCAACTTTGATTCCCTTTTGCTGTAGAATCTAACATATTCATAGGTTCCAGGAATTAGGACACAGACATCTCTGAAGGGACATTATTCTGCCAGCCACCACTAGGCTCTTTGGTTCCTGTTTTACAGACAAGGAAACTGAGATACATCGAGGGGAAATAACTCATCCAAATTCACACAGGTCCTAACTGGTGGAGCTTGGATACAAACAGAGAGAGTCTGGCTCCAGAGTCCATGCTTTGAACCCAGCAGATGTGAGATCACTTAGTGCTCAACACTGAATTTCCTCTGAGACCTCGATCTTGCCAATGAACATATGTTTTTAGGAACATTGAATCCTGCGGTTGTCAGGGGATTTCTGCACACAAATGTTAGCCGGTGAATTCACCGTTCTTTCCGATGGTAAGTTAGTGTTTCCCTCCTAAAAGGTGGTAACAGTGGGCTTGTCCTTGGTTCAGTCTGTTTCTTCTTAGGCCCAGTCAGTTACCCACTGAATTAACCCCACGCTGGACCCTGACCTCTTTTTGGTACCATGTACCCTTTTGGCATCTGGCGGAGTCTATGACCTCCTTCTGAGAACAATATCCTTTTTTTTTTTTTTTTTTTTTTGGAGAAGATATGTTTATTAATGGATGATTACATTAGCTTTCTGGGCAACAAACCTAAATATGCCTACTAATATTGATCTTCTATTCAACTCAAACTGAATAACATAACTTGTTCTCAATATAACTTACTTTTTTTAAAGTATTATTGCATGCCCTTATTTTATTTAAACTGAGATCTTCTTGGTGTCAGACGTTTATCTCAACCTATAGGTAAATATGTTTACAATTATAAATCTGCTAGTAAACATATTATATAACTTCTTCTACTTAGTAATCTTCATATTAGACAACTATAGCTTAAGTATCATCATACTAGTTATACTCAAATTTTCCCTATTGCCTTAAAGATTCCCTTTGGCAGTTTGTTTGTTTAAATTAAGGCCCAAAATTCACATATTTCCTTTTTTATATATATAAATCTTTCTAACTCCAAAACAATATTTAACCATTAGCACTTTTTATTTTTGGTCCATTCAGTTTTGGGAAAATGTTATTTAGGCTATGAAATATTCTATACTAGATTTGATTGATTGTTCTTTGTAATATTGTTTAAATTATTTATCTATGCAAAAAATAAAGTGCATGGAATTACAAAGGAAACCAATTATACTAAAATATGGTTATCAAAATATAAAAAAACTCACCAAATTTGTGTCATAGTAATATGTGAATCTTTACTAATGCATCAAATAACAAGATTTAGTGGTGAGTCTAATAACTATGTAATTCCAATTAGTGATGCACACGTACAATATAATGAGATGTCTGCTATGATTGTAATGAGATATGAAAATATCGTGATTTATATCGGTGACAAAAATCACAGATATTGCAAATACTACTGTGGTTTGTTGCTTCCATTTATAATAGAAGGAAATGCTAAATTTTAGTTAGCAATCAGAGAAAATGAGGCAGGTTTATGGACCCTCTGAATTCTACCCACAAACCTCAAGTTGGGAGCCCTGGCCTAGTACCCCATTGGTTTGTGCTGCTTATTTAGTATTTCTCTCTCTCTCTCTCTCTCTTTTTTTTTTTTTTTTTTGGAGACAAAGTCTCACTCTGTCACCCAGGCTGAAGTGCAGTGGCACGATCAGAGCTGGCTGCAACCTCTGCTTCCCGGGCTCAAGCAATCCTCCCACCTCAGCCCACTAAGTGGCAGGGACTACAGGCATGAGTCACCACGCCCAACTAATTTTTGTAATTTTTTGTAGAGATGGGGTTTCACCATGTTGCCCAGGCTAGTCTCAAACTCCTGAGCTCAAGCAGTCCACCCGCCTCAGCCTCTCAAAGTGCTAGGATTCCAGGTGTGAGCCACTGCACCGGGCCTGTTTCGTGTTTCTCTTAATTTGATAGACTCTAGCAAATACCTGTTGAGACCCCACTGTGGGCAAGGCATGTGCTAGGGACTTGGGAGAGAGCACTGAACACACAGAGCTGGCCTTCAAGGAACAGATAGATTTCTTTTAAGATTTTCCCGCCTTCCTTCTGGGGGGAGAGTGTCTTCACCCTTCAGTGTAATTGCAAACTCCTTGAAGGCTGGGAGTGGTTCTAAGTCCCTTCTCTTGTCAGGCCTCAGATGATAGGCATTGAAGAAACAGGAGGTTCAAAGATCAATGTTTACACAAAACGATTTTCGGTCGTTCATGGAAAAAAACATTTTATTATTTAACAGTTAAACATTTATGTTAATGCAGATAAGAAAATATATAGAACTCAGCTGGGTGTGATGGCTCACACCTGTAATCTTAGCACTTTGGGAGGCCGAGGTGGGAGAATTGCTTGAGTCCAGGTGTTCCGGACCAGCCTGGGCAATATAGCAAGACCCTATCTCTTAAAAAAATAAAAGAAAACATATAGAACTAGCCATCTTAATACATAATATGGGTTATTATTGCCTAGGATGAGGACTTTTCTTCTTTTTATAACTGTGCTGAAAAGGACATGACATTGTACTTACCATCTTCACCATTTTATAATGTACAGTTCAGTTGTGTTAAGTGTATTCACGTTGTGCAATAGATCTGTAGAAGTATTTCATCTTGCAAAACGGAAACTCTAGACCCATTAAACACTAAATACCTCCAGCCCTTGGCAACCGTGATTCTACTTTCTGTTTCTAGGAGTTTGACTACTTGAGATACCTCATTGGAGTGGAATTGTTCGGTATTTGTCCTTTTGTGACTGGCTTATCACATAAAGTCGTCGAGGTTTGTCTATGGTGCAGCACCCCACAAGATTTCCCTCTCTCTCTCTTTTTTTTTTTTTTTTTTTTAAAGACAGGGTCTCACGCTGTCACCCAGGCTGGAGTGCAGTGGCATCATCTCGGTTCACTGCAACTTCTGCTCCCTCGACTCAAGTGATACTCCCACCTCAGCCTCCTGAGTAGCTGGTACTATAGGCACACACCACCATGCCTGGCTTTTTTTTTTTTTTTGGCATTTGGCAGTTTGTTTGTACATTGAAATACAAGATCTCTGAAGCTTTTGTAGCTATAAATGTTTCTAAATGATGCAACACATGGTCTCGCCATGTTGCCCAGGCTGGTCTCAAACTCCTGAGCTCCAGCAATTGGCCCGCCTCAGCCTCCCAAAGTGCTGGGATTACAGGCGTGAGCCACTGTGCCTGGCCAAATATCCCTCTTTTTAAAGGCTGAATAACATTCCATCGTACGTAGATATCAGATTTTCGTTATCCCTTCATTTGCCAATGGGCATTTGGGTTGCTTTCACCTCTTGATTATTGTGAATAACCCTGCAATGAACATGGGTGTGCAAATATTTCTTTGAAATCCTGCTTTCAAATTTTTGGGATATATACCCAGAAATGGAATTTCTGGATCATATGGTATTTCTATTTTTAACTTTTTGAGGAGTTTCCATACCGTTTTCCTGTAGCAACTGCACCATTTTCATTCCCACCAACTGTGCACAAAAGTTCCAATTCTTCACGTCCTCGCCAACACTTGTTATTTTCTGTTTTTTTTTTTAATTGTGGCCATCATAATGGGTGTGAGGTGATATGAGATGAGGATATTTCAAGATAATATTAAGTAAATAATAGTAGAGGTGTTCAATAGAAATGGCAAAAATGAAGATGTACCAATGCATGAAGTTTGGAAACCTCTTTTTTTTTTTTTTTTGGACAGTCTCTGTCACTCAGGCTGGAGTGCAGTGGCACGATCTTGGCTCACTGCAACCTCTGCCTCCCAGGTTCAAGCGATTCTCCAGCCTCCCAAGTAGCTGGGATTACGGACACCTGCCACCATGTCCAGCTAATTTTTGCATTTTTAGTAGAGATGTGGTTTCACATTGTTGGCCAGGCTGGTCTCGAACTCCTGACCTCAAGTGATCTGCCCGCCTCGGCCTCCCAAAAGTGATGGGATTAGAGGTGTGAGCTATCATGCCCAACCTGGAAAACTCTTGATCAGACAACTTCTAAAGCTGCCCAAAGTGTGGTCTGTGGTCAGTAATGGCCTGAGAACTGTTCCTTGTCTGAGACCAGATAAGACAGAACTTGAGGGTACCTGTTTAGAAGGATAGCAATTTAACATTCCTAAAACATCTGAATGCATGATCGTTATTCTAGTAATTTGCTTTTATTGTATTTTATGAACGTATTGGCCCACGATGGATTGGCAAACAAAAGAAGACAAAGCAAAGCTGGCCCTGCAGCCCTGACAGTCTGAGAAGCTCTACAGTTCCGCCCAGGCTTGGCAACATAACTACTGAACTTATTTTGGCCTCAGATTTTCCATCTATAAAATGAGGATAAGAAAAGGAAAGCTCAGTCTTCATTTTATTTTATTTTTGAGACAGAGTCTGGCTCTGTTGCTCAGGGTGGATCATGCAGTGGCGCGATCTTGGCTCACTACCACCTCCACCTCCTGGGTTCAAGCGATTCTCGTGCCTCAGCCTCCTGAGTAGCTGGGATTACAGTCTTGTGCCACCATGCCCGGCTAATTTTTGCACTTTTAGTAGAGATGTGGTTTCACCATGTTGGCCAGGCTGGTCTTGAACTCCTGACCTCAAGTGATCCGCCCACCTGGAGCTCCCAAAGTGCTGGGATTACAGGCGTGAGCCACTGTGCCCGGCCGGGAGCCCAGTCTTGATCGTTGTCAGCTAGTAGCTGGCCTGGTACTACTGCTAGGCTGTGGTGTTCCCTACTTAAGCAATTTCATAGGATGGTCACACTGGAAGATGTCATGCTGACCATGATGAAACAAGACAAAAACAAGACAGTCTGTAATGAATCCTATCTGAGCATGAAAGTATGAGCAGTGGGCAAACCACAAAAAAATGGCCAAACGCATCCTCTCCTTCTGACTGACACATGCAGTTACTGCTGGTTTTCCAATGACAGCTTTAGCCCCACTCTATTCCTCCTGCCTCCTACATAAAAATTATGATGATGCCCAGCCATGGAATTAACACTGCTTTCTGCCAGCTAACCAGAAGCGCCCCAACACACTCTTACTGGGACACAGCTCCCACTCCCCATGGTGTGTGGTCTTCCTTGTTGCAACAGGTTACTAAACCCATTTCTGTTCAACTACAGGTGTGTTTCTGGTGGCTTCTGGCTGATGAGCATGACAGGAATAATAATAGATGGCTATAGGTTTAAATGAGTTCATGCATGCAATATGCTTAGAATGATGCCTGGCTCCAAGTAAGGTCTATTAAAATGTTAGATATTATTATTATTGTTATTATTATTCGGAATAGCGTCTTGCTGTGTTGCCCAGGCTGGAGTGCAGTGGTGTGATCATGGCTCACTGTAGCCTCAACCTCCTGGGGTCAAGCAATCCTCCCACTTTAGCCTCCTGAGTAGGTGGGAGTACAGGTGTGAGGCACCATTACAGGCCTATTATTATTAATAATATTATCTTTGTCCCTCACAGTGATGGGCACCACATCTTGCCATAGAAAGACCCCATACTTGCTGGGCACATTGGCTCATGCCTGTAATTCCAGCGTGTTTAGAGGCCTAGGCGGGAGTATTACTTGAGCCCAGGAGGTTGAGACCAACCTGGGCAACACAATGAGATCTAGTCTCTACAAAAATTAAAAAATCAGCCAGCTGCGGTGGTGCAAATCTGTGGTCCCAGCTACTGGGGAGGGTGAGGTGGGAAGATTGCTTGAGCCCAGGAAGTTGAGGTTTCAGTGAGCTGTAACTGTGCCACTACACTCCAGTCTGTGTGACAGAGCGAGACCCTGTCTCAAAAAATTGAAAGACACACCCCACACTTGTGGGGACACCAAATTTGTGGATTGATTTGGGATAGTGTATTCATCATCTATTGTTGTGTAAAAAGTTACCCCAAATGCAGTAGCTGAAAACAATAAATACCTATTATCTCACAGCTTCTACGGGTCAGGAACCCAGGAGCAGCTTAGCTGGGTGGTTCTGACTCAGGATCTCTCATGAGGCTGCAAGTCAGGCTGTTGGCTAGAGCTGCTGTCACACTGGGACTCAACCAGAGGAGACTCTGCTCCGAAGTTCCTTCACATGGGGGCTGTGCCTCCCCATGCGAACCTCGCCATTGATGGCCTGAATGTCTCTGCAACATGGCAGCTGGTTCCCGAGAGAGAGAGAGAGAGAGAGAGAGAGAGAGAGGGAGAGAGCAAGCACAACCCTATTCTATTCATGATGCAGACTAGCCCTGGTCTGTGCATGGTGGGGGATGCCACACAAGGGGATGAATACCTGGAGGCAAGAATAATTGGGACCATCTTGCAGGTTGGGCCATAGAGGGCCTCCCTGTTCCTCCAAGTGCCCTCCAACTTTTCCCTCTTGGCTTCAACTTTTTTTTTTGTTTGTTTGTTTGTTTTTGAGACAGAGTCTCACTCTGTCACCCAGGCTGCAGTGCAGTGGTGTGATCTCGGCTCACTGCAACTTCCACCTCCCGAGATCAAGGGATTCTCCTGCCTCAGCCTCCCGAGTAGCTGGGACTACAGGCGCCCGCCACACCATGTTGGGCTAATTTTTTGTATTTTTAATAGAGATGGGGTTTCACCGTGTTAGCCAGGATGGTCTCGATCTCCTGACCTTGTGATCTGCCCACCTCAGCCTCCCAAAGTTTTGAGATTACAGGCATGAGCCACCGCACCCAGCCGGGCTTCAACTTTAATTTAGACCAAGAAGACATCTCCATTCTCTCTGAATGGAGCTTGAAGACAAACAAACAAGAAATGAGTGTGAGTATAGCTGGGGTGGGATGGGGCCTACAGGTATTGGAGAGGCAGAAATCTCGTCCTGTCTGTTGACATTTGTCAAGGCCTCTGCAGGGACAGGCTCCTGGGAGACTCTGCAGTCAGCTGCACTTCCAGAGGGAGAAGAGGCATACGCTTTCTCTCTCTCTCTCTCCTCTTTTCTTCCTCTCTCCCTCCTCCCTGCAGCAAGAGTCTTGAATCCCTCTGACTGACAGTGTCAGATTGTCTTATCAAAACACGGGTCCGGGACTACACTGTGATTGGCTGTGCAGAACCATTGTGGGGCTGGAGAATTCTTCTCCGAGGGAAATGATTATAAGGCATTTTAAGAACAGCAAGCTGAATGCTACGCACAGCTGGCAGTTCTTGTTTTTGACAAGTAATAATTGCCTCAGGTGCAATGGAAAGTGGGGGTGGGGGGCTCTGTGAGTTTATTTTGAGAGGAGGCTCAGTGCACAGGGGTTGGGCATTGGACAAGGAGGGGTGAGTGGGAGCAACTTGGCTCAGGGGGTCTCAGACTGACTCGATCTGAGGCTGAGGGAGCATCTGGGGTGGCCCTGAGTGACAGTATGTTTCCTTCTGTGCCCCTGGGAACACCTCTTGCCATCTGAGTGGGGAGACAGGGGGTGACTTGTGATTGTAGGAAGGCCCAGATGTTCTGAGCAAACTGACCCAAAGCAGCATCTGTCCTGCATGGGGGCCTGGCCCTGTGAGGGTGATGCACGAGCGGCTTTTGTGCTTAGAGAGCCCTGGAACCACTGTATGCCTTGCTAGACACTTGCTACTCAAAGTGTAGTGCCTGGGCCAGCAGCATCAGCACCAGCCTGGGAGCTCATAAGAAAAGCAGAGGCTCAGGTCCCCCTCAGGGACCTACAGAATCCAAATCTGCATTTTGATTTTTGTTTTTGTCTTTTGTTTTGAATTTTTTTTTTTTTGAGGCAGGGTTTCACTCTGTCATCCAGGCTGGAATTCTGGGGTGCAATCATGGCGCACTGCAACCTCGAACTCCTGGGCTCAAGCAATCCTCCCACGTCAGCCTCCCGAGCTGACATGCCTAGCTAATTTTTTTTTTTTGAGACGAAGTTTCACTCTTGTTGGCCGGGCTGGAGTGCAATGGCATGATCTTGGCTCACTGCAACCTCTGCCTCCCAGGTTCAAGCTATTCTCATGCCTCAGCCTCCAGAGTAGCTGGGATTACAGGCCTGTGCCACTGTGCCCGGCGAATTGTTGTATTTTTAGTAGAGAGGGGGTTTCACCATGTTGGCCAGGCTGGTCTCGAACTCCTACCTCACGTGATCCACTCGCCTCTGCCTCCCAAAGTGTTGGGATTACAGGCATGAGCCACTGCACCCATTATATATTTTTTTAAGCTTCAAAAAAGAAAATGGGCACTGCCATGGAAAGGAGAAGCTGGATTGTATGCCAGGCAGTCAAAAAGCCAACTGTTTTTGATGATTGGAGTGCTGGTTACAGAGGGAGCTCATTTTCTTTTTTAAAAATATATTTAAAAATGTTTTATAAGGCCGAGATGGGCAGATCACCTGAGGTCAGGAGTTTTAGACCATTCTGGCCAACATAGTGAAACCCTGTCTCTGCCAAAAATACAAAAATTAGCTGGGCGTGGTGGCAGGTGCCTGTAATCCCAGCTACTCGGGAGGCTGAGCCAGGAGAATCGCTGGAACCCGGGAGGCAGAGGTTGCAGTGAGCCGAGGTCGTACCACTGCACTCCAGCCTGGGCAACAGAGTGAGACTGTCTCAAAAAAAAAAAAAATTATAGATTTAGGGGGTACAAGCGAAGATTTCTTACATGCCTATTCTGGGATTTTAGGGTAAACATCACCCGAATAGTGAACATTGTATCCAATAGGTAATTTTTCACTTCTCATTCCCCTCCCGCTCTCCTACCTTTTGGAGTCTCCAGTGTCTAGTCTATTATTCCGCTCTATATGTCCATGTGTACCCTTTGTTTGGGGCTCATTTTCTTTTCTTTTTAAATAACCTTCATTTAAAAAAAGTTAATATGTGCATTATCGGAAACTGAAAAACACAAGAAGCAAAGAACAAAATCATCTACAATCACAAGCAGTGGAACTCATCTTTTTTTTTGTTTTTTTTTTTTTGTTTTTTTTTTTTGAGATGGAGTCTCACTCTGTTGCCCAGGCTGGAGTGCAGTGGTGTGATCTTGGCTCACTGCAACCTCTGCCTCCCTGGTTCATGCCATTCTCCTGGCTCAGCCTCCCGAGTAGCTGGGATTACAAGTGCCCACCACTATGCCCAACTAATTTTTGTATTTTTAGTAGACACTGGGTTTCACCATGTTGGCCAGGCTGGTCTCAAACTCCTGACCTCAAGTGATCCGCCTGCCTCGGCCTTCCAAAGTGCCAGATTACAGGCGCAAGCCACCGTGCCTGGCCCAGAACACATTCTCTTTATGTGATTTTGTGTCAATGTGGAGAGATATTCAACAAGGACATGGAGTCTGTCAGACTTTGCATTGCCCCATTTCCTGTATACTAGTTTGATGCTTGCTCTATGCAGATGTCTTGGCTCATGAAGGCCCATGTACATTCTGGAAGACGGTCATGGAGCCAGGGACCAAGTCCTGTGGCTGAGAGGATAAAGGACTCTGTCCCAGTCTGGAACTGATCACCTCAGAGTAACATGATGGGGTAGTCCATGGACTTTCACGTCAGACCAAGCTGGGTGTAAAGCCAGGAGCTGCCACTCAGCAGCTGTGTCACCTCAGGGAGGATGCTGTGCCCTCCCCTTCCCCCAGAGAATGGCCTCTGCCCGGCCTGCCTTGGTGAGCACAGGAGCTCATGGATTAAGATGTGTAACATGCTCAGCATGGGGCTTGGCACATTACAGTCAGTGCTGAATAAAGGCTAGGCATTAATATGATGTTGATAAATTGTTTTATTTTATATGATTTAAAGATAAGCTTTGAGGTGATGCCGGGGGAGAGCGTGGATGGGAAATTTGATAGTTTCAGGAGTTTGAAGAAGGCACTTCTAGAAGAGATTGGTGATGAAAACAGCAAGGTCTACAGAGCTCTTATGGAGGTTTCTTTTTCTTTCTTTCTTCTTTTTTTTTAACTGAGATGGAGTCTCGCTGTGTCGCCCAGGCTGGAGTGCAGTGGCGTGATCTCGGCTCACTGCAACCTTTGCCACCCAGGTTCAAGCGATTCTCGTGCCACTGCCTCCCAAGTAGCTGGGACTACAGGCGCACGCCATCATGCCGGCTAATTTTTTTGTATTTTTAGTAGAGACGGGGTTTCGCCATGTTGGCCAGGCTAGTCTCGAGCTCCTGACCTCATGTGATCCACCTGCCTCAGCCTCCTAAAGTGCTGGGATTACAGGCGTGAGCCACCATGCCCCACCTCCTTATGAGGTTTCTATGTGGTTCTTCACTGAGTTCCAGGACACTCTTCCCTGGCCAGCAGTAAATCAGGAAGACAGCAGTCCTTAGAGCTGAGGTGGTAACACAGGATGTTTGCAAAAGGGTTGAATATTTCAGGAGAAAATAGCTAATCTTGTCTTTAAAAAAATCAGCCAATTAACCAACAAACCATGTGACCTCAGATAAATATTGTTTCCTATCCAGCTCAATTTCCTCATCTCTAAAATGAGAGAGTGTATCCTTTATTCCCTCCATGCCAGGAACTAACTGAGAAGTAGAGCTAGCTATTTGATAATCATCAAACTAAGAGCTTTCTTCTGGTGCACCTGCGCTGGAGAACACCCACATAAAACGATAGTAACTGTGACGTGCCGTGAAGAAAATGTGCTGTGACAACCAGAGCAGATCTGAGTGGGACAGGGAGCTCAAGATATAACATTTAAGCTCTGATCTGAAGAAGTAGCTGGAGGTGAGTGCATTCAGCATATGCAAAGATCCTGTGGCAGGCTGGAGGAACTGAAAGAAAGTCAATGTGGCTGGAGGGAGAGCAGGTGCAAACCCTCCTACATCAAACCTTGTGAGCCCTATGAAAGATTGCACATGTTGTCCAAAGATTGAAGGGTTTTAAACAGGATGTTAATATTAGCATATTAGCAGGAGCTCACTCTGGCAGCAGGGTGGAGAGGGGATGGATCTCTCCTTTTTTGGAAAGGATCACATTGTAACCCTTCTCTTGCCAAATTCTCTTTCCCTCATATGGGCTGCTTTTGTTTGTGAGATGAAGAGCAAGAACAGAGTAGTGGTAGATGAGGGCTGCTAGCAGCTCTACCAGAATGGCAGGACATTTGAGAGCTGAATGGAGAATGGGTGTAATTAAAAGAAAAAAGGTGGAAAGACCTGGCTTGATTTCTCTTGCCAGGAATGATTGTACTACACATTCCCGCTTTAACACCGATTTTCTGTGAAAGGTATATTAGTCCCTAGGCTGAGTTCTCCGCCCAGGGGCGGTACAAGAATGTGAGAAGCAAATACTCTCTCCAGGAGATAAAATTCTAGGGGACTTTTTATGTTATGTCTCAGGTCCCTTGACATGAATTGGCTTTGTCCAGCCGTCAGACAAAAACCCAATGCAACTGTTAATTTGTGGTGGCCTTGGATGATGGGTGAAAGTATTAGTCTGTAGCTTAAAACCTCAACAGCGTGTCCTTCCTCCTCCAAAGTGGTAATTAAACACGGTCAGATGTGACTCTTGCCAGGCTGTTTAGTTGTGCTGGGCAAGGTCTCTGAATTAGAGATGATGACTGTAAAATGTTTGTGGGTTGAAAGTCCTCTCTTGGGTATACAGAAAAGATATAGAGAGAGTAGAGAATTGTGTTCTAGTTATGAGTCATTCATCCAACAAATATTTATTGAGCATTGTCCCGGATACGATTGGTTTCCCACCTGGATCCCACTTAGGAGTCTAAGGCAGCTGCCAGGGAATTGTGCTCAGCTGATGGTGCTGAGGAATGCCTGGGAGGTTACATTTTGCACCCTCCCCAGGGGCAGCCCCCTGCCAATGGAGAGGCCATATGTAAAGCTGGCCCCTTGATACAGGCTGGATAATTCTGTGATGGCTTCATGCCCCAGAGCTCCTTGTGGAGTTGGTCTGAGAATAGGCTCCTGCTGAATCTATATACTTTCCTTTTCTATCTCACTTCCCTCACTCCCTTTCTCCTGAGGGTGTCAGAAGTATTCAAACGAGAGTGACTCCATCTTAATATGAGCTGGGTGAAATGAAGCTGAGATTTGCTGGGCCGCATTCCCAGGAAGTTAGGTATCCTTAGTCACAGGAAGAGGTTGGAGGTCAGCAGGACAAGATACAAGTCATAAAGACCCTGCCGATGGCCGGGCGCTGCGGCTTCCACCTGTAATCCCAGCACTTTGGGAGGCTGAGGTGGGTGTATCACCTGAGGTCAGCAGGTCAAGACCAGCTAGTTCAATACTAGCGTGACCAACATGGTGAAACCCCATCTCTACTAAAAATACAAAAATCAGCTGGGCGTGGTGGCGAGCGCCTGTAATCCCAGCTCTTTGGGAGGCTGAGGCAAGAGAATCACTTGAACGAGGGAGGCGGAGGTTGCAGTGAGCAGAGATCATGCCACTGCACTCCAGCCCGGGCGACAGAGTGAGACTCTGTCTCAAAAATAAATAAATAAAAGACCCTGCTGATAAAACGGGATTCAATAAAGAAGCCAGTCAAAACCCACCCAAACCAACATGGTGACGATAGTGACCTCTTGTTATCCTTGCTGCTAATTATATGCTAATTATAATGCATTAGCATGCTAAAAGACACTCCCACTAGTGCCATGACAGTTTACAAATGCCATGGCAACGTCCAGAAATTACCCTATATGCTCTAAGAGGAAGAGGAACCCTCAGTTCCAGGAATTCCTGGCCCCTTTCCTAGCAAACTCATGAATAATCCATCCCTGGTTTAGCATATGATTAAGAAATAACCATAAAAATAGCCAACTAGCAGCCCTTGGGGCTGCTCTGCCCATGGAGCAGCCATTCTTTTATTCCTTTTCTTTTTAAATAAACTTGCTTTTACTTTACTCTGTGGACTCGCCCTGAATTCTTTCTTGCATGAGATCCAAGAATGCTCTCTTGGGGTCTAGATTGGGACCCCTTTCCGGTAACAAGAACACTCCCTCAATAAAGCAGGGCATAAGTCCCTGTTTCAGGCTTTGCTCCTGCAGAACCTGCCTAAGACCTGCTGTGTGTTGGGCACTGTGTCTATGCCTTGGAGATAGAGTGTTAAACCCTTCGAGCAAAGTCTCTGCCCCAAGGCAGCTCAGTGCCTTCTAGGGGGTCTGATTTTCCATATCCTAGTCTTGTAATTTGTTTTTTCTTTTTTCTTTTTCTGAGACGGAGTCTTGCTCTGCCACCCAGGCTGGAGTGCAGTGGCGTGATCTCAACTCACTGCAACCTCTGCCTCCCGGGTTCAAGCGATTCTCCTGTCTCAGCCTCCCGAGTAGCTGGGACTACAGCTGCATGCCACCATGCCCGGCTAATTTTTTGTATTTTTTTTAGCAGAGACGGGGTTTCACTGTGTTAGCCAGGATGGTCTTGATCTCCTGACCTTGTGATCCACCTGCCTTGGCCTCCTAAAGTGCTGGGATTACAAGCATGAGCCACCACACCCGGCCCCTAGTCTTGTAATTTTGAGAAGTCGCTGGAGCTATGCGAGCCTCAAATTTCTTATCAATCGAATGGTGGTAACAGTGCTTGTCTTTACTTTTTTCCTTCTATTTTTTAGTCTTGCACTGTCACCCAGGCTGGAGTGCACTGGCATGATTCCACCATACTGCAGCCTTGAACTCCTAGGCTCAAGTGATCCTCTGACCTCAGCCTCTGGAGTAGCTGGGACTATAGGTACATTCTACCATACCTGGCTAATTTAAGAAAAAAAAAATTTTTTTTTAGACCCAAGGTTTTACTATTTTGCTCAGGCTGATCTCGAACTCTGGCCTCAGTGGATCCTCCTGCCTCGGCCTCTTGAAGTGTTGGGATTACAAATGTAAGCCAGGGCACCCAACCAATGCTTTCCTTTTCTGAAAAGACCAAGCAACAGCAGCAGCAGGATGGTTTAAGCCTTCTTAAGCATCTGTCAGCTGCCCTTCCCCATCACCACTTCCAGATGACAGCCTTGTCTTCTATTTCTAGCTAGGTTGCTGCTGCTATACATGGAAATTCTGGATCCTCCATTTTAGGACCATGAATTGATAGAAAACTGGCTCTCATGCTGCTACCTAGGTGTTTGTTGAATGAATGAATGTTGAATATGATTAACAACAGTGCTATCATTCAAGCAGCCCAGGTACTGGAATAAGCACTTTATTGCTTCTTTTTTAAAATTTTTTTATAGAGAAGGAAATGGAGGCATTGAAATACCAAGACATACTGAATATGAGAGCAATTCAACAACTATGTAAAGCACATATACAGATGTAAAATGTTAGAAGACAGGACTTTGGATGGAAGGATTAATTTGCAGCACTGATGTTTCCTAAGAAAATGGTCAGAAGAAATTTCTTTTGGAATGTTCTTTGTTTTTTCTTTTTTGTTGTTTGTTTTTGTTTTTTTCTGAGACAGAGTTTCCCTCTTGTCACCCAGGCCGGAGGGCAATGGTGCGATCTCAGCTCACTGCAACCTCCGCCTCCCGGGTTCAAGTGATTCCCCTGTCTCAGCCCTCCTAGTAGCTAGGATTACAGGCACCCACCACCATGTCCAGCTAATTTTTTGTATTTTTAGTAGAGGCGGGGGTTTCACCACGTTGGCCAGGCTGGTCTCGAACTCCTGACCTCGGGTGATCCACCCGCCTCAGCCTCCCAAAGTGCTGGGATTACAGGCGTGAGCCACCATGCCCGGCCTGGAATGTTTTTCTATAACTTGTTCCTTTTTCAGTTCACATGTGGACAACCCTTTTAACCCATTGTTCAAGGTCATGGAGATTGTTTTTGAAACTTGAAACCAAACACTTACAGATGGCTCCCCCAAAGGATAGAGAAAAGGAAACGAGAAACAAGAAAATCACAACCACCTGCTATTATAAAAGGAGCCCGCATGATGAAGTTTTTAGAATTGTGGATCTGTACTTCTGCTACTGCTTAGGTTTTAGTGGAGGCAAAATAATGCCAATAGCTAATTTGTTTGGTCATTAAGCTTTGATAGAACTTCAGTCTAAGGGACATACAATTATATTAATGTACATGCTCCAGAGTCCCTGGTTTTATGATCTGTGGATTATTTATCATTGTTTCAGGATAGCAGTAGTTTACTTTGGTTTCATGATTTTTTTAACATTGGTTCTGGAATCCAAGAGACTTGGTAGGATTCTTTGTTTTTGTCTTTCCTTAATATTATTATCATCATTTTTTTCTTTTTTTTTCTTCATTTGAGACAGTGTCCCGCTCTGTTGCCCAGGCTGGAGTGCAAGTGGCATAATCATAGCTCATTGCAACCTTGACCTCCCAGGCTCAAGCGATCCTCCCACTTCAGCCTCCCAAGTAGCCGGGACTACAGGTGCATGCCACCATGCCTTGCTAATTTTTAAAATTTTTTGTAGACATGGAGATCTCCCTATGTTGCCCAGGTTGGTCTCGAACTTTTGGGCACAAGAGATCCTCCTTCCTTGGCCTCCCGAAGTACTGGAGCTACAGGCGAGAGCCAACATGCCTGACCTGTTATCATTTTTTTATTTTATTTTTCTTGGCTCTGCCATTTACTGTGTGAATTTGGGCGAATTACTCACTTTTTAAAATTTTTTCTCCCCTTCCCTTCCCTTCCCTTCCCTTCCCTTCCCTCCCCTCCCCTCCCCTCCCTTTGTGCCTCCCTGCCTACCTTTCCTCTCTCTTTCTTTTCAATAGAGATGGGGTCTCACTTTGCTGTCCAGGCTTACCCTGAACTCCTGGACTCAAGTGATTCTCCTTCCTCAGCTTCCCAAATAGCTGGGACTACAGGTGCATGCCACCATGTCTAGCTAATGTATTTGTTTTTGATTATGGCATAACAAAGCACCCAAAAACTTAGTAGCTTAAAACAACACGCAGTTTCTAGGGGTCAGGCATCCAGGTACAGCTTAACTGGGACCTCTACTCAGAGGCTCTCACAGGCTGCAATCACGGTGCCCACAAGGCTGCAGTTATCTCAAGATTCAACTTGGAGAGGCTCTGCTTCCAGGCTCATGTGGTCATTGGCAGAATTCAGTTCCTTGAGAGTTGTTGGGCTGAGGGCCTCCTTTCATTGCTGGCTGCTGGCCAGAAGCTGCCCTGTTTCCTGCTAGATGGTTCTCCCTGACAACAGGGAAGCTTGTTCCATCAAAGCAAGCTTGTGAGAAAATATCTCTATCTCTGCCTTTATCTATCTATATGTCTATATCTACATAGAGAAAGAAGACAGAACTCACAGGTTTTTTTTTTTTTTTTTTTTAACGGTTATGGACAGAATTGCAGCCATCTCCCAATCTCCCAAATCCACATGTTGAAGTTCTCACTCCCAATGTGCCTGTATTTGGAGACAGGGCCCTTTCAGAGATACTTAAAATAAGCCAGGTTATAAGGGTGGGGCCCTAATCTGATAGGACCTGTGTCCTTACAAGAAGAGGAAGAAACATGATAGGAAAGACCATGTGAGAACACAGTGAGAAGGTGGCCGTCTGCAAGGCAGGAAGAGAGCCCTCACCAGAAACCAACCCTGCTGTCCTACCTTGATCTTGGACTTCTACCCTCCAGAACTGTGAGAAAATAAGTGCCTGTTGTTTAATCTCCCAGTCTGTGATATTTTGTTTTGGCAGCCTGAGCTGCCTAATATGATAACCTGATCTTGGAAGTGACATCTCACCACTTTTGCCAGTTCTATTCCTTAGAAGCAAGTCATCAGGTTCAGCCCACACTCTAGGGAGGAGGTTCCACAAGGGCATAAATACGAGAATGAGAGGGTTGGAAGCCACTTAGAGGCTGCCTATCACGGGCACTGCTGTCTCTTCCTAAGATGGCTAAAATATAATAATATTTAACATTTATCTAGCATTTGCAGTTAGTATATACTAAACACGGATGATTCATTAATTCTCTCAACAAATGTGTGTGTGAGGTATTATAATTATTCCAATTTTACAGACGGGGAGACCGAGTCTCAGAAAGGTCAAGTAATGTGCCCAGGGTCACATAACAAGTAAAGGACAGGACTGCTATCTGAACATAAGTAACTCGCTCAGAGGTCTCACCCTCCCACTCTTGTTTTCCTCCAATCTGCTACCAACACAATAGCCAGAGCATTTGCTCTGTCACCCAGGCTGGAGTGCAGTGGTGTGATCTCAGCCCACTGCAACCTCCGCCTCCCAGGTTCAAACTATTCTCATGCCCCAGCCTCCTTAGTAGCTGGGATTACAGGTGTGTGCCACCACACCCAGCTAATTTTTGTATATTTAGTGGAGACAGGGTTTCACCATGTTGGTTAGGCTGGTCTCGAACTCCTGGCCTCAAGTGATCCACCCACCTTGGCCTCCCAAAGTGCTGGGGTTACAGGCATGAGCCACTGCACCTGGCCCAGAGCATTCATTTAAATCAGACATGCCATCTCATTTAAAACCCTCCAATCCTATTCCACTTTAAATAAGTTCCAAATCCCCCTACTATGATGCTGTGGGCTGAATTATGTATCCCTCACCCTAACCCCCTCCAAATTCTAAGTCCTAACCCTCATTGTTTCCTTCCAAATCCTACCTTCTTTAGAGTTAGGGCCTCTGTGGAGGTACTTATGTTAAAATGATTTCATTTGACTGGGCCTTAATCCGATATGACTGGCATCCTTATAAGAAAGGCATACACCGACACAAGCAGAAGGCAGACCACGTGAAGACATAGGGAAAAGTCAGCATTCTACAAACCAAAGAGAGCAGCCCAGAACAGATCCTTGTCTCACAGCCCTCAGAAGGAACCAACCCTGCTGACACCTTGATCTTCAACTTCTAGCCTTTGAACTGCAAGAAAATACATTTCAGTCACTTTAAGCCACCCTGCCAGCGGCACTTTGTGTGGCAGCTCGAGGAAGCAGATGCCTGCCACTTGCTCCTGGCTCACCTAAGCCATGGCAGCCTCCTTTCACTTCTTTGCAAATACTCTTCCATCTTAGGGCCTTTGCATGTGTGTTTTTTTTCTGCCTAGAACATTTTTTTCTTCTTGTTTTGAGACAGAGTCTTACTCTGTCACTCACGCTGGAGTGCAGTGACGTGATCATAGCTCACTGCAGCCTCAACCTCCCTGGGCTCAAGTGATTCTCCTACCTCAGCCTCCTGACGAGCTAGGACTACAGGCATGTGCCACCACTCCCAGCTAATTTTTTTTTTTTTTTTTTTGAGACGGAGTCTTGCTTTGTTGCCCAGGCTGGAGTGCAGTGGCGTGATCTCTGCTCACTGTAACCTCTGCCTCCTGGGTTCAAGCTATTCTCCTGCGTCAGCCTCCTGAGTAGCTGGGACTACAGGCATGTGCCACTACGCCTGGCTAATTTTTTGTATTTTTAGTAGAGATGGGTTTCACCATATTAGCCAGGATGGTATCCATCTCCTGACCTCGTGATCCACCTGCCTCGGCCTCCCAGCTAACTTTTTTTGTAGAGACAGGGTCTTGCTATGTTGCTCGGGCTGGTCTCAAATTCCTGGGCTCAGGAGATCCTCCTACCTTGGCTTCCCAAAGTGCTGGGATTACAGGCATGAGCCACCACAACCAGCCTCTAGAACAGTCTTACTTCCCTTCCTCAATGCTCATTCCCTCTTATTCCTCCACTCTCAGCCTCATTTCACCCCTTTAGTGAAGCTTTTAATTCCTTTCTTACCTAAAGAGTTCTGCCTGTTGTTCTCTACCCTAACACACTGTAAATTTTCTTTATTGCACTTACCACAATGTATAATTAGACGTTTCTTTGTTTATTTGTTGCTTTTCTCTCCCCCTAGAGTGTAGAGTCTCAAGGACAGGAATTGCATCTGTGTTATTTGCCAGAGCGTCTCCAGCATACAACACAGTTCATGGAACCCAGTGCGTGCCCAGCAACGATCAGTTGAATGACTAGAGTAGTGATTCTCAACCCTGGCTGCACAGGAGAGTCACTCGGGGGTGCTTTAAGAAACAATGATCCTTGATTTTCACCCCCGTGAGATGCTGAGTCAGTCCCATGCAACTAGATTGAGGACAAGAGGATAAGGGAAACCATTTCCTTTTCAATCTGTGAAGGTTTGTTACATTTATGGAAAACTTGAACTTCACCACAGTCTTACAGGAAGCATGAAATTGAGCCTTGAGTTTTTTTCTCAGCTGTCCAACTGTTATGGGCCTACAATTGTATAGCTCAGAGTGACAGAGAAGAACTTTGGGGTTGGGAAAGAATTGGAGCAACTTCAAGCAGGAACGCGGTGTGGCACCTTGGGTGCATCTCACTGGGTTCCATCCATTCTATGGTGTTGGGGTCACTCTGCTGTAGAGCAAGATGCAGAAATGGCCCTCTCTACTTTCCTTATGTGTGTATGTGTGGAGGGGAGGTTTAGTGGATGTCTCTGGTTACTGGAATTCTGTTTGCATTGCGCTGCCTTCTAGGACCAAGGACTGGTTTTCAAGCTCTTTGGTCAAGGGAGAGAGAGCAGTCTTGAGTCTGTCAGAACAGGCCCCTGACAAGTGAACAGTATTGATGCCCTCCAGCCAAAGACCTCCAGGAACACACCCATATTGAACAAGTTGTGTTTCATGTTCATTGCAGCAAGAGAGGACACACACATGGGGAACCATGGAAGGTGTTGGAAAGGACTCATTATGGAATTGGACTTTGGTTGTGTGATTTTGGGGAGAGTCCAAGCAAGCTGGGATGTGCACTGGCATGGGTGCAGCCTGAAAGAGGCAATGTTACCATTGACTCTCTCAATAAATTTTATCTATAAGGAAGGGAGGGAAAGCAGACTAGAGCGAGGCTAAAACTATGATTGGTGAAGAACACTAGTTACTCGCATTCACCAGGAGAAGGTCATGTTTGGCATTTTGTGGCTTGAACAATGTTCCTGTTTTGTCTGTGTTCACGTGTGATTACGGAGTCTTCTTTCTGTCCTGATTCATCATGACTACAGAGTGGCTTTGTCTAACATTGATGCTCTGTGAAATTGTTTATGTTTAGGAAAACACCGAGATTGACCTGTCAGTACCAGGCCAGTTCCCTGCTGTCAGGGGCTGCTTTCCTCTTTATCACTAGCTTTGGATTTGCTCCTTCCAGTACTTTTCTCATGTAAAGTAAGGTAGTCCAGTGTGTTCACACAATTGAGAGCATTTATTACATTAGCCTCCTATCTTTTGCGGGGATAATCACAGCACCATGGTGTGGTAAGTGGCAGTAGAGTATGGTGGTTAAGAACAAATGATCTTGAGGTCAGGCGTGGTGGCTCACGCCAGTAAACCCAGCACTTTGGGAAGCCGAGGCAGGAGTATTGCTTGAGTCCGAGAGTTCGAGACCAGCCTGGGCAACATAGCGAGACCCTGTCTCTTAAAAAAAAGAACAAGTGCTCTTTATTCAGAAAATCATTTTAGTTGTGTGACCTTGAGCAAGTTCACTTGACCACCCTAGCCTCGACTCCCTCATCTGTAAAATGGGGGTAATAATAGTGCCTAACTTATAGGGCAATTATGATGCACCAATGAAATAATGCATGAGGCCGGGTGCGGTGGCTCACACCTGTAATCCCAGCACTTTGGGAGGCCGAGGTGGGTGGATTATCTGAGGTCAGGAGTTTGAGACCAGCCTGACCAACATGGTTAAACCCCATCTCTACTAAAAATAAAAAAATTAGCCAGGTGTGGTGGTGCATGCCTGTAATCCCAGCTACTCAGGAGGCTGAGGCAGGAGAATCGCTTGAACCTGGGAGGCGGAGATTGCAGTGAGCCGAGATCGCGCCACTGCACTCTAGCCTGAGCGACAGAGCAAGACTCTGTCTCAAAAAAAAAAAAAAAAAAAAAAAAGCATGAAAAAACTTTTAGCCTGGTATCTGGCCAGCAGTTGGTATGCTATTGACTACCAATGATTCAATAGAACTATATGTTTCTCTGCTTAGTTTATCAGAGTTTGCCTTTGTACCTGTGATGAAAAAAACGGTGGACCGTAAGACCTTGGGACCTTGGTTCCCTGAACCAAGCCAGGACAATTGTATTATTTCTCCTGGAATTTTGAAATTGGACACCAATATTTGTCATTCAGGGTTGGATATGTAGACTGGGAAGTGATGTCAAGCGTCCTTGAGTGACCACTTTCTGCTCTGTTGACTTAGAACCTTGAGGTTAAAAAAATGTTATAGGAAACCATATTTGTTTGAATGTTTGTTGGAAAGAAAAGCAGAAAAGTAGAGAAAGGTGATCTTTTTTAATTCTTAATTTTTTATTATTAAATTTTTTTTTTATTTTAGGTTTGAGGATACATGTGAAAGTTTGTTACATAAAGATTTGTCACAGAGGTTTGTTGTACATATCATTACATCACCCAGGTATTAAGCTCAGTCCCCAATAGTTATCTTTTCTGCTCCTCTTCCTCCTCCCACCCTCCCCACTCAAGTAGACTCCAGTGTCTGTTATTTCCTTCTTTCTGTTCGTAAGCTCTTATCATTTAGCTCCCACTTATATGTAAGAACATGTGGTGTTTGGTTTTCTGTTCCTGCGTTAGTTTGCTGAGGATGATAGGCTCCAGCTCCATCCATGTTCCCACAAAAGCCATGATCTTGTTCTTTTTTATGGCTGCATAATATTCCATGGTGTATATGTACCACATTTTCTTTATCCAGTCTGTCATTGACAGGCATTTAGGTTGATTCCATGTCTTTGCTATCGTGAACAGTGCTGCAGTGACCATTCACGTGTATGTGTCTTTATGGTAAAATGCTTTATATTCGTCTGGGTATACACCCAGTAATGGGATTGCTGGGTTGATGGTAGTTCTTCTTTTAGCTCAGAAAGGCAATATTCAAAGACAGGAGAATAAACTGGGGTGAGAGAGAGAAGGAGTGAAGAAAGGAGAAAAGAAGAGAGAAGAGAGAGGAAGAGAAGGTTCTATGGAGCTCTAAGTGTTCTATCTGGTCTGCCCGAGTTAGTAGAGGGATAAGAATAAAGAAAAAAAATGTTACTATTCCTCTACGGCCCATCACACACATGGGTGAATCAAATGGGCAAAGCAAGAGTAGAATTTTACACCACCATGCCGTAAACCTGGATTGTTTTGACTGTTGAGCATCTCCTCTCTCTTTTCTATTCTTTTTCTTTCTCTTTCTTTCTTTCTTTCCTTCTTTCTTTCTTTCTTTCTTTCTTTCTTTCTTTCTTTCTTTCTCTCTCTCTCTCTCTCTTTCTTTCTCGCTTTCTCTTTCTTTCTCTCTTTCTTTCTCTCTCTCTCTCTCTCTCCCTCTCTCTCTTCTTTTCTTTTCTTTTGAGACGGAGTTTCACTCTTGTTGCCCAGGCTGGAGTGCAGTGGCGCAATCTCGGCTTACTGAAACCTCCACCTCCCGGGTTCAAGCGATTATCCTGCCTTAGCCTCCCAAGTAGCTGGGACTACAGGTGTGTGCTACCACACCCAGCTAATTTTGTATTTTTAGCAGAGATGGGGTTTCACCATGTTGGTCAGGCTGGTCTCGAACCCCTGACCTCAGATAATCCACCCACCTCAGCCTTCCAAAATGCTGGGATTACAGACGTAAGCCACTGCACCCGGCCTCACTTTCTTTTACCCACATCAGTCCTGATAATTTCCAGTCCCAGCATCCTGCCTTCTCCCTCACTCCCGTAGAAGGACTGGGCAAGTGACCAGGCCAATCAGAGTTCCCCAATATCCTGGCCATGTGGATTGGTCCAGCTATGGGCACGTGACCTTAGCTAAGCCAATCACCTATTCAGAATGTTTTTTGTTCTTTAATACAGAGCTGTGAGAGACAGGGTCTTGGCTTTTGAATAATGGGGCTGAAAGAAGTGAGTCAGGGACTGCCAGGGGCTGTCTCCTATACCATGAGGAGAAATCTCGTCTATAGGGAGAACGAGCCAAAAGATGGAAAGTCATTGAGAGGGAGAGGGAGAGGGACATTGAAGTGGGGGAGAGAAAGAGAGAGACATAATATAATGTTGAGCTTTAAATCAGCTCTATCTAGACTTAGAAAAGCCAATAACTTCCCACTTTTCTTGGACTGATTTGAGTTGGTTTTTTGCTACTTTAGCCAAGTGGTCCCCGTGATGGCTCCCCATTTCTTTAGATGAAAATCCCAAGCCCTCACGTTGGCATGCCAGGACACACCTGCCCTAGCCTCAATGGCCTCATCTCCCGTCCCTCTCGCCATTGCTTACTCCGCTGCAGCCATTCCTGCCTCCTTGCTTGTTCGTCAAACGTGCCAGGCCCTACTTCATACGGATTAAATCAGACTTTTTGAGTGGGATCAGGACATTAGTATTTTATTTGTTTTTAATTTAATTTTATGTTTTGAGACAGGGTCACTCTGTTGCCCAGGCTGGAGTGCAGTGGCACGAACACGGCTCGCTGCAGCCTCGACCTCCCAGGCTCATGCGATCCTTCTAATACTCACCGTTAGCTGGGACCTCAGCCAGCCAGTTAACCAAAATGTATGCGTGTGGCCTCCCCAGGTGTTCTCTTCACATGGGCTAGTTGGACTTCCTCACTACATGGTGGCTGGTGTGCAAGAGTGAGTGGCTCCAGAAAGCAAGGAGGACATGCCTATGATTTTTTATGCTCTAGCCCTGGAAGTCAAATAGCATCTTTTCTGCTGTAATCTTAATCTTAATGATTGAGGCAGTTGCTAAGGTTCAAGTGGAAGGGATCATAGACTTCATCACTCAACATGAGAAATAGAAGCTTACAACCACCTGTCCTCAGCCTCCCAAGTAGCTGGGACTACAAGCATGTGCCACCATGCCTGGCTAATTTTTTGAATTTTTTGGAGAGACAGAGTCTCACTATGTTGCCCAGGTTGGTCTTGAATTCCTGGGCTCAAGTGATCCACCCGCCTTGGCCTCCCAAAGTGCTGGGATTGCAGATGTGAGCCACTGGGCCCGGCCGGTGACATTGGTATTTTTAAAAAGGTACTCAGTGATTTCAATGTGTAGCTAGAGCTGAGAATCACTCCTTCAGACTAATAAAGAAGGTCAATGGCTATTAAGGCAACTACCCTAAAGAATTAACTTAAAGTCTATGTGTAAGTTTGTCTCTTGTCAACATAGAGTCTAGTTTCCTTCTAATTTTGATTATAAAATAGGAAAGCATTTTCCTATACTATAAAAAAGTTTGCTTTAAGAGTCCCAGGACTGATTTATTATGACCTTGAGATTTAAAAACATTTATTATTGGAAACCATGTTTGTTTGAACCATGTTTGTTTGAATGTTTATTGTAGAAAAGTCCATTTTTCCTTTTAAAGTCATAAACTAAATTTGTTACAGGAGGTTGATTTTGTGTTCCAAGCCTGTGATCATTAACTGTTTTCCAGCTCTACCAGGTAGGGTATTGAACCTTTTCTTATTTGAGATTCAAATAAATTCTCCTTTACCAAAATGTTATTTTGCAAATAACTAAGTGACTCTAATGGATTAACTTTAAAATGCAATGCCAAATCTTGATTTTCCACGAATGAATAATTTGAAAGAAATTTCTCTGTTCACTACATATACGCCAGAAAGAATATCAACCTTGGCTTTTGATATATTTTAAATTCCTGGTTCAAGTTTCTTATGTGGCCAAATTGTTCTTAGTGACCTGGGCTTCTGTAAAATGTCCCTGATTCCTTTCATAAAATGCTTATTTTGGCTTATGCTGCTCGAGTGAGTTTCTGTTACCATCTTTGATAAAGACAATCATTAATCCTGACAGCAGCCTTGCAAAGTGAGTCTTACTATTCCCATTTCACAGATGGATAATCTGAGCCCTTGGGTACTGAGAAACTTGCTCAAGTCCATACAATTAGGCACTGGTAGTCCCTGGACAACAACCCAGATCTACTTGACCCCAAAGCTGATGAGTTTCCACCCTCACAGAAGGTCCTAATATGGCACATTGCTTTTTTTTACATTGGGATATAATTCATGTCTTATAAAACTCACCATTTAAAAGTGTATAATTTAGTGGTCTTAGTGTATTCTCAAGATTTTTCAACTATCACCACTGTCTAATTCTAGGATGTTTTCATCACCCTCCAACCCCAGACCTCTACCATTAAGCAGCCACTCTTTCACTCCTGTCCCCCAGCCTCTGGCAACCACTAATTTACTTTCTGTCTCTATGGATTTGCCCATTCTGGGTATTTGATACACATGGAGTCATACAATATGTGGCCTTTTGTGTCTTGGTTCTTTCACGAAACACAGTGTTTTCTAATTTCTAATTTCTACATTTCTGTCGTAGAATATATCAGTACTTCATTTCTTTTTATGGCTAAATAACATTCCATTGTATGGATAGACCCCATTTTGTTTATTTATCTGTTTACAGACATTTGGATTATTTCCACCTTTTGGCTATTATAAGATACATTTTGTAAATAACATTGTTATAGAAGTCTTGTTTTCCAAATTAAACAGAAGGGCAGGTCCTGTTTCACACACTTTTTTTTTGTATTAAAAATATATGAGGGCTCTTCCAGTTGCTATTACTGGGTAACAAATCACACCAATTTTTAGTGCTATAAGCCACAATTTTATTACACTCACAGATCCTGTAGGTCAAGAATCAGACCAGAGAGGGTGGCTTGCTCTGCCTCATGATGTCTGGGGACTCAGCTGGGAAAACTCAAAAGTTGAGGGTGACTTGATGGCTGGGGACTAAAGGCATCTAGAGGAATCTTCTGTCACATGCCTGTATTTCATACTCACTGTTAGCTGAGACCTCAGCTAGCCAGTTAGCCAAAACGTCTGCATGTGGCCTCCCTAGGTGGTCTCTTCAGGTGGGCTAATTGGACTTCCTCACAACATAGTAGCTGGGGTCCAACAGTGAGTAGCTCAAGAAAAAAAGGAGGAAGTGCATATGCTTTTTATGTTCTAGCCCTGGAAATCAAATAGCATATTTTCTGCTGTAATCTTAATGATTGAGGCAGTTTCTAAGGTTAAAAGGGGAGGGATCATGGACTTCATCACTCAACACGAGAAATAAAAGGTCACATTATGACAGCATGTGGTATGGGAGATATCACTATGGCCACCTTTGGAAAAAAACCATCTGCCACAAGGACCTTGCACTGGGCTTGTGACAGGTATCCAGTAGATCCTTATTTAATTAAATATATTCATGCTTATCAACAAATTACATATTGGCCTGCCTGCTTGTTTGTTCATGAATCCATCTCCTCCTTCAGAAATGACCCCTTCTTGGGTATTATTCTAATGCTTTCATTTCTTAACTTCTGCATTTTCCTAGCTTAGGCAAATCACTTTACTTCTCAGAGCCTCAGTTGTCTTACCCATAAAATGGGCAAACACATTTGTTCCCACTCTACAAAATTAGTTTGGGAATTCAGTGGGCTAAGGTATAAATAGTGCTTACTTTAGATGCTGTTTGGAGGTAAAGGTTCAATAAATGATAACTATTATTATTGCTGTTGTGATTACCTGAATGTAATCCCCATTCTCTTATACTTTTCAGCATCCTGTCCAAGCCTTTAAGATGAGGAACAAATTCTATGTGAGGAGAAATGGCAAAAATTGGTATGCCTCTGCTTTTCTGATTTCCCATTCCCTTCCATTTCTCTTATTAACAAGTAAAAGTAAGGAAATCCTGTCCTGTGGATAACTTCCCATTGACTTGCAGAGAGCTCAGACATGCTATGGTAGATATGGATACTATTTTGTTTTTGTTTTTTGAGATGGAGTCTTGCTCAGTCACCCAGGCTGGAGTGCAGTGGCATGATCTCAGCCCACTGCAAACTCCGCCTCCCAGGTTCAAGTGATTCTCCTGACTCAGCCTCCCGAGTAGCTGGGATTACAAGCAGATGCCACCACACCCAGCTAATTTTTGTATTTTTAGTAGAGACAAGGTTTAACCATCTTTACTAAACAGACTAGGCCCGTCTTGAACTCCTGACTTCAAGTGATCTGCCCGCCTCAGCCTCCCAACGTGCTGGGATTATAGGTGTGAGACACTGCACCTTGCCAATGGTGAATATTGTTGATTTAAAATAATAGATATAATAAATCTCCAATCTCAGGGAAGTTTCCAAGTCCTAAAGTCAAAACTTCCGATCTTGCCGTGTGCTTGAATTATCCTCAATTAGAGTCCCTGCTGCTGTTGCATGTCGCTGTAATTATTCTGTCATCGTTAATTCAATGAAGCCTATTAACCCACATCAGATAGTGTATTTATCTACAATGCATGTTACCTGCTCCTCTAGATAAGACAGCTGTCATACTTCAAGTCTGCTGTCTCTTTGTTGAGGTCCAGTAGTGTCAGTCTGCAAGTGTTTCATGTTTCATATACATTACAGAATCCCCATTAATGGTTGATATGATTAGGCTTTGTGTCCCCACCCAAATCTCATCTTGAATTACATTCCCTATAATCCCCACATGTCAAGGGAGAGACCAGGTGGAGATAATTAAATAATGGGGGCAGTTTCCCCCACGCTGTTTTCATGACAGTGAGTTCTCACGAGATCTGATGGTTTTATAAGGAACGCTTCCCTCTTTGCTCGGCATTTCTCCTTCCTGCTGCCTTGTGAAGAAGATGCATTGTTTTCCTCTTCACTTTCTGCCACAATTGTAAGTTTCCTGAGGCCTCCCCAGCCATGCTGAACTGTAAGTCAATTAAACCTCTTTCCTTTATAAATTACACAGTCTCAGGCAGTTCTTTACAGCAGTATGAAAATGGAGTAATACAATGATGTTCTTATAACTTCCCAGACTGGAAGGCTTGCTGGTCTTGTGAGATACTGAACTGGAGACAGCAGAAAAATGCATCCTCCTGATATTGTGAGCAACCTCCTCTCTTCTTCCCTCTCTCCTCTTCTTCCCTTTCTTCTGTTTTCCCTTCTAGGAGCCAAGAGCATAGGCTCTGGAACCAGCCTGCCTGGTTTGAATCATGCCTCTGCCTGGGGATCTTGGGCAGGTTGCTTGGTCTCTCTGAGCCTGTTTTTTTCATCTGTGCAAGAATCACAACTCTCTTGTGAGAATTTAATGTGCTAATCTGCATAAAGCACATAGACAACTGTCTGGCTCATGATGGGAGTGTAACTGTGGTTATTTCTTCCTATTTTCTTCCCTCCCTTCCAACAGAAGAAAGTCTCTGAGATGCGTGTCTTATGTGGCATATGCTGGACTTGGTGCCTGGGGTTCATTGGCAGACTAGTCCCTCTGGTACCTCCAGCAAGGAAGATAGATGTTAATTATTAATTGATACCCATTGTGATAAATCTCACAAGGTACCATGAATGGGTATAACAGCTCCCTTTCTGTGGAGGAGGTGGAGGTGATAGGTAAGACTTCCTGGAGGAAGTAACATTTGAACAGAGATCTGAAAGATAAAATACTTCCAGGAGGAGTGTGTGTGTGTGTAAGTCAGTCAACATCAGAACACCTCCAGCAGTGGAAACAGTGTATAGGAAGCTCTGAAGTAGGAAGGATCCTCTGTTAATGGTTTTTTTGTTGTTGTTTTCCCTCTTCGAGACAGAGTCTCAGTCTGTTGCCCAGGCTGGAATGCAGTGGCACAGTCTCAGCTCACTGCAACCTCTGCCTCCCAGGTTCAAGCGATTCTCGTACTTCAGCCTCCTGAGTAGCTGGGATTACAGGTATGCACCACCATGCCCCAATCATTTTGTATTCTTAATAGAGATAGGGTTTCTCAAACTCCTGGCCTCAAGTGATCCGCCTGCCTCAGCCTCCCAAAGTGCTGGGATTACAAGTGTGAGCCACCATGCCTGACCCATTAATGTTTTGAATAGGTAATACTTTCGCATGGTCCAAATTCCAAAAAATACAAAAGGATAAACAGTGAAATGTCTCCCTTTTTCCATTTACCACCTTCCCCCTACCTCTATCCCTGAAGCAACAAATGAACCAATTTCTTTGGTATTCTTCTAGAAATATCCTGTGCATACATAAGCAAAATGTATGTGTGTATGGTGTATATACATATATACACACACTATATATAGTGTGTATATGTGTATATATATACTATATATAGTGTGTATATATATACACTATAGTGTGTATATGTATATATACTATATATAGTGTGTATATGTGTATATATATACTACATATAGTGTGTATATGTATATGTGTATATATACACATATATATACTATATATAGTGTGTATATGTATATGTGTATATATAGTGTGTATAGTTTATGTATATACATATCCACACTATATATAGTATATATATGATATTCACATATCATCTTTTATTTTTTAATATGAAAAATGCTTCTCCGTTATTTGCTTTTTTCACCTTTCTCTTAAATACGTATCTTGGAGATCCTTCCTTATGAGTACACAGTTAACTTTCTTATTTTCTTTTCTGAGTGGCAGAGTACACCATGTAGTACCCTATAATTTGTTTAAGCAACCTCCTACTGATGGATGTTTGGGTTATTTCTACTCTTCTGCTATTATTTAAAAAAACTATAATCGATAATCTGATACCGGTGCAATTTGCTCCTGTGCAACTGTCTGTGGGATAAATTTCTAAAAGTGTAATAGTTGGGTCAAATGACACACTTTTCTCCACAGAGGTTGTAAAAAATTTACACCCACCCCTCAAGGAATGTTTGAGTTCCCATAGTGGCATCAAGCACCATGTATTATTGAGTTCTTTTTAATTTTGCCAATCTGATAGGTGAAAATTCATATCTCAGCATAGTTTTAATTTGCATTTATCTTACTCTGAATAACACAGAGCGTGTTTTCATTTGCCCAAGAATCACTTGTGTTTCTTTTCTTACGAACTGTTCTTATCTTTTGTCCATTTTTCTGTGATGAATCTGCTCTTTTGCTTATTGATTTTATACATTAGGGGAATTAGCCATTTTCCACGCCATGCTTCACAAACATTATTTCCTGGGTTTTCTTTTGTATTTAGACTTTGCTTAGGGTGGTTTTGGTTCTGCAGCTCTGTTTTTTAAAAAACTTTTATGTAGTCAAATTTTTTTTTTTGGGGGGGGGGTCTCCTGGATTTGTGACATACTTGGTCTCCTGCATTTGTGACATGCTAAGAAAAACCTTTGTCATTTCAAGATCATAAGATAATTCTATTCTTTAAAAAAACACCTTCAGAAAAGGGGATTCCAGATGCGACTTTAATGATCCTTTCCTGTGTTTGCCAAGCATCATGGTAGAAATACCTTCCTTATAGCCACATGAAACCCCTGATGCTGGAGTGTTGTGTTCACCTTATCGGCAAATATTTCCCCAGCACCTCCTATGTGTCAGTGTAGAACTGAACAGCACAGAAGCTACAAAGACTAAGAAGCCAGCAAAAGTTCAAATTCCACCACCCAGAAGTAACCACCATAAACACTTGGTATTATCATGAATTTTTTTTATAAAAAACTCCATAAGCACATATTTTTAAGATAAAAATAAGATTATTGTACACATAATTTTTCTGACCTGATTTCAAAATATATCCAAGACTTCTTTCTCTGTTACTAACTGTAAATGTAGATTTAACATTTAACATTTAACTACGGCAATGATTTACATGTAGCAGGGTTTGTGAAATGACTCCTTGTGGATGGACAGTGAGACTATCCTCCCTCTTCCACCATTCTAAGCAATGCTACCAAGAACATCTTTACATGTCTATCTTTGCCCTCTTGTCTTAGACCTAGAATTTCTGGGTCACATTGTTAAACTGTTTTTAGGAAGATTGTGCTGACTTATATTCCCACGAGCAATGTAAGGTATGCCAGAAAGAGGGCAGGAGGTTGGGAGTGGGAGGAGAAGGGGGCGGAGGAGGAAACTGGGTAAATGCTATTGGTGATAAAAAGGAGACAGTCTCACTGTCTATCAATAGGGAGGTCATTCAGCAAATCCTGCTACATGCAAATCGTTGCCTAGTCATGAAATATTAAATGTTAAATCTACATTTACAGTTGGTGACAGAGAAAGCAGTCTTGGATTTATTTTGAAATTAGGTCATAAAAATTATGTATGCAATCATCTTATTTTTGTCTTGAAAATATATGTTCATAGAGTTTAAAAAAATCATTCATGATAAATACCAAATGTTTATAGTGGTTATTTCTGGGTGGTGGCATTTGAACTGTTTTATTTTTATTGGCTTTTTTTTTTTTTTAATTGAGATGGAGTCTTGCTCTGTCACCCCGGCTGGAGTGCAGTGGTGTGATCTAGGCTCACTGCAACTTCTGTCTCCTGGGTTCAAGCGATTCTCCTGCCTCAGCCTCCTGAGTAGCTGGGATTACAGGCACCCGCCACCATGCCTGGCTGATTTTTGTAATTTTAGTAGAGATGGGGTTTCACTGCATTGGACAGGCTGGTCTCGAACTCCTGACCTCAGGTGATCCACTGCCTTGGTCTCCCAAAGTGCTGGGATTACAGGAGTGAGCCACTGCACCTGGAATTTTATTGGCTTCTTTATTCATCTTTGTAGTTTCTGGGCTGTTCAGTTGTATATTGACATATAGTAGGTGCTTGGGAAATATTTGCTGATGAAGGCTATTTTGGGAATTAAAAAAATGTATTTCAGGGGGCAGCAAACTATAGCTCTAGGGCCAAATCTGGTCTCTGCCTATTTTTGTAAATAAAGTTTTATTGGAACAGCCTCATACACCTGTTCATTTACATAGCATCAGTGATTGCTTTGGCCCTACAAGGGCAGAGTTAAGTGATTGCAACAGAGCCCACATGGTCAAAAGAGCCTCAAATATTTACTAACTGATGGTTTACAGAAAACGTTTGCTGCCTCCTGGTTTATTTCATTAAAGAAGTTATATTACACCTCTTTGGTGTCTCCATTCCCTTTACCACTTATGTTAACGTGGGAATGATGACACCAACCTGGAAGAGTCACATACGTAAGGCATACAGCCCAGTGTTTGTCTTTTGGTGCATGTATAATCAATACTAATTCACCTTCCCTTCCTAAAGACTTTTACTCCCAGGAAGTGGAAGCAGAAAATGGGCAGGTATGAGGCACCGGGTTGGTGATAGTTCTTCTCTGCTTTTACTTCCCATTTTCTGTCCCAAAGTTTGAGGAGTTCATTTTTTCCCTTCTGAGTAAAAAAAATTTTTTTTTTTTTTGAGACAGAGTCTTGCTCTGTTGCCCAGGCTGGAGTGCAGTGGCATGGTCTAGGCTCACTGCAAGCTCCGCCTCCCAGGTTCAAGCTAGTCTCCTGCCTCAGCCTCCCTAGCAGCTGGGACTACAGGCGTGCACCACCACTCCCAGCTGATTTTTGTATTTTTTGAGTAGAGACAGGGTTTCAACATGTTGGTCAGGCTGGTATCGAACTCCTGACCTCAAGTGATCCGCCCACCTTGGCCTCCCAAAGTGCTGGGATTACAGGTGTGAGCCACCGTGCCTGGCTTCTGAGTAACTTTCAAACACCTGAAGCCCCAAACTTAGAAGTCACAAGAATCATGTCAAGCCTAATAAATGACTGTTTTTTCCTGTTATCAAACTTTTTAGGGAAACAGGATTTCTGTCACTTACTTGGACTGAATAACACTCACACATATTTAAAAAACATTGTAGGGAGTGTTTTGGATGGATGGTATCAAGGAATAGGGGGTCTGCAGTTGTCATGCACATTAAGCAGTGGCATTGAATTAGGGTCTGTGGGAAATCTGGTAGTATCAGAGCATGCAGGCTTCTCAACCTCTGTACTCCTGACATTTTAAGCTGGATGATCCTTTGTTGTGCGGGCTGCAGGATGTCTACCTGGTGTGGTAGACAGAACAATGCCCCCTCTCCTCAAAGATGTTCATATCTCAACTCCTAGAATCTGTGAATATATTACATTAAGATGGCAAAATCCAAACGAAAACAAAGCAAGAGAAAACTCTCGCAGATGTGATTGGAATGAAAGATCTTGAGATGAGGAGATTATTCTGAGTTATTCAGGTGAGACTCAGGTAATTGCAAGGGTCCTTAGAAGATGATGTGACATGATGATAGAATAAGAGTGGGAAGAGAAGATGTTACCCTGTTGCTTTGAAGATGGAGGAAGGAGCCATGAGCCAAGGAATGCAGGCAACCTCTAGAAGCTGGGAAAGGTGGGGAATAGATTCTCCCCTAGAGCCTCCAGAAGACATGCAGCCCTGTGGACTCATTTTTGTCTTCTGACCTCTAGAATTATAAGAATAAATTTGAGTTGTTTAAAACCACTTAATTGGCTGGGTGTGGTGGCTCATGCCTGTGATCCCAGTGCTTTGGGAGGCTGAGGCAGGAGTATTGCATGAGCCTAGGAGTTAGAGACTAGCCTGGGCCCCATCTCTCCAAAAAATAACAATTAGCTGGGTATGGTGGCATGCCCTGTAGTTGTAGCAACTCAGGAGGCTAAGATGGGAGGATGGCTTGAGCCTAGGAGGTCATGGCTACAGTGAGCTATGATGGTGCCACTGCACTACAGCCTGGGTGACAGGGCAAGACCCTGTCTCAAAATAAAAAAATAAAAATGAAACCACTAAATTCATGGCAAGTTTTTACAGTTACAATAAGAAATGGTTACACCTGGTCTCTACCTACTGGATGCCAGTAACACCGCATTCCCCTCACCCCACTCTTTTTTTCTTTTCTTTTCTTTTTTTTTTTTTGAGATGGAGTCTCCCTCTGTCACCCAGGCTGGAGTGCAGTGGCGTGGTCTCGGCCCATTGCAACTTCTGCTTCCCGAGTTCAAGCAATTCTCCTGCCTCAATCTCCCAAGTAGCTGGGATTACAGGTGCCCGCCACCACGCCTGGCTAATTTTTGTATTTTTTTAATTTTTATTTTTTATTTTATTATTATTATACTTTAAGTTTTAGGGTACATGTGCACAATGTGCAGGTTAGTTACATATGTATACATGTGCCATGCTGGTATGCTGCACCCATTAACTCGTCATTTAGCATTAGGTATATCTCCTAATGCTATCCCTCCCCCCTCCCCCCACCCCACAACAGTCCCCAGAGTGTGATGTTCCCTTTCCTGTGTCCATGTGTTCTTATTGTTCAATTCCCACCTATAAGTGAGAATATGTGGTGTTTGGTTTTTTGTTCTTGCGATAGTTTACTGAGAATGATGATTTCCAATTTCATCCATGTCCCTACAAAGGATATGAACTCATCATTTTTTATGGCTGCATAGTATTCCATGGTGTATATGTGCCACATTTTCTTAATCCAGTCTATCATTATTGGACATTTGGGTTGGTTCCAAGTCTTTGCTATTGTGAATAGTGCCGCAATAAACATACGTGTGCATGTGTCTTTATAACAGCATGATTTATAGTCCCTTGGGTATATACCCAGTAATGGGATGGCTGGGTCAAATGGTATTTCTAGTTCTAGATCCCTGAGGAATCGCCACACTGACTTCCACAATGGTTGAACTAGTTTACAGTCCCACCAACAGTGTAAAAGTGTTCCTATTTCTCCACATCCTCTCCAGCACCTGTTGTTTCCTGACTTTTCAATGATGGCCATTCTAACTGGTGTGAGATGGTATCTCATTGTGGTTTTGATTTGCATTTCTCTGATGGCCAGTGATGGTGAGCATTTTTTCATGTGTTTTTTGGCTGCATAAATGTCTTCTTTTGAGAAGTGTCTGTTCATGTCCTTCGCCCACTTTTTGATGGGGTTGTTTGTTTTTTTCTTGTAAATTTGTTTGAGTTCATTGTAGATTCTAGATATTAGCCCTTTGTCAGATGAGTAGGTTGCAAAAATTTTCTCCCATGTTGTAGGTTGCCTGTTCATTCTGATGGTAGTTTCTTTTGCTGTGCAGAAGCTCTTTAGTTTAATTAGATCCCATTTGTCAATTTTGGCTTTTGTTGCCATTGCTTTTGGTGTTTTAGACATGAAGTCCTTTCCCATGCCTATGTCCTGAATGGTAATGCCTAGGTTTCCTTCTAGGGTTTTTATGGTTTTAGGTCTAACGTTGAAGTCTTTAATCCATCTTGAATTAATTTTTGTAGAAGGTGTAAGGAAGGGATCCAGTTTCAGCTTTCTACATATGGCTAGCCAGTTTTCCCAGCACCATGTATTAAATAGGGAATCCTTTCCCCATTGCTTGTTTTTCTCAGGTTTGTCAAAGATCAGATGGTTGTAGATATGCGGCATTATTTCTGAGGGCTCTGTTCTGTTCCATTGATCTATATCTCTGTTTTGGTACCAGTACCATGCTGTTTTGGTTACTGTAGCCTTGTAGTATAGTTTGAAGTCAGGTAGCATGATGCCTCCAGCTTTGTTTTGGCTTAGGATTGACTTGGTAATGCAGGCTCTTTTTTGGTTCCATATGAACTTTAAAGTAGTTTTTTCCAATTCTTTGAAGAAAGTCATTTGTAGCTTGATGGGTATGGCATTGAATCTACAAATTACCTTGGGCAGTATGGCCATTTTCACGATATTGATTCTTCCTACCCATGAGCATGGAATGTTCTTCCATTTCTTTGTATCCTCTTTTATTTCATTGAGCAGTGGTTTGTAGTTCTCCTTGAAGAGGTCCTTCACGTCCCTTGTAAGTTGGATTCCTAGGTATTTTATTCTCTTTGAAGCAATTGTGAATGGGAGTTCACTCATGATTTGGCTCTCTGTTTGTCTGTTATTGGTGTATAAGAATGCTTGTGATTTTTGTACATTGATTTTGTATCCCGAGACTTTGCTGAAGTTGCTTATCAGCTTAAGGAGATTTTGGGCTGAGACAATGGGGTTTTCTAGATACACAATCATGTCGTCTGCAAACAGGGACAATTTGACTTCCTCTTTTCCTAATTGAATACCCTTTATTTCCTTCTCCTGCCTAATTGCCCTGGCCAGAACTTCCAACACTATGTTGAATAGGAGTGGTGAGAGAGGGCATCCCTGTCTTGTGCCCGTTTTCAAAGGGAATGCTTCCAGTTTTTGACCATTCAGTATGATACTGGCTGTGGGTTTGTCATAGATAGCTCTTATTATTTTGAGATACGTCCCATCAATACCTAATTTATTGAGAGTTTTTAGCATGAAGGGTTGTTGAATTTTGTCAAAGGCTTTTTCTGCATCTGTTGAGATAATCATGTGGTTTTTGTCTTTGGTTCTGTTTATATGCTGGATTCCATTTATTGATTTGCGTATATTGAACCAGCCTTGCATCCCAGGGATGAAGCCCACTTGATCATGGTGGATAAGCTTTTTGATGTGCTGCTGGATTCTGTTTGCCAGTATTTTATTGAGAATTTTTGCATCAATGTTCATCAAGGATATTGGTCTAAAATTCTCTTTTTTGGTTGTGTCTCTGCCAGGTTTTGGTATCAGGATGATGCTGGCCTCATAAAATGAGTTAGGGAGGATTCCTTCTTTTTCTATTGATTGGAATAGTTTCAGAAGGAATGGTACCAGTTCCTCCTTGTACCTCTGGTAGAATTTGGCTGTGAATCCATCTGGTCCTGGACTCTTTTTGGTTGGTAAGGTATTGATTATTGCCACAATTTCAGAGCCTGTTATTGGTCTATTCAGATATTCAACTTCTTCCTGGTTTAGTCTTTGGAGGGTGTATGTGTCGAGGAATTTATCCATTTCTTCTAGATTTTCTAGTTTATTTGTGTAGAGGTGTTTGTAGTGTTCTCTGATGGTAGTTTGTATTTCTGTGGGATCGGTGGTGATATTCCCTTTATCATTTTTTATTGCATCTATTTGATTCTTCTCTCTTTTCTTCTTTATTAGTCTTGCTAGTGGTCTATCAATTTTGTTGATCCTTTCAAAAAACCAGCTCCTGGATTCATTAATTTTTTGAAGGGTTTTTTGTGTCTCTATTTCCTTCAGTTCTGCTCTGATTTTAGTTATTTCTTGTCTTCTGCTAGCTTTTGAATGTGTTTGCTCTTGCTTTTCTAGTTCTTTTAATTGTGATGTTAGGATGTCAATTTTGGATCTTTCCTGCTTTCTCTTGTGGGCATTTAGTGCTATAAATTTCCCTCTACACACTGCTTTGAATGTGTCCCAGAGATTCTGGTATGTTGTGTCTTTGTTCTCATTGGTTTCAAAGAACATCTTTATTTCTGCCTTCATTTTGTTATGTACCCAGTAGTCATTCAGGAGCAGGTTGTTCAGTTTCCATGTAGTTGAGCGGTTTTGAGTGAGTTTCTTAATCTTCAGTTCTAGTTTGATCGCACTGTGGTCTGAGAGACAGTTTGTTATAATTTCTGTTCTTTTACATTTGCTGAGGAGAGCTTTACTTCCAACTATGTGGTCAATTTTGGACTAGGTGTGGTGTGGTGCTGAAAAAAATGTATATTCTGTTGATTTGGGGTGGAGAGTTCTGTAGATGTCTATTAGGTCCGCTTGGTGCAGAGCTGAGTTCAATTCCTGGGTATCCTTGTTAACTTTCTGTCTCGTTGATCTGTCTAATGTTGACAGTGGGGTGTTAAAGTCTCCCATTATTATTGTGTGGGAGTCTAAGTCTCTTTGTAGATCACTCAGGACTTGCTTTATGAATCTGGGTGCTCCTGTATTGGGTGCATATATATTTAGGATAGTTAGCTGTTCTTGTTGAATTGATCCCTTGACCATTATGTAATGGCCTTCTTTGTCTCTTTTGATCTTTGTTGGTTTAAAGTCTGTTTTATCAGAGACTAGGATTGCAACCCCTGCCTTTTTTTGTTTTCCATTTGCTTGTTAGATCTTCCTCCATCCTTTTATTTTGAGCCTATGTGTGTCTCTGCATGTGAGATGGTTTCCTGAATACAGCACACTGATGGGTCTTGACTCTTTATCCAATTTGCCAGTCTGTGTCTTTTACTTGGAGCATTTAGTCCATTTACATTTAAAGTTAATATTGTTATGTGTGAATTTAATCCTATCATTATGATGTTAGCTGGTTATTTTGCTCATTAGTTGATGCAGTTTCTTCCTAGCCTCGATGGTCTTTACAGTTTGGCATGATTTTGCAGTGGCTGGTACCGGTTATTCCTTTCCATGTTTAGTGCTTCAGGAGCTCTTTTAGGGCAGGCCTGGTGGTGACAAAATCTCTCAGCATTTGCTTGTCTGTAAAGTATTTTATTTCTCCTTCACTTATGAAGCGTAGTTTGGCTGGATATGAAATTCTGGGTTGAAAGTTCTTTTCTTTAAGAATGTTGAATATTGGCCCCCACTCTCTTCTGGCTTGTAGAGTTTCTGCCAAGAGATCGGCTGTTAGTCTGATGGGCTTCCCTTTGTGGGTAACTCGACCTTTCTCTCTGGCTGCCCTTAACATTTTTTCCTTCATTTCAACTTTGGTGTATCTGACAATTATGTGTCTTGGAGTTGCTCTTCTCGAGGAGTATCTTTGTGGCATTCTCTGTATTTCCTGAATCTGAATGTTGGCCTGCCTTGCTAGATTGGGGAAGTTCTCCTGGATAATATCCTGCAGAGTGTTTTCCAACTTGGTTCCATTCTCCCTATCACTTTCAGGTACACCAATCAGATGTAGATTTGGTCTTTTCACATAGTCCCATATTTCTTGGAGGCTTTGTTCGTTTCTTTTTATTCCTTTTTCTCTAAACTTCCCTTCTTGCTTCATTTCATTCATTTCATCTTCCATCACTGATACCCTTTCTTCCAGTCGATCGCATTGGCTCCTGAGGCTTCTGCATTCTTCACGTAGTTCTCGAGCCTTGGCTTTCAGCTCCGTCAGCTCCTTTAAGCACTTCTCTCTATTGGTGATTCTAGTTATACATTTGTCTAAATTTTTTTCAAAGTTTTTAACTTCTTTGCCTTTGCTTTGAATTTCCTCGTGTAGCTCGGAGTAGTTTGATCGTCTGAAGCCTTCTCTCAACTCGTCAAAGTCATTCTCCGTCAAGCTTTGTTCTGTTGCTGGTGAGGAACTGCATTCCTTTGGAGGAGGAGAGGTGCTCTGTATTTAGAGTTTCCAGTTTTTCTGCTCTGTTTTTTCCCCATCTTTGTGATTTTATCTACTTTTGGTCTTTGATGATGGTGATGTACAGATGGGTTTTTGGTGTGGATGTCCTTTCTGTTTGTTAGCTTTCCTTCTAACAGACAGGACCCTCAGCTGCAGGTCTGTTGGAGTTTGCTAGAGGTCCACTCCAGACCCTGTTTGCCTGGGTATCAGCAGCGGTGGCTGCAGAACAGCGGATTTTCGTGAACTGCGAATGCTGCTGTCTGATTGTTCCTCTGGAAGTTTTGTCTCAGAGGAGTACCTGGCTGTGTGAGGTGTCAGTCTGGCCCTATTGGGGGGTGCCTCCCAGTTAGGGTGCTCGGGGGTCAGGGGTCAGGGACCTACTTGAGGAGGCAGTCTGCCCATTCTCAGATCTCCAGCTGCGTGCTGGAAGAACCACTGCTCTCTTCAAAGCTGTCAGACAGGGACATTTAAGTCTGCAGAGGTTACTGCTGTCTTTTTGTTTGTCTGTGCCCTGCCCCCAGAGGTGGAGCCTAGAGAGGCAGGCAGGCCTCCTTGAGCTGTGGTGGGCTCCACCCAGTTGGAGCTTCCCAGCTGCTTTGTTTACCTAAGCAAGCCTGGGCAATGGTGGGTGCCCCTCCCCCAGCCTCACTGCCGCCTTGCAGTTTGATCTCAGACTGCTGTGCTAGCAATCAGCAAGAGTCCGTGGGCGTAGGACCCTCCGAGCCATGTGTGGGATATAATCTCCTGGTGCGCCGTTTTTTAAGCCCGTTGGAAAAGCGCAGTATTAGGGTGGGAGTGACCCGATTTTCCAGGTGCCGTGTGTCACCCCTTTCTTTGACTAGGAAAGGGAACTCCATGATCCCTTGCACTTCCCGTGTGAGGCAATGCCTCACCCCGCTTTGGGTCACACACGGTGTGCTGCATCCACTGTCGTGCGTCCACTGTCTGGCACTCCCTAGTGAGATGAACCCAGTACCTCAGATGGAAATGCAGAAATCACCTATCTTCTGCATCACTCATGCTGGGAGCTGTAGACCAGAGCTGTTCCTATTTGGCCATCTTGGCTGCCAAACTAATTTTTGTATTTTTTGTAGAGATGCAATTTCGCCATGTTGGCCAGGCTGGTCTCAAACTCCTGACCTCAAGTGATCCACCTGCCTTGGCCTCCCAAAGTGCTGGGATTACAGGCATGAACCACCCTGTCCAGCCCCCATTCCCAATTTGTGATCACCAAAAATGTCCACAGACATTGTCAGATGCTCCTTGGGGAGCAAAATGGTTCCCAGTTGAGAAGCTCTGTGTTAGAGAGATTCCAACAGCAGCTGCAAAAACTCAGATGCAAGAAGTTGGTGCCTGCACTCAGCTGAGTGCAGTCAGTGGGCTGTGGGGAGCTGGGAGAATAGGTAACCCATCATGCTCACTGTTGCTCCTCTCTGCTGCCTTGCCCTGTGGGGATTCATGCCTGGATGCTTGGAGAGCATGGTTGGGCTGACCAAGAATCCTTATTGAATGTGACAAGTTGCCCCATTGGGCCCCTGCTTCTTAGCCCAAGGATGAAAGTCACTCTTTGTGGCAGCTTTTCCCTTTGGGTCAGACTCCTTTGCCTGACTGACCAATTCCTTTCATGCTGGCAGGAAGGACTTCCTTCTATCTAAGCCACAGTAGCTAAGTGTTGCCTGGTTCCATGCAATAGAAACTGACTCTGATTAAGTAAGGAAAATAAATTCGTGATTGTTAGGATAACAGGTGCTCTCACTGAATGAGAGAGGAGTTTGCATAGGAAGGAAAATACTAATAGAGTTTTGGAAGCTTAGCAGCAGATGGAATTCATGATCTACCTCTCTTAAAAAAATTTTTTTTAGAGACACGGTTTTACTCCATCACCCAGACCAGAATCTAGTGGCACCATCATAGCTCTCTGTATCCTTGACCTCCTGGGCTCAAGCAATCCCGCTGCCTCAGCCTTCCAAGTAGCTAATGCCACCATGCCACCATGCCTGGCTAATTTTTAATTTGCTTTTTGTAGAGACAGGGTCTCGCTCTGTTGCCCAAGCTGGTCTTGAACTCTTGGCCTCAAGCAATCCTCCTACCTCGGCCTCCCGAAGTTCTGGGATTAGAGGCGTGAGCCACGGCCCCCAGCCCCTACCTTTCTTGAGTTCTACCATTAATGTGTCTCACTTTCCAATCTCGGATTCCAAGTTTCAAATTCCTGGGGGAGAGAATCCTATTGCTTGGGCTCCATAGATCAACCCACTGAGACCATGGGGAGAGACTTGCCCAAGGTCACACAGCCTGAATAGCAGAGCTGGGCTGCCTCTCTCGACTTTCAGGACTGTTCTTTTTCCATGATAGTTTTTGGGGAGATGGAATTGTCTAGTTAGAGAGTTACCTGAGAGCCAATATAGTAAGAAAAGTTCCTCGCCAGGCAACTGAAATGACACAGGAACTGAAAACTGTGGACAAACTCGGGCTGTTTTTTCTAGTAGGTATCAGGCATCAAGATGTTTTTAGATAACTAGAGATGACATTTACTTTGACATATTGAAAAATAGTTATGACAGAGTTTTGAGAGGCATTATTGTGAACCATAGTAGTGTGAGGTCTTAAAAAGCCCCTTCTTCATTTTTTAGCTGTTTCTAATTTCCACCTAAATTGTCTCAGATCCTTTGCTAATTGCCAAGCCTGATTGAATTTCCAGTTCCTTATTCCTTTCCTGGGACCACTTTAGGCTCTGACTGACTTCTCCTTAGGTCTCTGTTTAAACACCACCATTACAACAGGTTTTATTTAGTTTTTTTTTTTTTTCTTTTTAAGACGGAGTCTCACTCTTTCGCCAGGTTGGAGTGCAGTGGTGCGATCTCCACTCACTGCAACCTCTGCCTCCTGGGTTCCAGCGATTATCCTGCCTCAGCCTTCCAAGAAGCTGGGACTACGTGTGCACGCCACCACGCCTGGCTAATTTTTGTATTTTTAGTAGAGATGGGTTTTCACCATGTTGGCCAGGATGGTCTTGATCTCTTGACCTTGTAGATCCATCCACCTCGGCCTCCCAAAGTGCTAGAATTACAGGCATGAGCCACTGTGCCCGGCCCTTATTTAGTTTAAATTCAGCAATCAATTCACATTTACTATATAAAAATTCAAAACACAGATATGCCAATTAAAATTTAAAAAATCACCCATAAGCTGACCATCTAGAAAAAACTGTACATTTCTCTATTCCGCATCCTTCTAGATTATTTTTCTTATCAGTTTATACTTATGCAAAGTGGTATTATACTTCATCTTCTGTTTTGTTACTGACTTTATTCATTTAGTTATTAAAACTCCTTAAATATGTGTTGATTACATTGTTTACTTAATTTTTTTCTTTTTATTTTTTTTAGACAAGGTCTTGCTCTGTTGCCCAGGCTGGAGTGCGGTGGTGCAATCTCGCTGACTGCAACCTCCGCCTCTCAGGTTCAAGTGATCTTCCTGTTTCAGCCTCCTGAGTAGCTGAGACCATAGGCATGTACCACCATGCCCGCTAACTTTTTGTATTTTTAGTAGAGACAGAGTTTTGCCATGTTGGCCAGGCTGGTCTCGAACTCCTAGGCACAAGTGATCCACGTGCCTCAGCCTCCCATGTTGCTGGGATTATAGGCGTGAGCCATTGCGCCTGGCCAATTACACTTTTTAATAGCTTCAAAGCATTCCATTCCCTGGTTATGCCATGATTGATTGAACATATCCATTATTCATTTTTGAGAGAACTTTTTTGTTTCTGTGTTGTTGATGGAGTGATGTTATATAGCTGCAGAATAAATCAAACCATGACTAATATTTCATAATTTCATGAATTTATTTCATTTTGGATAGTTACCCAATTTTTTTTGGTCCTTTCTGATTTTAGAATATTTTGTTATGACATTCCTTTGTGACACTGGGGAGAAAATGTACTTTTTTCCCAGGTCAGAGGTGTCCAGTCTTTTGGCTTTCCTGGGCCACATTGGAAGAAGAAGAATTGTCTTGGGCCACACATAGAATACGCTAACACCGACGACAGCTGATGAGCTAAGAAAGTTGATGAATTTATGTTGAGCCCCATTCAAAGCTGTCTTGGGCCACAGGTTGGATAACCTTGCCCTAGTTTCTCTCTATGCCTTTGAGCTGCCATTCAGACTCCTTTGAAAGATGGATTATCTTATATATACCTATGTATTTTCTGATGCCCACTCTCCCCATTTGACTACCTGTGGAGTTGAAAACAAGTCCGCCTACTCTAATCAAATCATGATGCTCTGTCCGGGGTCACATTTTGTAACCGACAAAACAGTGCATGAGGAGTTCCGGTTTTCTCGTATCACAAGATTTTATTGAGCAGCTACTATGTGCCAGGCAGTGTGCTAGGCTTTGGAGACTTGTACAAATTATCCTGGGGTATCTCAGCAGGGAAGTCCTTATTTGTTTATTAATTTTTCCTGACGGTCAGGTCCAGTTAGTCTCACTCTAAACCTGGGGCTTGGAATAGAGGGACCTGAGACACCACATTAGCTGCATGACATTGGGTGACTAGATTACATTCTTTGTATCCATTTTCATATTGATAAAGTTAAATCGGCTCAGAGTGAGGGTTATAACTCTAGCATATATAGAGGCCACAGCATATAGTGTTATATGCTGTACAAAAGACACAACACACAGTAAATGATTCAATAAGCAATGGCCATCTTTATTATTTACGTTGTTATCATATTCTGCTGAAAGGCTTATGTATCAAGTACAAGAAAATGTATAACCCAGTCATTTGTTTTTTATCCAAGGCAGCTGATGAAGAAGACACTTATTAGCCCAAAGAGTGAACAGGGTGAGAGGAGGAGGTTATTGGCTGCTTCTCTGCGGTTAATTTAGCCATCATTTCAGAATGGAGCTGGTATGCTTTGAGTGTGAAAGAAACCTGCTGCTTGTTGATGATTAGTCTGGTTTTAATGAGTTATCAGGTGTCAATAACAGCAGAAGTGCACTAACTTTTCACAGCCATCAGAGGATGTTCAGGATGTTCACTGGGTTCTCACTTTTCAGGGTTTTCTGTGGGTGTTAGAGGTTGGGCTGAGGAGGGCCTGATAGGACATATCTATCTCTGCAAGTCTTAGGCAAAGAAGCTTTCGTGATGATGTATTAGGCTGTTCTTGCATTGCTGTAATGAAATAGCTGAGACTGGGTAATTTATAAGAGAAGAGGTTTATTTGGCTTACGGTTCTGCAGGCTGTACTGGAAGCATAGCTCCAGCATCAGCTTCTAGGGAGGCCTCAAGCTTGTAATCATGGTGGAAGGCAAGGGGGAGGAGGCATATCAGTAGGTGGGGAGGTGCCACATACTTGTAAATGATCATGTGTCGTGTAAACTCACTCACTATCACAAGAACAGCACCAAAGGGATAGTGCTAAACCATTCATGAGAGATCCGCCCCCATGATCCCAATACCTCCCAGGAGGCCCCACCTCCAACAGTGGGGATTAAGTGAGAGTTGGGTGGGGCTCCTTGCTCCTCTTCCCAGTTAATCCTTAATCTCCACCCCAACTCCAGGCAACCACTGAACTTAACCTCCCCTTCCCCTTCCTCTCCTTCTTCCCCTTCCCCTTCCCCTCCCTGAGGTGTCTGTCAGTTACCCAGACTAGAGTGCAGTGGCATGGTCTTTGCTCACTGCAGCCTCTGCCTCCTGGGCTCGAGCAATTCTCCCACCTCAGCCTCCTGAGCAGCTGGGACTACAGGCACATACCACCATGCCTGGCTAATTTGTTGTATTTTTCAAAGAGATGGGGTTTCTCCATGTTGTCCAGGCTGGTCTCGAACTCCTGGGGTCAAGCAATCCACCCGGCTCAACCTCCCAAAGTTCTGGGATTACAGGCATGAGTCACCAGGCCTGGCCCACTGAACTACTTTCTATCCCAATACATTAGATTTTTCTTTCTAGGAGTTTCATATGAATGAAATCATACAGTATGTGCTCCTGGCTTCTTTTGCTTAGAATAATGCTTTGGTTATTCATCTGTGCTATTTATTGTGTGTATCAGTCATGTTTTTCTATTTTCTCACCTTGAGAAGTATTCTGTTTTATAGTACAAAACAATGAGTATGTCCATTCACCTTGAGGAAGATTTTATTTGAAGAAATCTTTGTCATCAAAAAGCTTGAAAACCAGGGCTCTACCTTGATTTCATAGTCTTGAGAATGATGGAGAACTCAATTTATACCATGATTTTCATTGAGAAAGCAGGTTGCATGTTAAGAGATTAGGTGATAGGATGACTGAAAGGTATTTGTGATCTTATGAAAGGTACAATGTGGCAGGCAGCCTCTATGAGGGACCCCAGTGATCCCTGTCTCCTGGTATTCATGCCTTTGTGTAATACCCTCCCCTTAGCATGGGCTGGACTTACTGACTCACTTGTAGTGAATGCAATATGGCTGTCCTGATGGGCTGTCACTTCTGAAATTAGCTTATGAAAAAACCGATTACAGGTATATCTCATTTTATTGCACTTAGCTTTATTGTGCTTTGCAGTTATTACATTTTTTACAAATAAAAGGTTTGTGTCCCTCAGTCAAACAAAAATGCAATGGGTTTCTTTCTAGTCCCCCACCTCAATTTTAGAAATTAAAAAATTTTCCAAACACAGTGAGTAGTAGTCTATATCTGAAGGGTGAATGAAGCAATGAGTGACCAAGTTGCCCACTTAAGGAGGCACTTCACAACAATAAACAAAGAGCCTGCTCTTTGGTCTCAGACCTGGGTTTGAGTTCTAACTCTGCTACTCCTTGACTGTGAGATCCTGGCCATGTGACTTACCTTCTCTGAGCTTCTATTTTCTCATCTGTGAAATGGGGACAATAATTCTTACATCAGTGCATTAAGTGAGAGAATCTAGACAGCACAGTACCTAACACAACACAATGACTCAATTTATTATTGTTGTTGTTGCTTCATTCTTATTTGTAAACACTCAACTGTCTTCACAAACTTCAGGAGCTCTTCAATGAGACACTGTGTCCATTAACAGTCTCATCCAATGGGTAATCTTGAAGATAGATGATTCTATGGTAGGTTCTGAAACATCTCCTCTTTTACTCTATCATGGTGTCAAAGACCAGGATGGTACAGAGGTCCAGGAGTCTGGCCTATGCAGTCAGAGAAACTGATTTGAACTCTACCTCTTCCACTTATTAACCAAGGGGCTTTGGGAAAATTGTGAGCATCACCAGGCTCATGGTGAAGATGGGGTTAATAATAGCTCCAACCTTATGGCCTTAATTGAGATAATTAATGCATATAAAAATGAAACCATGTCTTTTGCAGCAACATGGATAGAACTGAAGGCCATTATCCTATGTGAAATAACTCAGAAACAGGAAGTCAAATACTGCATGTGGTCATTTATAAGTGGGAGCTAAACAATGGGTACACACAGACATACAGAGTAAAATAACAGACACTGGAGTCTACAAAAGGTGGGAAGGTAGGAGGGGAGTGAGGGTTGAAAAATTATCTCTTGGGTACAATGTTCGCTGTTTGGGTGATGGATACAGTAGAAACCTAGATCTCATCATAATGAAATGTATGCGGTTAAGAAATCTGCACCTATATCCCCTAAATATATACAACTTTTAAAAAATTAAAAAAATGATTAATGTGGGCCAGCACACAGTGATCACTCAACAAATGCAAACTCTTATTCTTGTAGGAGTTGAGGGAAGATGCCAAGACCACCCCTTCTCCAACTTTTAATGTCCTGGTATTTTGTCTTAAACATTTGGAAGCATCTGCAGGCAGGGATTTTGTCCTCCTGTCTCCCTTCCGATGGCACTGGCCTGTTTGGATCAGTGGAAGGCTCTCCTGCCCCTCCTCCTTTCTTCCCAGAGGTTTTCTTTTGCACTTTGGACTTCTATTCATGGATCCTTCTGCCAGGGACGTGGACCAAGAATTCTTCCTCTTTTGCAGATTTCTTCCCCTAATTGTCCTGTTTTGTGCTGTCACCCCTGTGCTCTCCCTCCTCCCCAGTTATCAGCAGCTGGCAGGAAATGTTTATAGAAGAAGCCTTTCTTTCTGTTTTTAATAGCCTCCTAGGCTGCAACCTCCCAAATGAGAACCTTGTTAACCAGAAGGACTCTAGGCTACTGATTTATATTTCAGTCATACCGAGAGGAGGAAAAATTACAAAGGGAGAAAGAAAAATGCCAATGTACACATGGACTAGTTCCGACATCTTCTCTGATGAAGAATGTATATATCTATTCAGGCTCTGGATGCTAAGGGATTCCTTCCAGATCTCAGTATTTGACCTCTTACTTTTGGGTCACGTGGATTCTTCGTGCCTCTTGTGGGCTTGCTGAAAGCAAAAGTAACAATTTCATACTCTTGCCATTGAAACAAGGGGTCTATTACTTTTAAATCATAAGGGCACTTGTTTCAACAGAAATGTTAGTATCTTGGTGAAGATGGGGTCTAAGTTCTTGGTGGCTTCTGAGGATGGCGAAGGGCTCACCTTCTGTCATCCCGAACCATCACTGATGGGACAGTGTCTCTCCATGTGTAGCTATGCAAAGGCCACAGAACAAATGGGTAAAAATATTTGGTGGTCAGAATTCTAGCTCAATAGTCAAGGAAGGCTTCCTGGAGGAGAAAGTTCATTTTGAACTGGGCTTTAAAAGTTGGTGTCACAGAAAATGCAAGCTGTCCCTCAGAATTAAGACTAGAGTTCTGTGAAATAGTGATTGCAAAAATGGCCACAATTATTCTCCTCTCTATAGGCACACCCCTTTGCAATGTGACATTGTAGCTTCTCCTATTAGAGTCTATTTCCCCACCCTTGAATCCAGGCCAGTCTTGTGACTTGCTTTGGCTAATACAGTGTGATGGAGGTGACAGTGTGCCAGTTCTGAGCCTAAATCTCAAGATAACTTGCACACTTCCACTCAATCTCTTGGAATCCTGCCCAACCACCATGTGAACCAGCCCCAGCTAGCCTTTGGGAGGATGGGATGCCACATGGAGAGGAGACAGCCCAGGTAAGGACCAGTCAGCACCCGACCAACCAGGCAGCTAACTGCTGGTACCTGAGATGGGCCCAATCAAGAGCACTACATTTGCCCAGATAGACCCAGCGCACATTGCCAGCCTGCAGAATCATGTGCTAAATGAATGCTTATTGTTTAAAGCTGCCGAATAGTGGTTTGTGATTTAGCAAAACTAACTAGTACAGTTTCCTATGCAGCTGAGTGTATCCATGTGACTAAGTTTCTACATACAAAAACGGTGTGTGTAATTTCTGGGGAATTTCCTTCCAGGGAGAAGGTATGCTCTTCTTCCACTTTTTTTCCTTTATATTGCCTGGAATGGGTATGTAATAGCTGGAGCTCCAGCAGCCATCTTGGATCATGAAGTAAGTTTAGGAATGGAAGACACTCCTGGCAGAGCAATAAGCTGGGAGGGTCTTGTTCCTGTAAAACCACTGATTACCTTTCCAGTTCTATTCTGGTACTTCTAAATTTACTAAACAGAAGTTAATAAACTTTTGTTTAGGTCATTGTTTTGAGTTTTGCAGTTACTCATAGCTGAACCTATTGCAAAAGAATACAGATGGTCAGGATTTAAACAAGCAGGGATGGCAGAGAAGGGCATCCATGACATAGGGAATATAACACTAATGTTGCAGAGAAAGAAAAAGTGTGGGTAATGGGTGGGCAATGGTGAATAACTACATATGCCTAAGGGGAGCAGTGGGTGATCAAATTGGGAACCATTTGGGACCAGCTTTTGAAAGGCAGACTGAGAAGTTTGGAGAGGGTGGTAGACAAAAATGTGTGAGTACTTATGCAAATCAGAGTAAGAAAGTCATATATTCATTTTTCCCCCACTCATTGATTCATTTCTTCTAGGAAGTTTACACTGTGTATGAGGGAAACATAGCAAAATAGAAAGATGATTATTGATTGTTATGCATGGTCTGAACTAAATAAACTCTGTGATGTGGCAGAGATTAACTGTTGGGCGGAGATGGCTACTTTAGGCACAGTAGTCAGAATTTTTTGTTTTCTAGAAATTCTGTTAGGCCCTGTGCAGAAGTCTAGGAACACAGGGATGAATAACACACACTTCCTGTCATTGAAGAGATCACAATCTGGTGTGGAATGAGGTTAATCAGGAATATTTTCCTAGTGGAGGTAGAATAGAGCCAAAGGAAATAATGTAGTTTTCCCATATGTATCTGTCAGATATTGCTACAACAAGGTTGCATAACAAGCATCCCCCCAAATCTTGCTTACAACAAAAAAATATTTTTTCCTTCACAGGTCTGTGCATAGGCTGTGGTTCTGCTGGGCTCTGTTGGCTCGGCTTGACTCCACGCTGTGGGTTGGTCTGGGTCTGCTCTATATATCTTTTTATTCTGGGACCAATGGATCCCAAAGATTTGTACTTCTCAGGGTGGATGGCAGAAGTGCAAGGGGCCAAACCAGACCACAGAGGCACATATAATGCTTTGACTTGCATCACATGTACTAACACAATTGGCATTAGCAAGACTGATATCAGTGGGTCAGGATGTATGTTCCACTCACAGTGGGAAGATTGCAAAGGTGCAAAGATGTATAATTCTGTTAAGAGAGGGAATGAAGAGTCGGGAACAATATCCAGCTTACCATACCACCCAGCTTACTTACCATTCCTTACCATACAAGGAAATAATGTATTTCTCCATTTTTCAAGAACACTCATGTCTGAATAGTTTTATTATTTTCTTCAACAAATCTTTTATCTTGTTAGATTTATTGCAACGAGCCATATTTCTCTTTTTTACAAAATTTATTTAGAAAGTTACATATGCACATATGGTAAAAAGTTCAAAAAGTGGTACCAAAAGATATAACAGTGAAAATAAGGCTGGTTCTTGTTTTTATCCACTGAGGCAAATACTGAGTTTATTTTCAAAGGTATTCTGTGTGGGCACAATCACGCTTGCATATGTTAAAAAATACAAAATGGTATCATACTTGTTCCTCTGCACTTTCTTTTTTTTCTATTTAACAACATATCTTAGAGGTAGTCCTATTTCAATTTAGCTAGACCCATTTCATTCTGTTTAATGGCTACATTTGTTTTTCATTGTGAGACTGTGCCGTAATTTATTTAATCAGTGCCATATTGAAAGACATTTGGATCGTTTCCCAGCATTTGCAACTATAATCAAGGTTACATTAAATATCCTGTTACATGCAGGAAGATACTTTATTCACATGCATGGGTATATCAGTAGGTTAAAACTCAAATACAGAAACTGCCAGGTCAAGAGATACACATCTTAAAGTTTAATAGATATTGACCCTGTTTCTAAAAAGAAAGATTCCTTCCAGCGTGTCTACACACATTTGTCTGCTCCTCTGTCTTCTGATTCTTGTCCCATGGTGTTATTTTAGGCTGAAATAATGGAATATGGTGGCTCAAAAAACTTATTCCCATAGGATCTCTGGGAAAGCTTTGGGTCTTGCCACATGGTCCCCAGTTGAACACAGGAAGTACTTGGCACTGTTGTTGCAACCCAAATCATCACTTTAATGAGCGTGCTGGAGGAGCGTGGAATGTTTCCACAAGCATGTGTACTGAAGAATTCCATGCTGCAGGCGAAATGATTTATATCCCTGGGAGTTCCCAGTAAAAAAATGTGCACAGTACCCTTTAATTTGATCTGCTTTCCCTGTAGCACCTAAATATTTAGGGCAAATAGAAAATAGTTCTGATTTACATCTCTATAAAAATTTTAAACAACCTAACAAGACATTTGATCATGAAATTGCCTGAAATAATGTTGGCACTAGTCAGCCATATTTCTTCAAAATGGCCTGTAACTTCAGTGCAAACTCCCAAACATGGATTTTTTTTTCCTGCTAATAACAGTCTTATTAATAAAAGAATGATTTTCTTTACTGATCCTCAGCAGCTGTGTTCCGGGTGTCTTTGTTCAATAAAGGTAGAGATAATAACTGTCAGTGGAAAGAAAATGTGCTGAGGTTCCCAGGAGAAGTGGTGGAAACAAATCTTTTATTAAATCATATCAAATTGTGTTTCTCGTTTACTTTTTCCATTTTGTAAGTCACAGTCATATCTGCTAGTTTTTCGGAAACCTTGGCTCACATTTGTCAAAAAAACTTGGCTTGGCATTCTTGAGGTTAATGCTGCGTGATCAATCGGTGATAAATTTGACATAATTAACTGTTGTAATGGCATTTCTGAGTCTGTTTCTCTTCTTTACTCCTGCTGAAATCATCTGAGATTAGTTAACTTCTGAATATTTCTTCAGATGTGCTGTGGATGCCTAGAAAAAGAGTGGTAAGGAAGTGTCGTTGATATCTGGAGTTCTTATCTGTCCACAGGTTAATGATCTCTCTGAATAATAACACCCCTATTTCCCTAGGAGGATCCCTTCCCCTACTCTCAAGGCAGGTGGCTCAGATGGGCCTGATTTATTCCTGGTGCTAGGGGTGGGCAAAAGACCCAGACCTGACCAATCAAAAACATCAAATTGGGCCAACCAGAACGAATTAGAATTCTGGGACCTTTGCTACAACTATTGGAAAAGATAATTTTTTTTTTGATTGGAATTCCTGAAAGAACAAGACATAAACCTGCTTCTGGTTATCTTTGCTTTCCGGGGAAAGGTTTTTTTTAATGTTTATTTTTATTTTTTCTGAGACAGGGTCTCACTCTGTCACCCAGGCTGGAGTGCTGTAGTGCAATCATGGCTCACGGCAACCTCGGACTCCTAGGCTGCAGAGATCCTCCTGCCTTAGCCCCCTGAGTGCTGGAGCTACAGGTATGTGCTACCATGCCTGGCTAACTAAATTTTTTTTTCCTTTTTTGAGACAGGGTCTTGCTCTGTCACCTAGGCTGGAGTACAGGGGTATGATCGTAGCTCACTGCTCCCTCAACCTCCCATACTCAAGCTATCCTCCCTCGTCAGCCTCTCAAGCAGTTGGGACCACAGGCATGTGACACCATGCCCAGCTATTTTTTTTTTTAATTTTCTCTAGAGATGGGGTCTCACTATGTTAGCCAGTCTAATCTCAAACTTTTGGGCTCAACTGATCCTCCCACTTAAGCCTCCCAAAGTGTTGGCATTACAGGCGTGAGCCACCATGCCTGGCCAAAAAAGGGCATTCTTGAAGTCAAACAAGGGAAAACACTGAGAAATGAAGGGAGGTTCCTGATCATGTCACTTGGATACCAGTGTTTAGCCATGCCTGAAGTCTTACCCTTCAATTAGGCAGGCTAATACATTTTCATTTTTTGCCTGAGTCCGTTTAACTTGGGTTTCTGGCACTTACCTCGAAGAAAGTCCTAAATACTTATGTTTTCCAAGTTTCAGTAAAGTCTCATGTATGGGAGAGTGTGGTCAGCGCCAGCAATACCCATGTCCATAATAAAATATCAGTCCTCTCCCCGTCTGTTATTGCTGGTCACCACTGTATAATAGACTGTGTTCAGGCTGGAGTGACAGCTCCAGTCCACAGTTCATCAGAGGGTCTCAGCCCAGTCTCGTCAAGGATTCTCATTTCTAGCATTCATCATGGTTGCCCTATATCCATGCTCTGAGGATATGGCATTTACCTCTGCTGTGCCTTGTCCTCCCCCTACCTTGTACCAGTAGATCAGTAGATCCTTATGAATGCACAAATACCTCTCTCTGCACCAGAGAGAGTCCAGCCTGAGGTTTGTAGGCAGCTAGCTACTGGAATTTTCTCCCAGCTTTGTATCTCTAAGATCTCAGGTCCATTTCTTTTTCTTTTCTTTTCTTTTCTTTTTCTTTTTTTTTCCTTTTTCTTTTCTTTTCTTTCTTTCTTCTTTTTTTTTTTTTTTTGAGACAGAGTTTCGCTCTTGTTGCCCAGACTGGAGTGAGTGCAATGGTGCGATTGTGGCTCACCGCAACCTCTGCCTCCCTGGTTCAAGCAATTCTCCTTCCGCAGCCTCCCGAGTAGCTGGGATTACAGGCATGCGCCACCACGCCTGGCTAACTGTATATTTTTAGTGGAGACGGGGTTACTCCATGTTGGTCAGGCTGGTCTTAAACTCCCAACCTCAGGTGATCCCCCCACCTCGGTCTCCCAAAGTGTTGGGATTACAGGTGTGAGCCACCGTTCCCGGCATCTCAGGTCCATTTCTAGGTCTTGCCTTGCCTTACTTGAATTAGGTAATGACCTTATATGTGGGGGAAGAGATGATGTGGACAGGGATATATGGTCTAACATTCACAGTGCTCCTACTGCTTATCAGATACTGTGCTTGGTTCATTTGTGTCATATTATGTTGTGTTTTCCATAACACGTAAGGCATTCCATGTGCAAGACACTGTGTTAAGTGCCTTATCAAGCAACATCTAATTTAATCCTTATAAAAACAATAGAAAGGCATTATTATCTCCATATAGAAGCTGAGGCTCTAGGTTATTTTCTTTGTATCATACAATGAGGAAATGGCAAAAGCAAGATTTCAACTAGGGTCTCAATGACTCTGAACCCAGTTTTCTTACCTCCGACATTAGCACTTACTGTATTTTTTTTTTTTCCAACTTTTATTTTACATTCAAAGGGTACATGTGCAGGTTTGTTACATGGGTAAATTGCATGTTGCAGAGGTTTGGTGCACAGATAATTGTGCCACACAGATAATTGGCATAATACCCGATAGGTAGTTTTTCAAGCTTCACCCTTTTCCCACCCTCCTCCCTCAAGCAGGTCCCAGTGTCTATTGTTCGTTTCTTTATGTTCACGTGTACTCAATGTCTGGCTCTCACTTATTAGTTAGAATATGCGATATTAAGGCCAGGTGCGGTGGCTCATGCCTGTAATCCCGGCACTTTGGGAGGCCGAGGCAGGCAGATAACCTGAGGTCGGGAGTTCGAGACCAGCCTGGCCAACATGGTGAAACCCTGTCTCTACAAAATATAAAAATTAGCTGGGCGTGGTGGCAGGTGCCTGTAATCCCAGCTACTCCAGAGGCTGAGGCAGGAGAATTGCTTAAACCCAGGAGGTGGAGGTTGCAGTGAGCCGAGATCGTGCCACTGCACTCCAGCCTGGGCATCAGAGCGAGACTCTGTCTCAAAAAAAAAAAAAAAAAAAAAAAAAACCAAGCATGTAGTATTTCATTTTTTGTTCCTGTGTTAATTGGCTTAGGAGAATGGCCTCCAGCTCCATCTATGTTGCTGCAAAGGATACGATTTTATTCTTTTTTTATTGCTGTGTAGTATTCCATGGTGTATATGTGCCACATTTTCTTTATCCAGTCCACTGTTGATGGGCATCTAGGCTGATTCTATGTCTCTGCTATTGTGACTAGTTCACTTACTGTATTGTCTCATTGATGAGCATCTACGTGTCTCTGCTATTGTGAGCAGCGCACTTGCTGGATTGTCCTGTTGATAGGCATCTAGGTTGAGTCTGTGTCTCTGCTATGGTGAGTAGTGTACTTACAGTATTGTCTTGTTGGTCTGTGCATCCCTCTCACCTGTGAGCTTCCTGATCTCGTGCACTCTGTGTTATGTCTGGATCCCGATCTTCACTTTAGAACCTTGCATAGAGCAGGTTCTCAAAAACTGTTTACAGAATTAAAGAATCTTTATAGCAATGTCAGAAGGTGAGTATTTTCTTTCCGTTTTACACATGAGCAAATTTAGGCTTAAGAAAGTTAAGCAAATTACCCAAGGCCAGGAAGTAGAATTCATGAAATATAATCCAGAAATTTCCAAGAGAATTGAGAAAGATATTCTCTAAGCTAAAGAGGAGGGTTTTTGTTATTTTTCGGCATTCTAATATAGGTAGTTTATGTGGAAACATGGAAGTAATTTACCACCTTTCTTAATGAAGGCCCTACTAGGCTGGGCTATCATGAAGAAAACAGCACAGACATTTTTATGAAAGAAAACTACATCTATGTTACTGCATCTGTATTTGAGCTCCTTATAACATGTAAGCAGGCAGAACATTGTTTAATGTTGCTGGACAAAGCTCAAGTGAAAATGATCCAGTGGGGAAATCTTTTATGGAAATTAAACTGATTGTTTTGGAATGTAAGTTGCAATTTTTCACTTCTTAGTTTCTGCTCTCTTGAGTCCTTGTCTATGTCATGAACACATTTGATACGGAATCCTGGGGACTTTGCCCATTGTAAGGAGCACTGTAGTGGAAGGCAGTCGAGCTCAATGTATAGAGAGAGGCAGCAAGGTGGGTAAGTAGAGGCAGCACCTGGGACCCAGCTAGATGGACTGGTATCTCTAAAGAGTGCCTCAAGGAAACACATTTCCTGGAGCACTTCAGAACATGAGAGCTGAGGCCAGGATCTGGTGCAGCTCACTCTATCTGAAAGCACTGAGATTCTGTTAAGCTAATGATGAGTTTTCTCTTCATCTTTCCTCCCAACACCAAGACCAAGCAAAAATGCAAGGGAACAAAGAACAAGAAGCAGTGTCCAAAGTCTTCAGAGTCTCTAGGATAGTTGTTGACCTAAGTCACACTGCTGTCATCCTCTGGGCTGCTTGTACTTTTGGAGTAGTCACTGGCAGATTAATAAGTTTCCTGAAAGTTAACAGAAAATACCAGCTTAAAGTAGTACTAAAGTTTTCAAAAAATTTTTTTGGGGGGAGGATGAGAGGGTGAAATATGATAGTCACCCTGATGTACTCATGGAAGCATCTAGGTTGTGTTATTAGTTAAAATTCCCAGCCATGAAGACAAGAATACATGGAATTCACCCATGTGTTCACCCAACCTCCCATCCATCCACCTATCCATCCATTTGTCATCCATCCATTCATCCATTCTTCCATCCATCTATCCATTAATACATCTGTCCGTCTACCTACTCATCTGTCCATCCGTCCATCCATCCACCTACTCATCTATCTATTGTCCATCCATTCATCCATCCACTTACCCATCTATCCACCATCCATACACCCACCTATCCATCCACCCATCCATCTACTCACCAATCTATCTACCATCCATCTATCAATTATCCATCCACCCACCCATCCATCTACTTAGCAATCTATCCACCATCCATACACTTCACCCATCCATCAATTCACCCATCAATCCATTTACCCATTCACCCACCCACCATCCATCCATCTATCCATCTATCCACCATCCATTCATCAATTTACCCTATATCCACCATTCATATACCTACTCTTTGATCCATCCACCTACCAATCTATCCATTCATCCATCCACACACCCACCTATTCATCTATCCATCCATCTACCCATCTGCTTAACATTAACCAAGCATACATAATGTGCCAGGCATTGTCTAGGGCTACCAACACTTGGTTCTTAGGAAATTCCAAGACTGCATTTTTTTGCTATAAAATAATTTTGGAAGTCAAATTTGCCTGAGGAGTTTTGTTAAAGTGAAGCAAAATGTAATATGAGTTTATATAGATTTTGGCTCTTACATAACTATACTTGGCATTGAAAACTACGCAACTTATTCAGGAATAGGTGGTGTATGGTACAAGTTGCTGTATCATGCAAAAAGATGGGCTGCAAGAAACAGTTTTTGTTTAGGCTTTGTTTTTCATTAAAATCTGTGAAATTGTTGAGCTCAAGTTGTTGTTTTGCTTGGTCAGGTGTTGCTAGTCAGCTAAAAATAAGTCTGTATCAGTGATCGTCTTAGATTCTAAGAAAACTCAGATGTGAGGGAAATTAATGTGCTTGCACTTTTTGTTACATGACACCATGTTGAACATGCGTAGAGTTTTGTGAACAGAGGTGGTAGAGCGTGTTGGTAAGAGTTGCATAGTTGGTAAAAGAGTTTTAAAATGTGTTTCTGATTAATTTACATAAATAATTTGGGGCCAAAAACCTTCTTTCCCTCCACTCAACACCATATTTTTGAAATCCCTTCATGTTGCTCTATATAAATCTAGTTAATTTCTGATTGTGTCCTAAAGTCAACGTATGCATAAAACACAATTTGCTTATCCATTCCTTGAGTGGTTATTGTATAGGAACATCAAAGTCTGTGTCGTCACAAGCAAAACTATGGTGGACATCCTAATGCATGTGTTGTTATGGCCTTGTGCAAATTTCTCTAGTGCACGTATATATCCAGATATGGGATTGTTGGGTAGATGAATAGTTAATTGCACTGAGTACTGAGAAATTGTTACTTAGAATGGCTGCTTGGTTTACACTTTTTACTAGCACTTGATGTTCTCTGGCGTTGTAATTTTTACCAATCTGATGGCTGTAAAGTGGCATATCATTGTTGTTTTGATTTGCTTTTCTCTGATTATTACTGATGTTGAGTATCTCTTCATATACTTATTAGCCATTAGTGTTTCCTCTTCTATTAATTTTATTTTCGTAGGCTTTGCCCATTTTTTTCTATTGGGTTTCCTGAAATTTTCTTGCTATTTTCAGGAGTTTCTCTCAATATTAATGCCAGTTTCATTTTACACACTGAAAATATCTTCTCACAGTCTACCAACGTGTTAAACGTGTAGATGATGTCCTTTTCTGAGTAGAAACCTCAATTGTAATCTTGTCAAACACTTCATCTTTTCCCGTTATGGCTTGTTCTTTTAAGTCTTGCTCAAGAACCTGCTCAATTCTAAAGTCACAAAGATATTTCCCACATTTTGTTTGATTACTTTTATGATTTACCTTTCACATTCAGATGTAAAGGAAAAAATCCAATTTAATCCTTGTCATACAGTAAACCATCCTCCCCCAAACCTACCAAGTTATTTATTCTTTCCCAACTGGGTTAAGACACCATGTCTCCTATGTATGTGGGGATGTTTCTGGAATCTCTATACTGCTTCAATGATCTATTTAGCTGTTCCTAAGACTGTAGCACAGTTTTTTATTATTATACTTTAAGTTCTGGGGTATATGCGCAGAATGTGCAGGTTTGTTACATAGGTATACACGTGTCATGGTGGTTTGCTGCACCCATCAGCCTGTCGTCTAAATTAGGTATTTCTCCTAATGCTATCCCTCCCCTAGCCCCACTGACAGGCCCTGGTGTGTGATGTTCCCCTCCCTGTGTCCATGTGTTCTCATTGTTCAACTCCCACTTATGAGCGAGAACATGCGGTGTTTGGCTTTCTGTTCTTGTGTTAGTTTGCAGAGAATGATGGTTTCCAGCTTCATCCATGTCCCTGCAAAGGACATGAACTCATCTTTTTTTATGGCCACATAGTATTCCATGGTGTACATGTGCCAAATTTTCTTTATCCAGTTTATCATTGATGGCATTTGGGTTGGTTCCAAGTCTTTGCTATTGTGAACAGTGCTGCAATAAACATATGTGTGCGTGTGTCTTTATAGTAGAATGACTTATAATTCTTTGGGTATATCCCCAGTAATAGGATTGCTGGGTCAAATGGTATTTCTAGTTCTAGATCCTTGAGGAGTTGCCACACTGTCTTCCACAATGGTTGAACTAATTTACACTCCCACCAACAGTGTAAAAGTGTTGCTATTTCTCCACATCCTCTCTAGCATCTGTTGTTTGCTGACTTTTTAATCGCCATTCTAACTGGCATGAGATGGTATCTCATTGTGGTTTTGATTTGCATTTCTCTGATGACCAGTGATGATGAGCATTTTTTCATATGTTTCTTGGCCACATACATGCCTTCTTTTGAGAAGAGTCTGTTCATATCCTTCGCCTACTTTTTGATGGGGTTGTTTGTGTTTTTCTTGTAAATTTGTTTAAGTTCTTCCTAGATTCTGGATATTAGCCCTTCATCAGATGGATAGATTGCAAAATTGTCTCCCATTCTGTAGGTTGCCTGTTCACTCTGATGATAGTTTCTTTTGCTGTGCATAAACTCTTTAGTTTAATTAGATCCCATTTGTCAATTTTGGCTTTTTTTTGCCATTGCTTTTGGTGTTTTAGTCATGAAGTCTTTGCCCATGCCTATGTCCTGAATGGTATTGCTTAGGTTTTCTTCTAGGGTTTTTATGGTTTTAGGTCTTATGTTAAAGTCTCTAATCTATCTTGAGTTAATTTTTGTATAAGGTGTAAGGAAGGGATCCAGTTTCAGCCTTCTGCGTACAGTAGCCAGTTATCTCAACGCCATTTATAAAATAGGGAATCCTTTCCCCATTGCTTTTGTCAGATTTGTCAAAGATCAGATGGTTGTAGATGTGTGGTGTTATTTCTGAGGCCTCTGTTCTGTTCCATTGGTCTATATATCTGTTTTGGTACCAGTACCATGCTGTTTTGGTTACTGTAGCGTTGTAGTATAATTTGAAGTCAGGTAGCATGATGCCTCCAGCTTTGTACTTTTGCTTAGGATTGTCTTGGCTCTGCAGGCTCTTTTTTGGTTCCATATGAAATTTAAAGTAGTTTTTTTCCAATTCCGTGAAGAAAGTCAATGGTAGCTTGATGGGGATAGCAATGAATCTATCCATTACTTTGGGCAGTATGGCCATTTCCACAATACTGTTTCTTTCTATCCATGAGCATGGAATGTTTTTCCATTTGTTTGTGTCCTGTCTTATTTCGTTGAGCAGTGGTTAGTAGTTCTCCTTGAAGAGGTCCTTCATATCCCTTGTAAGTTGGATTCCTAGGTATTTTATTCTCTTTGTAGCAATTGTGAATGGGAGTTCACTCATGATTTGGCTCTCTGTTTGTCTGTACTTGGTGTATAGGAATGCTTGTGATTTTTGCACATTGGTTTTGTATCCTAAGACTTTGTTGAAGTTGCTTATCAGCTTAAGGAGATTTTGGGCTGAGATGATGGATGGGGTTTTCTAAATATACAATCATGTCATTTGCAAACAGACAATTTGACTTCCTCTTTTCCTAATTGAATACCCTTTATTTCTTTCTCTTGCCTGATTGCCCTGGCCAGAACTTTCAACACTATGTTGAATAGGAGTGGTGAGAGAGGACATCCTTGTCTTGTGCCGGTTTTCAAAGGGAATGCTTCCAGTTTTTGCCCATTCAGTATGATAGTGGCTGTGGGCTTGTCATAAATAGCTCTTATGATTCTGAGATACGTTCCATTAGTACCTAGTTTATTGACAGTTTTTAGCATGAAGGGGTGTTGAATTTTGTCAAAGGCCTTTTCTGCATCTATTGAGATAATCATGGGATTTTTGTCACTGGTTCTGCTTATGTGATGGATTATGTTTATCAATTTGCCTGTGTTGAACCAGCTTTGCATCCCCGGGATGAAGCCAGCTTGATCATGGTGGATAAGCTTTTTGATGTGCTGCTGGATTTGGTTTCCCAGTATTTTATTGAGGATCTTTGCATCGATGTTCATCAGGGATATTGACGTGAAATTTTCTTTCCTTGTTGTCTCTGTCAGGTTTTTATATCAGGATGATGCTGGCCTCATAAACGAGATGGGAGGATTCCCTCTTTTTCTATTGTTTGCAATAGTTTCAGAAGGAATGGTACCAGCTCCTCTTTATACCTCTGGTAGAATTTGGCTGTGAATCCATCTGGTCCTGGACTTTTTTTTGGTTGGTAGGCTAGAAATTACTGTCTCAATTTTGGAACCTGTGATTGGTCTATTCAGAGATTCAACTTCTTCCTGGTTTAGTCTTTGGAGGGTATATGTATCCAGGAATTTATCCATTTTGTTCTAGATTTTCTAGTTTATTTGCGTAGAGGTGTTTATAGTATTATCTGATGGTAGTTTGTATTTCTGTTGGAGCGGTGGTGCTATCCCCTTTATCATTTTTTATTGTGTCTATTTGATTTTTCTCTCTTTTCTGTATTAGTCTGGCTAATGGTCTAGTTTGTTGATCTTTTAAAAAATCCCGCTCCTGGATTCATTGATTTTTTTTTTTTTTGAAGGGTTTTTCGTGTCTCTCTCTCCTTCAGGTCTGCTCTGATCTTAGTTATTTATTGTCTTCTGCTAGCTTTTGAATGTGTTTGCCCTTGCTTCTCTAGTTCTTTTAATAGTGACATTAGGGTGTTGATTTTAGATCTTTCCTGCTTTCTCTTGTGGGCATTTAGTGCTATAAATTTCGCTTTAAACACTGCTTTAAATGTGTCCCAGAGATTCTGGTACGTTATGTGTTTGTTCTCATTGGTTTCAAAGAACATCTTTATTTCTGCCTTAATTTCGTTATTTACCCAGTAGTCATTTAGGAGCAGGTTGTTCAGTTTCCATGTAGTTGCGTGGTTTTGACTGAGTTTCTTAATCCTGAGATCTAATTTGATTACACTGTGATCTGAGAGACTGTTTGTTTTCTGTTCTTTTGCATTTGCTGAGGAATGTTTTACTTCCAATTATGTGGTCAATTTGAGAATAAATGTGATGTGGTGCTGAGAAGAATTTATATTCTGTTGATTTGTGGTGGAGAGTTCTCTAGATGTCTATTAGGTCTGCTTGGTCCAGAGCTGAGCTCAAGTCCTGGATATCCTTGTTAATCTTCTGTCTCATTGATCTGTCTAATATTGACAGTGGGGTGATAAAGTCTCCTACTATTATTTTGTGGGAGTCTAAGTCTCTTTATAGATCTGTAAGAACTTGCTTTATGAATCTGGGTGCTCCTGTATTGGGTGCATATATATTTAGGATAGTTAGCTTTTCTTGTTGCGTTGATCCCTTTACCATTATGTAATGGCCTTCTTTGTCTCTTTTGATCTCTGTTGGTTTAAAGTCTGTTTTATCAGAGACAAGGATTGTAACTCCTGCTTTTTATTTTTGCTTTCCATTTGATTGGTAAGTATTCCTCCATCCCTTTATTTTGAGCCTATGTGTGTCTTTGCACATGAGATGGGTCTCCTGAATACAGCACACCAATGGGTTTTGACTCTTTATCCAATTTGCCAGTCTGTGTCTTTTAATTGGGGCATTTTGCCCGTTCACATTTAAGGTTAATGTTGTTATATGTGAATTTGATCCCGCCTTTATGATGCTAGCTGGTTATTTTGCCCATTAGGTGATGGAGTTTCTTCATAGTGGCAATGGTCTTTACAATTTGGTATGTTTTTGCAGTGGCTGGTACCGGTTGTTCCTTTCCATGTTTACTGCTTCTTTCGGGAGGTGTTGTAAGGCAGGCCTGGTGGTGACAAAATCTCTCAGCATTTGCTTGTCTGTAAAGGATTTTATTTCTCCTTTGCTTACGAAACTTAGTTTAACTGGATATGAAATTCTGGGTTGAAAATTCTTTTCTTTAAGAATGTTGCATATTGGCCCCCACTCTCTTCTGGCTTGTAGGGTTTCTGCCAAGAGATCTGCTGTTTGTCTGATGGGCTTCCCTTTGTGGGTAACTCGACCTTTCTGTCTGGCTGCCCTTAACATTTTTTCCTTCTTTTCAACCTTGGCGAATCTGACAATTATGTGTCTTGGGGTTGCTCTTCTCGAGGAGTATCTTTGTGGTGTTCTTTGTATTTCCTGAATTGAATGTTGGCCTGTCCTGCTAGGTTGGGGAAGTTCTCCTGGATAATATCCTGAAGAATGTTTTCCAAGTTGGTTCCATTCTCCCCATCACTTTTAGGTACACCAATCAAATGTAGATTTGGTCTTTTCACATAGTCTCATATTTCTCGGAGGCTTTCTTCATTTCTTTTCATTCCTTTTTCTCTAATCTTGCCTTCTCGCTTTATCTCATTAAGTTGATCTTCAATATCTGATATCCTTTCTTCCACTTGATCAACTCAGCTATTGATCCTTTGAGGAGAAGAGATGTTCTGGTTTTTGGAATTTTCGGTCTTTTTATGCTGGTTTCTCCCCATTCATGGATTTATTTACCTTTGGTCTTTGATGTTGGTGACTTTCAGATGGGGTCTCTGAGTAGACATCCTTTTTGTTGATGTTGATACTATTCCTTTCTGTTTGTTAGTTTTCCTTCTAACAGTCAGGACCCTCTGCTGCAGGTATACTGGAGTTTGCTGGAGGTCCACTCCAAACCCTGTTTGCCTGGGTATCAGCAGCAGAGGCTGCAGAACAGCAAAGATTGTTGCCTATTCCTTCCTCTGGAAACTTCCTACTAGAGGGGCACCCACCAGGTGGCAGCCAGAGCTCTCCTGCATGAGGTGTCTTTTGGCTCCTACTGGGAGGTGTCTCCCAGTCAGGATATGTGGGTGTCAGGGAACAACTTGAGGGGGCAGTCTGACCCTTATCAGAGCCCAGATGCTGTGCTGGGAGATCCACTGCTCTCTTCAGAGCCATCAGGCCAGGACGTTTAAGTCTGCTGAAGCTGTACCCATAGCTGCCCCTTCTCCCAGGTGCTCTGTCCCAGGGAGATGGGGGTTTTATCTGTAAGTCCTTGACTGGGGCTGCTGCCTTTTTTTTCAGAGATGCCCTTCCCAGAGAGGAGGAATCTAGAGAGAGAGTCTGGCCACAGTGGCCTTGCTTAGCTGCGGTGGGTTCTGCCCAGTTCAAGCTTCCCAGCAGCTTTGTTTACACTGTGAGGGTAAAACCGCCTACTCAATCCTCAGCAATGGTGGACGCCCCTTCCCCCACCAAGCTCGAGCATTGCACCTTGAGCTCAGACTGCTGTGCTGGCAGTGAGAATTTCAAGCCAGTGGACCTTAGCTTCCTGGGCTCCGTGTACCAGTTTTTGAAATTATTATGGCTTAGTAATAGGTCATGGTATTTAGTATAATGAATCCTTCTCCAATTTTTCAAAACTACCTTAGATATTCATGCTTTTTATATTTTTACATACATTTTAATATTTGTCAAAGTCCTCAAATTGTGCTGGAATCTTCATTTTTTATTTTTTATTATACTTTAAGTTCTAGGGTACATGTGCACAACCTCCTGGTGTGCCGTTTGCTAAGGCCGTTAGAAAAGCGCAGTATTAGGGTGGGAGTGTCCCAAATTTCCAGGTACCATCTGTCACAACTTCCCTTTGCTAGGAAAGGGAGTTCCCCGACCCCTTGTGCTTCCCGGGTGAGGCGATGCCCCACCCTGCTCCATGGGCTGCACCCACTGTCTGACAAGCCCCAGTGAGATGAACCCGGTACCCCAGTTGGAAATGCAGAAATCACCTGTCTTCTGCATCACTCACGCGGGGAGCTGCAGACTGGAGCTGTTCGTATACGGCCATCTTGGAACCTCCCCCACTGGAATCTCGATTGGAACTGCATTAAATCCATGGATTAATGTTGGGAGAAATTAATATTCTTACAATGTTAAGTTATCCTATTCATGAGTACGGTGTTTGTCTTAACTTATTGAGGTTTTTTAAAATGTTCTTTATAAGAGCTTTACTTTTCTCCATGAAGTTCTAGTGCATTCATTTTTAGGTTAATTTCTTGATATGTTATATATATAACAGAGTGTTTAAAAAATGATCTAACTATATATATGTAAACATGATAGCAACTACATATAGTTATATAACTATAACTATATATAGTTACATGACTATAACTATATATAGTTATATAACTATAACTAGTTACATAACTATAACTATATAACTGTATATAGTTATATAACTAACTATATGTCTGACTATATGAATATGTAAAAATAGGTGTATATATATATAATCCTAACAATATAGTTATATCTATATATCTATAACTACATATCTATATATCTGTAACTACATATCTATCTATAGATATATAACTACATCTAACTATATATAGTTATGTAATTATATATCTAAGTATAAAATCATATATAGTTATATAACTACATGTAACTATATAGTTTTATATATATATAGATATAGCAACTATATCTATATATAACTACATATATAGATATAGTTGTTATCATGTTTTAAGCACTCTGTTCCATGCCTGGTATGTAGTGAGTACTTAATAAATGGTACTTACTCTTATTTTTGTAACTATTATAAGTGGGGGAAAAGCAAAGAGGGATACTCTCCAAATGTCTTTAGGAGTCGTCATGATATGCTGGAAATAACATGGTTGTGGAATCATTCTCATGTGGGTTCTGGTCTGTCTCCACCATTAACTGTGTCACTTTGAACACATTTCTCAAACTTATACAATGGGAATGATGCTTATCCTACTGGTGTTCTAGGTATGGTGAGAAGATAAAATGAGATCACAAACTAGTAATGAATACTATGATTGGCACACAAAAGCACTCAGAATGCAGGTCCTTTTCTTCTCTAGTGAAGATCTGATAAGTTTGTCAAACAGCAACACCATTCCCCCACAAAATACTCTTTTCTTCATTTGAAGTCCATTTCCAAAATTTGTCCTTTCAGATGGATACAGAGAGCAGGTACACAGATTAAGAAAAATTGAAAAATTTATCCTTCCAAGCATCCCCTTTTCAAAGACACCTTTGGTTTTTCATCTTTAGAATGTAAACTCCTTGAGGACAGGAAGTGCCAGGAACTCCACACATCCATTCCTGTCCTGTGGTTTACCCATGCCAGTCATGGTAAGCCCATCACCCTTGTCAGTGATTGGCTCAGGGATGGGTTAAGCCCATGCCAGTCTGGGCCAGTGAGATTCTAGGAGGAACTTGATGACCGCTTCTGGAGAAGGACATCCAGTTTTCCTCTTTGACATCCAGTTTTCCTCTTTGACTGTATGTGAGTTAAAGAGGCCCATGCCCCAGTTTCTGCTGGCAGTCACCTTATATCAGTGAGGGAAGCCAGCCTTAAGATGAAGCCCACATTGTGGAAATAGAGACAGGGTGCCATGAGCAGAGAAATTCTGGGTTTCTGATGTCAGCATTGAGCTGCTGAATCAATCAATGAAGACACCTTCCCCTTTCAATGCTCTATTATCATAAATAATGCTCTTTTTGATTTAGTCAGTTGTTTTTTTTTGTTGTTGTTGTTTTTTGAGACAGAGTCTTGCTCTGTCACCCAGGCTTGAGTGCAGTGGTGTCATCATAGCTGACTGCAACTTTCAACTCTTGGGCTCAAGCGATCCTCCTGCCTCAGCCTCCTGAGTGACTGGGACTACAGGCATGAGTCACCATGCCTGGGCAATTTTTAATTTTTATTTTGTAGAGACAGGAGTCTCATTCTGTTGCCCAGGCTGGTCTGGCATTACTGATCTTAAGCAATCCTCCTGCCTCAGCCTCCTGAAGCATTGGGATTCCTAGCATGAACCACTGTGCCTAGCCAGTTTAGTTAGTTCGAGTAAGAATGTCTTTTATTTGCACTCTAAAACATCATAGTGGATTCAGACCTAAAGTCTTTGTCCTGAGCCTGCAAATAATTGAGGCTTAAGAAATGTATGATAGTGAACACGAACGTGGGAATTATACTGGCTTTGTAGAGTGTAGTGCATTGCATAATACTGTGTTCTGTAGATTCTTTGAGCTTCCTAATGGCCTTTTAATACAGAATGCAATTCCTTTTCCTCTTTAGTGAAGATACGGATTTACTCTCATCTGTCTCTTTCAGGTGAGGTAACTGAGGATCAAAGAGGGTTTGTGATATGCTGAAATTTGAATAGATAGCTAAGCAGTCCAGTTGTGATAAGAACCTAAGTCTTTTCACTCCTTCTTTGGTACATTTTCTCATATGCTCAATCCCCACTAGGCTGTGAGAGCCTTAAGGGTGAAAGCTACAATCTTACATATTTTTGTCACCAGAATGCCTAGCAGACAGCCTGTTTCTTTTGGGTCACAAGTAATAGAAGAATAAACACATAAATGACTTGTTATATCTTGAAAGCAGCTTTCATGTAAAGGCAGAGGGAATGATACCTCCTTCCAAAGTGTTTTAACAATGTCCAGTGGTGACAATGTCCCATTTCAAAGGCAATAGTCCTGGGTGTGTTTTGTCCTTGGTATATCTGTAGATCCAGCCTTTTAGCACAGGTATAACAGGCAATGATGCCATTGCAAAGGCTGTACTGACTAGTGAATTCTTTCAGACACAGAGGAGGAAGGAGTCAAACAGCAAAGTCAGAAGAGGTAGTTTAGAGCTGTCATCCCGGGTGCTCCTGGGAGGAATTTGCACTTAACACGTAAATCAGGTTCAGGGTCTGTCTAATTAATACAACGACTTTAGTGCCATTTGCTTCCCCGTCAGAATTCATACTGAATTCTGACACATGGTCATTGGGTTTATCAATAATGTGCCCCATAAATCCAGTTAGCATTTTCTTCTGGGTGCCGCACCTTGGGAAGCTGCTTAAATACCTTGAAGGTCCTTATCTAGCTCTGGCCTTGAATCTCAAGAAGGGTCAGAGGCCCTTCAAGCTCTTCACTGAGTATGACATTACTGCTGTGATTTGAGTCCTTTGTGCCTGGCTGGAAGATGTTCTGGTGAAAGATCTTAAAGCTTAGATGAGGAGGTTACCTCCCACCAGGCTTTGGCATTCTTAGAAGGAGTCCTGGTGCTGGGGGGAGTGTCTAGATTTGTCACTGGTTGTTTCTGTTTGCTCAGCATCACTTCCTTTGGTGAACTGCCCCTCACCTGTGCAACATGACTCTATAGGCCTGCCATCTATGAAACTCTACCCCAGGCTGCAGAGCTGGGTCTGTAACTCAATCTGGTCAATCCAAGCGCTCTCTCTCCTGGGAATCTGATTCTTGAGCTGAGACACACAAGGGTGGAGGTGATTTATGCAAAGCCACTTACTTCTGAGGCTGTTCATGAGTCTCTACTTTCAAACTCCCCTTCATTTCTATGACCTTCCAAATATCCCTTCAATAAATATTTAGTTCTTGTTTGCATGTGTTAGGGTAGGTTTCTGTTACTTGCTTTTAAATACCTTTAAGTTATACAGATGTAGATAGTACATGATAGTTTATTATTTTTGTTTCCCAAAATGAAAATACGTTTGTTGAATGTTCTAGTAATGGTGGTGCTATTATCTTCTTCTTATTAATATCTTATTAATATATATCATATATTATTATATAATATATATTATATATAATAATATAATATTAATATATAATATATAATGTATAATAATATATAATATATAATGTATAATAATATATAATATATAATGTATAATAATATATAATATATAATATATAATATATAATAATATATAATATATAATATATAATAATATATAATATATAATATATAATAATATATAATATATAATATATAATAATATATAATATATAATAATATATAATATATAATATATAATATATATAGTATAATATATAATATATAATAATATATAATATATAATATATAATAATATATATAGTATATATAATATATAATAATATATAATATATAATATATAATATATAATATATAACAATATATAATATAATATATAATATATAATAATATATAATATATAATAATATATAATATATAATATAATACCATACCAAATGTGTATGGTAATACATACACCATACACTAAATGTGTATTTACCATACACCATAATATATAATATATAATATATATAATATATAATATATATTATATAATATATATAATTTATATATTATATATTATATAATATATAAATTATATATATTATATAATATATAATATATGTTATATAATATATGTTATATAATATATAATATATGTTATATAACATATATATTATATATTATATATATTATATATTATATTAATAAGATATATATTGTGGTTATATATAATATATATTATATATAACCACATTTGGTGTATGGTAAATACTCAATACATGTCAGGCCCTGATTGTTACATGTTTTGGCTAAAAAAGAAATGTGGTTTCATTGAGCTGATATAACTTGCTTAAGAGAAAACAGCTGGCCAGGTGTGATGGCTCACGCCTGTAATCCCAGCACTTTGGGAGGCCAAGGTGGGTGGATCACTTGAGGTGAGGATTTTGAGAACAGCCTGGCCAACATGGTGAAACCCTGCCTCTACTAAAAACACAAAAATTAGCCAGGCGTGGTGGTGTGCACCTATAATCCCAGCTACTCCTGAGGCTACGGCAGGAGAATTGCTTGAACCCAGGAAGCGGAGGTTGCAGAGAGCTGAGATCACGTCACTGTATTCCAGTCTGGGTGACAGAGCGAGATTGTCTCAAAAAACAACAACAAAAAAAGCAAACAGCTATGATACAATGGGAGCTGGTATTAAATAAAATAATGCTTGTGAAGTGCCCAGCACTGAGCCTGGCACATATAGCATTCTATTCTTTATTTATTTTATTGTATTTTATTTTATTTTTTGAGACCGAGTCTTGCTCTGTCACCCAGGCTGGAGTGCAGTGGCGCGATCTCGGCTCACTGCAACCTCTGCCTCCCGGAGCCATTCTCCTGCCTCAGCTTCCTGAGTGGCTGGGATTACAGGTGCCCGCCACCACGCCCGGCTAATTTTTTGTATTTTTAGTAGAGACGGGGTTTCACTATGTTGGCCAGGCTGGTCTCGAACTCCTGACCTCGTGATCTGCCCACCTCAGCCTCCCAAAGTGTTGGGAGTACAGGTGTGAGCCACCGTGCCTGGTCTAGAATGATCTTTAAATTGCAGCTGCTGTTATTCTTTTAAGCGGCTCATTAGCCCACATTTGGGAGGGAGGTGTGTAGAAACAATGCCGCAGGAAAAACTCAGATCAGTTAGTCAGTCTCCCCTTCCTCTGCTATCGCCTCATATGTCTTCCTTTTCCTCCCCCTTCCAGAGTCCCTATCAGGCCCCATTCCAGATAATCCCTGCTGCTCTGCTAAGTGATAACTGAGCTATTAGCTGGTGTTTAAGATAAAGCCTTTCCTAAACCATTTGCATTTCAGTGGGGAAATTCCTGAGAACCTAGTGGCTCCCTCATTCAAAGCATTTAGGGGGCATTGCTTTCTCCTCTAGGGAGACCGTGAAGATGTCTCTTTGGAAGAGTTACTCATCCGTGCTGAGGTCTCACTAATTAACATCTTGCCTCAGGAGGGCCAGTGTGCCTGAACAATGCTTTCTACTGATCAGTTCTATAGTGGGTTACCACAGGCACTGTATGATTGCCACAGTAGGGGGAACCATCGTCAAGGGCAGATCCTTATGGAATTGGAATATTGCAATATAGGGGTATTTGTGTATGTGTGTGTGTGTAATAAATAATTTAGTCCCAGGTAGTGCCATTCAGTATATTAACACATATTATTTATTTCTGTTTTCACAGCAGTCCTAAAAGTTCCGTATTATTTCCCCACTTTGCAGATGAAGAAATTGAGGCCCTTTAGTGGGTATTGGGGCTCTGCTGTTTTCCCTCATCCAACATTCTCCTTCCCCCTTCTTTTGTTATTAGCATATAGCTCACAGTATAGTTGGGATTTGTGTTCCTGCCCAAATCTCATATTGAAACGTAATCCCCGATGTTGGAGGTGGGACCTGGTGGGAGGTGATTGGAACATGAGGGCAGGTGTCACATGATGGTTTAGCACCATCGCGTTGGTGCTGTCCTCACAATAGTGAGTTCTTGTGAGATTTAGTTGTTTAAGTGTGTAGTACCTCCCCCTTCTTCTCTTGCTCCTCCTTTCCCCATGTGACCTTCAAGATCCCTCTCTGCCCTCCGCCATGATTGGAAGTTTCCTGAGGCCTCTCCAGAAGTAGATGCTGGTGTTATGCTTCCTGTACTACCTGGAGAACTGTGAGCCAATTAAACTTCTATTCTTATAAATTACACAGTCTCAGGTATTTTTTTTTAAATATAGCAATGTGAGGATGGACTAATACAGCTGATGTGGGACCGATCCTCCCTGCTCTTGTGTCTGAGAACTGACTAATCTAAATAATCTACACCACTGGCCACTGGGATTGGTTCAGGAGTAGACATATGAGGCCACTGAGAGCCAGACTTGGGACTTTTGTAGGAGATGTAGGAATGTGCCTTTTCTGACTTAGTGGGGCTAAGAAAGCAGAATGAGCCTAGAGGAGACAGGGGCAGTCTTTGCCTACGTGAGAATAAAACCAACACCAAGGAAACAGAGGTGGAAAAAGAAAGCGTGGTTTCAGTTGTTACAACATGAACATCTGAATCCAGACGTGCCCAACGCTAGAATATTCCTGGGCTTTTCGGTTTGTTGATCCACACATCCTGTTTCATGCTTAATCCAATCTTTGATCTGGGTATTCTGTCACTTGTAACTGAAAGAATCTTCATGAAGACAGACTCGGAGTGTTAAGGAATCAATGTTAGTGTCCCTGAAAAACTCATACGTTGAAGCCCTAGCCCCCAGTGTGATGGTTTTTGGAGGTGGGGCTTTTCAGCAGTAATTAGGTTAAGATGATATCATGAGGGTAAGGCCCAAACAATGAGATTAGTGTCCTTATAGGAAGAGGAAGAGACCAGAGCTTTCTCTCTACACCACGTGAGGACACAGTGATAAGGCAGCTGTCTGTAAGACAGGAAGAGAGCCCTCACTAGGCTCACTTTGGCACCTTGATCTCAGATTGTCAGCCTCCATAACTGAGAAATCAGTGTCTAATGTTTAAGCCATACAGTTTATGGTATTTTGTTATGGCATCTTGAATTGACTAAGAGAGGATAAGTGCCTCGTGTAATGTCACACAACTAATAAGCAGCAGAGCTGGGATTTGAACTCAGGTGTTGCTGACTTCCAAGTCCATGAAGTCTCCACGGAAATATGAGCTCTGGTGGCAAAAGAACGGATGGAGCAGATGCCAACATTAGTTTCAGCCTGGAGAAGAAAACCTGGTGATATGGTTTGGCTGTGCCCCCACCCAAATCTCAACTTGAACTGTATCTCCCAGAATTCCTATGTGTTGTGGGAGGGACCCAGGGAAAGGTAATTGAATCATGGGGACCCATCTTTCCCTTGCTATTCTCATGATAGGGAATAAGTCTCACAAGATCTGATGGTTTTATCAGGGGTTTCTGCTTTTGCATCTTCCCCATTTTCTCTTGCCACCATCATATAAGAAGTACCTTTCACCTCCTGCCATGATTCTGAGGCCTTCCCAGCCAGGTGCCACTGTAAGTCCAGTTAAACCTTTTTTTCTTACCAGTCTTGGGTATGTCTTTATCAGCCGCATGAAAATGGACTAATACACCTGGGCTTGCAAGGGGTTTGGTAGTGGGCTCGGGGCAGCTAGGTTACCTGGAAAGGAAAGAGACGGCCTTTGAAATACAACCTAATTCACTTCACCACTTTACTTAGTTGAGTGTTGCTTGAACTTCTGTTGCTAAACTAACTAAAAATTGCTGTTTTTTAGTGCTTACCAGATGGGAAGCACTGTACTAATATCTTTGCAAACATCATCTCGTTCAGTCATCCAAATCACCCTAGGAAAGAGATACCATTATCTCTTTTTGAATGACTTTGCCAGAGTTACACAGACAGTCAGTGGCGGAGCTGGGATGAAACTGTTTAGGACTGAGTCGTGTTCCCCCAAAATTCATATGTTAAAACCCTAACCCCCAATGTAACTGTATTTGAAGAGATTACCTTCATAGACTTAATCAACGTTAAATGATGCCATTATGGTGGGGCCCTAATCCAGTAGGACTGGTGACTTTCCAAGAAGAGGAGGAGACACCCGAGTTCTCTCTCTTTCCTTGCACACACAAAGAAAAGGTCATACACTCAGCAAGAAGGCAGACATCCGCAAGGGAGGAAGAGAGATCACATTAGAAACTTAATTTTCCAGCACCTTGATCTTGCACTTCTTGCCTCTAGAACTGTGAAAAAATTAATTTCTGTTGTTTAAGCCACTCAAGTTGTGGAATTTTATTATGGCATTCCAAGTAGACTAACACAGAACCCAAGCCTACCTGGGTTCAAATCTCATCTTCTTAACCACCACATGGGATTGCTAACATCCACCTACCCATGCACAAAAATTTAACATATGAAAAGATCTTTACAGAGCGTGGCCTGGGGGTGGGGCTGCTTCTTCAAAAGGGCTAGAATTGGTCCTGGAGTCCTAAAGCTAGAAGGATAAGTGCAAAGTCATATCTACTTGGCAGAATGAATCCAAACCTTTCAGCAGGTGCAAACTAATGTTTTCAGCTCTGCCATCCTTTCTGTCGTATGGGCTAGAATATAAAACAGCTCAGCCTCATCAAGAGAGTACAATGAAACTCTTTGCTGGGAAAAGGATAGCTTTATTTCTGTTAAAGGGCCACATTGAGAGCCTCAGAAGCAACTCTCCTTGCAGGACAAAGGAAAAATATTAGAGTGATGAATTAGTTCCTTACAACCCAATGACAGACTGGTGGATAAATGCAGTGACAGACCCCAAATTTTATCTTTCTGCAAGTCTGCCCCAAATAAAAAGCCCTTATCCTTATAGACACTCTCTGAAAATGGGATTAAAACATAGCAGAATGCCCCACTGTCTGGGTGACATTTGTTATTATTATTGCTGTTAAGTAAGAGCCAGGGTTTAGGTGTTAAAACCCAAGTGTGCGGTAATTACGGTACCACTGAGGCTCAGCACAATATGCTTCCTGTGTCTCTCTTGTTTTGATAGCTGGCTATATTGGCAAGAGGCATATACCACTGGGGCTCAATAAGGTTTAGGGCTGTCCTGTTCTGACTAACTCCCTTTGTGGCCCAAATAACACTATAAAAATCAACATGGGAAACCTTCCTTTTTTTTCTCCTAAGAAACGCCTGCACAAAAGCCTTATTTTTCTGCCTTGAAAGTGTTTTTAACTTAAACGCCAATTTAATTCTGGAAATTGTCTGTGGAGGGCCAAGTGCATTATTATACTCTCTGTTATGATGAGGATAGGAGGATGCAGGAGGTGCCATCAGTGGTTATGACATCTACATCTTTGAATCAGGGGTTGTCAACACTGGTCATACATCGGAATCAACTTGGGAGCATTAGAAAAGTACTGATGCTTGGGTCCTAACCGAGATATTTTGATTTTCTTGGTCCTGGGGTGCAGGCTGACCAATGGGATTTTATTTAAAGTGTCCTGGGTTATTCTGATGTGCAGCCGTACTGGAGATCCACTTCTTTAAACCAGTTTTAGAGTTCAGCATTTTCCCCATAAACAGCTTAAAGTATAGGAAGTAAATGGTATATGCTATGGTTTGGATGTGTTTGTTGTTGTTGTTTGTTTGTTTTTTGAGACGGGGTCTCCATCTGTCACCTAGGCTGGAGTGCAATGGCGCGATCTCGGCTCACTGCAACTTCGGCCTGCCGGGTTCAAGTGATTCTCCAGCCTCAGCCTCCTGAGTAGCTGGGATTACAGGCATGCAACACACACCTGGACAATTTTTGTAATTTTAGTAGAGACAGAGTTTCACCATGTTGGCCAGGCTAGTCTCGAACTCCTGACCTCATGTGATCCATCTTCCTCGGCCTCCTAAAGTGCTGGGATTACAGCGGTAAGCCACTGCACCTAGCCTGGGTGTATTTTTTTTCCCCCTGAAACTCATGTTGAAATTTGATTCCCAGTGTAGAGGTATTGGGAGGTGGGGCCTAGTGGAAAGCATTTGGGTCATGGGGTGGATCCTTCATGCATGGCTTGGTGCTGGTACTGCGATAGTGGGTGGGGGCTGGCTTTGGTGAGACTGGATTAGTTCCCTTGAGTGTGGATTGTTATAAAGCAAGGACACCCCTCATGTTTTCCCTCTTTGCACGTGTCTGTTTCCTTTTTCACCTTCTGCCATATTGTGTTGTGGTGCAAAAGCCCTCACCAGAAACAGATGCCGGCACCATGCTTCTTTAACTTCCCAGCCTGCAGAGCTGTGAGCCAAAACAACCTTTTTACTTTATAAATTCCCCAGCTTCAGGTATTCTGTTACAGCAACAAAACATGAATTAAGACAGTGTCTGTGCTGTGTAGATAAATGTACTGTGTGACTTTTGACAAATTACTTGACCTCTTTATGTTTCCTCAATTTTCTCGCCTATACAATTTTGGTAAAAGAAATGCCTAATTCATAAGTTTGTGGTGAGGGTTATTAAATGAAGTAATTAATGTGCCTGGCAGAGAATACACATTTGATAAATGTTGGCTATTATTATTACTGCTATTGTTACTATCACCTGTTAGATGATAAACCAGAAACTAGTAAACTAGAAACTAGTTTTATTTAAAAAAAGGAGGGGGCTATTTACTGATTCATGTAAACAAATCTACGAAGGGGTAAGGGTAGATCTGGTCTCAGGACAACTGGGTCCATGGACTCAAAACCATCCATTGTTTCTTGCTGTTTCTCATTTTGCTTCCTTCTCTCATGTTAGCTTCAGGCTTGGGGACCAGCTTTTCTGCATAGGAAGAAGAGGCATTATATCAGACTGACCTGGCACACATTTTATGTCCAGAAAGGAAAAAGGGATTTTCTCACCAGGTTCTGCTGGGGAAAAAGACCTGAGGAAAGATTGTCCAGAATTGAGTCATATACTCATTAGTGATCTGTCCACTGTGGCTATGGAGGTGGGATCTTCTCCCAGAGGGAGGAAAAGTGAGGTGCCTAGAAGACAAAAATAACAACCGCTACAATGATGAAAAACCAGTTCTAATAAGAATGACTATCCCTTCCACAAATATTTATTAAGCATCTAACAGGAGCCAGACATGGTTCTATATACTACTTTATAAGATGAGAAATGGACATTCCATTAAAAAAATACCGAAGTATAGTTTCGTACAGTAAACTTCACCCATTTTTTGAGATATAATTCACATACAGTAAAATTCGACCTTTTAAAGACATGTAATATTTTATCCTTTTTGGTGCTATAGTAGAGGTAGTAAATTTTGGAATTGGGAAGTGTTAGGCCTTCAACTTTCTTTTTTTTTTTTTTTTTGTAAAATTTGACAAATAATCATGTTTCACTACCACAATTAAGATATAGAATATTTCAATTATCCCTTAAATTGTCTTGTGTGTCTTTGAAGTCCACCCCTTTGTCTTCTCCCTGCCTATGGCAACCATTGATCTGTTTTTTTGCCACTCTAGTTTGCCTTTTGCAGAATGTCATTTAAAAGGAATCATACAGCATGTGGCCTCCTTTCACTTAGCATTTGAGATTCATACAAATCGTTGTGTATATGGATAGCTTCTTCCTTTTTATTACTGAGTAGTAGTCCATGGTATAGGTATGCTGCTGTTTGTTTATCCATTCACCAGCTAAAGGATATTTAGGTTGTTTCCAAGTTTGGAGTGATTGTGAAAAAGCTGCCAGAAGACTTGCATACAAAATTTTGTGTAAACATACATTTTAATGTCATTTGGTAAATGTCTGGGAGTGAGGATGCTGAATCATATGGTAAGTGTATGCTAGGCTCTATAAGAAATTGCCAAAATGTTAAAGTGGCTGTGACATTTTGCATTCCCATTCACATGCATGAGAGTTATGGTTACTTTACCTTCTTAACAACATACGATATTGTCAGTTTTTAAGGAGGGCATTCTGATAGGTGAGTAGTGGTGTTTCATTCTGGTTTTATTAATAACTAATGGTGCTGAGCTTCTTTTTGGGTGCTAATTTGCAATTCATCTGCTTTCTTCGGTAATGTGTGTGTTCAAATTGTGTGTCCATTTTTTGAGTTGCTTGTTTCTTATTATTGAAATTTAAGTGTCCTTTGTATATTCTGTATATAAGTCCAGATATCAGGTATGTATTTTGAATACATTTTTTCCCAGTCTGTGGCTTGCCTTTTCATTCTGTTAACAATGTCTTTTGAAGAGCAGAAATTTTACATTTTGGCCTAGTCAAATTGATCAATTTTTAAAAATTCATGAATTATGTGTCGTATCTAAAACACCTTTGCTTAATCCAAGATTAGAGAGATTTTCTCCACTTTTTTCTAGAAATGTTATAATTTTAGGTCTATATTTGGGTCTATGATCCCTTTTGATGTAATTATTGCAGATTATGTGATGTATAGGTTGAAGCTCATTATTTTGCTTATGGATGCTGCTGTGATTTGAATGTGTCCCCCAGAGTTCATGTGTTGAAAGCTAAATCCCTAATGCAACAGTGTTGAGAGATGGGAACTTAAAAGATCATTAAGAGGCTAGGTGTAGTGGCTCACACCTGTAATCCCAGTGCTTTGAGAAGCCCAGGTGGTGAATAGCTTGAGGCTGGAAGTTCAAGATCCCATCTCGACAAAGCAAAGCAAAACAAAACAAAACAAAAATTGCCAGGCAGGGTGGTATACTCCTGCAGTCTTAGCTATTCAGGAAGCTGAAGTAAGAGGATCTCTTGAGCCCAGGAATTTTAGGCTGCAGGGAGCTGCAATTGCATCACCACACTCCAAACTGGGTGACAGAGTGAGACCCTGTCTCTAAAGAAAAAAAAAAAAACAAAAAACGTGATCAGGTCATGTGGGCTCTGCTCTCATGAATGGACTAATGCTGTCATTGTGAGAGTGGGTTTGTTATTGTGGGAGTGGGTTCCTGATAAAAGGGTGGGTTTAGCCCCCTTTCCTCCCCTTTTTGTGCCTGCTCTTTTGTCCTTCTGCCTTCGGCCACAGGATGATGCAGCAGGAAGGCACTGCCAGATGTAGGCCCCTTCATCTTAGACTTCCCAGCTTCCAGAACTGTGAGAAATAAGCCTTGTTTTTAAATAAACTACTCAGTCTCAGGTATTCTGTTACAGCAGCATAAAACAGACTATGAAAGATGTTCAATAATTATTTCAGTATAATTGAATTGCTTTTGCACCTTTGTGAAAAATAAGCTGACCATATTTGTGTGGGTCTATTTCTGAACTCTATTCTGTTCCATTGATCTATGGGTTTTTTTCTTCATCTATACTATGTAGTCCTAATTACGGTAGCTTTATAGCCAATCCTGAAATCATGTAGTATGAGTTCTTCAACGTTGTTCATCTTTTTCAGAATTATTTTTGAATTCTATTTCTGTTGCCTTTCTATTTAAAATTTAGAATCAGATTGTTGGTTTCTACAAAAAAAAACTTACTGAGGGTTTGATGGAATTGCATTGAATTAGGGAGAATTGGCAACTTAACAATATTGAATATTTCAGTCCATGAACACATAATAGGTTTCTATTTAGGTCATCTTTAATTTCTTTTATCAGTCTTTGTAGTTTTCACCACACAGATCTTGCACATATTTTTTTCTAAACGTTTCATGTCTTTTGATGCTATGGTAAATGTAAATTCAAAATTAGAAATATAGGTCCTCCAGCTTTCTTTTTTTCAAAGCCGTTTTGTCTGTTTCTGGATTCTTTGCTTTTTTACATACATTTTAGTATTAGCTTTCTGGAAAAAGCCTGCTGAGATTTTTATAGGAGTGGTCTTGAATCTATAGATCAACTTGAGAAGAATTGCTAAAAATAATATTGAGTCTTTCAATCCATGAACATGGGATATCTATCAATTTATTTAGGTCCTTTTACATTTTTGTCAGTAATTTTTGTAGTTTTCAGTGTACAAGTCTTGCACTTCTTTTGTTAAATTTATTCCTATTTTATTCCTTTTGATGCTGTTGTGAACAGAATTGTCTTCTTAATTTCATTTTCAGATTGTTCATTACTGATATATAGAATACAATTGATTTTTGTGTATTGATTTTCTATTTCTTCTTGAGTGTGCTTTGGAAGCTTATGTTTTTCAAGTGATTTGTCTAAGTGGTTGAATTTATTGGCATAAAGTCGTTCATAATATTCTCTTGTTCTATCTTAATGTCTGCATTATCTATAGTGGTGTCATCTCTTAAATTCTTGCTTTTGATAATCTGTTTCCTCTCATTAATCAGTCTGGCTAACGGCTTATTAAAATTATTGATTTTTTAAATTATACTTTAAGTTCTGGGATACAAGTGCAGAATGTGCAGGTTTGTTACAAAGGTATACACATGCCATGGTGGTTTGCTGCACCCATCAACCCATCATCTACATTAGGTATTTCTCCTAATGCTATCCCTCCCCCAGCCCCCCAACCCCTGACAGGCCCCATTGTGTGATGTTCCCCTCCCTGTGTCCATGTGTTCCCCTTGTTCAACTCCCACTTACAAGTGAGAACATGCAGTGTTTGGTTTTCTGTTCCTGTGTTAGTTTACTGACAATGATGGTTTCCATTACTGGGTATATACCCAAAGGATTATAAATCATTCTGTAAAGACACATGCACACATATGTTTATTGCAGCACAATTCACAATAGCAAAGACTTGGAACCAACCCAAATGCCCATCAATGATAAACTAGATAAAGAAAATGTGGCACATATACACCATGGAATACTATGTAGCTGTAAAAAAGGATGAGTTCATGTCCTTTGCAGGGACATGGATGAAGCTGGAAAATTGATCTTTTAATGCACCATTTTTTTTCTCAAGTGTTTTTCTCTTTTCAACTTTATTGTTCTACTCTTATCTTTATTATTTACTTTCTTTCGCCTGACTTGGATTTTATTTCTTTTACTTTTTTTTTCTAGTTTTTTAAGGTGGAGGCTTAGGCTACGATTTGAGACCTTTCTTATTTTCAGACATAAGTATTTAATGATACAGAATTCCCTGTAAACATTGTTTATCTGTGTTCCACAAACCTTGATATGTCAAAATTTCTTTTTTATTAAATTCAAAATATTTCCTAATTTTCATTGTACCTCCCTATTTAATCCACGGGTTGTTTAGAACTATGTTACTTAATTTGCAAGTATTTTGATATTTTCTAGATATGTTTATATTATTGGTTTGTAATTTAATCTCACATGGTTGCAGAATATACTTTGTATTATTTCAGTATTTTAAATTTGTTAAAGTTGTTTTATGGCCCAGAATATCTTGCTGAATGGTTCATGTGAACTTGAATAGAATGTGTATTCTGTTGTTGTTGAGTGGAACATTCTGTAAATGTCAATTAGATAAAGTTGGTTCATAGTGTTGTATATCCTTGCTGATTTTCTATTTCTTCTGTCAATTACTAAGAGACAAACTGTGAAGTCTCCAAGTGCAAATGTCTATTTTTTTAGTTCCATAACTTTTTTGCCTCATGTGTCTTGAAGCTCTTGTATTAAGTACATATGTATTTTCAATGGTTATGTCTTTTTGGTGAATTGATTCCTTTATCATTATATAAAGTCCCTTTGGTAATATTTCTTGTTCTGATGTCTACTTTGATACTAATATAACCACTCCAGATTTCATTTTGTTGTGTTTTAAAACTATTATTTTAAATAAATACATGGTTTTGGATAGCATTTCCATGGTATTTGTAGTTTCATTCTTTTACTTTTAATGTATTTATATCTTTATATTTAAAGTAGGTTCCGTGTAGGCAGCCTATAGTTGGGTCTTGCTTTTTAAAATTCAATCTGTCAATCTCTGTCTTTTAATGTGTATTTAGACCATTTACATTTATTATCATTATTAATGTTGGGTTAAAATACAACATCTTATTAGTTGGGAATTATTATTGATGTGCTTTCTTTTTGTTACATCTGAATCTTCTGTGATTCTCCAAATGGTCTCTGCTGAGCTGTGGCAAACAGAGGGGAAGAGGTTATTCCATTCTGAAGAGTGCCAGTGCCAGTGGGGTCTCTAGTAGAGGTCAGCTATGCCCAGCCTATGGCACTGCCACCTAGATCTCAAGCAGCAGAAACAGCAATGTGGCAGACTGACAAAATGGCCAGTTATTCAACAAATCCCTTGATGAGTACTGTCTCATTAACATGGTAGATACAATCATTATACCACCAGTGTACAGATGAGAAAATTGAAGCTCAGAGAGACTAAGTGATCTGACCAAGATTATGCAGTGGCAGAGCTAAGATTTGAGCCCAGGTCCATCTGAATTTGAAGTTTAACATCTTATTCACTATGTGGACAGGCTATAGATACATAATTTGAAGGCATACGTTAATGATCTTAATCCAAATTGTTATCAATATGTAAGTTGAAGGATGTAATTACATTTTCAACCTCGTGAGGGGTTTGTGCCTTCAAGGTAAGATAACACAAACCTGTTACCTGTTGGATATTATCTATTTAAAGTGGCTATTTTTAAAAAGATGAAAGATAACACATGCTAGTGAGGATGTGGAGACATTGAGACCCTTGTATGCTGTTGGTGGGAATATAAATTAGTACAGCCATTATAGAAACCAGAATGGAGTTTCCACAGAAAAATTAAAAATGGAACTACCATATGATCTAGCAATCTCCCTACTGGGTATATACCCAAAGGAAATGAAATCAGTATGTTGAAGAGATATCTGCACTCTCATGTTCATTGCAGCATTATTCACAACAGCCAAGATACAGAATCAACCTAAGTATCCATTAACAGATAACTAGATAAAGGAAAGGTGGTTATGTATACACAATGGAATACTACTCAACCTTAAAGAAGAAAATGCTGCCATTTGGAACAACATAGGTGAATCTGGAGGACATTATGTTAAGTGATAGAAGCCAGGCACAGAAAGTCAAATAAAACATGATCTTACTTATATATGGAATCTTAAAAAGTAGAATTTATAGAAGCAGAAAGTAGAATGGTAGTTACACGGGGATGACTGTTGGGGAGATGTTGGCCAAAGGAAACAAAGTCTCAAGAGGAATGAGTTAAAGAGATATATTATACAATATGGTGACTGTAGTTAATAACAATATATTCTATTCTTAAAAATTGCTAAGAGATTAGATTTTAAGTGTTCTCACTACAGAAAATAATAAGTATGTGAGGTAATGCATATGATAATTAGCTCAATTTAGCCATTCCAGTGTGTACATATTTCAGAACATCATCTTGTACATCATAAATGTATACAGTTTTATTTGTCAATGAAAAGTTAACTAATTAAAATTAAAAAAACTGGTATTATTTGCCTTTATTAGAAATCCAGTAATTACTGGGAGACAAGGAAACATAATCGAGTTGAAGACTCAATCAATTTGTACTGATGAATTGGCCAAGGGACATTTCTGCTAATTTGCCCATTTCTTGGGTTTGTAGAAAAGCAGGGTACAGACGATCGCTTCAGTGGAGAAAGAAGCTCTCTAAATGAAGATAGCAAGTGGTGAAGCAGAGTGATTCTGACATCTGCTAACTAGATAAGTACACCGACTCCACCAGCTCATTGCTGTGCTTTCATTCTACCCTGTGGAATCCCTTTTAGCCAATCCTTGATCAAATAATGAACCTATTGCAGAAATAAAGGGGAAGCACGTCCATCACTACCTCCCTAACTCAGAAAAATCAAGCTTTTTTCTGTTCTACACTGTTTCCTGTCATGCGTAATATAGCAAATTAATTAGTGGATCTGGCGGCATTTGCTAATACAATTCCTCTCCCTTGCTTGAGGTGAATTATGTTCATGCTTCAGTCACTTGAATATTACTCTTCCATGTTTGACGGAATTTTGTTATCAGGTGACTATATTGCACACTATCTGATTCTAATTAAACCAGAAAATAGTGACATTGTACAAGAGGAGAATGTTTCACAGTGTGCACCACCCACCCCCTTGTCGCTACATCCCAGTTTTTAGAGCTTTTTGAGCTGTGCTTGGGCTATTTTCTTATGTTTACATCGTCTTACGCTTCTCCAGACACAATGGCTTCTTGGGCATTGCCTTCATCTACTAGGTAATTTGTATAAATTGAGTCCTGGAAGACATAATGTTTACACTTGTCTTTTTTTTTAATCAGAAGCATAATGCACAGTAGCAAACTGTGAGTATTTCAGATGATATGAAAGAAGAAAATGTGCTGTTTTGCCAAAATCATTCATGTAACTTGGAAAGAAAAGTTTCTGAGAGAAGAAAAACTAACATTTTAGAGGGGAAACGGAGAAATGGGCTATAAAGATGAATTGGGGAAGCAATGTAATGTAGAGGTTAAGATCACAGGCTTGTAGTGCAGGGCTTGACTTCTGGTTCTGTCTTTATCTGACACTATTTCTTTCTCCTTACACAATAATAAGTGCTCAGGAGTTGATTTGCCGAAGGTCTAATGATGAGGTAGTAAAAGAACCAGGGCTGGGGCTCCCATTCCAGTTTTCCTTTTTTTCTATACCCTGTTAAATGCCAAGCCCTGATTCTGCCAGGGTGGAGAGTGAAGGGGAGTCTCTGGAGTCATCAATTACAGCAGGTCACTGGGTATCAGAGTCTCTTTTCTCATGAGGATAAAGATGTCCTTTTGAGTTAGACTATATTCACCCTTCATGAACCTTGGGGACATTGATGGCAGGGAGAGTTTTCTAAAGCTTTAGACAACTCAGAGGTGAAATAGGCACCATGCTGCAAATGAAAGGCACTTTTATGGTTGTCTGAAAAAAATACAGCACACTGCTTTAAACTTAGAAAGCCCAAGTGCAAGCTACAGTCAGGTGTGGTCTGCAGGCTTTGGTCTTTTGTCCCTGTTCAACAGCTGGTAAAGCTGGGAGAGGTAATCGCTGATGGAGACTTGCTCCTGTTGGGATAATATTTCTCAGACCATAGTCCTGCCATTTTCCAGACTTTTTCTTTTGGAGAAATGGGCTCCTACCTTGGAAGAGCCAATTATGTAATTCAGGTTGAACCTGGCTCTTTTTTTTCCCACTGATCTCTATCTTCCTTGGTGAAGACCACTTGGCCTCCGCCTCCCTGTTAGATATTATTCTTGGCCTATGTAAGCAGTGGAAAGCCTGAATTTTGCCCAGGCTTTGGGCAAGATGAAATGACACCTTCTGGGTTGGTGGAAGGAAAGGGCTATTTCTTTGGGCTACTTGAAGGACCCAGAAAGCAAAAGAAAAATCATGTCTTTCTTTGCAGAATTTCTGCTGTGGAAAGAGGCAAAGTCAATCAAGAGACAGAGATCCTTGACACATATGTATTGAATATCTACTATATTGCAGGTCATATTCTGGGTGCTGGGGAGATATCTGAACAAAACAGACAAAAATCCCTGCCATGAGGAACAAGGAATAGGTGTTTAATATGGTCTGTAGAAAAAGTACGGGAATAAAAGTCCCAAACCTGGCCTTTTTACTAGTTTATAGTCTAGTGGGGAGAAATAGACTTAAGAAACAACAAAAAGAGGAACGTATATAGTATATTGGAAGGTGATAAGTTTAATGAAGTAAATTAAGCAAAGGAAATAGATAGCAAAAGCAGAGAAGAAATGGAGGAGGTTTCTATTTAAAACAGGGAGGTCAGAGAAGGCTTTCTGCAACAGAAGAATTTTGAGCAAAGACTTGAAGAGGCAAGAGAGTGAACCATGTAGATATCTGTGGGAAGAACATTACGGGAAGCAAACTCAGCAAGTGGAGAATTCCCAGTATGTTTTAGGAAGAGCAACAAGGCCAAGTGTGGTGGGACTAGAGAGAGAGAGCGAGTACGGGAGAGTGGTGAGAAATGAGGTCGTCTTCAATGATTGTAGTTTGCTTAACTTGTGGCTGCTGGCTAGACAGGATGAAGTAGTTTGAGTTGTTTAAGAAGGACTTACTAGGTATGTGGGATCAGACTAGTGCTAGGCTAGACCCCAGGACAGGAAAGATGACTGCATTCAAGGACCAAGTAGTTCAGTTCAAGATTGAATATTGGCCTGTATGGAAACTTAGAAAACAGTGAGGCTCAGGTGTGTTATATATAGATATCTGAAAGAAGAGAGAAGGTTGTAGAGGACTGGATTGGATATAAGGCTCTGGAGGCAGACTGCCTGGGTATGAATCGTAGCTCCATTACTTATTACTGGTGTGATCTTGGGAAAACCACTTCACCGTCTGAGGATCAGTGTTTACATCTATAAAATGGAGTTCACAATGGAAGGTACATTGCAGGGGTGTGTGAGGATTTAAGACAGCACATGTTTAGCAAGTGCCATGTACATAGTAAGCCCTCAGTAAATATGAGCTGACATTCTTATTATTCATTGAGGTGGTTAGAGAAGGATTCTGTAAAGCTTGAAACCATGGAGTTAGTGATGTGCCATGGACTGAACTCAAGGGAATTTCTACTAGACTGCCCTTAACTTCTCTTAGATGGTGCTTGGATAGATTGCATGTGACTGAAATAGTTTTTTGGTGCTGGAAGCATCATAAGGAGATAGGACCAGCGGATTAGAAATAAAGGGGTGATGGTTGTGCCTTTACCAACAGTGTGTTGCTATGGAGAAGAAGGCCCTCAAGGAAAAAGAGGAAAATGTGATCAAATACATCAGCATGGGGTTGAACAAGAGCAGTGAGGACAATGTTCATAGTTGACTGACTAGAGTAGTGTCAATAAGAATGGCAATTTATTGAGCATTTGCACATGTCATCTCACGTAGGGCTTACCGTAGTCCTATAAGGTGGGTACTCATATTATCTTTGTTTTGCCACAGAGGAAGTGAAGGCTTACAGAAGTGAAGTGATATGCTAAAGGTCACACAGCTAGTAAGAGGCATATCTGGGACTCAGCTCAAGGGAGTTTCCATTAGACTGCCCTTAACTTCTCTTAGATGGTGCTTATATGGCTTGCATGTGACTGAAGTAGATTTTTGGTGCTAGGGGCATCATAAAGAGAGAGGTCTAGCAGATTGGAAACAAAGGGATAATGGTTGTGCCTTTACTAACAGTGCATTGAGCTATGCTCATTTATGTTCTTATGATCTCTTAGAAACAGAGACTTGGTTCTTTCCTGTCTTAAGAAGGAAAATCTGACTGCGGGGTATGGCCATCCCCTAAAATATCAAAAAGACATCTATTTCCATTTTCTTCCTCCTAATACCTAGGAGACAACAAAGTGGATTTCCAGTGGTACTTCCCACATGAGTAGAATGAACTTTCCTTGGTAAAAGTTGACTTTCTTACTAAAGGACAAAATATATAGGCTCCTCAATTTGAGCCATGGGATTTGGTGGGCAGCTGGACTGAGCCCAAAGACATCCCCACAGGGAGGCAAAACTGGCTGGTATATGTGGAAAGAGTGAGTGGCTCAGGGAATAGATGCTGTGAGCCAGGTTGTGAATTTCCAGAGCCCAGGGATTAGAGCCACTTGACATTCACTTTAGGTGAACTGTGTTGTCTTACATCCTATTTTTCATGAATACTTTTAAAATTTTTATTTTTTTCTTTTAATTTTTTTGACACAGAGTCTCTTTCTGTCACTCAGGCTGGAGTGTGGTGGTGCTGTCTCCACTCACTACAACCTCTGCCTCCTGGGCTCAAGGGATTCTTGTGCCTCAGTCTGCTGAGCATCTGGGACTACAGGCATGCACCACCATGGCCAGCTATTTTTTTTTTTTTTTGTATTTTTAGTACAGACTGGGTTTTACTGTGTTGGCCAGGCTGGTCTCGAACTCCTGGCCTCAAGTGATCTGCCCACCTTGGCCTCCCAAAGTGCTGAGATTACAGGTGTGAGCCACCATGCCCAGTCTTTCGTGAATACTTTTGATGTATGGAGTAACTCATAAATTTTTAAAAAATATTTCAAATTCCTAACTCTTCTTGAAACAATAGGTATTATGGGTGGCTAGTTTATTTCTTTTCAGTTAATGATTGAATTCATTGAGCCCTTACTAGGTGGTGAGCACTGTCCGAGGTGCTGAAGGAAGAGACAAAGATAGGATTACTGTATCTCAGAAGCTTATATTTTAGAGAACAACAAAGTACCATGTACATTTTACCATGTAAGTTTAGCCTGTTATATATGAAAATGACTTTTTACCTAAAAGTAATGAGCACAAGTCATGGGTTTTAAAGGTAACTTGTTCAATTCTGACATTATACTCTTGGTCAACCCAATTGGTGAATCAGTATTTCCTTCAATAGTCCTGGGATAATGAAGAGTTGGCAAACATGTTACATAAAAATTTAGGAATTAAGAATATTGGACTCTTCCTGAAGATAGGATATTTTAAATGCAGGACTAGAGCTCCTGAACCATATATTATAGGGAAAATCTAGAGAAAAAATAAAAGGTATTTATCAATGTTTGGTTGTGTGATCTTGGGTAGCTTCTTGTGCCTCATTGTTTTTGTCATTTAGAAAATGATAGAATTAATCTGTACATTGATAATGAAGTCCCTTTAGGTTCTAGAATTCTGTAATTTTGGTCTTGAACTGAAATTACCATGACAAGGGATTTTGATAGATGTTGCCTAATTGCTAACCAATGAAATGTTTTCTACAACTCCACCCCTGCTCTTTTGGCATTTTATCTTTGTTAAGTGAAAAATGATATGTGTTGCTTTGAACTTTATTGCTTTAATTTGTTGCAGAAGTTGAGTGGCTTTTCATATATATTAAATTTGATTGGTTACTTTATTTAAAAAATTGTAAATTGTATGATTTTGGTATCCAGGTAAGATACTGTGAAAGTTACCTTGTAATTAAGTTCTTGGGTGATTTATTGGAGGCCTTAATATTATTATAATAGATAATAGGGCTGTCTAAATGCCACTGTACTTGGTTATCAAGCTCAATGCCATTTAAATTTTTTTCAAAAAATTTTCAATGACATTCTTGTTATTGTTAACAGTTTACTTTTTTCCCGTGATTGAAAAGACTAACACTCAAGTTTGAAAGAGAAATGTTAATTTTCAGGGCTGCTGCAAACCTTGAATTTGAATCCTAATCTTGCCACTTACTGCTTGTGTGACCTTCAGCAAAGTGCTCAATTTATAGAACCTCAGTTTAATCATCTGTATATTGGGAATAATAGCAAAATCTGCCTCAGAGATTATTGATAGGATTAGCTGAAATAATGCATGCAAAATGCTTAGTTTATTGCCTGAAAACTTATTAAGTATAATAAATATTTATTATTGTAATCAACAGTTGTACTAGAGAGCTATTGCACAATAATTATGATTATAATGAAAATGATAATTAATAAGACCCCCACAGTTTCTGATTTAGAATGTGTCTGGGGAAGAGCCTGAGGATGTGTCTTTCTAACACATTTTGGGGTGATGCTGATGCTGGTGGTCCAGGCACCATGCTTGGAGAACTACTGTTCTAAGCATCTGAACAATGTGATCTCATTTGGTCCTTACCAGATCACTCTAGGAGGCAGGTTCTTTTATGATGGTGCTTTAATAAGTGAGGGATTAGGGAGGTTTAGTAGCTTTCCCAAAGCCCCGCAGCTTGGAAGTGGTGGAACCAAGAGTTAAAGATTTATGCTCTTCTTTCCACCTGTGATTATTTATGTGGAGTTCTAAACCATTGATCTCCTGTATCCACCCCCTTGATGTCTTCTCTCACCACCTTTCCCGACTCTAAGCCATTGCCAATTACTATCACCATCCCCTTGTCCACACTCGTGATTCCTGTGTCCCTCTCTTGCGTTGTTTGCTTGGCATGGTCACAATCCCGGTTAAATTCATCTCTCTGCCTACTCTGTACCTGCCCTTGAGAAACTGAACACGGCTGGAGAAACATACAAAACTACTCCGACCTTGCCAGGAACCTCGAATGACCCGTTAACACTGCCAGGAGATCACACTGCACTTTCCTAGCCCATTCATTCTGCATCTTGCTTTTTCGTTTCTTTAAAAATTTATTTTATTGTGGTGAGAATGTTTAACCCAAGATCTACCCTCTTAGGAACTGTCTAGGTGTACAATACAGCATTGTTAATGATTGGCACAAAGTTCAGCAGATCTCTAGAACGTATTTGTCCTGCATGATTGAGACTTTATTGGTTAGCAGCTTCCTCTTTCCCCCTTCCTCCAGCCCCTGGCAACTACCATTCTACTTAATGTCTCTATGCATTTGACTACTCTAATTTCCTGCCATAAACAATATGATATATCTGCACCTACACTCATGCAATATTTGTCTTTTTGTGACTGGCTTATTTCACTAAGCAAAATATCCTTATGATTCATCCATATTGGATATTGCAGAATTTCCTTGTTTTTATTTATTTATTTATTTTTTGAGATGGAGTCTCACTCTGTCGCCCAGGCTGGAGTGCAGTGGCGCGATCTCAGCTCACTGCAACCTCCGCCTCCCGGGTTCACGCCATTCTCCTGCCTCAGCCTCCTGAGTAGCTGGGACTACAGGTGCCCACCACTATGCCCAGCTAATTTTTTTTTTTTGAGACGGAGTCTCGCTCTGTCGCCCAGGCTGGAGTGCAGTGGCGCGATCTCGGCTCACTGCAAGCTCCGCCTCCCGGGTTCACGCCATTCTCCTGCCTCAGCCTCCCGAGTAGCTGGGACTACAGGCGCCAGCTACCACGCCCGGCTAATTTTTTGTATTTTTAGTAGAGACGGGGTTTCACCGTGTTAGCCAGGATGGTCTCGATCTCCTGACCTCGTGATCCGCCCGCCTCGGCCTCCCAAAGTTAATTTTTTATATTTTTAGTAGAGATGGGGTTTCACTGTGCTAGCCAGGATGGTCTCGATCTCCTGACCTTGTGATCCATCCACCTCGGCCTCCCAAAGTGCGGGGATTACAAGCTTGAGCCACTGCACCTGGCCATTTGTTTTTAAGTGTATGTATATACCACATTTTCTTTATCCATTCATACATCAGGGGACATTTAGGTTGTCTCCACATCTTGGCTATTGCGAGTAGGGCTGCAGTATACATTGGAGTGTTAATATCTCTTTGAGATCCTGATTTCAATTCTTTTGGATAAATACTCAATAGTGGGATTACTGGATTGTATGGTAGCTCAAATTTTTTGAGGGAGAAGGAATCTCCATAATGTTTTCTATAGCATCTCTCACTTTCTTCAACACCTATTTTACATGTCTCTTTTCTTCTCAAACCCCATCTCCTTCCCATTCTTACTCTCAGCTGATGACCATGTTTCTTTGCTCTTTCAGAGAAATAAAGGAACCAGAAGGGAATTCACACTGACTCCCATAATCTCATCTCCCCACATTCTGGCATCTGTACTCACCCACTCCAACCTCTCACCTGTGCCCATAGGTGGAAGGAGGGAAGGAGGTTCACAGTGAGTGTCTGGAGAGCTGGCGATGTTCTGTTTCTTGAGTTGGGTTCTGGTAGTATAAGAATATCCAGATTACAATTCCTTGAGCTGAGTACTTATAATTCATGCACTTTTCTGTGTGCATGTTATTTGTCAATAAGTCCAAAGGCAAAAAAAAAAAACAGATAAACTCATTAAAGTTTAGGATGAAACAGGGATAAGACTTATTTGCCTTTGAAATACTAGTTCTCAACCAAAGGAGATCCTCATCCCTGTCCCTCCCCACCAAGGGGGCATGTGGCAATTTCTGGAGACATTTTTGGTTGTCGCAACTAGGGAGAAGGTACTCCTGGCATCTAGTTTGTAGAGGTCAGTGATGCTGCTAAACATCCTACAGTGCACAGAATAGTCCCTACAATAAAGAATTATGCAGCCCCAAATGCCAATAGTACTGAGATTGAGAAACTTGGCCGCAAAAGAACCTGTCTGAGAAACTCCAGGATCACTTGAACATTAATTTCATCCACCATAGTCTTTGCTGATATTGAGCTCCTTATTTACTAGATTCAGAGAATGTATCCTTTCCCAGGGGAGCATCTGAGAGCAGGAGCGAATTTCATTTGCTACCTCGTAAATCTCTGAAATGGAAAACAGGTCTGAATATTCCTCTGTCTCTCTCTCTCCCCTAGTCTTTGAAGCCCTCCAAAGTGGGCCATGGCAGTTAGCTCACAACAAATTCCCCAGACACAATTTAAATGTCATTTTGGGGGCTGGGACTAGGGCATGAATATTTAAGATGTAAATTGTTTGGGCTGTGCCTAAATCTTTTATGGGTTTTACTGGATGAGAAAAATGAGTTACTACTTTTTGATGAAGTTCACTTTCCTTTCATATTATTAGCAAACCCAGCCAAGTGAACCAGACTGCATCTGCCAGAGAAAATAGGGATGCTTGTTTGCGGGATGATATTAGATTATGTTCCCAGCATGCCGTATTTATGGTTCAAAAATCAAAGAACAGGTAGGAGAGTTGTCTTAGGTCAGCGTGTCCTTGCCAGTGAAAGTAGCTTACCAAATACACTTGGGAGGACAGTTTGGAGGAGTGGTGGAGAGTAGAAGTGAATTTAAATAGTCGAACTCTACCTGAAGAGTTAGGTACCCTGAGGGTTGATTTTAGAGAAATATTGAAATCACGAGATACTAACTCCAGAGATTAGTCCTTTCTTATTCTTCAGTTTAAATCCCAGGGGATGGGTACAGAGCAGAGGCAAAGGAAAGGACACACAACAAGGAAAAACAGAGAGAGAGAGAGAGAGAGAGAGAGAGAAAAAGAGAGATTGATTGATTTAACAAGTTCCATGGACTTCAGAAAGAATATATATTTTAATCTTTTTGGAAGAAATTATGCCTCCTACGTCTCATTTCCAACCCCTACCCAGAAATTAATTTTGAATGTTAATATGAAAGCAACCTCTCTCTTCTCTGAATGCTGCTTTTGATTCTGACAGGGTATCTAAAAGGCTGCTATTAGACACATTTTCATTAACTAATAAGCTGGTTCTTGGGCAAAACATGAATTTTTTGTCATCTCATGTGAAAATTGTAAAAAGCTATAATTATGAAGAAAATCACTAATTGTAAGGCACAAAATTTGTTTGCTAAGAATAGTCATTAAGGATCGACAAAAGCATTAGTAACTTCAATATCAGAAAACAACTATTGAAATGCAAGTGGAATCAAGGCATTTGCCCAGACATAATAATGGCTTTACGTTTAAAGGTCTATAATTGTGGTTTGATCTGAGACATTGTTGGGAATTTTCAAGAAACAATACAGAGTAGGGCTAAATACTTAAAGTACCGTGGCTTTTGGATTCCAAATTACAGACTCGAGTTTTAATTTCTAGAGAATATTACTGTAGGGAGAGTTACTCAATGATATTGTCAATGCTGTTATTGCTTTAGGATTGTGATGAAGTGGTCAAAACCAGGACAAAGAATAATATTTCTGTGGCCCAGACGTTTTATGATACTGGCTTTGCATGCAAAGTACCTGGCAGCTGGCAGCAAGTGAAGTTTGCACATCACTTCATGATGTATGTCCCTTCTAAAGAGTAACTTTTATTGTTTCTGCTTTCTGACAAATATCCTCTTTGCAGAAAATTAGGAAAATGCAGAAAATTGCAATGAAGAAATTTTAAGTTCTCCTTAATTCCATCAACAAGAGATAGCCAGTTAACATTTTGGTGTATTTTCTTCTTTTTATTTCGTTTTAAACTTCTGAAGTATAATAATGTGATAAAGTACACAAAATTTAAGTATCCAACTTAAAATGAATTTCTATCTATATCTCCATGTAACCACCACCTAGATGAAGATAACGAACATTTCCAGTAAATTTCCTTCCTTCATGCTGTTTTCTAGTCAGTACTCACCTCTCTGCCTCCCTCGTAGTACAAGGTACTATTATTCTGGTTCTTCTCACAATAGATTTGATGATTTTTAAACTTAATATAAATGGACTCCTACAGAATATCCTCTGTAGGTCTGGCTTCTCTCACTCAATATTATATTTGCAAGATTCACCTAGCTTGCTTCATATAGCTATAGTCTTTTTCATTGATGTATAGTATTTCATTATCTTTTATACTATTACTTATCCATTGATGACTGTTGAGTTGTTTTCAGTTTTTAGCTATTATGAATAAAAAACAAACATTCTTAAAAATGTCTTTTGTGGATTTTCAGTAATTTCTTTTGGATTCCTGTACTTTTTCGTATGTGTGCATGTAAATGTGAATTATACAGAAGGTTGAATTTACATTATGTCTCTCCATCTCCATCTCTATCCCTATCTGCATCTCAATCTCTATATTCTTATTAATCACAGTAATTAAATGTCTTCTAGGAAACCAGTCTGTCTTGGGATCCCTGCCGTGCTTGGACATTGACTGGGGGCGATCTTGGGGAAACAACATGGTCCTGCACATGCTACATAACTATTTACATTCTTTAGATGTATAGACTCTTTTCTCTTTTACCAGGCCAGCATGTCTCCAGCTGGGTTTTCCTGGGATTTAGCCATGGTTATCGGCCTGGTATCCAGGAGAGAAGTTAAGGGAGGCTTTTGAAGGGGTTAGCTGTTGCCTTGCCAGGTAGAGGCTTCTAAAGCATCTTTCAGCACAGTGGAGCTCCTACTAGGGAAGAGCCAGCTACCTGTACAAACCCAGAGAGTATGGAGGCAGAGCAGGCAGGGCAGTGTTGCAGAATCTGTATTCTCAGCAGCATCCATCCAGCTGTCTCTGTCTCATATTTTAAAATCTCAAGTTTTTCCCACTAGAACCCTGACCTTTAAATAACAGGCCTACCTTGGTTGAGCACTCAAACATCTCTGAAGTGCTGCAACTATAACAATCAGGTCATCAGTCTGCCTTTCAGCTCACTCTGCCCTTCCATTAGAGAACACAGTTTGTTTTTTTTTCTTTTTCTTTCTTTCTTTTTTTTTTTTTTTTTTTTGCTAGCTACCACAGAGGCTCTCTGGGCCTCGCTTTACCATTAATTGTTTGATAATAGCCTTCAGTCTGTCAGTATTTTTCTGCAGGGCATCAATACCACTAGGTAGTAACCAGCCAACTCTCCTGACTTTGAAGCATGGTTGGCTCCATATTTTCCAATTGCTTATATCACTACATTTGATACAGCATTTCCTCCCACTGGGATATTCTTCTATGTCCCAGCAAAATTTTTAGCAACCGAGCCACCACCTTTGGTCAAGGACTAACCATGTTCCATCTACCAGTCAGGACACCATCTTCACCTGCTGGGCAGTGGGTGAGCCAGTCTTAAATTCCCATGTTACCGCTTGTTTTCTTGCACCACTGCTGGCCTCGCTTGTATTAGTCCCAGTCCTCTGAGAAGCAGACAGCAAGACAAGGTCAAATATGCATGGATTTCATTATGGAAAATGCCTTTGAAAGAAAATGGTGAGGGAGCTAGAGAAGGTTGGAGGAGACATCAGACCACAGTGCAAGTCTGACCCCCAAGTGAAGGAGAGAGGGACAAATGTTGGGTGGAAGTGTCCTAGACTGTCATGCTGTGTAAGGAAGGTTCACAAGACCACCAGGGAGTTCTTGAACCAAACTTGGCTGTTAGAGGAGTCTCTCACTTCCCAGGAAAGGGGCTTGTCTTGGTATTCCTGCTGTTCTCAGACGTTAGTTGGATGCAGTCCATGGGAAGCATGGCCTCTGTGCAAATGCAATAATAGATTTTCAGGAAGCTCTTGGGATTTTGGTCAATTATACTCTCTGTAGCTGGAAGTCTATGAGACGCATTTTTCTGGTCATCACAAATAGGATCAGCACAATACCTGTAAGTCTCCATGTTAGCGACAGTTATGATTTCCTTACATACTTCTACATTTAGGGTGTTGCTGATTTGTAGTTTGATAAATAATGCTGCTTTGAGCATTGACATAATTCATTGTTTCCTTAGGACAGATGTTTGGAATTAGAATGGTGGGGCAAGAGGATGTGAACATTAACATTCTTGATACAAGGTTGCAAATTGCCTTCCTGAAAGGCAAGACCAATTCACCATGCCCCCCATTCCTTATGGAATACAAAGTGCTTGCTTTCCTTACTCATATGAGGTGCTTCTGTGTTCCGGATATATAAGAGGTCATGCTGTGCAATGCAGAGGACAGGTGGAATTCATGACACAAGCTGGTGGGAAAGGGAAGACAGAATGATTATGGGTACAATGTGGAATGATTTCTATATGAGCTTAGTTTGACTGAGATGGTTAGTTTGGGAGAGAGAGGGTCATGGATGACGTGGACATAGCAGAGGGAAAGCTCCACCTTATAACCTCCTCATGCCATCCATATGTTGGAGAGGTCTTGTGTGTTTCCTATAAGAGGCTTCCTGGCCAAAATGTCACACTGTGAGTTCTATGGGGAAGCCTATGAATACCTTGCCTACTGCTGTGTTTCTGCCACTTGGCATATATAATAAAACAGATGTCCTGTATTTACATTTGAGTTTTAGAGAAAGAGAGAGCGCAACGGTTTTCTAGGAGCATATCGTATGAGTGTCAGTGCGGAGTAGTGGGAAGTGCTCTGTATTTACCTGGGGTTGAATTCTGGTTCTGCAGGAGACCTGCTGAACCTCTGAGTCTCCATTTCATCAGACTCAGTGTAAAATGTAGTAGCAGATGGAAGTAGAGGCATTTATCTTCCCTTCCTGCTTCCCCCTTCTCCCTTCCCCTTCCCCCTTCTCCTTCCCCTTCCCCTTCCCCCTTCCTCTCCCCCTTCCCCTTCCCCTTCCCCTTCCCCTTCCCCTCCCTCTCACTCTCAGCTGCCTGTTTTCTATTCCCCCTTCCTAAGAAACCCAATCTGCCTTTTGGGGGAATTATCTCTCCCTAAAATGCAGTCTTAGTGGATTAATAATCCATGGTTCCTATCAACCTTCTGGACTAGACCAGGGACAGGCATGCGATCTAGGATATGGAATTTTGCATAGAAGGATACAGTTACAAGATTCCATGGCTGATGATTCAATCCAGTTGTTGAGGGATGGGGGAGAACTTAGGTGATAATAATGAACAATTTCTTCTACCAGGAGCATCTGTCTGTTTAAATCCTAGTTCTTCAGTCTCCCCACTAATGAGCTCCTTTTAATAAATTCCTTTTCTGTTTTAGTCAGTTGCTGTTGATTGCAACCAAAGACCCCTAACTGATAAACATTTATGCTCAAGGTTTTTGACTTTGTGCTTTTTTTTTTTTTTTTTTTTTTTTTTTTTTTTTAAAAAGAATTCAATGAAAATGTCTACTAGCTTAATCAGAGTCTAAAAAAACTGGGATTGGCAACGGGGAGAATCTTGATTTCCAGTTTTCATCTTTTTCTTCCATTTTACAACTTCTGCCTTCGTATCTTTTCTAGCAACTGTCCTGTTCCTCCAACCGCAATTTTTAACTTCCAAAATGCTTCATAAGCATGGTGAAATTATCCATACTTATATGCTGTGCTGTAGAATTCCTTTGGAGAACACACAATATGAATTGAAAGGAGCTGGGAATTAACTTATCATCTGTTTTGAAGAGATGTGTGGGATGTGGGGCGGAGTTTTTTGATTGTGGCTTGAAAATTGATTCTAATTGCTGTTTTTATTGCTGGTTTAGCTGATGCTACTTTCAGTTATTTACATTTTCTGTCTTTTTTTATTTTTATTTTTTAGACAGGGTCTCGCAGTGTTGCCCCAGCTGGAATGCAGTGGTGTGATCACAGCTCACTGCAGCCTTGACCTCCTGGGCTCAAGAGATCCTCCCACCTCAGCCTCCTGAGTAACTGGGACTACAGGTGCGTGCCACCACACCCGGCTAATTTTTGCATTTTTTATAGAGACGGGGACCTACTGAGTTGCCCAGACTGGTTTCAAACTGTTGGGCTCAAGCGATTAGCCTGCCTTATCCTCCCAAAGTGCTGGGATTAAAGGTGTGAGCTACCACAACTGGCTCTATGTCTTTTTAAAATGACTTAGGCAATGGCATATTTGACTCCACCCCAAATATATTTATTCAAACATTGAAAATATATCTACATACTCATGTGGCTGGGCAATTTAGAAGACAACTCAAACCCAACAATTCCAGATATACTTAAAATACTGAGACTAAAGTATCCTCTGATGAGGGTAGTGCTTGAATATCTGAATAATTATCTTAAATACTGAACAATTCAGTTACCTCTGAGTACAAAGATACATCTATAGTACAGTGGTTTAGGGAATTGACTTTGGATTTAGATAGACCTTGGTTTAAACCCTAGCTCTGCTTGTTATAGACTGCATTGTAGGGAAATTAGTTTTCTCAACAGTAAAGGGAATAACAATGCTATTAGCCTAGGCTTATCCTACTTCATTCTTCAGACCTTTATTCTGGGATGCTTTCCTTAATATGTCACCCTCAACCTCAGCCCAGGTTGGACTCTTGTTATGCATGCTCACAGGACTGTGTTTATTCTCCCAGAGACCCGGTTACAGCTTGCATGGGTACACTTTTTTATTAGATTATTTGATTACGTCTTCCCCAGCTCCCTGTATCACACTGCGCTGTAAGCACCGTGAGGTTAGGGACAACCATATCTATCTCCTTCCCCATTTATTCTCAGTGCCTAGCTCCTGGTTGGCACTCAATAAATATTTATGGAATGACTGAATAAATGGAAAAATTCTTTCCCATAGGGGATTCACTGAGACAATGAATATAAAGTACAGTGGCTGGTACATAGTAACAACTGAGTAAATGTAGTCTCCCCCAAAGAAAAACTGCAAAAAAAAAAAAAAAAAATCCAAACAACAAAATCCCAAACACCCTCAACAATCAAACCACATGTCATATAAGAAATAAAATATTTATAGGTTGTTGTCTTCATTAAGATGCTGACTTTTCAGAGTAAGTTATGCTCTTGAATCAAACCACAGCTGATTTTAGTAATTTAAAATAAGTTTATTTCTTGCTCATGTGGCAATCTGATGAAAGTCAGGTTCATGGTGGCCCTATGACTCTCCTAATAAGCTAAGTGGGCCTGAAGGGTCTCCCATCAGCAATTAAGTGCTTGAATTTGGAAGTGATACAGGTCATTTCTACTCAAAGCCCATTGGTCAGAATTAGTCATATGACCTCTTCTAGATACAAGTCAGGCTAGTCTCCTGTGTGTCTAAAAGGAGAGGGGCCAGGCACAGTATCTTATGCCTGTAATCCCAGTGCTTTGGGAGGCCAAGGTGGGAAATCACTTGAGCCCAGGAGTTCAAGACCAGCCTGAGTGACAAAGCAAGACCCTGTCTCTACAAAAAAAAAAAAAAAAAAGAAAAAAAAAAAAGAAGCTGGGCACAGTGACATGTACTTGTAGTTCCAGCTACTCTGGAGGTTGAGGTGGGAGGACTGCTTGAGCCCAGAAGTTTGAGGCTGCAATGAGCTATGATCATATCATATCCCTGTATTCCAGCCTGGATGACAGAGTAAGACACTGTCTCAAAAAAAAAAGAAAAAAAAAGAAAAAGAAAAGAATTGGATATCAGTCAACATTAGTAATGTCTACTGTAGGCTGTTAAATGAAGCTAAGCATACACTTTTCTTTAAAATGCAGTGCCTGGGCCAGGGTAGAGGTTCTATAAATACTTGTTGATGAAATACAGGCTTGAGTATTCTACATACTAAATGCTAACAGACTTAAACGAAGTGGCTACGGGTGGAAGTAATATTCATGGTCAAAATTTACAATGCTAGACTGTGCCAGGAGGTCTTTCTGCTTGGATGGTTTACGGGCTAAGGTGAAGGGTCTCAGTGCCAAACTGAAGAGGCCAAAGAGCATACCAGGGGTTGGTCCCTTAGAGAAAGAAGACAAAGGTTCTTTCTTCTTTCCTCCTGTTCCTTGGAGATGGATGAGATGTGCTTTTGGCTGGCATGTTAGTATCCTAGTACCACAACCTTGGGTAAGCCAAATAAAGTTATTTCTTCACAATTTTGGAGGCCAGAAGTCCAAGGTCAAGGCGTCAGCAGGGTTGGTTCCTTCTGAGGGCCATGAGGGAAAGGTCTGTTCCCAGCTTCCCTCTTTGACTTGTAGGTGGCCGTCTTCCCCCATGCCCTCACGTCATCATCTCTCTGTTTGTTTGTGTCCAAATTTCCTCTTGTTATCAAGACACCAGTCGGCCGGGTGTGGTGGCTCATGCCTGTAATCCCAGCACTTTGGGAGGCTGAGGCAGGTGGATCACTTGAGGTCAGGAATTTGAGGCCACCTGGCCAACACGGTGAAACCCTGTCTCTACTAAGAAACAAAAAACAACAACAACAAAAAAACACCAGGTATAGTGCTGTGTGCCTATAATCCCAGCTACTTGGGAGGCTGAGGCAGGAGAATTGCTCGAGCCTGGGATGCAGAGGTTGCAGTGAGCTGAGATTGTGACACTGAACTCCAGCCTGGGCAACAGGGCAAGACTCTGTCTCAAAAACAACAACAACAACAACAAAAACAAACAAAAAAACACTAGTCATATCAGATTAGGGCCCATCCTAATGACATCATAAAAATAACCCTGTAAAGAGCCTATCTCTAAATATGGTTACATTCTGAGGTACTAAGGATTAAGAATTCAACATATGAATCTTTTGAGGGTTAGACACAAGTCATTCCATAACAACTAGTCAAATTCCAGGATGTTGCATTGACCTATAGTGTTTAGGGTCACAGTCTGCTTCTCTTCTGGGGTCTCATCTCTTCAGAATTGTTCTCTTGCTTTTGAGTAAAATAGGCATAATAATAGTATCTACTTCAAGGTTTGATATGAAGATTAAAAGAGTTACTACATTTGAAGTACTTAAAATAGCACCTGGCACAGAGCAAGTACCCACTAAGTATTAGCATTACTGGAAGTACTTGTTGTCATTACTTTTTCAAATCATGATCACTTCTATTAGGCTGGACAATCTTTCTTTATTTGTCTCCTAATAATATTAGCTGCTGCTTACTCAGTACTTGCTGTGTGCCCAGCACTGTGCTAAAGGCTTTATATGTATCACTTCATTTAATATGACAGCAATGCTAAGAGATCAAATCTGTTGTTATCCTGAAGGTATAGAGTGGTAGAAACAGGGATGATACTAAAAAAAAAAATTTTTTTTAGACCAGGCATGGTGGGTCATGCCTGTAGTAATCCCAGCACTTTGGGAGGCTGAGGCAGGTGGATCTCTTGAGGCAAGGAGTTCGAGACCAGTCTGGCCAACGTGGTGAAACCCCATCTCTACAAAAATACAAAAATTCGATGGACATGGTGGTGCATGCCTGTGATTCCAGCTACTTGGGAGGCTGAGGCAGGAGAATTGCTTGAACCCAGGAGGTGGAGGTTGCAGTGAGCCGAGATTGCACCACTGCACTCCAGTCTGGGTAACAGAGTGAAACTCGGTCTTATTTTATTTTATTTTTTTAACAAACTGAGAAGCAATGGCAATGAAAGGTCTAGGACACCCTTGGCCCTGCCAGATATTAAGAGTTAGTTCCTAATCCGTAGGGATTAGAAGGAGGGCCCAGAGTGATGGGAGTGACTCTGGGAGTTCAGGGAAATAACTCTAACCAGTAGAATTATTTCAACATGTTAATAGCTGACGAGACTGTACAGAGGCATCCTGGTTCATTGTCTGCCCTGGAGGGACCTGGGGGTGACTGTCCCAGATCCATGTTCTTAAATATTTGCTAGCGATAAGGCTAGAGAGCCTCATTTTACAGACAAGAGATTGAGAACCAGAGAAGGCAAGAGACTTTCATGAGGTCACGCAGCGAGCAGGTTGGTGAAGTAGCCTGACTCCTGATTCCTAGGTCTCTGTGTAAATTAAGTTCCTTTTTCCTGCACCTCTCACTGCTAGTCAAGAAGCAGCAGCCCAGCTCATGGAGAACGGCAAACTGGGATCCCAGTAGGATCCCAATGCTGCAGGGCTCTGTCTCCCTCTTTTGCTCACCTGGCTGGGGTGGGTAGACTGAGGGCTTGGCCACCTCTCAAACTCTTATGCTGTCTATTCTGACAATGATGGCAGAGGGAAGTGGCCACTGTCTGGGACAGACTGGCCTGGGGGTTGAGCCCACTCAGCAGGCAGATCTTCAGGTGCCTTTTCCCTCACTGAGCACTCCAGCAGGCCCAGATGCCAGGTAGCTGAGTCGGCCCTGGATGTGGTGAAAGACTCAGAGGCACATGGGGATGTACCAGACCAGAGCACTCACCTGTCCTCTTTCCTGACCTGAAAGAGAGACACACAGAGGCAAATGAGAGAAAGACCAAGAGGTAAAGCCAAAGAGACAAAGAGCTACATAGAGAACTGAGCAACAGAGCCAGAGGCAGAAAGACCCAGAGATGCAGAGTTAAGACAGATAGTCAGATGGAGCTCAAGAGAGATGAAGAAGGAACAACAGAAAAACACCAGCGAGGATGACAGGGAAAAGCAAAGAAAGGCAGAGTGAAAGAAACAGGAACAGTAAGAGAGGGAGGGGTGTTGGCGGGGTGCTGTGGCTCACACCTGTAATCCCAGCACTTTGGGAGGATGAGACGGGTGGATCACGAGGTCAGGAGTTCGAGATCAGCCTGGCCAACATAGGGAAACCCCATCTCTATTAAAAATACAAAAATTAGCTGGGCATGGTGGCAGATGCCTGTAGTCTCAGCTACTCGGGAGGCTGAGGCAGGAGAATCGCTTGAACCCAGGAGGCGGAGGTTGTGGTGAGCCGAGATCACGCCACTGCACTCCAGCCTGGGCAACAGAGTGAGACTCTGTCTCAAAAAAAAAAAAAAAAAAGATGGAGGGGTGGAGGGAGAGAAAGAGAGGAAGAGAGAGAGGAGGAGGGGAGAGAGGGGGTAGAGGGGGAGAAAGAGAGGGAGGAAGAGAAGCAGAGAGAGGGGGAGAGAGGGGTAGAGAGACGGAGAGGGAGAGGAGGAGGATAGAGGAAGAGAAGGAGAGAAAGAAGAGAGAGAGATGAAGAGAGAAGCAAGAGAAGATAAAGGGAGAGGGAGGAGGTAGAGAAGAGGGGAGAGGAAGAGGGGAGAGAGAAAGAGGAAAGGAGAGACAGAATGACTGATACAGGGGTATAGGGGTACAGGAGAGGCTGGCAGGTGATGTAGCCAGTGATATGGGGAGTAGAACCGCAAAGGGCTTGTGAAGAAGAAAGAAAAATTAGGAGAAAGGCCATTGGGGCAGGTGGAAGGGAGGAGGACTAGGACACAGAGAAGACTTTTCGTGGCATTCGTGGCTCTGTTTGTTATGACAGGGGCAGAAATACAGACTCAGACACCCACGGCGGCCCATTAGTCCCCACTGCCCCGCCGCTCTGCCAGACGGCCGCCCCTTCTAGGTCTGTTGCCTCTGAGCCTTATTTATTGCTCCAAAATCTGGGACCATGGGGAGTCCCTGCTGGGAAGCTCAGGCGGAAGCTTCCATCTAAATCCTGGACTCGGCTTCCAGCCACTGCAGCTGAACAGGAGGGACAGTGGGAGGACAGAGCTTGATTTGTACCATGGCTTTTTCACACATGGAGGGTGGTGTCTTTTTTCTGGAAGCGGTAAGAAGATTCTGTGCTGTCCCTAGGGATGTAAGTCTTGACCTTATTCCTTTCCACTAAAGAAACAATTTAAAAATCCAAAGCCAATTTCCTAATACCACTCTGGGCATTTTAACCAGAGTTGAAGCTACTGAAAATACAGTAGCTACCATGCTAGGAATGTTGTAAGGATGATCTCATTTATCCCTGTATAATGCTATGAGGAAGGTTCTATTATCTTCCACTTTTGCAGGTGATCTAACAGGCTCAGGGAGGTGAAGAAACTTGCCCAGGATTCTGTTTCTGTATATACCAGAGTCTGACCTGTCTGGCTGTGTTTCTTAGTCACTGTGCCATCCTGCCCCCGCCTCCCACCACCATTATACAGATGAAGACATCGGGGCTTGTCAATTTTTTTTAATACAATAATTTTATTATTTTTTAAAATTAGATATGGAGTCTTACTGTGTTTGCCAGGTTGGTCTTGAGCTCTTGGCCTCACGCAATCCTCCCGCCTCAGCCTCCCAAAGGGCTATGTTTACAGGTGTGAGCTACCATACCTGGCTGGTTCTTTTTGTTTGTCTTTTAACTTTTATGTTTAAGTTTGGGAGTACAAGTGCAGGTTTGTTACATAGGTGAACTTGTGTCATGGGTGTTTCTTGTACTGGTTATTCACCACCCAGGTATTATGTCTGGTACCCATTAGCTATTTTTCCTGATCCTCTCCCTCCTCCCATTCCTCATCCTCCCCCTCCTCCCATTCCTCATCCTCCAAAAGGCCCCAGTGTGTGTGATTTCCCTCTATGTGTTATGTGTTCTCATAATTGAGCTGCCATTTGATAAGTAAGAATATGCAGGATTTGGCTTTCTGTTCCTGTGTTAGTTTGCTAAGGATAATGGCCTCCAGCTGCATCTGTGTCCCTGCAAAGGACATGATACCGTTCCTTTTTATGGCTGCATAGTATTCCATGGTGTATGGGTACCACATTTTCTTTATCCAGTCTGTCATTGATGGGCACTTAGGTCAATTCCATGTCTTTGCTATTGTGAATAGTGAGGCTTGTCAGTTCTAATCATTTGCCCAAAGTCACGTGGGTAGAAAGGTGCAGAATGAGGATTTAAACCCAGTAGGGAATTAGACCTCAGTAGGTCTGCTTAATTTCAGTGCGTCTGCTCTTATCCCCTATGCATTGGCTTGGGGATTTTCAGAAATAGGTACTCCCTCCAGGTGCTTCAGGCACCGGTTTGTTGTGCCTCATGAAGTAAAGAGAGCAAAAGCTCCAACAGAACTACACACTTAAAAATTGTTGCAGTAGTGAATTTTATGTTACAGGTATCTTACCATAATTGGAGGTTAAAAAAATTGTGTGTGTGGGTCTGCTGAGGTTTGAAAAATTTTTGTAAACCTCCAATTGTCGCTGTCTGTGGAGTATGGTTAATCCATTCTCATCTAGTCGTCATGCTATTTTCATGATGCAGCTTTGCCTACTTGCTGCACTGACCTCCCTTTACCTCCAGATCTTCGTTCCTGCAGATTCACAGCTTCTGTTTCCTTGGGTCTTCTGTTGTATTGTGGCCTTCTGTTTCCTGCTTTCTCTGAGTGCCTCACTACTTCCAACATTCTCTCTCTCTCTCTCTCTCTTAGATGGTGCAAAATTAATCGCGGTTTCTGCCATTAAAAGTAATGGCAGAAACCGCGATTAATTTTGCACCAACCTAATGGCAGAAACCGCGATTAATTTTGCACCAACCGAATATCTTCATCAAGTCAACCGTCCTAGGAGAAAAGATCAGATTGAATGGCATCTTAGGTTGGGTTTCCTGGAAACAGGCTCTCAGGTGTAGATTTGCCTGCAGGGACTTTTTTGAGGGAGAGCTTTTGGGATCAGCATTATGGGTGGAGTGCAGACAATGGTACTGGGAGGCAGAGATGTTGGACTTTGACGCAGTCTCAACAGAGGCCTCAGCCAATACCATGGGGATGCTTTGGAGCTGGAATTGTGTTCAGATTTATCCCCTTCAAGCAAGAGGTTCAGGTCTTAATATTTCTGACACTGGTCTGTTATTAGATATGAGCTGCCCTTAGTGGGGGGTATGACTGCAGGTGAGGTGGCTTTCTTTCACTGAGGGTGATTTTCAGAGATGGACTGAGCTGACATCTGTTGGCTACCAGTACTCCCACCAGCTAGGGGAATGTGAGCCTCAGTCCTGAGGGGAGGTCTGGGTGGTACCCCACAACATCCTCTGCTGATGGAATAATCCCTTTTCAGAATACAGCAGCCCATGGGACCACCTCCATGGCTCTTGGTCTTCCCTGCTCCATCCAATGGATGTCTGTATTTGCCTCTGTTGCTAATTCCTGGTGCAATCAGATGCAACACTGGTTTCAGGTCCTATGACATGGAACATGGAAACCATGTGCAGGAATGGCCTGGGGCTTTGCTCAGATGGGGTGGCAGCACAGCAGAGCCTTTGAGCACCCTGGATTCTTGACCATAGCCATGATGCCTTGCCAGCTTCCCGGAGTCCAGAAGAGAATTCCTGTACTCCAAATTTTTCTTACTTAAGGCCTGCTAGCCCAGTTGTTAGGAGCACAGATCTGAAAATGTTCTGAAGCTGATCTCCAAATAGCAGAACCATTTCTTCTCTGCTCTACAAGGAATTCCTCTTGTTATGTCACCCGATCTCAAAGTATTAGACACCAAGGAAGTGTCCCAAGAGTGTAGGTGGATCAATACATAGTCACAGCCCCTCCTGAACAAGAGCAATCCTTCTGCTGTTGGCCAGACTGCCATTCATGCTTCTCAAACCCTCTGAAGTTTCCTTGTGAACAGTTAGTTTTTTTTCTGCTTAGTCTAGGACTTTCTTTCCTCTCTAGCAATTTTCCTCCATGAAGTGAAAACAGACATGGAGACACATATGCTACGGGGGCTCAATATAGCACCGTCAGTCAAACCCTGCTCTCTCCCTGCTGCAGCAAGGATATGGCTGGGCTCCCATCCTTTCCTTCCCCTTAATTGATTTCCAAATTCAGCCTCCTAGGATGGTGCCTTGGCTGGCATTCCAAGTTCAGCCTCTCAACCTTAATTTAATGCTTCTAGGGTGGTGAGAACTTATGTTTCCCACCTACTAGTTGGCATCTGGCTGATTTTCTTATCCTGAAGAATTTAGTTTCATTAATGTCAAACCTTTGTACATTGCATTTGGGCTGTCAACAGTGATGCATACTCCTGCTGTTCCCAGTCCTCCTGAAACAGAGTCCTTCACCTACTCCAGGACAGTGTTGGCATTCAGGGACCCAGTTGTGGCCCATAGCAAGACTGTCAGCCATAGGACTTGCTTCATTCAACCCAGGAGTCCCAGGGCCCGGGCTGGGATAGCTGGAGGATGCTAAAAGCAGGTTGGATAATTCAGGGTCTGCTTAATTTTGCCCAGGCAGCCTGATATGAGGTCTTGAAGTCAAGTTTTCCAGCCTTCTTCTTCCAAGATTGTGCCAGAAATTCTATACTTGGAGCAAGTTAACTTTTCAGCACTGAGATGGCAAATGTTTATGATTGGATTTTCACACTCCTTTCTGGACAGAGGACAATTTTTGTTGTAAAATAGAAACATAGGGATAGGAGGACCCAAGGCACCTTAGTAGGGCTGGATCTTGGAAGAATAGTGATATGATGAAACAGGTTTTGTCTTCTGTATTTTCTTACCCCTATTCTTTGTAACAAATATTGATTATTTATTGGGAGTAACCCAAATCCCTTTAGGTATGCCAAATATCCCAGATCTCACCAGCTTCTTGGTATAAATGGGGTCATTTTGAGACAAATGTTTAGACCATACAGGCTCATAGCTTTTGCCTCTTCCTGGTGGACCCCAGTGTTTTCAGGAGTCCTGCAGAGATGTCTCACGTGTGCTAGAATATGTGCTAACTCTTAGGTTTTTTTCACTCAAGACTTTTTTGTTTGTTTGTTTTTGAAATGTGTCTCCTGCAAACCACTTAAGGATGACAACTCTCTGCTGTACTTCTGCTGCAGTCTTCCACAACATCCCTGATTCCCTGCCACTCTGATGGGCGCATGGGCTCTTTTACAAATGTGCCGTGGTCCGTGCATTGTGCTGCTGTTGTGCCCCTCTGCTGCAACGGCAAGGAAGTCCCTTTGCCTTGCGTACATGGAACTTGGGTGCCAGGCTCCCAAAGCAGTTCTTCTTGTGCCCAGAACCTCTCAGCCAAGTGCCAGTTTCTCTTCTCCCGTGAAGACTCAAGCCAACATAGACCAGTATAGCTTCTCATGTCTCAAAGCTCATGAGAAATTTACAAAAAGGATCAGTGGACCTCTGGATTTTTCTGCCTTGTGCTCAAAGCTCAGAAGGCCCTGCGTTACATTTAGGAAGGGGAGGCACAAGGAGAGGATGTGCCATGAAGCCACTGCTGAAAAGCAGACTTAGTGGTTCACACTCAGGCATGTCCATCAGTCAAGCTCTCCAAGCTGTGTTTTTTAGTGTGTTGCATAAGCCACACGTGGTGTGGAGGGAATGGTGTTAGTTTATGCCAAATCAACAGCAGCAAAAATAATGACATCATGGACAATAATAAAATAGTCAACCAGCAACAGATGGAAGGGAAGAATTCCAGTTATGCTAAGAAACTGTTAGTGACACAAACTGTTTGGAGTCTTAGCTGGTCAAACCAAACCCAATTCCACTAGCCAAAAAATAACAAAAATATTATCATTCAGCCAGAAACATGAGCCACTCAAATCCCCTGTCCAGAAAAACAGTCCTTTTGGGATCTGATGGGGCGGAGGGGCAAAGCAATTTCAAAGTATCACCCTCTGCTCACCATCAAAGAGCCTTGTTTGTTCACTGATGCCCAGTAAATCAGAACCAGGGAATCAGATACAAATTTCCTTTGCCTTTTGATTTCCTTTATTAATGGAACCTTTTTAGAGGTCTGTTTATACTTTTCACTTGTACAAAATCACAATACTTCACACAAAGGCAGCAGATGATACCGAAAGCTGGAGATTGGGCCTAATTGCCTCTCTCGTAACCAGTGCTAACAGAGCCTTCTCTTGGATGTAAGGAAACTTGAATCTAATTGCAGGGTTGGTTGTTCCAATTCTGTGTAACTATAGGTTTCTTTGTCTGGGGTTTTTTCCTCCTCAAATTTAATGTTTCTCCTTGAGCTCCTGTCAGATAGCTCCTTTAGGAATCTGAGTAGAGTAACCGTTGATTATTTTAAACTGAGACTGAATTTTAAGATTACAATGTTCCAGGAGTGGCGTCTCTAAGACTTGAAGTGCCTCTGTGTCCACATATCCCCCTGGATCCTCCTGTTGAGGTTTCATGTGAACCTCATATTTGTTTCATATTTGGTGTTATGTGAGCCTTCCACCTGGCCATAGGTGATTGGACAGGGACTGGCACTTGAGCTGAAAGTAGCCAATGAGTTAGCCTCATGTAAGAGTCCATCTCTACATAGGACTATGATTAATTAGACCCATTACGTTCTCCTTCTGAAAGTTTTGAATGAGACGTTGCTCAGAGTGAGTGGGATATATGTTCATTCTAGTAGGAATCTTGTCTGTTTTCTTTCCTAATTTATCACCATTATTGATAATAGTACCCAGCACTTGGCTGGGCATGGTGGCGCATGCCTGTAATCCCAGGACTTTGGGAGGCTGAGGCAGGCAGATCACAAGGTCAGGAGTTCATGACTAGCCTGGCAACATGGCGAAACCCTGTCTCTACTAAAAATACAAAAATTAGCCAGGCACGGTGGCACGTGCCTATAATCCCAGCTACTTGGGAGGCTGAGGCAGGAGAATCACTTGAACCTGGGAGGTGGAGGTTGCAGTGAGCCAAGATCGCACCACTGTACTCCAGCCTGGGCAACAGAGCGAGACTCTGTCTCAAAAAAAAAAATAATAATAATAATAATAAAGTAGTACCCAGCATGGCACACAATAAATATTTGATAAATAAATGCACGCACCCTTATGTAGAAAGATTTTTAAAAAATGAATCAACATCTCTCTCCCCATATTTTACCTTTTTCTCCTGCCACCAGGCAGCCAGGTTCTTCCTTATCTCCTCTTTTAAATTGTTATTATTCTTTTAAACACACTTTATTTTTTAAGGCACCTTTAGGTTTGCAGCAGAACTGAGTGGAAGATAATAGAGACTTCTCACATATCCCCTGCTGCCTCACATGCATAGCCTCCCTTATTATCAACATCCCCACAGAATGGTACATTTGTTATAATTGATAAATCTACATTGACACATCATTATCATCCAAAGACCAAGTTTACATTAGGGTTCACTCTTGCTGTTGTTCATTCAATGGGTTTTGACAAATGCTTAATGACATGTATCTACCATTATAACAACATACAGAGTAGTTTCACTGGCCTAAAAATCCTCTGGGATCCAACTGTTCCTCTCTCCCTCCCTCCCCTCAACCTCTGGCAATCCCTGATCCTTTCACTGTCTCCATCATTTTGATTTTTCCAGAATGTCATAGAGCTGGAGTCATATAGAACACAGCCTTTTCAGGTTGGCTTGTTTTGCTTAGTAATATGCATTTAACATTCCTCCATGCTTTTTATGACTTGATAGCTCATTTCTTTTTAATACTGAATAACATTGAATTCTCTGGATGTACATAGATTATCCATTCACCTACTGAAGGGTGTCTTGGTTGCTTCCAAGTTTTGGCAATTATGAAGGAAGAGGCTATAAACATCTCTGTGTGGGTTTTTGTGTGGATGTTAAGTTTTCAATCCATTTGAGTAAATATACCAAAGAGTGCAATTTCTGGATCATATTGTAAGGGTATGTGTAGTTTTGTAAGAAACCTCCAAAGTGTCTTCCAAAGTGCCTGTACCATTTTGCATTCCTGTTAGCAATGAATGAAAATTCCTGTTGCTCCGCATCCTCACCAGCATTTGGTGTTTTCAGTGTTTTGGATTTTGGCCATTCTAATAGGTGTGTAGTGATGTGTCATGATTGTCTGAATTTGCAGCTTCCTAATAACATATGATGGTGAGCATCTTTTCTTATGCTTATTTGCTATCTGTATATCTTTGTGAGGTGCCTGTTCAGGTCTTTTGCTCATTTTAAATTGGGTTGTTTGTTGTCTTATTTTTGAGTTTTAAGGATTTTTTGCATATTTTAGATGCTAGACCTTTATGAGATATGTCTTTTGCAAATCTTTTCTCTCATTCTGTGGCTTATCTTCTCACTCTTGATTCTCTCTGCATTTTTCTGACTTTTTGCCTGGGCAAAAAAGATGGGCAGTATGGTACAGTATTTAAGTGTTCAGATTCTGGAGCCATCTGCCTGAGTGTGAGTCCTGATTTTGCCACTTGTTAAGCAATTGATCATACCATCTGATTCTCAATTTTCTCATCTGTGAAATGGAGAGAATATTACTGCCACCCTATAGAGTTGTTATGAGAAGTTAGAATGGTCCCAACGTGTAGTTAGTAAGCACTGTATAAATGGTAGTCATTATTTTTGGGATTATCTCTTTTTTGCGTTGTTTGGACTCAGTCACTAATTGGTTCTTGTCTTCTACCAATCCTTTCTTTACTCACACCATTGAAGGCACACTGGCCTCTACCCCCACCTCAGGGTGTCTGTCCTTCTGTTTCCTCCTTTTGAAGTGCTTTCCTCCCAATATACTTGTGTCTTGCTCTTTCATCTCGTTGTTCAGTATTTTTAGCTGTCATAAACAGAAGCAGTCTAAAGGTGATGGGGTTTCCTATCTTTGGTAGAAATCTCTGTCCATTGATGCTAGCTATCTCAGAGGGAAGAGGAGCTTTGTAGGAGCAGAGAGGGAGGAGGAGAGGTTCCTTGAGACTGAGAGGGAAAGGAGTCTGTATGTTCAGAGAGTGATGGAGACTGAGCCTTGCTCTCTGGGAATGTTCCTGGAAGGTGGCAAGATCTCAAGGGAAAGCTGCCCCCAGGAAGACTGGGGGACCTGGGTCCGCCAAGGATCTCCAGGCCCCAAGCATGACCTATACACTGCAGAACCACTTGGATTGAAGTCACCATGTAGACTGAAGCAGAGTGTACACTGGTGACAGCCAAGTGGACTGAGGTTTGGGTAGACACTTTCTATTTCCTACTGTGACATGAAACTCTATTTACTCTGCATCTGACAGAGTAACTGAGGCTAAACTTCATGCAAGTTCATAGGGATGGTGGCTCAAAGCCAGAGGGACTTTGACTAATGCAATCTGAGTCATAGCACCAGAATTATGTTATCAAACACCAGATGTTTGCCCAAGATCCAGTTGTTTGCTGCACAGAAAGCCAATCATAGAGACAATAAGCATTACAAGGGAAGATTTTTTAACATGGGTGATGTCACCCAGGAGACAGGAGAGAAATCCCAAATCCATCACCCCATCTGACTAAAATTTGGGGTTTATACAGCAGGGAATAAATGTAACTACATGTGGGAAAATAGGAACTAGGGAGGGGGTAAGGAAGAGTCATAGTCAACAGGAACTAGTGTAGGAAAATATGAATTAGGGAGGAATTGATAGCAGTTGGTTGGTTAGGCAATCATGACAGATGAGTGGTCTGGTGTCTCATTGCAGTGACCTGGTAAGTTTCAGTTTCTTGATACTACCTCATGGTCAGTTTCCTGAGAAAGGAACTCAGATAAGGTAAATGGAAGTTTCTCAAGTTTTAAGACTGGGTATGTCAATTTCTACATTTATTTAAAGAACCATAAATATCAGTTCTATGGGATAATTGGGCTGGTTTTATAAAGAAAGTGATATTTCTTTCACCTTGAGTTTGGACTTTAGAATTATACACAAAATAAATATTTCCAAGTTCATCCTTGCTCACTGTAATTTGAGAGACTCTAGTTACTGGTAAGGTTACCATTTAGACACGTTCCAGTCGTTCTTGTCCCTGTGTCTTTCCCCCCTCACCCTGCCCTTTCTAACCTTTCAGGTATTGGAAGTGAGTTCCCTTCTGAGACCACACTTTTGAATTGCTCATATACCTGCTTGTTTACTGTGACATCCAGTTGTATGTGTTGATTACTTCAGCCTCCCCGACCAAACTATAGGATGAACCTTGAGCAAGAAATAAACTTTTGTTTTATTTTTTTTTTAATCTCACAAGAATGGCTGAAATTTGTTGTTTTAAATGAGTGACATTAGGTGTGTTTGTTGTCCTACCCTCAACAACCTTATCCTGAGCGATACCTACATTAAATCCTTAAAAACACTGTCGCCAAACTGTTGAAACCAAAGGAAGTGTTCAAAACATTGGAAATGGCATATCTTTACAGACAAAATATTTTGCCTTAGCAAACATGTGGAGAAGGAAGTGGATGTTGCTATATTTAGAGCACAAAGCAAATGTGTTGTTTTGGAGTATTCAGGCAGATAAACATGTTCAAAAACATGTTCAAAATGTTCCACCTATTGCCTGGTTAGAAATACCAATACAGCATAAAAGTTCACAGTATTTCCTTCTACATGTTGTATACACACACCTATACACCGATACCATATACTGTAGAGCTAAGGGCTGTTTGGTTGCTAGAAACAGTAAGTATTTAATTAAATTCACAGAAGTTAGAGATCAAACTATGGCAGGATGAAGGCAAGACACACACCTAGCTCTTGTGACTCCGTATCATCTCCTGTTCATTTGAGTCTCGCATGGTTTTGCAAAATTATAAAGTGTTTTCAGATTCTCTTCCTTCATCACATTTGATAGAATGTTCACAGATTTCGTGTATCAATTCCTTGTTGAATTTTCACTGTTTTACTATCATCTGTTTTATTCCCTCATTCTCTTTGGTTATATATTTTACCCTTCTGAACAGTTTCTCCTAATTATGATACAATTTTTAGCTTTTGTATTTTTGTTACCTAATTTCAGAATCTCTAAAAAGGATGAACTTAGGAGTTGAGTTGGAAGGGAGGTTTGGGCTAAAGGGACATTTCCTTACCTAAGAATGAGAAAACATCAGTTGTCCATATCAAGGGATGGGAGATTTGCTAATGGAGATTATGGGGGAACAAACTATTTCCCACTCCAGAACCAACCTTGGCACCACAACTGCCATAAACTTCTTTTTTTTTTTTTTTTTTTTGAGACAAGGTCTTGCTCTGCTGCTCAGACTGGAGTGCAGTGGGATGATCTTGGCTCACTGCAACTTCCACCTCCCTCCTCCCAGGTTCAAGGGATTCTACTGCCTCAGCCTCCTGAGTAGCTGGGATTACAGGTGTCTGCCAGCACACCCAGCTAGTTTTTGTATTTTTAATAGAGATGGGTTTTCACCATGTAGGCCAGGCTGTCTCAAACACCTGACCTCAAGTGATCTGCCCACCTTGGCTTCCCAAAGTGCTGGGATTACAGGCCTGAGCCATTGTGCTGGGCCCATTGTGTGGAATGTTTATTCTTCTTCTTCTTCTTCTTTTTTTTTTTTTTTGAGATAGTTTCGCTTTGTTGTCAGGCTGGTGTGCAGTGGCGTGATCTCAGCTTACTGCAACTTCTGCCTCCCGGGTTCAAGCAATTCTCCTGCCTCAGCCTCCCAAGTAGCTGGGACTATAGGTGCACTCGACCACACCCAGCTAATTTTTGTATTTTTAGTAGAGACAGGGTTTCACCATGTTGGCCAGGATGGTCTTGATCTCTTGACCTCGTGATCTGCCTGCCTTGGCTTCCCAAAGAGCTTGGATTACAGGCGTGAGCCACTGCGCCCGGCCAGAATGTTTATTCTAAAGGCAATGATTTCCTCAACTTTCTACTTTGTCTTCTTTTAAACAAGACTCTCATACAATCTCTTTTGAAATCACTACAATCAGGGAGAAAAATTGTTTGATGTCTGACCAGTTAATAATGAGACTCTGGACAAATTGTTCAGCTCCTTAGATGGACAATAATCATATGACTTCATTGAATTACTATGAAGATTATATAAAATCATATCTGGGAATGGCTTATGGGGTGAGGGCATATGGGGTGAGAACCCTTACGTCTGTTCTTTCCTTGCAGCTAATGGGGAGGTAGTGTCACTGAACTAAAGTAGGTCCCTTTGCCTATGCAACTGAAAGCCAAACACCAAAGCACCAGATTTTTGTAGCAAGAAAGGTTTATTGCCAGGTGGCCAAGCAGAGAGACAAAGTCATGCTCAAGTCTGTCTCCCTGTACTGGCCTTACAGCTGCAGATTTAGGGGAGCGATGTTAGGGGTGGGGTTTTAGGGCTGGGCAGTGATTGGCTGAAAGGGAGGGATGTTTAGAAAGTCCCTTGGACATGCCATCGTCTCTTGACACTTCTTCATGAGTTGCATGTGCAAATTCGGAGGGAGTTGGTATGAAACATGTGAAAATTCGGGCTGTGACATCGAAAGATTACTCATTGGGTGAGCAAGTTTGTTCTGTGCAGGCTCCAGTCAGCCATATTGGTTCCAATCTGTTTCGGTCAGTTTTGTAAGCTAGGGGGGACTGTAGCAAACTGTATCTTTTTTTTTTTTTTTTTTTTTTTTGAGACGGAGTTTTGCTCTGTCGCCTGCCCAGGCTGGAGTGCAGTGGCGCCATCTTGGCTCACTGCAAGCTCCACCTCCCGGGTTCAGGCCATTCTCCTGCCTCAGCCTCCCGAGTAGCTGGAACTACAGGCGCCTGCCACCACGCCTGGCTAATTTTTTGTATTTTTAGTAGAGACGGGGTTTCACCGTGTTAGCCAGGATGGTCTCGATCTGACTTCCTGATCCTCCTGCCTTGGCCTCCCACAGTACTGGGATTACAGGTGTGAGCCACCACGCCCGGCCAGCAAACTGTATCTTATTCCTGCAAGATAAGCTCAAGATTTCTGTTAGTCACCGGTTTCTTTAACCCTGTGGGGCATGGTTTCAGCAGCATGACCTAGTAGGTGTTCATGCTCTAAAGTCACATAGCTGGGTTCAAATCCTAAACTCTGCCTCTTGCCAGCTTTGTATAAACAGGATGTGGGGGTGCAAATTACTTCAGTTCTCAAACCTCACTTGCAGTGTCTACAAAATAAATAAATAAATAAATAAAATGAAATCTGATACAGTGTGAGGATTAAATGAAATATTGAGTCTATAGCACTTGGTATTGTAAGTGCTATATACTCAAGAAATGGCACGTTTTGTTAACTTCATTAGAAACAAGTATCTCTTTTCAGTCCAGTCCTGTGTCATCATTGTCTTCATCATCATCATCATCATTGTCATCTTTGTTTTTTAGAGATCGGATCTCTTTCTCTGTCTCCCAGGCTGAAGTGCAGTGCTGTGATCATAACTCATTGCAGCCTCGAACTCCTGGGCTCAAGCGAATCCTCCTGCATCAGCCCTTGAGGGTTCAGGACTCTCAGCCCTTGAGGTGCTGGGACTGCAGATGTGCACCTTCATGCCTAGCTAAGTTTTTATTTTTTAGAGATGAGGTCTTAGTTGTGCAGGCTGGTCTTGAAAGTCTGACCTCAGGCAATCCTCCAGTCTCCTGAAGAGCTGGGATTACGAAGATGAGCCACTGTACCCAGCTTTGTATCTTCTAATAGAAGCTCGCAATCCTTGATTGGAAACCCTTGGGGACACATGTTTTAAAATTCAGAATGTTATGGAAATTAGAAAGGTAATGTGGAGCATAAACTATACATTCCACAACATCCCACTTTCAGTGGGGTCTGCAGTAGCACTTCCTGGTCAGCTCATTACTGCCGTTAAATATGTGGATGTTCATGCTAGGTGGGATGTGAGATAAATAAAGGACATAAATAGCCTCATTTCAGTTCTGGTCAAGTTTTGTTGCCAAATGAATTTGTGCCAACCTTAATTTTAAAAAATTTGGTTTCCAGAGCTTTTGGGAATTCAGAAACCCATGCAGTCATTAAAAATTCTCCTGTTCTGTGTATTTAAGCTATTTCTAGTGCTTGTTTCTGCTTTAAGCTGTGCTTCTCCTACATCTCTGTGTTTCAGTCAACCTTTCAAAGCTTTCTTTGGACTCAGCTCTCCTCCTTTGACTTCCTGTGTTTTACTTACCCCTCTCATCTCTGTCTCTATTCTTTACCCCCTTCTGGACTTCTTCTCCTTCGGGAGTTCACACACTACTGGCATGAAGACTGTTTTCATTTTCTTTGTTTTTTCCCTCTGCTACATTGTCTCTAGATTCTCATGCCTCTCTCTCTCCTCCTCTGTGGATTTCAGAGTCTTGCTTGTGCAGTGAGGGCTCCCTGCCTCTGTTCTTGTCTAAGTATCATCTCCCATTTGATATACCCTTTTATTTCTGGTGAAGATATTTTATTTTTCATAAAAACATCATTGTACAATGCTCTATAGAGGAAGAAAATTTCCTTTAATGTCCCCCAAATGCTATGTGGTTTAACAGTCATCTTCCTTTAAAAAACTGAATATGTAATTGATAATAACAACTGATTTCTTGTGAAATATAGCATTTATGTTTTAAAAATTTATTTGCCTTTATTTTAACTAAAGGCAAGTCCAGTTTAAACCTGTACTTTTTGCAGTTAGCCAAATCAAAGCTATCATAATTCAAAGACAATAAAATAAAGTGCTAAATGGTGGTGCTGATTCTTTGTTTCTGCCCTTTCATTCATTGGTGGTGGCGCTTGGCTCCCACCCTAACGACCTTACCACCCTCTTTCTCCTTTTAATTTCTTCATCTCTTCCAGATATACCTCTTTGTTCATGCTTTCTTTTACAATGCCAATATCATTATGATAATTTATTGAGCTCTTACTGTGTACTAAGCACTTTACATGGATCATTTAGTTTCATCCTTTCAGTACTCCATGAGGCAGGGTAAGGACTCTCTTAATCCTTATATTTCAGATGAGAAAATTCAGGCTGAGAGATAAAGTGACTTGCTCAAGATTACACAGCTAGTCAGTAGCAGAAATGGAATTCAAACACTATTGCATTAAATTTTTGCATTAATCCTTGTTGCATTAAACTGATTCCAAAGCTTATGATTTCAGTCACTATGCCTTTATTTCCTCCATTGCAGCAGATACTGCCATTCCTGTTATTGAATTCATCTTCTCTTTCTCGATTTTTACAGCGTCTTAAATCTGACTCATCTCTGCTGCCCTCTTTTCAGCATGCCATTATCTTAGGTGGTTTGTCCACATTTACCCATTTCCATGGTTGAATTGTTGGTCCTTATCTTTTCCCAATGGCACATTGAGATTATTTTATAATCACCACATACTCATGGTGGACTATAGGACCAATCCCAATTTCAAATATTCTTGTCCTCACAAACCACTGAAGCATCCTGGAAATAAGATGCTGGTCAGCAGAAAGAGCATCTGCTTCCTCTGTTGCTAGACACCTGCCCATTCAAAGTCATGTCTTGGCAGAAGGCACCATTCAAAGTCATGTCTTGACAAAATGGCTTCATGTCATAAAGCCATGGTATCTGTGTTACCTTTCGGGTATCCGTGAATAATTGAACCTATGTTTGTTATATTAGTTAGACTTGCTGTGCAGCAGTAAACCAAATTGCCACATTTCTAATTTAATGTAACAAAGACATATGTCTCTTTCACCTCAAAGTCAGAGGTGGTTTAGGAGTCTCCTTGGCTTTTCTCCTTGAACAGTGACTCGACTCAGGGATCTGGGATGTTTCCATTGTGTAACTCCGTCTTTTTTTTTTTTTTTTTTGAGATAGAGTCTCGCTCCATTGCCCAGGCTGGAGTGCAGTGGCGTGATCTCGGCTCACTGCAAGCTCTGCCTCTTGGGTTCAAGAAATTCTCCTGCCTCAGCCTCCCAAGTAGCTGGGATTACAGGCGCCCACCACCACGCCCAGCTAGGTGTTTTTTTATTTTTTTTTATTTTTAGTAGAGACAGGGTTTTGCCATGTTGGCCAGCCTGGTCTTGAACTTCTGACCTCAGGTGATCCACTCACCTTGGCCTTCCAGTGTGCTGGGATTACAGGTGTGACCCACCACACCCAGCAGCAACTCCATCATCTTAAAGTTCCTTGCTTCCAGCCACCTGGATAGGAGAGTGGGTGGGACCTATTCACAGACGCTTACCCACAAAGAACAGTCATTATCATGACTACAAAGACATATTCATTGAGATGATTTGTCCAAGGTCTTCCAAGTTAGTAAGTGGTAGATTCAGAAGTAACTACCTTGACTCTTTTTTCCATGATAAGTTTTAGTAACTAGGGATATTTTATCTGTGTTAATCCTTCCTGGCTTGATTTATTTAATTCACAATGAGTTATTGGATTTTTTTTCTTTTTTTCTTTTCTAATAATTCTGCCAAAAGTTCCAGGGAGGGTTCCCTTGGGTAGGCTTGGGCCATATGTCCATCTATCCTCAAACCAATCACTCTGGCCATGACAATATGGCATTCTGTTTGGTCAGGTCAGTGTTGTGCATCTGATTCTAGAGAGGAGGAAATGGATTATGGGGCACCTTCACCTCTACCATATGTGGTGGGAACAGTGGAGAGCTGTCTCCCAAAATAAAGCCAGGATGCTGTTATTAAAAGAAAAAGTAGCAGATGTCAGGCAGTCAAATCAAGAGAAGGACTATCAAGTTGAACAACTGAATGAAGAAGGAAATATAAAGGAGAATTAGTGACTAAGGAAATTAATCAATGAGAAAATAAATGAACAAATGATGCTTCTTTGATGGCAGATGAGGGAATCCTCCCAAATGGGGAAAAGTGAATTAAAGGCAAGCTGATGCCACACTGAACATAGGTTTTGAATGTTGCATTGTTTTGTGGTAGGTTCATCTTGGTTAAGGTGAATCTTGGAGGGTCCAGAAACTTTTTGGTACAAAAATGATTATGTGTTCCCTGTGCACCTTTGACTTTTCTCAATCTCACTGGAGTGGGAGCAGCTTTCAGCTGTTGACCTGCTACCCTCTGTCTTAGTCCACCTTGTGTTGCTATAATGGAATATCTGAGATTGGGCAATTTATAAAGAAAAGATGATTATTTGGCTTATGATCCTGGTGGCTGGAAAGTCTAAAATTAGGCATCTGCATCTGGTGAGGGCTTCAGACTGCTTCAACTCATGGTGGAAAGTGGAGGGGGAGTGGGTGTATGCAAAGAGATTACATGGTGAGAGAGAGAGCAAGAGAGAGAAACCAAGGAGGCCAGGCTCTTTTTAACAACCCACTCTCAGATGAGCTAATCCATTCCTGAGAGAGTAGGAGCTTACTCATTCTTGAGAGAGACATTAATCTATTCACAGGAGATCCATCCCCGTGAACAAACACCTCCCATTAGGCCCCACTTCCTGATACTGCCCCACGGGGGATCAAATTTCAATGTGAGTTGAGGGAGACTAACCACATCCAAACCACAGCAGCCCCACAAAAGAAACTCCATAAAGGGAAGGTAGTTTCTTCCTCCCCATCCCCAAGCCTTAACCTCTCTCCTACAATTTCTGTAGGCCTCCCCCTCCTCCTTGGAGAATGTGTTCCTATCAGCCGAGCTGAAAAACAGCCAGGAGGCTCATCTGCGTTCGCCTCCGTAGGCAAAGTGACTTCTGCAACACCAAGCCTAGAGTGCGTTTATCTCTCCCTGAGTCAAAGAGATTTTGTCTATAGGCCTTTCTGCTGTGTTCCTCCAGAGAGAGGTAAACTGCCCTTAAGTAATTGCTGAAGAAGGCATAAACCAGGGAAATTTGATTTGAGCATGCAATTTGAATCGGGAAATGCTCATATAAATAACCGGAGCAGCTGAATGCGGCGCGTTTGTGCTTTATAGATTTTTTTTTTTTTTTTTTTTTTTTTTAATCTCAGGGTCTTCAGAATACAAGTTCTGCTGCAGCAGCTTAAACCACCTCAGGTCTTTGCACTTTGGCCTTGTCCTAGTTTGGTACTGTTAACTGCCAGGCTAGAGTCTGGCTAAGTTGAAGTTGTCTTATTTATCTGTATCTTTGGAAAGAAAAAAAAATTGCTTGAACACCCAAACAACATTATATCATAGAACAGCAACACAGTCTTTAAAAAAACAAACACTTTTGAACCAAGAAGGAGTTTGGAGTCATTTAGTTCAACTTCCCCAATGATGGAATAAGGAATTCAGAGATGGTAAGTCACTTTCTGGGTTAACTAAGATTTTGGAAGTATCATAATCAGCTTTTGCTGCAGCAAAAAACAATTCCTAAATCCAAGAGCTGTAGGTTTCTAGCTTATATTATATCTGTGCCAAAGGTCACCCATGGCTCTCCTGGGCTGGGCTGAGCTCTCTCCTCTTGTATTCTCAAGGAGCAGCCACTCTTGGCGGCATGCTACTCTCATGATAGATGACAGAGGCTGAAGAGCACAGAACCAAATTTCAGGAGTTCATTTATAGCTACTGATTGGATATGGTGATTGTCATATCTGTTCACATTCCATCAGTCAAAACACGTCCCTTGGCTGCCAAGCCCAATGGCAATAGGGCAGGGATGGGAAGCATGGCTAGAGTGGATAGGGTGCAAGTCATTGTGAGCAAGTGATACAGTCCACCACTGGAGAGTGGAGAAACTCTTGCAGTGATGAACGTCCAAGAAGAAATGTGAAAACTGAGAAAGTCTTTGATGTTTCCTGAATCCACTTATTCTTTTAGTGTTACTGATGTTAATGAATAACCACATTCACCCAGTGATGTAAGCTTAATATGTGGGTGTCATTCCAGATCCTCCCTCATCTCTGCTTGTTACATCCAATAATCAACCAAACTCTTTCCTTATCAGTACTTACCAAACATGCCTCAAATTTCCCCCTTCTTTTCACACTTCATTTCCCAGGTATTTTGCCTACAGGCTCTTTCCCTCCAATCCATGCACTGCACCATGGCCAGAGCCACTTCCTCTCATCCTATCTAGGCCACTTTCTTGGGTAAAGTCCTTCCACACTTATAAGGATAAAATGCCATTCTTCTAATGTCGCCTTAAACATTCAGTTCCTGCTACTCCCTCCCCACCTACAGCTGGCCCTGGGTTCAATATTTACTCATCTAAGAGCAGCCAGTTTGAATATTAACCAGGTCAGTATGGAAGCAGGACTTGGGACATGCTCCAGTCTCTGCTGGGATTTGCTAAGTAGGTGAGAACTAAATAAGAATTGATTATAAGTCTCAGAAGGATGGGAGGAGGAAAGCCAAGCTTCTATAATCAATTCTTTGTTTATAGAGGAGGTGATCCTTCATTTTCTCTGAGGGCTCAGCAGAATAATGGACTTCTTTTTTCCCAACACTAGGGTCCAGAAAATATTACTCGTCACCTCCTACAATGTAAGCCCCATTGAGTATCCCAGGATTCTGTGATGATTTAACTATGAATCACCCACTCCCAGGTATTGGAGAGTTGACTCTTGCTTTGATTTCACTGAGATTTGGGATCATCCTGGCCGTCTTTCCTCCATCCTCTATTAATGAGTCACTGGACTATGCTGGAATTAGCTGGATATTCCACATTGTTTATCAGTGGCTGTGTGCTTTTGTGGCATGTTCAACCATTCTTTGTGGCTATAATGCATTTTATGCTCCAATCCATAAGTCCTTTACCCCTCATCCTGATTTTGATTTACTCCTCTTGTTAATCTAGAAAACTGCTATTCAATATCATGAGCCTGGCTCACAGCATCTCTTCATTGAAAGCTCTCTTTCTGGAGTTTACACACTACTGGCATGAAGACTGTTTTCATTTTCTTTGGTTTTTCCCTCTGCTACATTTTCTCTAGGTTCTCAAGCCTCTCTCTCTCCTCCTCTTTGGGTTTCAGAGTCTTGCTTCTGCAGTGAGGGCTCCCTGCCTCTGTTCTTGTGTGAGTATCATCTCCTATCTGATATGTGTGTTTCTGGTGAAGCTATTTTATTTTTCCTAAAAACACCATTGTACAATGTTCTTTAGAGGAAGGAAGTTGGAGTTTTTTACATTATCTTTTTTAAAAAATTTATTTTTATTTTTATTTTAAGTTCTGGGGTATGTGTGCAGGTTGTGCAGGTTTGTTACATAGATAAACATGTGCCATGGTGGTTTGTTGCACCTATCAATCCATCACCTAGGTATTAAGCCCAGCATGCATTAGCTCTTTTTCCTAATGCTCTCCCTCCCCCCACCCCACCCCCCCAACAGGCCCCAGTGTGTGTTGTTACCCTCCCTGTGTCCATGTGTTCTCATTGTTCAGCTCCCACTTATAAGTGAGAACATGCAGTGTTTGGTTTTCTGTTCCTGAGTTAGCTTGCTGAGGATAAAGCCTTCCAGTTCCATCCATATCCCTGCAAAGGACATGATCTCATTCTTTTTTATGGCTGCATAGTATTCCATGGTGTATATGTACCACGTTTTCTTGATCCAGTCTATCATTGACGGGCATTTGGGTTGATTCCATGTCTTTGCTACTGTGAATAGTGCTGCAATGAACATACGTGCACATGTATCTTTTTTTACATTTTTTTTTTTAGCTCCTATGCTGTCCTGCACATTATCCCCTTCATTCACTTAGTTAATTAATATTGGTTGACAGTTTACTATGTGCCAGGCACCATGCAAGGCACTGGGAATGCAACTGTGAACAAGAGTGACAAAGCCCCTGCCGTCATGATACCAATTGACTAGGGGGGATTATGGCATCCAACAAACTCACATGAGTCAGGCGGTTACCAATGGGGTGAGTGCTGTGGAAGAAATAAATAAGGTGATGGGCTGGAGAGTAACTGGGAGAGGTCACTTGGATCGTGAGGTCAGGACCACCTCTTTGAAGAAGTGATGTTTCAATTGAGGCCTGAAAGATGAGAAAGAACTAGGCTTGGGAATGGATGAGGGAAAGAGTAAGTGCAATGAGAACAAGGGCACAGGCTTGGAGGCAAGAAAGTGCTTGAGGGGCCTAAGTCTTAGCCAACAATCAGGAGTGTGGTCTGAGATGAGGTTATAGGAGTGGGTGTGGATAGAACATGTGAAAACTTGTAGGCTATTTTAGTAACTCTAGGCTGTATCTAAGAAAATGAAAATATATTAAAGGATTTTAAGCAGAGGAATAGCACAACATGATTTACCATTTCAAAAGACAACCCTAGATGTTGTGTGTATTAAAATGGGAAGCAGGGATAGACACAAAAAGTTCACTTTTTTTTTTTTTTTTTTTTTTTGTAAGGAGGCTTTTGCAGTAACCCAGACAAAAGCAGGTGCCTTAGACTAGGGTAATGGCCATGTGCTTACAGAAGAGTGGAAGTCAAGACCTACTTTGGTGATAAAACAAACGGGACTTGTTGATCTATCGAAGATGAGTTCTAGCAGAGATAAATCAAGGATGACTTTGAAAGCAAGGATGGTTTTTGCCATGAGCAACTGGGCAGATGCAGAGGCCTTTTACTGAAATATGAAAACTGGCAGAGGAGCATGAGGTTGGATAAAATGAGAGCTCTTTGAAGACATAACAAATCTGAGATGCCCATAAGGGGGCGTGATGACTAATTTTATATGTCAACTTGACGGGGCTAAGTGGTGCCGAGATAGCTGGTAAAACATTATTTCTGGGTGTGTCTGTGAGAGTGTTTCTGGAAGAGGTTACTATTTGAGTCAGTAGACTGAGTAAAGATGATCACTCTACTGAATGTGGGTTGGTATCATTCAGTCCACTGAGAACCTGAATAAAAACCAAAGGCAGAGAAAGGGTGAGTTTGTTTTCTCTGCTTGAGCTGAGACATCCATCCTCTCCTGCCCTTGAGACATCAGAGTTCCAGGTTCTTGAGCCTTCAGACTCAAACTGGGATGCACATCATTGTTCTCCTGGTTCTCAGGACTTTGGACTTGCACTGGAATTACACCCCAGCTTTCCTGATTCTACAGTTTGAAGATGGTAGATTGTGGGACTTCTCAGACTCCATAATGAGGTAAACCAATGTCTCATATCTTTCTTTTTTTAACTTTTATTTTAAGCTCAGGAATACAAGTGCGGGTTTGTTACATCGGTACATGTGTGTCATGGGGGTTTGCTATACAAATCATTTCATCACCCAGGAATGAAGCCTAGTATCCATTAATTATTTTTCATGATCCTCTCCCTCCTCCCACCCTCCGCCCTCCAAAAGGCCCCAGTGTGTGTTGTTCCCTTCTATGTACCTATGTGTTCTCATTATTTAGCTCCCACTTATAAGTGAGAGCATGCGGTATTTAATTTTCTGTTCCTGAGTTAGTTTGCTAAGGGTAATGGCACTCACTGATCATTAGAGAAATGCAAATCAAAACTGCAATGAGATACCATCTAAACCAGTCAGAATGGCTATTATTAAAAGGTAAGAAAATAATAAATGCTGGCAAGGTTGTGGAGAAAAAGGAATGGTCTGGCGCAATGGCTCATGCCTGTAATCCCAGCACTTTGGGAGGCCGAGGTGGTAGGATCATGAGGTCAGGAGATCGAGACCATCCTGGCTAACACAGTGAAACTCCGTCTCTACTAAAAATACAAAAAATTAGCCAGGCATGGTGGCGGGAGCCTGTAGTCCCAGCTACTTGGGAGGCTGAGGCAGGAGAATGGCATGAACCTGGGAGGCGGAGCTTGCAGTGAGCCAAGATCACGCCACTGCACTCCAGCCTGGGTGACAGTGTGAGACTCCATCTCAAAAAAAAAAAAAAAAAAAAAAAAAAGGAACACTTATACACTGTTGGTGGGAGCATAAATTAGTCTAGCCATTGTGGAAGACAGTATGGTGATTCCTCCAAGACCTAAAGACAGAAATACTATTTGACCCAGGAATCCCATTACTGGGTATGTACCCAAAGGAATATAAACCATTCTATTATAAAAACACTTCCTTAACCTGCACAATGCACATGTACCCTAAAACTTAAAGTATAAAAAAAAAAAAACAAAAAAACACTTCCACACACGTGTTTATTGCAGCACTATTTACAATAGCAAAGACATGAAATCAACCTAAATGCCCATCAATGATAGACTGGATAAAGAAAATGTGGTACATATATACCATGGAATACTATGCAGCCATAAAAAAGAATGAGATCATGTCCTTTGCAGGGACATGGATGGAGCTGGAGGCCATAATAAATCTTCCTGTGTATCTCTATATATCCTATTTGTTTTGTTTTTCTAAAAAACCCTGACTAATGCAGAGGCTCAAGCCATCTGTCTTCCACTAGACTTTGCTGTATCACTAATGTTGAGCACAGTGCTTGACATGTAACAGGTACTAAGAAAGTGTTGAATGAGAGAATTGAAATGAGATGCTTAAAAGCTACAGATGACTAATGGCTTCTATGACAACGGACAATCAGAGTCCCTAGCAATGGCTAATTAAACCATTCCAATCTGATGTCCAAAATATTGTGTGCTAGAGACCCCCTTTCTTTTCCCATTAATTGAACAGGCCCTGTCTTTTTTGCTCTTGTAGTCAATTGTTCTTCAAGTGTAATTAGCCCTTGCATTTTGACAGTAAATGAGACTCCAATACTTCGATAAATGGCTTGTTTCTGGAAAAGGAGTATTTGTGAATAGAAAACTCAGTCGTCTTCCCCCTTTCTCCCACCTCTTCCTCTTCCCCCTAATTTGGGTGGCCCTTGGCCTATGTTATTACCTTCAGAAAGGAACAGTGTTTCTTCGAAAAGGATAGCAACACAGAAAGAATAGTTATCATTCATTGAACACCTGTTACATGGCAGGTGGGTACATTCTATGCAATGCAACAATCCTGAAAAGTCATTTTAAAATATCTTTATGTTCCAGCCGAGTAAACTGAATGAAGCTCATTGAGACTGAAGAACTTGTTAAAATTCCACAGTTACTAGGAGGCTGAATCAAGATTCAAACACACCCAAGTTTGTCTGATGCCAACATCTGTCCCTTTTCTGTGATTCGGTGTCTCCCTTAGACCGTAAGGAGTTGGCCCTTGTTGAGAAACTCCTATGGCCTCACTTGTTAGTGGAAAAAATAGCAGTGGCTTTGCCTGTTAGCAAGGAACAAACACCCTTCCACTTCGTTCAGATTTCTTAACTCATGTGATCTGTTTTGGTCTTCTCATTAACCCTCTGGGGGTGGGGGGAGTGAGTGACAATTATCACCCGCATTAGGTAAGAAAATGGATGGTGTCTCACATAGCTTGCAGTGGGCGGGTATGAGCATCAAATCTAGGCAGCCTGACCAACCAAGTCCCCTCCTTTAGCCTTTACATGATGTGCTCTTTTTCAGCTGTCTCGCCCTTCCCAATTGACGAAGATTCTTTGTTCACATTCGTGATCTTATTTGGTGTGGGAACACAGAGACTGATTTGCTGAATTTTTTTAAGAGCTGGAAACACTATGGAAGGTTGTCTAAACTAATTCAAATGATTTCCCTTGTCTTGACCCAAGGGGGATGTGTGAATTTCTCAAAATTGTCCACATGACATCATGCTCATTAGGATAGTCACCATCAAAAGAAAAGAAAATAACAAGTGTTGGTGAGGAGGCCAAGAAGTTAGAATCTTCGTGTACTATAAATGGGACTGTAAAATGGCATAGGCATTATGGAAAATTGTATGGAATTTTCTCAAAAAAAATGGAATTACAATATTATCTCACAACCCCACTTTTGGATATACATGCAAAAAAAAAAAAATAAGCAGGATCTCAAAGAAATCTTAGCACTCCAGTGTACATTACCCAACTATTTTTTTTTTTTTTTTTTTTTTTTTTTTTTTGAGACGGAGTCTCGCTCTGTCGCCCAGGCCGGACTGCGGACTGCAGTGGCGCAATCTCGGCTCACTGCAAGCTCCGCTTCCCGGGTTCACGCCATTCTCCTGCCTCAGCCTCCCGAGTAGCTGGGACTACAGGCGCCCGCCACCGCGCCCGGCTAATTTTTTGTATTTTTAGTAGAGACGGGGTTTCACCTTGTTAGCCAGGATGGTCTCGATCTCCTGACCTCATGATCCACCCGCCTCGGCCTCCCAAAGTGCTGGGATTACAGGCGTGAGCCACCGCGCCCGGCCATTACCCAACTATTTGTAATAGCCAAGATGTGAAGTCAAATGTCCACTGATGGATGAATGGATGCAGAAAATGTGGTCTATACATACAATGAATATCACTCAGCCTTAAAAAAGAAGGAAATCTTGCTATATGCTGCAACTTGGGTGAAACTCAAGGACACTCCACTAAGTGAAATAAGCCAGTCACAAAAGGACAAATACTCTATGATTCTGATCAAAGAAGTATCTCAAGTAGTCAAAATCATAGGAAGTAGAAAGATGGTTGGTAAGGGCTGGGGGAAAGGAGAGGGGAGGGGGAATTAGTGTTTAATGGGTATAGAGTTTCTGTTTTATAAGATGCAAGTCTGTGGTGTTCTTTTTTGTTTGTTTTTTGAGACGGAGTCTTGCTTTGTAACCCAAGCTGGAATGCAGTGGAACAATCTCACCTCATTGCAACCTCCACCTCCTGGGTTCAAGGGATTCTCCTGCCTCAGCCTCCTGAGTAGCTGGGATTACAGATGTATGCCCCCAGGCCCGTCTAGTTTTTGTGATTTTAGCAGAGATGAGGTTTTGCCATGTTGGCCAGACTGGTCTCGAACTTCTGACCTCAAGTGATCCGCCGGCCTCCCAAAGTGCTGGGGTTACAGGCATGAGCCACTGTGCCTGGCCAGATGAAAAAGTTTTATAGATCTGTTGCATGACAAAGCGACTTACACTTAACACTACTGAACGGTACATTAAAAAATGGTGGAAGATGGCAAATTTAATGTTATTTGTTTTTTACTACAAAGAATTTTGAAAACACTGCGGTGGATTTAGCACTTGACCCCATGTCACCAGGATCCAGTGAAGTTTGAGCTGCCTAAAAATGAATGTTGCTTTCTTTTTTTTTTTCTTTTTGGTCCAGGGCTATGCTTCTCTCTTAGGTTGTGTGTTATTTTCTTTGCCATAGCAACTTTGAGAAGTAAATGGGTGCTTTTGCTACACCTCAGGGGGAATCAGGTAAGTGAGGTAAACCTACCAGAGAGTCCACCTCTTCCAAGGTGCATTCATTCATCTCCCTTAGAATGGAGATGGAGTTATGAAGTAACCAGGGGTGGCATTATCAGTCCTACATGGGGAAACCAAGACTCAGCATGACCACTGGAGTGTTCAGGGTCACCTGAGGGTATTGGTGATGGAGGGTGGGGTGAGACAATATCCCAGGAATTCCGATGCTGGGTCCAGAGTTAGTGAAGTGGGAGGAGTGGCACATTTTTAAGACTTGGAACTGAAGAAAATGTTGAGAAACTTGGATGCTTTTCTTATTTTTATTATTCTATGTAAGGAACTTTCTACAGCACTAAAGTGAATAGTTCCATTGAGTTGTCCAGCCCTGACCCTTGATCTCAATGCCCATCAGTGGCCTCAGACTTGGGCTTTCTTTCAGGCTTTCTTTCATCCTCCAGGCTGTGGGGCCCTGTGAGCCTTCTTCTTCCCCAGCGGTAGATTTTTCTTTTTAATGTTTGAACTCCAGAGGCCCCCAAGGGCTTCTGCCTTAATTAAAATTTAAATTCACAAATCATGTCTTAAACCGTCTCACAGGCAGCCAAATAATCGCAATCATTAGCAAGTGGTTGGAGTTGCTTTTGCTTTAATGCTTTTCAAGGGTGATGGATACATGGGCTTAGTCCCATCATTACTGCTGTCTTCTACCACCCCTCTCTCCACAAACCTTGCTCAGAAAACTTTTCTATAACACCTTTGTTTTCTCTTGTAATAGAGAAGCCTGTGTTCTTGGTTCAGAATGTATTAATGTGTCTTGGTCTGTCCCTACCCCTGCCTTCTGCAGCTTGCCCATGTCCTGGAGGCCGTCCTCATTTGGGGACCAGTCAATTACCAGGTAATGGCTTAGAGCACAGACAGAGTGAAGACCCAACACAAGGCTGGACGGGCTTCCCTAGGAGCCACTTCTGGACTTTGGCATTGGGATAGGTCCTTTAGTCTGGTTATTTGCTCCTGGGAATTTGCAGAGTGTCCCACAGCTGTGCTTCCCCTGGTCCAGGGTGGCTCAACCTTGGCACTGCCAACATTTTGGGTTTGACAGTTTGTTGTAGGGAGAATGTCCGGTGCATTTTAGAATGTTTGGCAGCCTGCCTGTTCTCTACATACTATATGTCAGTAGCAGTCCCCAGTTGTGACAAACAAGTGTCCTGAGACACGGCCAAATGTCCCCTGGGGCAAAATCTCCCAGTTGAGAAAGGCTCTAGTCCAACGGCCTCTCTAAGACCAACACCCTTCTCTCAGTTCATTTTGTGTTGCAGGAATACCTGAAACTGGGCAATTTATGAAGAAAAGAGGTTTATTTGGCTCTTGGTTCTGTAGGCAGCACAGGAAGCATGGTGCTGGCATCTGCTTGTAGTGAGGGCTTTAGGGAGCTTCCAGTCATGGTGGAAGAAGAAGGGGAGCAGGTGTGTCCCATAGTGAGAGAGGAGGAGGTGCCACTCTCTTTTTAAACAGCCAGCTCTTGTGTGAACTAATAGAGTGAGAACTCATTCATTACTGTGGGGAGGGTACCAAGCCATTTGTGAGGGATCCTGCCCCTCCATGACCTTGACTTTTTATGACTTACCCTTAGAAGTCACATAGCACTCCTTCTGCCAAACTTTATAAATTGAGGCAGTCATAAATCCACCCATATTCGAGGGGAGGAGACACAGACCCCACCTTTTGATGGCAGGAGCATCAAAGAATTTGCAGCCATATTTGAAAACTGCACCTCATTTCTATTCCCACGTTCAGAGATGTGAATTTTTCCAAGCCTTTAGCAGATAATTCAATCCCGCCTTGAAAAATTTCACCAGGTGTATTTACACCAAAAGCCTACTTCAATTAATCAATTCTAATGCTCCAATTACTCAGCTTATATTTTCAGACACTCTAATAAGCACCACAAATGAATAGGAACTAAGCTGATGGTGCATCACCCTCCACTATTAAAAAGACCACACTTGATTTCTCAAGCAGCCTTTACCTTTGTAAAATGAATTTCCTTCTCTCACTTGTATTTAGCACAGGAAAATGTTTCCTTAGGGTTGTGGTGGAGTTGGGACAGATGGGAAGACATCTAAGAACATGTAGCAATTGTAATAAAGGTAAATTTGTTTTTTTTCTTGCTTTTTTTTTTTTTTTTTGGAGACAGGATCTCATTCTGTCACCCAGGCAGGAGTGCAGTGGCATGATCTCAGCTCACAAAGGTTACATTTTAAATGAAGACTGAAGCCTTGTTAGTTTGTGATTTTTGTCATGTTGGGAAGGATGTGGACTCCTATTCAGACTCTAGGATTAAACAACCTGGGCCTCAGTTTACTCATCTGTAGAGTAAGGGGTTGGACTTGATATTTTCCAAAACCTCTACCAGGTCCTAAATTGTCTGTGATTATAGGAATATTTGCCAAGGGCGATTTTCTAACATCAATACCCAGAGGGAGCACCCATGTAATAATCATATTCATTGACATGAATCATATTCATTGATATGAATCATATTCATTGAATAGCTTGCCTTCAAGAAATACTGTGGCACTTCTGGTAACCATACCTTTTACTCTGCATTTACTTAAATATGTACATGCATTTTTACATAAGTGGTAGTATACATTTTCTTTTGTAATTTCCTTTTTTCCCCTACCACTATAATACATGCTGAAAAGCTTCCATCTCAGTACCTATAATTAAGCTTAATTCTTTTTTTTTTTTTTTTTTTTTTTTTTTTTTTTATTATACTCTAAGTTTTAGGGTACATGTGCACATTGTGCAGGTTAGTTACATATGTATACATGTGCCATGCTGGTGCGCTGCACCCACTAATGTGTCATCTAGCATTAGGTATATCTCCCAATGCTATCCCTCCCCCCTCCCCCGACCCCACCACAGTCCCCAGAGTGTGATATTCCCCTTCCTGTGTCCATGTGATCTCATTGTTCAATTCCCACCTATGAGTGAGAATATGCGGTGTTTGGTTTTTTGTTCTTGCGATAGTTTACTGAGAATGATGGTTTCCAATTTCATCCATGTCCCTACAAAGGATATGAACTCATCATTTTTTATGGCTGCATAATATTCCATGGTGTATATGTGCCACATTTTCTTAATCCAGTCTATCATTGTTGGACATTTGGGTTGGTTCCAAGTCTTTGCTATTGTGAATAGTGCCGCAATAAACATACGTGTGCATGTGTCTTTATAGCAGCATGATTTATAGTCCTTTGGGTATATACCCAGTAATGGGATGGCTGGGTCAAATGGTATTTCTAGTTCTAGATCCCTGAGGAATCGCCACACTGACTTCCACAATGGTTGAACTAGTTTACAGTCCCACCAACAGTGTAAAAGTGTTCCTATTTCTCCGCATCCTCTCCAGCACCTGTTGTTTCCTGACTTTTTAATGATTGCCATTCTAACTGGTGTGAGATGATATCTCATAGTGGTTTTGATTTGCATTTCTCTGATGGCCAGTGATGATGAGCATTTCTTCATGTGTTTTTTGGCTGCATAAATGTCTTCTTTTGAGAAGTGTCTGTTCATGTCCTTCGCCCACTTTTTGATGGGGTTGTTTGTTTTTTTCTTGTAAATTTGTTTGAGTTCATTGTAGATTCTGGATATTAGCCCTTTGTCAGATGAGTAGGTTGCGAAAATTTTCTCCCATTTTGTAGGTTGCCTGTTCACTCTGATGGTAGTTTCTTTTGCTGTGCAGAAGCTCTTTAGTTTAATTAGATCCCATTTGTCAATTTTGGCTTTTGTTGCCATTGCTTTTGGTGTTTTGGACATGAAGTCCTTGCCCACGCCTATGTCCTGAATGGTAATGCCTAGGTTTTCTTCTAGGGTTTTTATGGTTTTAGGTTTAACGTTTAAATCTTTAATCCATCTTGAATTGATTTTTGTATAAGGTGTAAGGAAGAGATCCAGTTTCAGCTTTCTACATATGGCTAGCCAGTTTTCCCAGCACCATTTATTAAATAGGGAATCCTTTCCCCATTGCTTGTTTTTCTCAGGTTTGTCAAAGATCAGATAGTTGTAGATATGTGGCATTATTTCTGAGGGCTCTGTTCTGTTCCATTGATCTATATCTCTGTTTTGGTACCAGTACCATGCTGTTTTGGTTACTGTAGCCTTGTAGTATAGTTTGAAGTCAGGTAGTGTGATGCCTCCAGCTTTGTTCTTTTGGCTTAGGATTGACTTGGCAATGCGGGCTCTTTTTTGGTTCCATATGAACTTTAAAGTAGTTTTTTCCAATTCTGTGAAGAAAGTCATTGGTAGCTTGATGGGGATGGCATTGAATCTGTAAATTACCTTGGGCAGTATGGCCATTTTCACGATATTGATTCTTCCTACCCATGAGCATGGAATGTTCTTCCATTTGTTTGTGTCCTCTTTTATTTCCTTGAGCAGTGGTTTGTAGTTCTCCTTGAAGAGGTCCTTCACATCCCTTGTAAGTTGGATTCCTAGGTATTTTATTCTCTTTGAAGCAATTGTGAATGGGAGTTCACCCATGATTTGGCTCTCTGTTTGTCTGTTGTTGGTGTATAAGAATGCTTGTGATTTTTGTACATTGATTTTGTATCCTGAGACTTTGCTGAAGTTGCTTATCAGCTTAAGGAGATTTTGGGCTGAGGTGATGGGGTTTTCTAGATAAACAATCATGTCGTCTGCAAACAGGGACAATTTGACTTCCTCTTTTCCTAATTGAATACCCTTTATTTCCTTCTCCTGCCTGATTGCCCTGGCCAGAACTTCCAACACTATGTTGAATAGGAGCGGTGAGAGAGGGCATCCCTGTCTTGTGCCAGTTTTCAAAGGGAATGCTTCCAGTTTTTGCCCATTCAGTATGATATTGGCTGTGGGTTTGTCATAGATAGCTCTTATTATTTTGAAATACGTCCCATCAATACCTAATTTATTGAGAGTTTTTAGCATGAAGGGTTGTTGAATTTTGTCAAAGGCTTTTTCTGCATCTATTGAGATAATCATGTGGTTTTTGTCTTTGGCTCTGTTTATATGCTGGATTACATTTATTGATTTGCGTATATTGAACCAGCCTTGCATCCCAGGGATGAAGCCCACTTGATCATGGTGGATAAGCTTTTTGATGTGCTGCTGGATTCGGTTTGCCAGTATTTTATTGAGGATTTTTGCATCAATGTTCATCAAGGATATTGGTCTAAAATTCTCTTTTTTGGTTGTGTCTCTGCCCGGCTTTGGTATCAGAATGATGCTGGCCTCATAAAATGAGTTAGGGAGGATTCCCTCTTTTTCTATTGATTGGAATAGTTTCAGAAGGAATGGTACCAGTTCCTCCTTGTACCTCTGGTAGAATTCGGCTGTGAATCCATCTGGTCCTGGACTCTTTTTGGTTGGTAAACTATTGATTATTGCCACAATTTCAGAGCCTGTTATTGGTCTATTCAGAGATTCAACTTCTTCCTGGTTTAGTCTTGGGAGAGTGTATGTGTCGAGGAATGTATCCATTTCTTCTAGATTTTCTAGTTTATTTGCGTAGAGGTGTTTGTAGTATTCTCTGATGGTAGTTTGTATTTCTGTGGGATCGGTGGTGATATCCCCTTTATCATTTTTTATTGTGTCTATTTGATTCTTCTCTCTTTTTTTCTTTATTAGTCTTGCTAGCGGTCTATCAATTTTGTTGATCCTTTCAAAAAACCAGCTCCTGGATTCATTGATTTTTTGAAGGGTTTTTTGTGTCTCTATTTCCTTCAGTTCTGCTCTGATTTTAGTTATTTCTTGCCTTCTGCTAGCTTTTGAATGTGTTTGCTCTTGCTTTTCTAGTTCTTTTAATTGTGATGTTAGGGTGTCAATTTTGGATCTTTCCTGCTTTCTCTTGTAGGCATTTAGTGCTATAAATTTCCCTCTACACACTGCTTTGAATGCGTCCCAGAGATTCTGGTATGTGGTGTCTTTGTTCTCGTTGGTTTCAAAGAACATCTTTATTTCTGCCTTCATTTCGTTATGTACCCAGTAGTCATTCAGGAGCAGGTTGTTCAGTTTCCATGTAGTTGAGCGGCTTTGAGTGAGATTCTTAATCCTGAGTTCTAGTTTGATTGCACTGTGGTCTGAGAGATAGTTTGTTATAATTTCTGTTCTTTTACATTTGCTGAGGAGAGCTTTACTTCCAACTATGTGGTCAATTTTGGAATAGGTGTGGTGTGGTGCTGAAAAAAATGTATATTCTGTTGATTTGGGGTGGAGAGTTCTGTAGATGTCTATTAGGTCTGCTTGGTGCAGAGCTGAGTTCAATTCCTGGGTATCCTTGTTGACTTTCTGTCTCGTTGATCTGTCTAATATTGACAGTGGGGTGTTAAAGTCTCCCATTATTAATGTGTGGGAGTCTAAGTCTCTTTGTAGGTCACTCAGGACTTGCTTTATGAATCTGGGTGCTCCTGTATTGGGTGCATAAATATTTAGGATAGTTAGCTCCTCTTGTTGAATTGATCCCTTTACCATTATGTAATGGCCTTCTTTGTCTCTTTTGATCTTTGTTGGTTTAAAGTCTGTTTTATCAGAGACTAGGATTGCAACCCCTGCCTTTTTTTGTTTTCCATTTGCTTGGTAGATCTTCCTCCATCCTTTTATTTTGAGCCTATGTGTGTCTCTGCACGTGAGATGGGTTTCCTGAATACAGCACACTGATGGGTCTTGACTCTTTATCCAACTTGCCAGTCTGTGTCTTTTAATTGCAGAATTTAGTCCATTTATATTTAAAGTTAATATTGTTATGTGTGAATTTGATCCTGTCATTATGATGTTAGCTGGTGATTTTGCTCATTAGTTGATGCAGTTTCTTCCTAGTCTCGATGGTCTTTACATTTTGGCATGATTTTGCAGCGGCTGGTACCGGTTGTTCCTTTCCATGTTTAGTGCTTCCTTCAGGAGCTCTTTTAGGGTAGGCCTGGTGGTGACAAAATCTCTCAGCATTTGCTTGTCTGTAAAGTATTTTCTTTCTCCTTCACTTATGAAGCTTAGTTTGGCTGGATATGAAATTCTGGGTTGAAAATTCTTTTCTTTAAGAATGTTGAATATTGGCCCCCACTCTCTTCTGGCTTGTAGGGTTTCTGCCGAGAGATCTGCTGTTAGTCTGATAGGCTTCCCTTTGAGGGTAACCCGACCTTTCTCTCTGGCTGCCCTTAACATTTTTTCCTTCATTTCAACTTTGGTGAATCTGACAATTATGTGTCTTGGAGTTGCTCTTCTCGAGGAGTATCTTTGTGGCGTTCTCTGTATTTCCTGAATCTGAATGTCGGCCTGCCTTGCTAGATTGGGGAAGTTCTCCTGGATAATATCCTGCAGAGTGTTTTCCAACTTGGTTCCATTCTCCACATCACTTTCAGGTACACCAATCAGACGTAGATTTGGTCTTTTCACATAGTCCCATATTTCTTGGAGGCTTTGCTCATTTCTTTTTATTCTTTTTTCTCTAAACTTCCCTTCTCGCTTCATTTCATTCATTTCATCTTCCATTGCTGATACCCTTTCTTCCAGTTGATCGCATCGGCTCCTGAGGCTTCTGCATTCTTCACGTAGTTCTCGAGCCTTGGTTTTCAGCTCCATCAGCTCCTTTAAGCACTTCTCTGTATTGGTTATTCTAGTTATACATTCTTCTAGATTTTTTTCAAAGTTTTCAACTTCTTTGCCTTTGGTTTGAATGTCCTCCCGTAGCTCAGAGTAATTTGATCGTCTGAAGCCTTCTTCTCTCAGCTCGTCAAAATCATTCTCCATCCAGCTTTGTTCTGTTGCTGGTGAGGAACTGCGTTCCTTTGGAGGAGGAGAGGCGCTCTGCGTTTTAGAGTTTCCAGTTTTTCTGTTCTGTTTTTTCCCCATCTTTGTGGTTTTATCTACTTTTGGTCTTTGATGATGGTGATGTACAGATGGGTTTTCGGTGTAGATGTCCTTTCTGGTTGTTAGTTTTCCTTCTAACAGACAGGACCCTCAGCTGCAGGTCTGTTGGAATACCCTGCCATGTGAGGTGTCAGTGTGCCCCTGCTGGGGGGTGCCTCCCAGTTAGGCTGCTCGGGGGTCAGGGGTCAGGGACCCACTTGAGGAGGCAGTCTGCCCGTTCTCAGATCTCCAGCTGCGTGCTGGGAGAACCACTGCTCTCTTCAAAGCTGTCAGACAGGGACACTTAAGTCTGCAGAGGTTACTGCTGCCTTTTTGTTTGTCTGTGCCCTGCCCCCAGAGGTGGAGCCTACAGAGGCAGGCAGGCCTCCTTGAGCTGTGGTGGGCTCCACCCAGTTCGAGCTTCCCGGCTGCTTTGTTTACCTAAGCAAGCCTGGGCAATGGCGGGCGCCCCTCCCCCAGCCTCGTTGCCGCCTTGCAGTTTGATCTCAGACTGCTGTGCTAGCAATCAGCGAGATTCCGTGGGCGTAGGACCCTCTGAGCCAGGTGTGGGATATAGTCTCGTGGTGCGCCGTTTCTTAAGCCGGTCTGAAAAGCGCAATATTCGGGTGGGAGTGACCCGATTTTCCAGGTGCATCCATCACCCCTTTCTTTGACTCGGAAAGGGAACTCCCTGACCCCTTGCGCTTCCCAGGTGAGGCAATGCCTCGCCCTGCTTCGGCTCGCGCACGGTGCGCACACACACTGGCCTGCGCCCACTGTCTGGCACTCCCTAGTGAGATGAACCCGGTACCTCAGATGGAAATGCAGAAATCACCCGTCTTCTGCGTCGCTCACGCTGGGAGCTGTAGACCGGAGCTGTTCCTATTCGGCCATCTTCAAGCTTAATTCTTTTCCACTGCTACATAATAGTCCACTGCACGGATAACTTAAAATCCGCTATAGGGATTATTTAAGTGTAGACCATTTTGATGTAAATTTAAGTTACTTTATTTCTTTTGCTTTTATATTAGCAATGCTTCAATATTAGCAATGCTGCAATGAATAGCACTGTGCATACGTCATTGTGATGGTTAATTTTATTTGTTAACTGGGCTAAGGGATGCCTAGATAGCTGGTCAAACATTGTTTTGCAGTATATCTGCTAAAACATTTCCAAAAGAGATTAGTGTTTGCATCAGCAGACTGAGTAAAGAAGATGGCCCTCAGCAATGTGGGTGGGCATGGCGTAATCCGCTGAAGGCCCAGATAGAAGAAAAAGGCGGAAAAAGGGTGAGTTCTCTGTCTTGTTGAGCTGCTACATTCATCTCCCACCCTTGGAGACTGGAGCTCCTGGTTCTCAGGGCTACAGGCTCTGGGACTTACACCAGTGGCCTCCCCAGTTCTTGGTCTTTGGACTTGGACTGAATGACATCACTGGCTTCCTGGGTTCTTCAGCTTGCAGATGGCAGATCATGGGACCTCTGGGCCACCACAATCATGTAAGCTAATTCCCATAATAAATCTTTGCCTATATATACTGTATTGATTCTCTTCCTCTGGAGAACCTTGAGCAATACAGTCATTTTGCTCCTATGCAGTTATACTGTAGAATAAATTTCTAGAAGGGAATTTGCTGGGTCAAAAGTTATGTGCTTTTATAATTCTGATAGCTATCGACAAATTTCTCATCACAGAGATCATACCAATTTGTTCCTCAATCAATAATGTATAAAAGAGCTTTGTCCTCCTACACAGGGTATGATCAAACTTTACAATTCTTGGCACTCTGATAAGGCAGAAATGGCCTCATTATGGTTTTAAGTGGCATTTCTCCTTTGTGAGTAAGCTAGCATCTTTTCTTATATAGAAGAGTCTTTCGTATTTCTTTCTCTCAGAAAAGTATCCTTATAGACTGTGAAAGGGCATAACTTAAAACATTTTTATTTATTTATTTTTAATTATTATACTTTAAGTTCTAGGGTATATGTGCACAATGTGCAGGTTTGTTACATAGGTAATACATGTGCCATGTTGGTTTGCTGCACCCATTAATTCGTCATTTACATTAGGTATTTCTCCTAATGCTATCCCTCCCCCATCCCCCCACCCCATGACAGGCCCCAGTGTGTGGTGTTCCCCGCCCTGTGTTCAAGTGTTCTCATTGTTCAATTCCCACCTATGAGTGAGAACATGCAGTGTTTGGTTTTCTGTCCTTGTGATAGTTTGCTCAGAATGATGGTTTCCAGCTTCATCCATGTCCCTACAAAGGACATGAACTCATCCTTTTTTATGGCTGCATAGTATTCCATGGTGTTTATATGCCACATTTTCTTAATACAGTCTATTATTGATGGACATTTGGGTTGGTTCCAAGTCTTTGCTATTGTGAATAGTGCCGCAATAAACATACGTGTGCATGTGTGTTTATAGTAGCATGATTTATAATCCTTTAGGTATATACCCAGTAATGGGATGGCTGGGTCAAGTGGTATTTCTAGTTCTAGATCCTTGAGGAATCACCACACTGTCTTCCACAATGGTTGAACTAGTTTACACTCCCAACAGTGTAAAAGTATTCCTATTTCTCCACATCCTCTCCAGCATCTGTTGTTTCCTGACTTTTTAATGATGGCCATTCTAACTGGTGTGAGATGGTATCTCATTGTGGTTTTAATTTGCATTTCTCTGATGGCCAGTGATGATGAGCATTTTTTCATGTGTCTGTTGGCTGCATAAATGTCTTCTTTTGAAAAGTGTCTGTTCATATCCTTTGCCCACTTTTTGATGGGGTTGATTTTTTTCTTGCAAATTTGTTTGAGTTCTCTGTAGATTCTGGATATTAGACCTTTGTCAGATGGATAGATTGCAAAAATTTTCTCCCATTTTTGTATGTTGCCTGTTCACTCTGATGGTAGTTTCTTTTGCTGTGCAGAAGCTCTTTAGTTTAATTAGATCCCATTTGTCAATTTTGGCTTTTGTTGCCATTGCTTTTAGTGTAACTTAAAACATTTTTAATAGATGTTTTTATATTTTTCTAGTGAATCCACTCCATGACATCACCTTGCCTTCCTCTTTTTTTTTTTTTTTTTTTTGAGATGGAGTCTCACTTGGTCGCTCGGGCTGGAATGCAGTGGCACGATCTCAGCTAACTGCAACCTCCGTTTCCTGGAGAATCAGTGAACTGATTCTCCTGTCTCAGCCTCTTGAGTACCTTGGATTACAGGTGTGCACCACCATACCTGGCTAATTTTTGTGTTTTGGGTGGAGACAGGGTTTTGCCATGTTAGCCAGGCTGGTCTTGAACTCTTGACCTCAAATGATCCTCCCATCTCGGCCTCCCAAAGTGCTGGGATTACAGGCATGAGTCACCACGTCTGGCCCTCGCCTTCCTCTTTATGCCAGTTTCCGAAGTCACATGTAAGCCCTTAGGCAGATGGTGGGATCCTCATTCTATCACTCTATCCCTTTATGGTTTTCTTAGTTGTATCTTTAGGTGGAGTGAAGCGGGACAGCTAACACAGTGACCTCCAGTAGCCACAGAATTTGTTGGTATTTGCTAGAAATACATTTGGTGGATAATATGGACCATCAAAGCTTTACTTTGACTCCACCCTGCAATTTTGTCCAAGTGTCTCAGGAAATGACTGCACTTCATTTTTGCTGAAGCCTATTTCTCTGCAGTACATTTTGTAATCCTTATGGGTTTTATCATAAGAAAAAACAACTCATGGTCTTTCTAGAAAAAGTCAAACATTGGCTGGTTTCATCGTTTATCAGCATCAGCTCTTTCTGCTGATAATGCTGGTAACAAAACTTCTTTCTCTCAGCACCTCTTTCAGCCTGACTGTTAAGGTTTTGATGGAGAGGAGGTGGGAAGCCCAGGCTTGACTCTAAGCCTAAGCCACACTTGTCAATGCAGTTAATCAGAAACTTTGCATTGTTACTGGCCCCTGCCCAACTAGGGATAAAGATGACACTTTACTTAGATTTTCATGTGATCTTTATGTCTGGGACCAACCGGTTAAAATCCCAGAGGAAGGAAGTTTGGGCAATTGGCTAGATTCCAGCATTTTCCACACACTGGATTCTGTGTTAGGGATACTAAAATGAATTAATAAAATGCAGCCCTGGCCAGGTGCGGTGGCTCACACCTATAATCCCAGCACTTTGGGAGGCCAAGGTGGGCGGATCACGAGGTTGGGAGTTTGAGACCAGCCTGACCAACACGGTGAAACCCCGTCTCTACTAAAAATACAAAAATTAGCTGGGCATGGTGGCGTGCACTTGTAATCCTAGCTACTCAGGAGACTGAGACAAGAGAATTGCTTGAACCCGGGAGGTGGAGGTAGCAGTGAGCTGAGATTGCACCACTGCACTCCAGCCTAGGTGACAGAACGAGACTCTGTCTCAAAAAGAAAAAAAAAAAAGCAGCCCCTGGTCCAAAGTCACTCCCACATCAAAGCAGGTCCCACCTATAAGCAGATATTTATAATACAATGTAGTAAGTACCATGATAAAAGAAATCTTTCCAATCTAACTCATAGAGGAAGGGTTCCTGGAGGAGATAAACCTCGGTAAAAACATTAGTATGAATTGGTATTAGATAAGGTGGCCAGACCATGTGATCAAATAAATAGAGATGTGAAATAAAAAGGTACGTATGTGTGCCATGATAAGTGGTGTTTCTGGAGCAGAAATTATGTCATGCGTTAGTGGTTGAAGAAGTAGACAGAACCTGGTGAAACCTGTTTGTTCTCTAAAAGACTTGTAATTTATCCCGTAGATTAACTGGTTTTTCCCATGGCCAGACACCCACAGATAGCATTTCACCCTGTAATAACTTCTCTTGGGTGTGCCTAGGCTTCTGCATGATTACCAGCTCATTGGCTGTATCAGCAACCCGTTTTTTCTATCCAGTGAGTGTGAAAGAGATGAGGTTTCTACGGTCCTTAAAAAGCCTGGATCCATCAGCATTGGAGCTTGGAGAGGAGTTGAGGTAAAAGAAATGCAATCTACCAACAGATATAATGTTTAAGTATCTTACTTTTTACTGTAAAAAGTATCAAACTTTTTACTGTAGAGTTGAATCATTTATACATTTTGGTTTAACCTAATTCAATTTCTTTTCTTTTCTTTTTTTTTTTTGAGATGGAATCTCCCTCTGTCACCCAGGCTGCAGTGCAGTGGCACAATCTCAGCTCACTGCAACCTCCACCTCCCAGGCTCAAGCGATTTTCCTTCCTCTGCCTCCCAAGTAGCTGGGACTACAGGTGTGCGCCACCATGCCTGACTAATTTTTGTATTTTTAGTAGAGACAGGGTTTTGCCATGTTAGCCAGGCTGGTCTCAAACTCCTAACCTCAGGTGATCCACCTGCCTCGGCCTCCCAAAGTGCTGGGATTACAGGCATGAGCCACTGTACCCGGCCCTAATTCAATTCTTTATGCTGATTAAAGAATGGAAAAAGCAGGAGATGGGACATGCAAGGGAGAAAGTGGGGACAGTGTAACTGGCCCAGCCAATTCTGTCCTCTACTCATGGTATAAGAGAGCATGAGACAGGAGGACTGACGTTCATGCCCCATCATCAGCCTTGGTCTCCCATGTGGCTTTCATAACCTGAGTATCTCTTGGAGCCAAATGGGAGTCTAGTGTTTAGAAATATGTGTTTTTCATACAACCTGGGTGCTAAACACAAGATAAACGGTTCACCAAAGAACCAGTGAGTGATCAATTTTTGCTGGGAGACAGACTGGCCTGGCTGGCCATATGAAAAACCCAGCATATGCAGTTGACTCTCTGTATCTGTGGGTTCCACATCCATGGATTCAACCAACTGTGGATCAAAACTACATGGAAAAAAATTGTGTACTGAACATGTACAGACTTTGTTTCTTGTCATTTCCTAAGCAATGCAACATAACAACTATTTCATAGCAGTGACATTCTATTAGGTATTATAAGTAATCAGACATGACTTAAAGTATATGGGCGGATGTGTGTAGATTGTATGCAAATACGACACTGTTTTATATCGGGAACTTGAGCATCCACCAGTTCTGGTATCTATGGGGAGTCCTGAAACCAATTCCCCATGAATACCAAGGAGTGTCTGTATTGTATTTAATGGGCACTGGAAGGGATTCAAGAGTTATTTTGATTATATACTCTCTACTTGCCTTGCTGAGTTTTTTAAAACATAACACCCAAATGGGAAGCAAAATTACTTTGTTTATGTTTCTCAAAGACGATGAAGGAGACAAAAACCTAAGTTCACAGCAACCTCATGAAGCTCCTCTTTTATTTCCCATCCTCTCACTATTCTTATATTTCTCCAGGGCATTCCTCCCTCCGCACAGCCCTGTGAAGCTCTCCTATCTCTTCCTCTACTCTGTATCCTTTTATTTATTTTTATTTTATTAACTTATTCACTTTGGAATAGGGTCTCACTCTATCACCCAGGCTGAAGTGCAGTGGCACAATCATGGCTCACTGCAGCCTCGAATTTCTGGACTCAAGCAATCTCCCCTCCTTAACCTCTTGAGTATCTGAGACTATAGGAGTGCAGCACCACACTCAGCTAATTTTAAATTTTTTGTAGAGATAGGGTCCTATTATGTTGCCCAGGCTGGTCTTGAACTCCTGGGCTCAAGTGATCCTCCTAACCTTGGCTTCCCAAAGTACTGGGACTATGGGTGCGAGCCACTGTGCCCAGCCTACATTCTTCTATTACATAAGATGATCGGAGCTTGTCTCCAGCCAACAGGAATCATTATTATTTCTGAGGGACTATGAGTGGGTGGGCAAAAATTGCATTTTCTTTTTCTTTTTTTTTTTTTTTTTAACAGCCAGGGTCTCACTATCGCTATTGTTGCCCCAGCTGGACTTGAATTCCAGGGCTTAAGTGATCCTCCCACCTTAGCCTCCCAAGTAACTTGGACTACAGGCTATGCCAGCATGCCTTGCAGGATTTACATTGTTAATCATAAGATACTCTCTGTGTTATGGAATGAATTGTGTCCCTATGCCCCCCAAAATTTTATGTGTTGAAGTCCTACTCACCAGAATTTCAGAATGTGATGATATTTGGAGATAGGGTTTTTACAGAGATAGTTAAGTTAAAATGAAGTCACTGGGGTGGGCCCTAATCCAACATGACTGGTGTCCTTATAAGAAGAGGATATTTGGACACAGACACATACAGAGAGAGGATGACATGACAATACCAGAAGTTGGTCATCTCCAAACCAAGGAAAGAGGCCTCAGAAGAAAGCAACCCTACTGACACGTTGATCTCAGATGTCCAGGTTCTTCAACTGCAAGAAAATTAATTTCTGTTATTCAAGTCACATAGTCTGTGATATTTTGTTTTGGCAGCCCTAATGCACCTTGGAAGGGGAGATCACTTAGACAAACAATGCCTGTCCCATTCCACTCCAGCCTCTTCAAATTTATACATACAAAGGAGAACCACTCACGAACATTGGTATTTTGTGTTTTTTTGGTCACGTATTACTTGTGCTGCCCATCACAGCTTACTAGAAGACTGAAAAACATTGCTGTAGGGGAGAAGGGGCCACAGGGGAATTCAAAGCAGAGAAGGACGTGATGGATCTGAATTTTGGGTGGATCACACCAACATCAAAAGTGAAGATGGATTGAAATAGGGCAAGACAGGAGATGGAGAACTATTAAAATGCTTTTTCGGCTGGGCATGGTGGCTCACGCTTGCAATCCTAGCACTTGGGGAGGTCGAGGTAGGCGGATCACGAAGTCAGGAGTTTGAGACCAGCCTGGCCAACATAGTGAAAGTCCATCTCTACTAAAAATACAAAAAAAAAAAATAATAATTAGCTGGGCATGGTGGTGGGCACCTGTAATCCCAGTTACTTGGGAGGCTGAGGCTGGAGAAATCACTTGAACCCAGGAGAAAGGAGGTTGTAGTGAGCTAAGATCACACCACTGCACTCCAGCCCAGGCGACAGTATGAGACTCCATCTCAAAAAAAAAAAAAAATGCTTTTTCATTCAGTAGCAGCAGGGATGGAGAATTAGGGATGGGTTTGATAAATATCTAGGTATGAGAATAATAATATTGGGTGATAGAATTGGGGTGATGAAAGGGAGTAGAGATGGATGATTTCTATCTTTCTAGTTTAGGTATCTGAGTATACAATGGCACTGCCAATAGAAAGCAACTATAGAGTTTATTTGCATGCCACTGTATTCTAGAAAGAACTGAAGTTGGCTTATACAAAAACTGATCATGCCATAATAAATAGAAGTAAATGGGGAAAGCGAAGCTGGCTGTGCTTGAAAACTGGAAAGACAAAATGAAGCCAAGAGCGAGGTTAGCACACAAATCCTCATCCAGGGATTCTTAACACTTGTCAGAGATGGACTGTACATTTTGCTTTAGGCCAACACATGACATTATTCACACTTGTCATTTTGGTCAATGTTTCTCACCTCTTCCAAGGACCTGGAGTCTGAAAATTCTAAAACAATGAAAATCTGGCTGTTGGCTTCTGGGCGTGAGAGGCACCAGGAATACTGGGAGAGGCTCAGATTGCATATTTGGAGACTCCTCAGAGAGAAAGGTGTGGAAAGTTTAAAAAGTGTGGAGCATCTCCTGCCTCACCTTAGGGTAGGGTGGAATCTGGCGCTTGGGTTCAGAGACTGGGAAGATGGACTGTCTGTACTTCCATGCAACAGTGTAAAAATCCATTGATTTGGGAAAATGACATGGATGTGTCATATGCCTTCTGTGGTGCCACTTGACTGATTTACATAATATTGCTGTTTTTGCTATGTGAATACACAGGTTACATAAGCAGTCTGGCAGCTTAAGTCTCATTACTGTCATTTCCAAGGTGTTAGATTGTTCAGAACAAGGGAACCCTTTCTGCTACAGAATCTAAAGTGAATGTATCCCCATCTAGGCACATTTCAATGATCCCTTCATGATCACACCTTTGGAATATGCCCAAATAGCCAGTTTGATAACCTTAGGTTGGAAAAGGGAATGGTTGTTCCCAAGCTGTCTTTCCCAGAGTGTTTCCCTCTTGCCAAGTGTTGAGTGAGGTTCAACAGGTTTATGTTCCTGCCTATGGGGCACCTTTCTCTATGGAGAAAGGACCTTTAGAAGGACTATATAGAGAGAGGTGAGCTCTATACAACAGCTCTTGGCGCTAATAATACTACACCTTGATGGGTCCAGGACTGGTTGGGGCCTGACTTGCTGATCTTTTTTGCTTTTATAATTTCAACTTTTATTTTAGATTTAGGTGGCACACACGCAGGTTTGCTACATGGATATATTGCCTGATGCTGGGTGCGATACACATGATCCAGTCACCCAGGTACTCAGCATCATACCCAGTGGTTAGTTTTTCAACCCTTACCCTCCTCCCCTTCCCCTCTAGTAGTCCCCCAGTGTCTATTATTTCCACCTTTATGTCCACGAGTATCCAGCGTTCAGCTCCCACTTGTGAATGAGAACATGCAAGTATGTCTAAGATGGTGTCTCCACTCCATGCATGCCTCCTTCTAGACAGGATCTGGCTGGCTGTGGGCAGTATTGTGGAGTTGGTAAGTTTCCTCTGTGCGAGTTTACTCTTCCTTTTCTTTCAATGTGTACCAGAGTGATGGGATTGGCTTTGGAGTAGAGATATGACTCTCTCTGGCCAGCCAAGCCTGGTACAAGTAATTTAACTCCTTGGAATCTCAGCTTCCTCATCTGTAATGTGCGGAAGATAACAGCAGCCTCACAGGACTGCCCTGACTGCAATCACAATGGAAATGAGTGGCTGTGAATTTCTTCACAGCGTCCTGATGCAAGAAAGGCCCAAAATACTTCACTCATTTTATTGATTTATTTATTTACGTATTTTTACATACATACATTTTAGGGACACCCAGGCTGGAGTGCAGTGGTGTGATCCTAGCTCACTACAACCCCAAACTCTTGGGCTCGAGCAGTCCTCTCACTTTAGCCTCCCAAGTAGCTAGGACTATAGGTTCGCACCACCATGCCCAGCTAATTTTTTATTTTTAGTAGAGACCAGGTCTTGCTTTGTTGATCAGGCTAGTCTCAAACTCCTGATCTCAAGTGATCCTCCCACTTCAGCTTCCCAAAGTGCTGGGATTACAGGTGTGAGCCACCATGCTCATCCACTTTACTTGTTTTAATCAGAGTAAATCTGGCTGTAGGCTCTCAAGAACTACAGTGTTGAGAAAATAAATCACAGATTTCTTTAGGAGCATTCCCTACCAATCCCCAAAGATATAAATGGTCTTTTAAATCCCTTATTTGGGATTTAAAAATTAGGGAGGGGGCCAGGTGCAGTGGCTCATGCCTATAATCCCAGTACTTTGGGAAGCCAAGGTGAGCGGATCGCTTGAGGTCAGGAGTTCAAGACCAGCCTGGCTAACATGGTGAAACCCCATCTCTACTAAAAATACAAAAATTAGCCGGGTGTGGTGGTGCGAGCCTGTAGTTGCAACTGCTCGGGAGGCTGAGGCATGAGAATTGCTTGAACCCCGGAGGTGGAGGCTGCAGTGAGCTGAGATTGTGCCACTAGACTGCAGTCTGGGTGACAGAGCAAGACGGTGTCTCAAAAAAAAAAAAAAAAAAAAAAAAAAAGGAAAAAACATGAGGGAGGGGCCTGGACCTCAGTCCTTGGAGTCACCAGAGTTCCTGCTGCTCTTTCTGCTCCATGATGCTCCTGAGTTTGTCCTGCTTGCTTTCTCAGCCTTTGTTCTCTCGACAGACCCAGGGCTGTTCCTCAAGACCATTGTATTTTCTTCTAGCCAGAAGTTTGACCACATGGAATTTTGCCAGTGCTGTCCAAGTCTTGGCACTGTATCCAACCACCCTGGTATCCCTGAGATCTGTGTTCAAAGACAGCCCAGTTCTAATCACCTGTGAAAACCCCAAACCTCCACACTCTTCAATGTTATGGGAGGCCAAGGCTTTACCTGCCTCCAGGCACCCCAAACCCCAACTGTCTCCCCGATCTATTTTCCTTCCTCATGAATGAGCTTATGTTTCCTAAACAAAGCTGGGATGAGTCTTATGTCCTGGAAGTCTCATAGTTTCTACTGAGTTAATATTGACTCTAGTTGTCCTCAGTAGCCAGTTTCTTCTTCACTCACACCAACAGAATGTTTAGCTACACAGGAAATGCCTAGAATAAGGCTGACATTTTGCAGCCTGCCTCATAGCTAGGGATAGCCATGTGGTTGAGTTCTGGACAAAGAGATTTAGGTAGAAAGTGTGGGTGGCAGCTTCTGGGAGCCTTCTTTAAGGGACATACCTGCCCTTTGATGTTCTTTTCTTCTTCCATCTTGCTGTCTCCTATGCAGCTGCTGCCATCTTGGACCAAGCACATGATGGTCATATCCTAAAAGATATCAGAATGGTGAGTTGGTAGGAGACTGAGTCTTTGTTTATAAGACAAGACACAGAGTGGGGAAAACCCCTTTTGTTTGGTCCAATGTCATGACAATTGAGCATCAAAGGGAAGAATCTCAAGGACCAAGGTTACCTGCTGAGCATGACCAAACCCAAGAGAGCCCACGTCCTTAATGACATCACTTACCCAGGAGCCTCCTCCCTCCAGACTCCTTCTGATGGGAGATGAGATGAGACATTTTCCCCACTGTTTAAGCCACTTTTCTTTGGATATTTTATTGCCTAAGAGCACCCTAACCAATGGGATATAAAGAAGAACAGTCTCAGAGCACAAGGGTTGTTTACTTGTTTTTCAGATGAGGCAGGGAAAATCCCTCTTGATCTTTTGAGCATCCTTCAGCAACAAGAACAAACACAAACAGGTATCTCAGTAAATGATGCCCCCATATGTAAAAAACACAGCATGGAACCTGACACATTTAAGCAGTCAGTAAAAGGTAGCTATTCTTCTTTTTCTTAGTAGCATAATGCCTCAATAAACATTGGTTTCTGATCCTATCCCCTTGAGTATCTCTCCCTTTGCTGCTAAGTTTCTCCATACCTTTACATTTATCTCCCTTCTCCCCTATTAAACCTGGCTCTTGAAAAGACTGTCAACTTGCTCTCATTGAGGTGTCAGTGATAGATAAGGCTTAATGTATGACCTCATTCCCCAAACACTATCGGCTTGTCAGTGAGATTTACATTTAATAGAGGATTAAAGCCTTAAGCCAAAGGAATGAATCTTTAATGGTGAAATTTGAGGCACCAGAAGGCTTATGAAAAACAATATTGAAGAGGGGGAGGACCTCCTTGGTGATCCCAATTTTCTGAGGCATTCTCATAAAGTTCTCCAAATTCTCCCAAATTTAAAAACGTCATGCCGTACTGCACTTCACAATTGGCAGTTGGCAGACAGATTCTGGATGAAGCTTTGTGGAACTGAACGGGAGTGGGAGGGGGAATCGTGAAATCAAAGGCACAAGAAGAGGGTGTCTCAATTCCAGAGGGAGTTGTCTGTTGAGTGGGTGAGTCAGGCTGTCTGAGCATGTGGATGGAACTTCCCTGGGGCAGCTGCCTGTGTTGAGCCACATTTGATATTGACTTAGCAGTTTCCTGCTGCTTCTTGACCTTTTTTTTGGTTGGGGCTGGTGGTTGAGCTGTATCAAGTTATCTTTCTATCCCACCCTCCCAGTTTCTTCCCTGAACCTCATCATCATCTCAGTTCTTCTCCCTGCTTGTCCTGCCCTCTACAAAGTGCCTCTTTGGCCAGGCTTCTCAAATACTGTGAGCAAGACTTGGAATCTCTCTTCTCTCCTTGCACCCACCACTGAATCTTTGGGCATCTTGGCCGGGTCCCCAGCAGTGCAGACCTGACAGGCTGCATTCTTGGTCACTGGGATTTCTTCTCTGAGCTCCAGCTTATGCTGCTTCCTTTTCAGCATCTCCTCTTGAGTATCCCACGGATTATTTATTTAGTTATTTATTTTAATTTTTTGTTGTTGTTGAGATGAAGTCTCACTCTGTCACCCAGGCTGGAGTGCAGTGGCATGATTGTGGCTCAATGAAACCTCCGCCTCACAGGCTCAAGCAATTCTCCTGCCTCAGCCTCCTAAGTAGCTGGGATTACAGGAGCCCACCACCATGCCCGGCTAATTTTAGTATTTTTAGTAGAGATGGGGTTTTGGCATGTTGGCCAGGCTAGTCCCGAACTCCTGACCTCAGGTAGTACGCCCACATTGGCCTCCCAAAGTGCTGGGCTTACGGGTGTGAGCCACCTTGCCTGGCCCTGATTATTTATTTTTTTGAGATGAGGTCTCACTCTGTCACTCAGGCTGGAGTCCAGTGGTGTGGTCATAGCTCACTGCAGCCTCGAAGTCCTGGGCTCAAGTGACCCTCCTGCTTCAGCCTCCCGAGGAGCTGGAACTGCAGGCATACTATTATTAGTGCTTGGAACACTTAGCAACATACCCAGCTACGTTGTAAATTAGAGACGAGGTCTCACTATGTTGCCCAGGCTGGTCTGCAACTTCTGGCCTCAAGCAATCATCCTGCGTCGGCCCGCCAAAGAGGGACCCCACTCCAAAGCACTGGGATTACAGGTGTGAGTCACTGTGCCCAACCCCTACTGATACTTTAAATTCAACACATGTGGGTCAATTATGTTCCATCCATCCCCTGGATGTGCTCTTCACCCACCTCCACCTTGTTCCTTCCATGGCAGATGGAGTCATTGGAACGTCATCACCTCTGGCTGGGTTTGACCAATTAGGAGGAGAAAGGAGAGAGGAGGGAGGAGTGAGGCAGGAGTGGGAGGCTGCAGTGTTCATCCCCTAAAGGTGGTCTCCGCCGGATTGTGTTCCTCCACCAAAAGCCTGCTCCTTTCTAGTGGCCTTCTGTACCTACACGACTCCCTCTTTCCAGGTCTTGGCAACTATTCCCTGTCCTTGTTCCCCCAAGCTTGGAGGCAGTGGCAGCTCCTCCACTGCTGCTGGCCTCGGGTGACTGCTCTCACCCTTGCAGTGGTTCCCTTGCGGGAGATTGGCATCACCTGGAAACACATTAAAATTGCAGACTTGGGGCTACCTCCCAGCCCTTCTGAGCTTGAAATTAGGGGTGGGGCCCAGCAGTCTGCATCTGTTTTTAATTTTTATTTTTATTTTAAGTTCTGGGGTACATGTGCAGGATATGCAGTTTTTGTTACATTGGTATACATGTACCATGGTGGTTTGCTGCACCTGTCAACCCATCACCTAGGTATTAAGCCTAGCATGCATTCGCTATTTTTCCTAATGCTCTCCCTTCCCCTAGCCCACCCCTGACAGGCCCCAGTGTGTGTTGTTCCCCTCCCTGTGTCCATGTGTTCTCATTGTCCAGCTCCCACTTCTAGCTGAGAACATACAGTGTTTGGTTTTCTGTTCCTGCATTAGTTTGCTGAGGATAATGGCTTCCAGCTCCATCCAAGTCCCTGCAAAGGATATAATCTCATTCCTTTTTATGGCTGCATAGTATTCCATGGTGTATATGTACCACAATTTCTTGATCCAGTCTATCATTGATGGACATTTGGGTTGATTCCGCAGTCTGCATTTTGACCAGATCTCTAGGTCTAGGTGATTCTGAAGCACGCTCATGTTTGAGCATCACCAAACTTCACCTTTCCAGCTTTGAAATTAGTAACAAACTCTTCCAATTGTGCCAAATGAACATTTCCTCTGTTTTCTATTGTGATCCTAATGATATAATGACAATAATAATAATAGAATTCAGATCCCCGGCATAAAAGTGACCCTTGTCTAGGGTCTCTTTCTCAATGAATGCAACACCATGGGACTTGTTCTTACACATCTTTTAACTCTGCACCTACCAGCCTGTGTGGTACATTGTAGGTGCTCAGTAAAGGCTCATTTCAACAGAAATTTCATTTTTTTACCCTCATGGTTTTGTGCCTTTCCCAACACACCGTGTATACATCCATTCATCCACCCAGGAATCACCATATGGGTACTGGGGATGTACAGCCAAATATGATATTGTGTTTAGTCTCATGGGTCTTATGAGTTAATGGGTGAGATGTCAGCTGTCTGAGTTTCAGTAACACCATCTATTAATGGATCATAATATTACTGACTCCATGGGGTTGTTGTGAAGATGAAATGGGATAACGCACAGAGTGCTCTTGGCACGGTGCCTGACATTGAAACTATTCAATCAATTTTAGTTTTATTACTATTGCAGTAGTTGATATAGCTTAAGCCTGGCTCAAACAGAGACGAGAACATGATTTGTGGGCATCTCTCCACGCCATGGGTATAAGCGTCTTACAAGTTACAGGATCATTAAAGTACTTTGTAAATTACTTGGCATTTCATAAGGCGTTTATTTTTATTTTTTAATTTTTGTGAGTACATAGTAGGTGTATATATATATGGGGTAAGTGAGATATTTTGATACAGGCATGTAATGTGGAATAAACACATCAAGGTAAATGGGGTATCCATCAATAAGGTGTTTTTATATTTACTGATCTGGCTATTATTCTTGTCCTCGTGTGATATCTCTGTCTTGTTTATCCTCTTCAAGGCTACCCTGTAAGTTTCATTTTGACCTGCTTTTATTCCTGTGCAAAAGTTAGCCAGCACAAAAGAGTAGCTTAATAATTTATTCTGGATTGAGACGCCCTTAGGGTCTGTCCATTAATTTCTTCCCTTCCAAAATGACTATAATTTTTTATTGTTTTTATTGGTTAAAAAGATGTATGTTCATTGCTTTAAAAAATGAAATGATACAAAGCGGTACAAAGTACAAAATACTTTATCAGTTGAAATAAATCACTCAGAGATACCTCTTTTAACATGTTGCTGAACCTTTTCCTTGAAATATCATTATACATTTCTCTGCAACTCTATCTAGTATTTCCATGTTACATGAATAGGGTCATTCTATGGAGCCAGCTCACTTTTTAGCCAGAAACTATCTGAGGAGGCTCTGGGAAAATTTCGTCTGGGGAGGCGCGCTTGCTCTCCCACAGGACCACCAGATGTCGCTGCTTCTGAATTTATCAGAATTTCCTGTCCCCAGGGCAGGCTGCAGAAATTAATGCTCAATGTTCCAATCCTGGGCCCTGGTTCGTACCATCCCTCTGGCCTAGGGCTGAAGATGAATTGATTTTGTTTTCAGTGACACCTGCAGAGGGCAAAAGTCATGCCCACACTGTGACATGGAGTGAACCTGTAGTGGCTCTTGGACTGAACAAGTTCTGACATGTGTGTTGGTTATGTTTGCACCTGTTTTCTCCTCCTCCCCCGTCCCCAAATTAGATCGTGAGATCCCTGCAGGAAGAGACTGAGTCCTGTAACCCAGAGTTCTCTTTCTGTAAAGCCCTCAATACCTGTTAAGTCTCAATTAAGAATAAGGTAGCTTGGGGACCTGGCATGGTAGCTCACACCTGTAATCCCAGCACTTTGGGGAGGCCCAGTTGGGTGGATCACTTGAGGCCAGGAGTTCGAGACCAGCCTGGCCAACATGGTGAAACTCTGTCTCTACTAAAAATACAAAAATTAGACAGGCGTGGTGGGGCATACCTGTAATCCCAGCTACTCGGGAGGCTGAGGCAGGAGAATTGCTTGAACCCAGGAGGTGGAGGCTGCAGTGAGCTGAGATCACACCACTGCACTCCAGCCTGGGCAACAGAGTGAGATTACATCTCAACCAAAAAAAAAAAAAAAAAAAAAAAGAAAAAAGAGATGGTGGCTAGGAAAATAGAGGCTAGAAAGAAAAAAAAAAGTAGGTGTTTTGAAAGCAGAAAACAAAGTATAAAAAATTATTGAGCTGGGAGTCAGAAAATCCAAATTTTACATTTGGATTAGGTCTTAATTCACTGGCTGACTTTGGACAAGCCTATTGACCTTTCTGGGGTCAAGTTGGTTTATGTATAGGAGGTTGGATAGAATGATCTCTCAACCTCTATTAGCTCTGACCTCCTTGGATACAAAAGTTCTTCTTGTCTTTTGTTGTTGTTTTTTGTTTGTTTTTGGGATGGGAGGATGTCAAATTGCATCTAGAAGTGAATCATTGGGCACCGTCAAGAAACCTGGGGAACTCAGGTCCTGGGGCATCCAGGGCAGGTCAGGCCTGAGGCTGAGCTGCACTTAACAATCCACCCTCCTTGCAGGGCCATTGGCGCCGGCCGCACCAGCACAGCCCATACATCATTATTAGATTCCCTTCATCATGCTAATTGACATGGGATGAAAAATATCCAGTGAAGGAAACAGCAAATGCTTTCACATTCAGCCAGGGCACCTGGCAAATGGGAGAAACTGCTGTAAAAGTTAACTGAGATTGAAAACGGGCCTACTAATATCTTGTAGGGTGAATGTTTCCTGTTGCCGGGAACTAGTTCGGATTGGCAATGTGAGTGAGTGGTGGAGACAGGGAGGGAGGGAAGCTTGGGGTACCACGTGTGAAGTGTAGAGGTTGGGGGGAACCTTTTAAGACAGTTTAGGTTCAGATGCATGGAGAACCAGACAGAACAAATAAAGAAGGATAGAGAGGAGAGAGAGGGAGCTGGTCTTGTCTCCTCTAAACTGTAGTGATAATTGTACCCCCTTCTCAGTTTGAATTCTGTTGAGAATTATTTTCTCAAGAAGAGTCCAGTATTGGGTGGAGGGGAATGTAGAATTCCTGGCTCTAGACCAGTCTGGGGGTAGAGGAGGTTGCACCCCAGGGGACATTAGGTAATGTCTGGAGACATATTTGGTTGTCATAAGTTGGGGGCGGGTTATATTAGCATCTCCTGGGTAAAGGCCAGGGATGTGGCAAAACATCCTACAATGCACAGGGCCACCCCCTCCCACCAAGCACATAATGATCCCGTCTAACATGTCAATAGTCCTGAGGTGAGGAAGCCCGGCTCTAAAACAATGTGTGACTTTGCACAAGTAACTAAACACCTCCGGGTGACTATTTTATCAATCTACGTGACAAATTTTACATGGTATGGTAGATTGCTGGCAAAAATAGCCCAAATTCTCCTCCATGTCCCCCCTGGCCATTGCAATATCACTTTGCAGCTCCTGCTATCAAGACATGGAGTCTGTTCCTCACTCTTTGAATCACGGCTAGCCTGTGTCTTGCTTTGTTCAGCAGAATCTGCAGAATTGGTAGCACCAAGTCTAGGCCTCAGAGGCTTTGCACAGTTCTGTTGTCTCCTTCCGAGCCCTGCTCTCCTGTGTGCGTGAGCCTGGGCTAATCTGCTGGAGGATGAGACACCACGTGTACAACAGGCAAACTGCCCTACCCTGTCTATGCTAAAAATACAATTGCTAAAAATTGCAAGATACAGTCCAGCCTAGAGTAAAACTATCTACTGACCGAGGACCATGGACTGCAGACCCTAGCTGAGATAAGAAAACCCACCCAGGTAATCCATAGTTTCCTGGGAGATAACAGATTCGTACTTTTTTTTTTTTTTTTTTTCCTTTGAGATGGAGTTTCGCTCTTTTACCCAGGCTGGAGTACAGTGGCACGATCTTGGCTCACTGCAACCTGCCTCCTGAGTAGCTGAGATTACAGGCACCCACCACCATGCCCAGCTAATTTTTGTATTTTTAGTAGAGACAGGCTTTCACTTGAACCCCTGACTTCGTGATCCGCCCACCTTGGCCTCCCTAAGGGCTGGAATTACAGGCGTGAGCCACCATGCCTAGCTCCAGATTCTTACTGTTTAACCCACTGAATTTCAGGGTGGTTCATTATGCAACAATAGCTAGCTAATATGCAAGGTCTTGAAATTAAGACTCAACGGTGAATTCCAAGGGGAATGGGAAACATCTCAAGATTTGCTTCCTTTGTTAATAGCTGACATTTTCCTAAGTCCGATAGCTTTAAATGAATCAAGATGTGCATAACTGCATCCTTTGATACCCAATTAATGGAGCTGGGCAAGTTCTATCTGGAGACAAGTTTGCTAAAGGTTAATTTTATTCACTTTTATCAGGACAAGTTGCAGCAATCAACTCTGACTTAAACAATAGCGAAAGGGCATTGGTGAGGACACCAGGAAGCTGATGAATACACAGCCTTCAGCAACATCGGGAGTCAGAGCTGCTCCAGGGATCTTGGCAGGAGGGATTTGTGGCTCTCCTTCCAGAATGCTGTCAAGGGTGACAGAGGCCTAAGCACCTTTCATCCTCATGTAATTTGTGCTCCAGATTTGAAGACCAGGGTGGAAGAACCTCATTGGCTTTCCTTATGTCACCTGCTCTGCTAATAGGTGGTATCGTTTGATTGGCACCTCTGCCATTCCCACGTAGAGTGGAAAAGGGCAATCAGACAGAAACAGAAGGTGCCGTCTGCCTCCCTCCTCCCTACCCCTTCCCCTGCCACCCACAACCCTACAGATTGGGAAAGGTAGAATTAGGAAGTATGTTTAGAATTTTTGGTGTGTGGTCTGGACCTCTAAGATGGCTCATCATAGCCTAGCTGGAAAATGGAAAGCCTCCGTCAGAAATTAAAAATCAAATGTAACAGTGCTGTTGACTCTCATACGACTCTCCTCCAGTCACCCTTCACTTGTCATGTCAGTGTCAGCATTTGTGGTAATGGTTTGGGATGTGGAAGGGGGAGTGAGAAGGGAGATAATCCTTCTTCTTCTCCTTCTTCTTCTGAGACAGGGTCTTGCTTTGCTCTCTCTCCCAGGTTGGAGTGCAGTAGCATGATCATGGCTCACTGCAGCCTTGAACTCCTGGGCTCAAGCAATCCTCCTGGCTCAGCCTCCTGAGTAGCTCAGGCTACAGGCATGGACCACCCCACCTGGATAATTTTATTTTTTACTTTGTAAAGATAGGGCCTCGCTGTGTTGCCCAGGCTGGTCTCAGACTCCTAGGTTCAAATGATCCTACAGCCTTGGCCACTGCACCCAGTCTTGATCTGACTTTTGAAGCACTATGTATTTACCGTACTCCAGCCTGGGCAACAGAGAGACATCCTGTTTCTAAATAAGTGTTATCTCTTAGTGCTATTTCTATTCTTGTTGTCAGCTTGCAAGTTGATAGCTGGGGTCAAAAGTGTGACAGTTGTTTGAGTCAGATTTGGACCAGAACATTTTCTGCCACTTATTCCAAGGAGATGGCAAGGGTCAGCGGGGGGTCCTAAAAGTCTCGGGTCCAGACATTAAGTTTCTGCCTTCTGTAAGTCACCCAAAGATCCCCAAAGTGTCCCAGCTGTAGAGACACATGAATTACCTACTTCCCACCTGTAAATTAGGAGGGCTGTACACAATCTGAGGTTTACAACTATTTTTTTCTTTTAATTTTCTTGAACCCTTCAAGTAAAATCTTATGTTGAAGTTCAGCACATATAACTGATAAATGTGAGTCATTTTCATAGAAGCAGTTGTTGTGTGTGTTTTGGGGCGCAGTGGGGAGCAGGGGGAGCAGGTTGGAGCCCTACTCATATTTGGCCTCCCCCTCTTCTCCAAAGTGGCTCTGAAGACATCTCTAGGACCCTCTTGGTTTTGAGGACCACTTGTGAAGACCATGGGACCAGTGACATTGAGGCCTTTCCAAGCTTTGAGTACAATTCTCTGTGTGTAGATTTGAGGAAATGGTCTTCATCAGTGCTGAGATACAGAAGATAGACCTGGTGGAGAAAGCCAGGGGGATGGCAGATGCTGGACCAAGCCATTCTCCTGCCTCAGCCTCCCAAGTAGCTGGGACTACAGGCGCCTGCCACCACGCCTGGCTAATTTTTTATATTTTTAGTAGAGATGGGGTTTCACCGTGTTAGCCAGGACGGTCTCGATCTCCTGACCTCATGATCCGTCCGCCTCGGCCTCCCAAAGTGCTGGGATTACAGGCGTGAGCCACTGCGCCTGGCCTCTTCATCTCCTTTTTTGCACAAAGCAGCACAGTGAGGCAGAAGAACAAGGGCTTTGCAACTCTGATCCCAGCTATCGACTTCTGAGCTGACAACAAGAATATTAATAGTACCAACAGCTAATACTTTTTTTGGGGGGATGGAAATGGATTTCATTTGGCATTTTTACCAAAGATGAGGGTGTTCCCTAGGGAGGTAGCCCAGCAGAGAGCTTAAGAGTCTGGAATGTTGAAGACGAACAGTCTCAGGCTGTAGTCCCCCCAGTCCTGCCACGTGTTAGCTGGATAGTCTCTTTATGGCTCTGAGTCTCAGTTTTCTCAACTGCAAAATGGAGAAGCAACAGTATCTACTTCCTAGAGCTGCTGAGAGAATTTCAGTGTAATGACGAATGGGAGGTGCTTGGAGAGTGAACCTTGGAGAGTGGGTAAATTCTACAAAATATAGAAAAATTGCTCAGGTGGAGAGTGTACATGAATGGAGGGTGAAAGCAGCAGCCAGGTGTGGTGGCTCACACCTATAATCCAAGCACTTTGGGAGGCCAAGGCAGGAGGATTGCTTGAGGCTAGGAGTTTGAGACCAGTCTGGGCAACATAGCCAGACCCCATCTCTAAAAAATAAAAAAAATTAGCTGCCTATTGTGGCAGGTACCTGTAGTCCCAGCTACTCAGGAGGCAGAGGTGGGAGGATAATTTGAGCCCAGGAATTTGAGACCAGCCTGGGCAACATAGCAAGACCCTGTCTCTACAAAAAATAAAGTAGCCGGGCATGGTGGCTCCCACTGGTAGTGCCAACTACTTGGGATGCTGAGGTAGGAGGATAGCTTGAATCCCGGAGTTAGAGGCTGCAGTGAGCTATGATTGCACCACTGGATAACTCCAGCTTGGGTAACAGAGTAAGACCTCATCCGCCCAAAAAAAGTATTAGCTGTTGGTACTATTAATATTCTTGTTGTCAGCTCAGAAGTCGATAGCTGGGATCAGAGTTGCAAAGCCCTTGTTCTTCTGCCTCACTGTGCTGCTTTGTGCAAAAAAGGAGATGAAGAGGCCAGGCGCAGTGGCTCACGCCTGTAATCCCAGCACTTTGGGAGGCCGAGGCGGACGGATCATGAGGTCAGGAGATCGAGACCGTCCTGGCTAACACGGTGAAACTCCATCTCTACTAAAAATACAAAAAATTAGCCAGGCGTGGTGGCGGGCGCCTGTAGTCCCAGCTACTTGGGAGGCTGAGGCAGGAGAATGGCTTGAACCCGGGAGGCGGAGCTTGCAGTGAGCCAAGACTGCGTCACTGCACTCCAGCCTGGGCGACAGAGCGAGACTCCGTCTCAAAAAAAAAAAAAAAAAAAGAAAAGATGAAGAAAAAGGAGGGCACCTCTCACCTTTGCTAGGAGTTTGCTCCTAACATTCTCTTCTCTAATGCTAGGGGTCCCAGTCCCCATTCTCTCTCTTACAAAGGACCATTCACTTTTCCTGTCGTCCCCTGACAAGACCTCCAGGAGCGAAATTAAAGCAATAAGAGCTAAACTGTCTGTGATCGGAGAACAGAGAATGTGATAATGATATATAAAGCTTAAAAGCACTAAGTGGGCAAAACTGGTGCTAGAGAAGTGAGTAAAACCAAGACAAATCCGTCCCTTGAGAGCTATAACACATAACTTAAATAACCGGAGCAGCAGGGGTCCGTTATCCCTTGGAAGAGCGGTTTGCACTCCCGTGGAGCACAGCCTCTGCCCAGCATCCATAATTCCCCATGTGCTTAGGACTGGTCACCACAGCCTCAGGGTTAACTGCTGGTTGGATCAGGGTTTCTGCTGCCACCTGGGCACATGCAGCCCACCCTATCTGGCAGCAGACATCTGAGGTCTAACCTCAGCAGTAAGATGGACTGGAGAAAGAACTGCATGGACACTGAGAGGACTCAGATTTTGTTTTTGCCTCCACCCTTTTTGAGCTGTGTGACCTTGATTAAGTTACATCACCTTTCTGAAGAACCCTGTCTTTTTTTTAAAAAAAACTTTCTATTTAAAGTTGTGGGTCTCAACATGGGGTCCCTAGAGGAAAAGCATCAGTATCACTTGGGAACATGTTAGAAATGCAGATTCTTGGGCCACACCGCAGACCCATGAAACTAGAAACTCTGGGGGTGTCTCCTAGAAATCTGTGTTTTAACGAGCCTTCTGGTACATGCTGAGGTTCGGGAATGAGTCTTTTAAGAAAAATGATCCCAACTTGTGTTTTTATTCCCTGGCATCCTTAACTCGTTAATAAGGAGGGAAGGAGTTCAATGTTAATGGGAGCTAGCTGGGCTTCCAGGAAGTTCCTGGGCTAAGTCACAAGAGCTTTTGTTCCAGGAGACATTTGGGGCATGCTGAGGCAGGAGGATCCCTTGAGTCTGGGAGGTTGAGGCTGCAGTGAGCTGTGATCAAGCCACTGCGAAGTCTCCATACCTCTCTAAGATTCACTGCAGGTGTGTGTACTTCCTTCATTCCAGGCCCAGCTGACTTTTTTCCCTTCCATAGTCCTTTGCTCTTTCCCCCTTCCCTTCTCCCAGACACAAGAAATGCTTTCAGTCTGGGAAAAGTTCAGGGAGGTGGGAACTTGTCTCTACCCAATAGCAATTTTTCTATATTTTGCAGAATTTATGCCCTAATTCCTTTTAGCCGTGGGCTTTTGAAGCTCAAAAGCTCACGTTTGGAAACTCACAATATGAGGCATTTGAAATTTAAAGCCTTTTCCTTTGCTTTTCTGCAGCCCCTTTATTAAGCAAATAAATGCTGTTAAATCGAGTTGCTGCTGGAGTCAGGGAAAGGAAAGAGAGTGAGGAGTAATGAGAGTGATATGGAGGAGAGAGTGCAGTCAATGATTTCAAAGGTAAATGTCTTTCCACATAAACTTGTGATATAAATAAAGAGAGGAACAGGCATTCTGCTGAACATCTCTGGGCAACATTACCCTTTATTTAAAAAACTCTACACGCCTTATTTTATGGAGAGTTCTGGAACCCAAGATAGGAATGTCACTTATGTGCATATTCTTACGCCAGCTTTCCTTCCCACATACCATTATGATAACTCTCCATCCCTGTAAATAACCAGGGGGTCTCTCTTCCTTCTGACCCTTGCACAACGTAGCTAGCTGGAGTGATCCATTTCTTCTTCTTCTTTTTTTTTTTTTTTTTTTTTTTTGAGATGGAGTCTCGCTCTGTCACCCAGGCTGGAGCAATCCATTTCTATCTTTCGTGACACCCGTCTGGTACTACTTTGAGAACTAGATGAAAACTAGAAGTGCTTTTTGTCTATTTAAAAACCTTATTATGCTGGTTTCAATGTGTTTTTTGGTAGTTACAGTTCTGAGAAGTGTGGATTTTGCAGTTCCACACTGTTAAGCATGATCTCACTGTTGTGTATCTGGGTAAAAGGTGATTTAAAGGCATCGCAAGGAGCCAAGCTTCCATCTGATGAGAAATGCAAAAAGACACAAGGGGGCCATTCCTGGAAGTGTGAAACTCTATGTTCAACAGGACCAAGAGACGAGTCGGTTGCATATTTACATTTTACATTTATGTGATGCATTAGAATTTATAAAGCGTATTCACATGCATTAATCACTAAGATGGAATTTTAACAGGCAACTGGTACGAGCTGCATTGGAATAAGAGGGATTGATAGTATTTAAGGACCAGTCAGAAGAGGACTGATGGTATTTAAGGACCAGTTACAAAACAGGCTGGTTGCAGTGACTCACACTTGTAATTCCAGCACTTTGGGAGGCCGAGGCAGGAGGATCACTTAAGCCCAGGAGTTCCAGATCAGCCTGGGCAACATAGTGAGACCTCCATCTCTACAAAAAATGTTTTAAAAAATTAGCTGGGAACGGTGGCATGTGCCTTTAGTTCCAGTTACCTGGGAGGCTGAGGCAGGAGGATCACTTGAGTGCGGGGGGGGGTTGAGGCTGCAGAGAGCTACGATCACACCACTGCACTCCAGCCTGGGTGACAGATCCTGTCTCAAAAAAAAAACCAAAAACAAGCAGAAAGTGAAAAAATAGTGACAGAGTATATTTCTTTGAATCATGCCTTCAATTGCATGTGCTCCTTGGTTAAGAACACTCATTGAGGATTATATTTAACTTTTCTGTTTTATTTTATATAGAAAAACCCATATTAGAGCAAAATATACCTTAGTAGTGGTAAGCTGTGGTGACTCTAATTAATACTGCTTTCTAACTACTCTACAGGAAAAGTGATCTACAGGGTTTACCTGTAGAAATACAGCAGTGCCATAGCCAGGCGTGGTGGCTCACACCTGTAACCCCAGCACTTTGAGAGGCTGAGGCAGGTGGATCATGAGGTCAAGAGATCGAGACCATCCTGGCCAACATGGTGAAACCCCGTCTCTACTAAAAATACAAAAATTAGCTGGGCATGGTGGCACCCACCTGTAGTCCCACCTACTTGGGAGGCTGAGGCAGGAGAATCACTTGAACCCAGGAGGCAGAGATTGCAGTGAGCCAAGATCGCGCCATTACACTCCAGCCTGGGCAACAGAGAGAGACTCCGCCCCCCCCCCCCAAAAAAAACAAAACAAAACAAAACAAAAAAAGCAGTGCCATTAGGCACTAGTGCCAGAGTGGTTGCATGCATCTGGATTCCCTGGAAATTCCTGGGAGCGGGAGTGACAGAGCCCAGTCCTGTCACTGAGTGGGTTCTTAAGATGACCACGGTTCCTGTTTTCCCACAGCCCTCTGTCAAGTCTTCACCGACGGGCAGACAGCACAGTTCACATTTCAGTCACGGCACTGGCTTGCCCCTCTTGCTTGGCAGAGAAAGGACAGTGACTCCCTTACCTGGAAGGTTGTGCTCTTATCTAACAGAAGGAAGGTGAAGAGGTGCAGAGCAGAGGATGACAGCCGGGGGGCAACATGACTTTTGCTGGATGTGAGAAATGCCAAGTCAGTCGCTATACCGACCTTAGTTCTTCAGCCCCACGTCCCATTTGAGACGCATATTCCTGCATTCTAGGGATACACCCAACTGACCTGTTTCATGGAGGGAAATTAGAGTTTGGCTTTGGCTGTCAGTTTCTGAAAGGAATTAAAGGGTTTGCTCCTCATCCTCCATGCCGTGCTATAATACACCAAAATGACCACCCGGCAGTTTGCAGCTGAACTCAGACATCATATAGTCAGTTACATCTCTCTCGTCAGATAACAAATGTCTTGGACCCCACTGTGGAGGGGTAATTGGAATTCAGCTACCGTGGGAACTCTACCTTAATTGCCATACAGGATGACAACAAGGGAGCCCAAATAGCAGAATACATCCCTGTATCATTTTTTTCTTGGCTTGGCAGAGGTGTGTGTAGTGCTGGTGTATTAGGGTTCTCGAGAGGGACAGAACTAATAGGAGAGATGTATATATAAAGGGGAGTTTATTAAGGAGTATTTACTCACACAATCACAAAGTGAGGTCTTACAGTATGTTGTCTGCAAGCTGAGGAGCAAGGAAGCCAGTCTTGAGTCCCAAAGCTGAAGGACGTGGAGTCTGATGTTCAAGGGCAGGAAACATCCAGCTCGGGAGAAAGATGGAGGCCAGAAGACTAAACCCGTCTATTCTCTCCATGTTCTGCCTGCTTTTATTCTGGCCACACTCACAGCTGATTAGATGGTGCCCATCCAGATTGAGGGTGGGTCTGCCTCTCCCAGTCCACTGACTCAAATGTTAATCTCCTTTGGCAACACCCTCACAGACACATCCAGGAACAGTACTTCGCATCCTTCAATCCAATCAAGTTGACACTCAATATTAACCATCATAGCTGGGTTCTGTCAGTTGCTCTCCCAGGACTTTCCAGGGAATACAGATTAGTAGAGATAGAAGAAGATAAGGAAAGACTATTGCATGGAAGAGTTGCCTTAGTGATGATGAAATTGGAGGGAAATATGTAATGCTGCTGTGTTGGAATCTTCCCCATGAAGAATGCTTTCCCACCTTGGATCTACAGAGATGTCTTTTGTAATAGGGTTTGGCAGAAAAAGCAACAGACTAGGAGTCAGGCGGTCTCTGCTTTGCTATTTACATCCACCTAATTCGTAGAACCCAGACCCAACCTGCAAACTACTAAGTCCTGGCAAAACCGCAGCCATTAGCATGGGATCCACATTCCCAGTGCATGTTTAGATGGCCTTCTCTTCACCCTCTCTGATTCCTGGTTAATGTTTTCTTTGCCACCCTGACTTATGAGTATCAGGACTCATGAGCAGCAAGAAATAGAAAACCCAGCTCAGACTGACTCAGGCCAAAAAGGGTATCCGTTGGCTTATCTAATTGTAGGCATTGCTGGGTATAAGGACTCCTTTGATTTGATTGGGACTCAGTTTCTTGCCATCTCTCAGTTCTGAGTTCCTTTTCCTTGACTCCACTTTTTAGCAGGGTCTTTCCTCCTGATGATGAAATAGTTGCCAGAGATGCTAAGCTTATATCCTCTAAAGCTTCAACTTCAGTAAAACAGAGAGCCAACTTCTGTTTCAGCAATGTCAGTAGTGTGTGTCACTAGCTTTGGAAGGGTGATTCTCCTGATTTGGGACTAGATCAAATGTTCCCCCCAGCGAGGTGTGGTGGCTCATGCCTGTAAACCCAGCACTTTTGGAGGCCGAGGCAGACAGGTCACTTGAGGTCAGGAGTTTGAGACCAGCCTGGCCAACATGGTGATAACCTATCTCTACTAAAAATACAAAAATTAGCCGGGCATAGTGGTGGGCACCTGTAATTCCAGGTACTTGGGAGGCTGAGGCAGGAGAATCGCTTGAACTTGGGAGGAGGATGTTTCAGTGAGCTGAGATCACGCCACTGTACTCCAGTCTGGGTGACACGGCGAGACTCTGTCTCCAAAAAAAAGTACCCCCGCCCCACCTCTGCAGGAGAGGAAGCCCCACTCGAATCACTTGGGTTAAAAGTAGGGGAAGGGTTAATCTCAGGTGAAAAGGAGGTAGTACTGTTGCAAGAAGAGGGACTGGATAGATGTGGGTGACCCAACCATAACTACCTACTCTCCCTCAGCTCCCAAAACATAGCTCAAGCGTTCCTCAGTAGCAGGAATTTTACAAAACACTGCTGCAAGTTCCAATAAGAGGTATGTTGCAAATACCTAAAATTAGCTGGAATTTGTAACGAGTTTTTATTTTTAAAAATAAGTTAGAGTGGATTCAGAGTTATCCTGGTAAAGCTTTCAGTGATGGATATGTGAGCATTTTAATACGGTTGGCTCTATTTGTGTAAAACTTTGAAAATTTTCACAACAAAAAAGGTATCCCCTAAAGAATATCAATTTTACTCATTTGTTTTCCAAAACACTTTTTTTTATATGGGAGGTAGGTTGTCAGAGAAGGGGTGCTCAGGCCTGCTTGTTAGACTAGAGAAGGCTTCCTGGCCAAGTGACAGCTCAGGATGTGGGAAGTAGTAACAGCCAAGTGAGTGCATTTTTTTTTTAAGAGATGGGATCTCACTCTGTCACCCAGGCTGGAGTGCAGTGGCACAATCACAGCTTACTGCAGCCTTGACTTCCTAGGGTCAAGCCATCTTCCCACCTCAGCCATTCTAGTAGCTGGGACTATAGGCACACCACACCACCTGGCTAATTTTTTATTTTTTGTAGAGATGGGGTCTTGCTATGTTGTCCAGGCTGGTCTTGAGACCAGAACTCCTGACCTCAGGTGATCCTCCCACCTCTGCCTCCCAAAGTTCTAGGATTATAATTATGAGCCACCACACCTGACCTGCATTTTGAATACAATATGAGAAGGGCTTTGTAAACTGTAAAGTGCCATAAAAGTATTGTAAGTATGTGGTGGAAGAATATTTTTGAAATATTAACATGATTTTCCCCTCAGCTTTTTTTCCCATTCTTACTGCCTTTGTTTTCTCCTCACTCAGCTAAGCCAATCTATATTCATTCTATCAGGAGGAAGACTATGACAGCAGGAGAAAGAACAAAGAATCTTCTAAGGGGCACAGAAAAGAGAGAGTTATTAAGTCTTCCCCACCACCAGACTAGTAAAAAGATTCCCTAGACTGGGAGAACAGAGAGAGCCAGAAGTTCTATGCCTGAAGCTTTCCAATGACAAAATAAGAATTCCCCATGGCAGGTGAATGGGTAAATGATGGAAGTGTCCTATGCATGAATTATTATGTAGCCTTTAAAACGAATGCATTAAATCTATGCCAGTTCATTTGGAGGGGGCTTCTGGTTTACAACACCAGCGAGATGTAGACAAAGATGCTACAAAATTCCTTTTTGTAGAACAAATGATGCCCAGCCCCCATTATTAACATAGACATTTGCATGTTTGCATACAGTTGCATGAGCATGGGCAAAAAGTATGAAAAGATACACTTTGCTTCCTAACACTATTTACCTGGGGAGAGAAAATAAGTGGGAGGAATAGAAACTTAAAAAGTATGCACAATAAAAAAGCATTTGTGGCAATTCCATTTATGTGATATTCATATGTATACATACGTGTGTGAATGCGTATGTGTGTATGAAAAGATTACCACCAACTCAAATGGTACAGATATGTATGAAGAAACTCAAGATAAATAATAGTAACATTTTGATTATTGAGTTTCCTTATAGTTATCTAAATTGTTCAAATTATTTTCTCAAGCTTCATGTATTTTCCCACTTTTAAGCAGGCAATAACAGAAACTATCTTAAAGATAACACATTTAAATTTACTGACACACAGTAGGCACCTAATAAATAGTTTAAAGAAAATAAGTATAATTCTCAAAATTCAATAAAGATCTTGTCATTGTGGAGACAAAAAGAACCACGCTTGGAGAGAAGCCAGAGATAGCTGAGAAGATGCTCACTCTGTCTTCTCCTTGAAAGAAAAGCCAACACAGATTTAAGAGGTCCAAAAATGATAGAGAGGAAGAGAGAGAGAGAGAAAGATTTTCAACCTGCTGCTTTTCAACCAAAACATTGCAGCAAGGGCTGCAAGCCACATACGTGGAATATACTGAGAATTTAGCATCTGATCATGAGCAAACTCAGAGACATGGATGGTCCTTCCTGCTACTTCTTTGAGTTTGCAGGGCTTGGAGGCTGTAGCAGTGAGTGGTGCTGCTGTCCTAATGTCCTGACTATACCGGGAGCCACTCTTCGATCATTCTTCTGTCCATTCAGATGAGTAGAGATGGGCTGCATGAACGGTTTTATCCCCAGGATCAAGTGGAGCATCTGGCATGGAACAGCCAGCCACTCAGTAAGTGCTGGGTGAATGCATAAATAAGTAAGGGAATGAGTAAATGAAGGGTTGAGTATGTGAGTGAGTGAGTGAATGGGTGAGACAATGGATGAATGAATAAATTTGCACCCCAGAAGAAGCTCTGACACAGCTTTGAATTACTCCTCCAGATGCGAGGGGCTTTGTGGAGAGCTGTCCATCATCCTTGCCTGCCCAAGGACAATGACTTCTCAGCTTTCACCATGCATCCTGCAGCCATGGAGGGAAGCAAAATTAACTGGTCTCCATCAGCCTCCCCATCAAACATTTGCTGAGCACCCATCATGTGCAAAATATTGACTAGGAACTGTGGGAGATGGGAAGAATTCTGGAAACTCCTAACTCTCAAGGAATTTGCAGGGTTATCAGACAGTTGCCACACAAAGACATAAAAACATCCCCTGCTAAAATAAAGACCACGCCAGATATGTGCTGTAGGTATTCACCCCTGCAGGAACTCTGGGGAAAATGGGGCAGGAGGAGTCACCCTTGGATGTCACAAATGGCTCTCCAAAGGAAATAGAACAACATCGCAGCATGAATTCTGAAGCCGGCCCACCTGCCTGCCTTGAATTACAGCTTCCACCAGCTGTCTGGCCTTGGACAAACTACTTAACTCTCCACATCTGTCAAATGGGGATAATAATATAACAATCCCCCAATATTGTGAGGATGAAATAAGCTAATACTTAGGAAAAGCTTGGAACAGTGCTTGGCACGTCTTAAGTGTGATATGTGTGAGCTCCTTCCTTGATTCTCATTCTGACTTGAAGAGGATTTTTAGAGGGGAGACCCAGGGAACAGTGGGGCAGCCTAGACGGGTGGAAAGTGTTATGCTGGAGGCTTAACCTAACCTGGTTCAAAACCTGGTTCTGCTATTTCTACCAGTGTGACCTTGACTTAAACTCTCCAAAGCTCAGTTCCTCACTTATAAAATGGTAATAACAAAACCAATTTCATTGAAAACGTATGCTAACGATGCCATGATAAATAATAGTTATTATTAAAGAGAAACACAGTAAAGAAGTTCCCAGAGGGAGGTGAATAAATTAAGCATGATGACGTGCCTTGCTACTTCCCCATCTTTCTCTTCTTCCCCCAGATTTGTTCAAGGTCTCATCATTACTGGTTTGCATTTCTATTTTAATCATGTTATAGGTTTACAGTATTTTTCCCCCTGCATCTTTATATGCTATAATTTGGGTACTATTTTTACACAACGAAGCCATTTTTAACCGAGAACAGATTCAATTGTCTTTCAGCATATATCATTGTTTATCTTAATTAATGCTAAAATATTCTTAGGGGGAAAAACACATCCCACAGAGTATTATGCGAAGAAACTTAGCATTCATTTTTGCCTCCCTCTTTTCTGGCATATCAATTTATAAAGGTTTTAGCATCCTGTTATTTCAATGACAATAATGCATGCTCTTAAACGCAGACACCCATCTGTGGGAAGCAAGTCACAGGGTGTCAACAGCAGCAAGGTGTGTGTTGCAGTGGAGGTGGAGGATTGACAGCTGGAAGAAGAAGGGGATTTTGCTGGTGAGAATAATGCCAAGTGAAGTCATAGGCTTTGTCTCTGATTGATCCATGGAAACATTCCTTGAGTAGAGCTGAATCTAGCTAGATTCCATGCTTGGAGTCTTTCTTAGTAAGGCTACTACTATAAGCACAGATGATGGAAAATGGATGATGTTTTTATTCATCATCCATTCTCTTTCCTTCAAATAAGATGCCCCATGCACCTCTGAGGGAATGACCCTTTACACACTCAACCTAAGTTTTTTGCCTCTCCCTCCAGCTCTAGGGTGGGCATGTGATATAGAACTGACCAATCAATATCTATTATCTTTCTGGCCACAGTGATTGGGCAAGGGATAGCCATGTGACCCAATCAGAGCCAAGAGACTCAGTTTTGAGGCTTTAGATAGAACCACTGGGAAAGAGGGTTCTCTTTCTACTGGGATGCTGACCTGGCAGGAATATTACCCAGAGCTGCCTGTGACCATCTTTACTATGAAAAGGGGAGAGCTTGCCAAAGAATGAAGCTGTATTATAGTCTGTTCTCATGCTGCTAATAAAGACATACCTGAGATGGGGTAATTTATAAAGGAAAGAGGTTTAATGGACTCAAAGTTCCACATGTCTGGGGAGGCCTCACAATCATGGCAGAAGGCAAACGAGGAGCAAAGTCACGTCGTACATGGTGGAAGGCAGGAGAGCGTGTGCAGGGAAACTCCCCTTCATAAAACTATCAGATCTCGTGAGACTTACGAGAACAACACAGGAAAGACCCGCCCCCATGATTCATTTACCTCCCACTGGGTCCCTCCCATGACACATGGGAATTAAGGGAGCTACAATTCGAGATGAGATTTAGGTGGGGACACAGCCAAACCATATCAGAAGCCAATATGAAAGAAAACAGAACTGAGAGATGGAGGCAGACTCTTGATGACAACTCCTGGACCCTGGATCAATTTTTGTTTAAAGCCAGTCTGCACTCTGCATCTTTGATGTAAACCAATGTATTTCCTTTATTTGTTTGTTTAAACTAAATTAAGTCATTTGTAATTTAAAGAGTTCAGAGAGGTGCCGTGTTTCAGTAGGGAACTGTAAAAAGCCAGGATATTCTGTAAATTAGAAGGGAATAATGTGGTGTTGACCACATCTGGGAGAATGTGCATCTGAGGGTGTCTTGCATGCCAAACTCACTTGTCTTCCTAATCAAGCAATAGTTTGGTAACTGAGAAGTTCCAAGTAGCCTTTAAGTCACACAATCATACTAGAGGAACTCCTAAGAACCTGGGTGACATTGTGATATAAAATGTGGAACTTCACTAGGTTATGCAAGAACCTCTGAAAAGGGTTGATAGGAAGGGTGTACGTTAGGTGTGTAAAGAACTAGGTGTGGGGGAACTAACTAGTACAAAAGGGATCTGGTGAATTTGGATTCTACCCTACTCGAGATGATGTTGGAGGGCTCTGATCAAAGTAGGGGTTTGGGGGCAGAATTATGACAAGTATCTATAGGAAGTCACTATCTTTTATTAAAAATTTGTTGTGAACCTGTCCTCACTCATAGTTGGGAATTGAACAATGAGAACACATGGACACAGGAAGGGGAACATCACACTCTGGGGACTGTTGTGGGGAGGGGGGAGGGATAGCATTAGGAGATATACCTAATGCTAAATGACGAGTTAATGGGTGCAGCACACCAGCATGGCACATGTATACATATGTAACTAACCTGCACATTTGTGCACATGTACCCTAAAACTTAAAGTATAACAAAAAATTTGTTGTGAACCAGATACTGTACTAAATGACTTACCTACACTGTTGTATTTAATTCTCTCAACAACCTGATGAGTTCTGTATCTTATTATATCCATTTTACATGTAAGGGAGCTGAGGCTTAGAAAGCTGGAGTGACTTGGTCTGCCATGGCTAGGATTTCAGCTCATGTCTGTATGACTCGAAAGCATCTAGTGGGTGGTAACATTGGTTTGTAGACTTGAAACAACTTTGGCTAATGACTGGGGCACATGGAAGAGGGGACAGAGTCCAGCTTCCAAAGTTAGAAGGCTACCAAAACTAAGGTTTTGGTCAGAGATTCAACATTCCAGGGGCAGACCCTGATCCCAATGGGAGAGTAGATTTGATAGGGAAACTGAGGCAGGATCCTGGGACTGGAGCCAACACAGGGAGCATTAGTTGGGAGGGTTGTTGTGACCAGTCAACATACTTCTGGGGGCTTGTGGCAAAGAACAAACACAGAACTCCAAATGAATTCCCTGCCAGAGCTTGTTCAGAGTTGGCTTGGGATAGGAGAATCTGAGGGGAGTATGAGGCTGACAGAGAAAAAAGAGAGTCTTGTGGAATCCTAAGATTTAAAAAGAGAGGAAGAAAAGATGCCTTTTATTTATTAAACAGTGATTACGAAATACCTAACACATGGCCACGATTAGACTAGGCTCTTCCCATACATGAAGCTCAGAGAGGTCAAGTGAGTTGTTCAGGGTAACACAGGAGCTGTGCCTGGGTATGAAGCTGTATCTGCTCAAACATAAAGGTCTTTTCATGGTGCCAGAGTCTACATTTCCCAGAGTACTAAGATAGTGACTTGATCATCAGCACTAAATATGTGTCGTAAAGATAGCTCACATTTACAGATATTATAGCTACTCTGTGCCCTGCAAGGTGCTAACGACTTTACTTGGATTATCTCAACTTATCCCCCAGACAACCTATGACGTTTAGCCAGGCATCATCATCATCATCATCATCATCATATCATCGTTATCCTCATCCTCATCCTCATCATTGTTCTTGAATGATGAAAATTGGAGCTCAGAAACTCAACCTGTGTCAAGATTACAAAGCTAGCAATTCTGGGTCAGAACCTGAACCCAGGCAGCCCGCACTTTCGATGTGCCCAAGCTTATATCTCCACCTACAACTCTGCCTCAGTTTCTCCCTCTGTAAAATGAAGACAGTAATAAGGCACCTCACAAGGTTATTGTGAGAACAAAATGAACCGCTGCATACTAGGAGCTTAACAGACTGGCAAAGAAAACTCCATCAATGTTGGCTTTCATCGGGGCTATTTTAATTTTTGCATCACCCTCTTCAAAAGGGCACTTCTCGCTTTCCCACGGCTAAGCTGCCACACTCAAGTGTGCTGGAAAAAAAGGCTGGGTAGCTCACAACGTGCGGGGGCATCTTAGTGTAATCCTGGGGTGAGAGATAAAAGAAGCTCGCTTGACATAACTTCATAAACCCATTTTAATCTAAACATTGATTTTCCTTTGGAACAATCCCTTTCCCCTTGCTCACAGTCCCACCACGCCTCTAATACAGACGTGGGTATTGATAACATTATTGAGATAAAACAGTCGCCTCTTTCTTATTCCCTTTATTCATCAGTCACCCCAGGCCTGTCTTTGTCTTTTTTCATCCTCTGCTACCCAGCATTATTCATTGGAGTGCCTTCTTTTCCCTCACCCTCCATAACTCAAGGTGAAAGTTTTCAGTAATGACAAGTAGTAAAATATGAGAGATTTAAGCAAATTCAACTGGAAATAATGTGAAAAAATATTATTCGCTCCGGACACATGCTTCTCTTTTGATCTTCCTTGTCCAAGATACATTTTAAAAAAAATACTCCTTTGATAACAAGAAGTGAGCAGGGGCTAAAAGGAAACCTTATGTCTTTGTTGGGAAATAATTAGTCTGATCGAATCGCTTGCTTTCTGATGGACAAAGGAGTCTTTAAAGAAAATCATTTGTGTTCTCTGGGCCCCTTCAGGCAGCACAGCTTTCCGAGGCTTGGGCTTTTAGATGAGAGTTTGGGGAATGGAAAATTTCCCTGAATAAGAAATCAGAGAGCTTGACCTACACAGTTACCTCTCTCTTAACATGACAACAATTGGCAATTACTTTTTGATCCAAAGTGTGAGGATGAATATGGAAAGGAAGGGCGAATCATTCTCCTTCTTCTCAAGCTCATTCTCTCTTTAGACCTGCACCTGAAGCTGATTTTCTTTTCTTTTTTTTTTTTTTCCAGTCCCAGCAATTCAATATAATCTATAGCTGGAAATACCTATGTTAGCTGCAGCTGGGGGAAAAAGCAGTTGGCAAATTCATGAATCAGGGCTTCTTTTCTTTTTCGCTTGTGAAAGGTAACTTCCGACAGCTTAAGGGTGATTTGGAATGAAGCGTGGGTTGGTTCCTAGTGTCAGCACATTGCCTAGTTGTTCCAGCCAGGCTGGCTGTAATGAAGCGTGGACATCCATACATAGTTTCAGTGTCAGGGACACCGGTGACTCTAATGAAGAGAGGACCTTAACTTTGATGCAGAATCATGATTGTTTATAGCTGTGTGGTGAAGAATGGGCTCTGAAATCCATCGCACTTCGGTGAAAATGCTGTTTGGTCTGCAATGTGAAGCTGATAGCTTAATTTCTCTGATACTCAGTGTCTTTACCTGTAAAATGGTGCCAATATCAAAGTAGCTGTCTGGTATAGCAGGGTTTCTTAATCTTGGCATTATCAACATTTGGGGCCAGGACATTCTTCATGGTGAGGGGCTGCCCTGGGCATTGTAGGGTGTTTAGCAGCATCGTTAGCTTCTACCCACTAGATGCCAGTAGCACTCTCCCCCCACCCCATTATGACAACAAAAATCGTCTCCAGACACTGCCAGTGTCCCCTGGGAGGCGCAATCCCTCCTCCCTCCCCTCACCGAAAGCCGCTGCCATGGAGCTATTGTGAGAATGAAATGAAATAATCCATACAATGCTCTCAGCACTGTTTAGTAGACAGTACATAGTAAATGCTCAATACGAATTAGTTGTTACTCAGACACCAAGAGGGTAACAACAGGCGCACAGACACTGGGGCCTATTTGAGGGTGGAGGATGAGAGGAGGGAGAGGAGCAGAAAAAATAACTATTGGGTACTAGGCTTAGTACCTGGGTGATGAAATCACAAACCCTAGTGGCACAAGTTTACCTATAGAACCAACCTGCACATGTACATCTGAATCTAAAATAAAAGTTTGAAAAATGAATAAATAACTATTACTTGTTACTGTATTAATAAAACTGTCAATAGAAACTCAACACAATCATTTTTTTTCTCTTGAAGAATCTTATAGAATCTCTGGATCTTTAGTGTCCCAATTTCCCTGATATTGGCTAGGAAACCTCAGTTGCCCCACCTGCCACTTGTCAAATGTTTTGTTTTTGGCAAAACCATCCAGTGCTAGGAGCAGGCAAGTCAATTTCCAAGTGGTTCTGTGAATGAAGGGTGTCCTCTCACTTTAGTCCCAGGGAAATAGCTAATGCACCTGGGTTTAATACCTAGGTGATGAGTTGATAGGTGCAGCAAACCACACAGGCACACTTCTACCTATGTAACAAACATACACATCCTGCACATGTACCCCAGAACTTAAAAAAAAAGTTCAGAAAGGATCAGGAAAGGAGAGATCATATCCATAGCAGTAGGGACAGCAACACTGAGGATCTGAGTAATTAGAAGTCAACCAAAGCTTCCTCATCCTTTGGGGAGAAAGCAGGATGCCCAGAAGAGGTAACCGCAGTTGCTCCCTGGGGCCTGGAGGTCTTGTGTGCATGCTGGAGTGGGAACAGGGAAAGGGGCAGGTGGCGAAGAGCAACAGATGCAATCAACTTTCTCCATCTATGCTTTAGTTCTAGCGACTTCTACCACTTGATGGACTGCACCTAATAGTAACCACTGTTTGAACTCTATCATGGCCTGAGTTGTGTCTCCTCAAAATTCAAATGTTGAAGCCCTATTTGGAGATAGGAACCTTAAGAAGGCAATTAAGGTGAGGCCCTAATCCAATAGAGCTGATGCCCTTGTAAGAAGAGAAAGGCACCAGCACTCTGTTTTTCTCCTTATGCAGAGGAAAGGCTGTGTGAGGATGGAACAAGAAAGCAGCCATCTGCAAGCCAGGAAGAGTGATCTCACCAGAAGTTGAATTTGCTGGCACCTTGATCTTGAACTTCTAGCCACCATAACTGGAGAAAACAAATGTCTGTTGTTTAAGGCCCATCCTGTGGTATTTTGCTATAGAGATCTGAGCAGACCAATATAAGTGCTTACCAGGTGCTCGGCGTGGTCACTCATTTCGTTCTCATAATGACACTTTGAGGTAGGTTTTACAGAAGAGGAAACAAGCTCAGAAAGGTTAAAAACATGTCCAGCGTCCACACAAATAGGAAATGTACTGCTGGGCCTGTCCATCTTCAAAAAAATGAGGTCCTTAACCACCATCTCAATGTGGGCTGTCTCTATCCCCACATCACCATTTCTAGAATGTTGACATTGTACAAGTCTCTATGTCAGGGATTTAAATAAATTAGCTCTTGCACTTTGGGAGACCAAGATGGGAGGATCACTTGAGACCAAGAGTTTGAGACCAGCCTTTCCAATATGGTGAAACCTCGTCTCTACTAAAAATACAAGAATTAGCCAGGCATGGTGATGCACACCTGTAGTCCCAGCTACTCAGGAGGCTGAGGCAGGAGAATTGCTTGAACCCAGAAGGCGGAGGGTGCAGTGAGCTGAGATCTCATTGCTGCACTCCAGCCTGGGCAACAGAGCTAGATTCCATCTCAACACCCCCATCCCCACCCCCCGAAGAAAAGTACATCAGCTCTTTTAAATCTCTGGGTGGGGAACTCTTGCTGTGAGAAATGAGCTGATATTTGGTCTTTAGATATCACAGAAACAGCTACTGAATTTTACTGTCTACAATTTTAATCCAACCAAGGATTCTGAGGGTGCATGGGGGTGAGGGCTCAGAAAGAGAAGAGCCCATTCAACTCCAGGTCACTCCAGGTGAGTTCACTCCAGGTCAAGAGTCAGCCAATGCTATTAGTGGCTGCAATTTGCTTTTCAGGGATCTGCTTTTATGCAAATGAAAGCAAGAGGTCTCCAACTAAGGAAGGGGAATGAACATCCCTCCTCTGCCCTACAATTCTAGTCCAAGATGTCTTTCTCCAGCTGGGGGCTTAGCAACAAATTGTATCTTCCTCCTTCGTTTCCTTCCAAGGACAATGAATAATCATAATTCAAAGTAGAGCAAAGAGCCTGCATTTACACAGTGCACATTTCCAATGTTTTTTGAGATTACCTGATTTTACCTTCAAGTCATCATGGGAGGCAAGTGCTTTCTGACAGATGAAGTCAAGACATAGAAGTGAGGACTCTTGACCTCAACCCACTGCATTTTTCCCAGGTGGTGCCATTTGGCTGGCAGTAATGCTGTAGCCACTTGGCATCCATCACAGGTAAGGGCAGCAGAATTAGAGGCAGACAGACCTAGGTTTGAATCCTGCCTCTGACCCGAACCATCTGTCTGACATTGGACACATTAACTTATCTCTTTGAAAATGGTGTAGAGAAAATGAAGATGGAGATCATAATGATCTGCAGGGGTCAACCCCATACAATTTGAGGGGATCTATGGAAAGCACAGTGCTTGGCATATATATGATCAATGCTTAGCAGCTGTCTTTGCTGTTCCCAATGGACAAGAACTTTCTAGAATGTATAAGGTCTGTGCCTAAGCACTTTCTTTCACGATCCTTGTCCATGTCATGGGGTCCTCTGAAGGACCTTAGAGGTCATTCTTAGTTTGGCTGGGGCTTCCCTTGGGTAGGAAAGATAACGTAGTTCTGAACCAGGCAGTATTTAATGAGTGTTCACTCAGTTCTTGGCCAACTACTCTAATGACCAAGAGTCCACAGAATCTGTTGTTTATGAACGCCAGCCTTGAAGTCAGATCAAGTCCCAGCTCAGCACCTACTAGCATGTGTCCCATTGGACAGTTGTGAGAATTCAATGGGATAAGGCATGTGATATGCTCAGCACACTGGCACACAGTATGATGGAGCTGACACAATCTTCCCACCAGCCCCTTTCTCCCCATTTCCTCCCAGTGCAGATGGACGTAAGGAGCTCTGCAAGTTGGTTAAGTTTCCCTTTTACTTCTCTCATTCCTTCACTGGAGGATGGCTAAGGTTGCAGTGAGCTGAGATCGCGCCACTGCACTCCAGCCTGGGTGAAAAAAAGATATTGGGTTTGATTAGGGGCTACACAAGGGAGAGAATGCAGTGGTGGTGGGCTGTGCAGGAAAACCTCAACTGCTTGCAAACAGCATGTAGTTTTAGCTGGGCATGATGGCTCACGCCTGTAATCCCAGCACTCTGGAAGGCCAAGGTAGGTGGATCACCTGAGGTCATGAGTTTGAGACCAGCCTGACAAACATGGTGAAACCCTGTCTCCATTAAAAATACAAAAATTAGCCGGGTGTGGGGGCACATGCCTGTAATCCCAGCTACTTGGATAGTTTTCCTGGAATGACCCACGTTGGTTCCTGTGCTCAATGATTCTTTTCCAATAAGGCAATATTCATCTCGCCTTATTGGAAAGGGATTTTCCATCTAGTTGGAAGAATCTCTCCTCCGTAGCTACAGCCCTGATGGATAGAAGCAGATTTAGATTTTCTTTTGACTTTTGAACCATTTAATGATAACTAGGCCCTTAGACCTCCCTCCCCACAACCCCGTTACAGTAATGCCCATGGCATAAACATGGAATGTGGTGTCCAGGAAACTCGGATTCTAACCTCAATTTTTATTTTTCTAATGGGGCTGAAAGGCAAGGCAATGTCTAAAATTTATCGCAGTTTGGATATTCTGCGTTTTTGTCATTCCCTTGATAACCAACGCAGAAGTCGATCAGTCCTAAGAACTAAGATGATGAAGCACTCACACTACATCTTATATTTCATCCTCTTTCCTGTCTGCTTAGCGTAAGCTCTGCTTCTCATCAGGAAGATTTGTGACAAGTAGTGGTAAATTATTCCCAAAGCTCGCTTGACCCACGGCTAACAACATCCTTCACAGTGGGTGTTGTGCTAAACCCCTATTAACCTCATTAGGGAGGCACCAGGTTCAAGAGGCTGAAGAAGAGACCCGGAGCCAGTAAATAAGACATGGGGTAGCTGGCTGCGGTGGCTCACGCCTGTAATCCCAGCACTTTGGGAAGCTGAGGCGGGTGGATCACCTGAGGTCAGGAGTTCGAGACCAGCCTGGACAACGTGGTGAAACATTGTCTCTACTAAAAATACAAAAATTAGTCCAGTGTGGTGGCGCATGCTTATAATCCCAGCCACTCGGGAGGCTGAGGCAGGAGAATCACTTGAACCCGGGAGGTGGAGGTTGCAGTGAGCTGAGATCACGCCACTGCACTCCAGCCTGGGTGACAGAGTGAGACTCAGTCTTACAAAAAAAAAAAAAAAGAAAAGAAAAGAAAAGAAAGACATGGGGTTTGATTAGGGGCAACATACATGGGAGAGAATGCGGTGGTGGTGGGCTGGGCAAGAAAACCTCAACTGCTTACAAACAGCATGTAGTTTTGGCCGGGTGCGGTGGCTTATACCTGTAATCCCAGCACTCTGGAAGGCCAAGGTAGGTGGATCACCTGAGGTCAGGAGTTTGAGACCAGCCTGACCAACATGGTGAAACCCTGTCTCCATAAAAAATACAAAAATTAGCCAGGTGTGGGGGCACATGCCTGTAATCCTAGTTACTTGGGAGGCTGAGGCACGAGATTTGCTTGAACCCGAGAGGCAGAGGTTGCAGTGAGCTGAAATCACACCACTGCAATCCCGCCTGGGTGACACAGTGAGACTCTATCTCAAAACAAAAACAAAAAAACAGCATGCAGTTTATATAGCATTTTCACTTAGCAGCCTCCCCTTAATGACCTCCACCTGGCAACTTTCATTTAATCCAAAACTTAGAGTTTCAATCCCCTGTACAACATATGTTTCATGGGACAGGCCAGGAACTCAGATGCTCTTCATAGACCAGGAAAAAATCTCCAGGTTGGCCACTCCTGATTCCCTAGCTCAGAACGCACATTCAGGTGCATCTGCCATACAGAGTCATTCTAAGGGTGTGCTTTAGTTATTGCTGTCAGGTGCATTTACCCTACAGTGGCTTATGACATGGTTAAGAGCAGGCATTTGAAGTCAAATCCCATTCTGGCTACTTGCTAGCTATGAAACTGAGACCTGTTCTTTCTTCAACATTCATTTATTCATTTCAAAAGCTAGTACAGCGATATTCCTTTGGTGCCGTGGATACAGTGATGAACAGGGCATACACTATCCCCTCCCTGCCTTCAAAGTGTACAATCTACTGGCAAAGACAGCCCTGACAAAGTGTGACCCAAGCGAGGATATGGGAAGACCCATTTTTATGAGATCATTTGCAGAAGCCACTACTGTGGTCTGGACAGGGTAGAAGTCAGGGAAGGCTTCCCAGTGGCGCTAAGCCTAAGCTGAAAATGAAGGCTGAATAGGAGATGGAGGAAGGGAACCTTTGCTGGGCGGAGAGAACCTCATATATGGAGGCCAGAGAGCTAGAGACAGTGGAGTGCCTTAAACTCTAAATAAATTGAGAAAAGTTCATCTGGAAGTTTCTACTCTGTGTGTGTCTGCGTGTAGTTTCCTTCTTTCCTTTTTTTTTTTTTTTGGAGACGGAGTCTCTCACTCTTGTCCTGGCTGGTGTGCAGTGGCGCGATCTCGGCCTGCTGCAACCTCCACCCCTGAGTTCAAGCGATTCTCCTACCTCAGCCTCCTGAGTAGCTAGGACTACAGGTGCCCACCACCACACCCGGCTAATTTTTTGTATTTTTAGTAGAGACAGGGTTTCACTATGTTGGCCAGGCTGTTCTCAAACTCCTGACCTCATGATCCACCCGCCTCGGCCTCCCAAAGTGGTGGGATTACAGGCGTGAGCCACTGCGCCCGGCTGTTTTTTTTGTTTTTGTTTTTTTAATTTTTTCTTTTAGTGGAGTGTGGGGTAGAGAGGGAAATGGTGAGAGCTGGGACTGGAGAGCAACTGGAGAGCTAGTGAGGGCCGGGTTATGAAAGGGGTTCAGAACCGTATTAAGGAGAATAGACCTGTATCCTCAAAGTAATGGGAGCCTCATAGACAATTTTAAAGAGGGAATTACATGATTGAGTTTTTATTTTGGAAAAATCAACTAAATTTTGGAGAATGGTTTGTGTGGGAGGAGAAGAAGTTGGAGGATAGAGCAGTGACCTAAAGCGATGGCCAGAAAGAAGGCTTCTTGAAGGCTGAGATCTTCGTCAGTTTTGTTTCTTTCAGCATCCCAGTTTCTTGGAACAGAGATTGGTACATACCAGACAATCAGTAATTGCTTGTTGAGTGACCGTGGCCTAGACCAGGGCAGTGGCTGTAGGGATAAAGGGATTCATGTGGATTTGAGACCTAATTTGTGGGCCAAGGGAAAATAATCAGTGATGAGTAGAAGGGAGTTAAGAAGGATTCTCAGTGTTCTGGCTTGAGCAACTGAAGGGAAAATGGTGACATTTTCTGAGATGAAAAATCCTTAAACTCTTTGAGCCTCAGTTTCTTCATCCATAAAATGGGACCAGTAGCCCACATCTCACAAGTATGTAAAGGGAGTAGCCTAGTGCCTGATACATAAGGGGTAATCAGTGCGTCAATGTGTCCTTCAGGCTCAGATCTCCTCTATAGCATGCAAAGTTCCCTCTATAGGTTATGAAGAAAGCCCACATGGACATTTTCCCAGGGTCTCCAGGTTTGAGGTTCCCAGAGATGGTGTCAGGAGCAGCAGCAACAGCCCTACAAGTGGAAATGCATAGCCAGGAAATGAAATAAACAACTGAGATTGCTAATTGGAGTTTATTTTCTAAAAATGAACAGCGATTCTCAGCATGGCGCAGTCACCTGCAAAGCTGGTCCTTAATAAGCTATTCTGGTCGTTGTCAACATGAAGAATTTGATTGGACAGAGGAGTAGATTGGTGGTGAGGCTTTCTGTAGCTAAGGAGTAGTTGGGGTGGTGGGAGGTGGGCAATAATTTAGCAGAAAGGAAGTGAGTTTGTTTTTAAACTCACAATCCTCCCTGGGGTACAACTACTTAGGGTCATTTCTCCAGTCTCATTTTCTGGGAAACTGGAATTGCACCTGGTTATGGGCAGCCAGAGCATTGTTGAGGCTGCAGTTTCCTGTGGACAAGATGCAACCACTGGTGTTAACAAGGCCCAGGAGGTCACTCAGAGCCACCGCCACCTCTTTCTCTTCCATCTACTCAGTGGATGGAGACCAAGCAACAACTCTCTGCCATGCACCACAGTATGCTAGTACTGAGGTTACCGAGATGCACGAGTCACAGCCCCTGCCTTTTGCAAGGGAAACAGACCAGCAAACAGGCAATCACAATCCCATAGGATGGGAGTCCGTATTTATTTCCTAGGGTTGCCATAACAAATCACCACAAACTTGCATGGTGGTGCAAGTTTAACACAACCACAGAAATTTCGTATCTCATATTTCTGGAGGCTAGCAGTTCAAAATAAAGGTGCCAGCAAGGCTAGGCTCTCTCTGGTGGATCTAGAGATTCATCATTTTTTGCCTCTTCATAGTTTCTGGTATTGCTGGTTATCCCTGGTGGTTCTTGGCTGGTAAAAGCATCACTCCAGGGCTCGCCTCTGTCATCACATGGAATTCTCCCTATGTGTCTCTGTGTTTCTTCTCTTCTTGTAAGGATGGCAATGATATTGGATTTAGGGTATAACCTCATCTTAGCTCAGTTACATTTGCAAATACCCTATTTCCAATGAAGGTCACATTTAAAGATACCAGAGGCTAGGACTTGAACATATTTTTTAGGAGTCGGGGGACACAATTCAGCCCACAACAATGTGAGTACAAGCGTGCCTGATGTCCTGTCGAATCAGATTTTACCTTGTTACAAGTGTTATGGGAGCAATCCCTATGATGTGATCTGCAGTTCTCTCTCTCCCTTTTCCTTTTTCCTTTTTTTTTCTTTTTTTATTTTGCCTCCCTTCCTTTACTTCTTGATTTTTTTTTTTTTTTTTGAGATGGAGTTTTGCTCTTGTTGCCCAGGCTGGAGTGCAATGGTGCAATCTCAGCTCACTGTAACCTCTGCCTCCTGGGTTCAAGTGAGTCTCCTGCCTCAGCCTCCCGAGTAGCTGGGATTACAGGCGTGCACTACCACACTCAACTAATTTTTTGTGTTTTTAGTAGAGATGGGGTTTTACCATGTTGGTCAGGCTGGTCTCGAACTCCTGACCTCAGGTGATCCACCTGCCTCGGCCTCTACATTGTTGGGATTACAGGCGTGAGCCACCGCATCTGGCCTACTTCTTGACTTCTTTCTTCCCTTTCTGTAGTTTTGTCAACTCATACTAATTGGTCATCTCCTGCATATTAGGCAGAGTTCTAGACATCAGGGATGGAGTGCAGAGACCAAACAGACACAGTTCCTGTCTCTGAGACTCACGAGTTATGGGGGAAAGAGACAGCAGCCAAACAGTCACATAAATACATGTCAAATGACAACCGGAACAATTGGAAGGGGATCCCTTCTGAATATGCAGGGTAACAGCTTGAACTGACCTTCCAGGGGAACAATTCTAAGGCCGTAAAGACCAGTCTCCAGCCATAGACTGTGTATTTCCACTCTGTAAGCATCAACATCTTCTAGTCCACAAGATACAGGAAGAGGAGAGATAGAAGGTCATTGATTTACTTGGGTCCATGTATTTGAAACCCTCTGCTTGAGAAGTAGGAGAATAGGGAATGAGGATAACCAAAGGTTAAGTCATAAGCAAAACAACAGCAGGTGCAGCCAGTTCTAGGCAAGACTGGGCAGCATACAGGCCACATCCTCACTCTGAAATAACAACATGGAAATTTCCATTTCAGCCTCTGATTGACCACAGGCCAAGTCTCCACTTCAGCCTCTGATTGGTCATGAGCCATCTCCACTTTAGCCTCTGATTGGTTCTTGGGCCAATCCTTCATAGGATATAACCAACTGGAGGCCTCTAAAGGGCGCCAAGTGGGTGTTACCAAACTCTTTTAGCTTAATAAGAACCCTAAACAACATTATAATGGGAGCGTTTGAGCTGCTTGTTCAAGCCTGCTCCCACTCTGTAGAGTATACTTTTGCTTCAATAAATCTGTGCTTTCATTGTTTTGTTTTTTTTTGTTGTTGTTGCTTTGTTTGTATGTTTTGTTTGATTCTTTGTTCAGTGCACCAAGAACCTGGACAACTCACAGTCAAGCATTTCCATCCCGTAACAGTTGGAGAATAAGCCTGAGTGACGGGCCTTCCATTTAGCAGGTGAATCTCAGCTGCTACGTAAATCGTCAAAGCCAGAACTTGGAATGTGAATATAGCCATGAGAGTGCCTCAGCAAGGAGCCATTATGAGGTACTGATAAACTGACCACCCTATAAAAACCAAGGGGGCCAGGAAGTTATAAATGGTTCAGCAGCATCCAGGGAAGTGGGAAACACTCACAAACCTGAGATTATCTGGGGGGACTCTTGAGCAGCGTTGGGGAAGTCACAACCAGTGGTGAGAGGCTACAAAGGCAAGGAGTACGTGGTGTTTGAGGGTAAATGATAGGCTGGACCTGGTCAGGGTGGGGAAAGGGATTTCCTGGGAAGCGACGCTTGTGCTCTGTTTCCCAGGTCCATGAAGACAAAGCTGTCAAAAAATAAAAATATAAGGCTTCCCATCCACACCCATGTAATACTGTGAACGGATCTCAGAGTTTGGTGTCAAAACTCACCAAAACATACACTTAAATGGGTGCCTTTTATCATATGTAAGTGATATCTCAATAAAGTGAATTTTGAAGATGCTGGTGATAGCCCTCTTTGTTTTTGTTTTGTTTTGTTTGCTTGTTTTTGTTATTTCAAAAGAAGGTCTTGCTCTGTTATCTTGGCTCACTGCAGCCTTGACCTCCGGGGCTCAAGCGATCCTCTTACCTTAGCCTCCCAAATAGTTGGGGCTATGGATGCATACCACCATGCTCAGCTAATTGCTTTTTAATTTTTTGTAGAGACAAGGTCTTGCTATGTTTCCCAGGCTGGTCTCATACTCCTGGACTCAAGCAATCCTCCCAGCTTGGTTTCCCAAAGTGCTGGGATTACAGGCATGAGCCACCATGCACAGCCCCTCTTTTTTTAAATTCTGGGTGTCAAAGCCATGGTAGAAGCCTTTCTAATTTTGCTCAAGAGTCATTGGATCCTGTATTATATAATGTCAGAGCCTGGAGAGAATCCCAAGACAATTGGGATCAAACACATCATTTTATACAGGAGGTGACTGAGTTTCAGGAGAGACAGCAAGGTCATAGTCACAGCAGTCAGAAGGATGCGCCATAGATTGGAAAAATCCAGAAGGTGGGAGATGGGTGGAGTGACATGCTCTTAGACAATCTAGCCCATGTGCTGAGGTCAGAGAAGTTAGATTTGAGGTCCTTCAGCTAGTCAGATTTTGGCCCTAAATTTCCTGGCCATCCACTTCCTTCTGTCCTTAACATGTTCTGTGAACACTCAGTCACTGCTACAGTCATACACAGATTGCATTTATTTTCATATCTCTTTGCAAAGCTTCTTCTGCACGGGGTGTCTTGATGTGTTCGATGATCTGGGTCTATTTAGGATCAGCTCAGACTCGGAAACCGGGGTGGGGCCAACATCACGAAATGGAAGAAATTATAAGCCAGGCATCATAGTCTGGAGCAGAGGTCTTCAAACATTGGTATGTATCAAAATTAAAGTGCCAATCCCTGGGATCCACATCCAGAGATTCTGATTTACTAGGCCTTGGGGGTGTCTGGGAATCTGCATTGATAACCCACAATGCAGGTGATTCTGATGGAGGTGGTTCAAGGACGAGAGTTTGAGAGTCCCTGTCCTCTAGCAACCTCTGGATTAAACATGGGAGAAAACAAATAGACCTGGGCTGTTGACTGACCAATGAACTTTCAAGGTAACCCGCATTCAAAATATTCTGTATTTTTCAAAGGATGGTAATGGAAAAGAAACAATGACAACAAAAGCCTGTCTTGAACACATACTTATTTGTGGCAGTTTTCAGAAGCGTATTATTTTCTAGTGATGGAGGGATTTTTTAAAATTCTGCTAAGCCTTCTTTTGAGTCACTCTCTTGAGATATATTTCACATACCATACAATTCAACCATTTAAAGTGTACAATTCAGTGGTTCCAGTATATTCAGAGTTGTGTAACCATCATCATCAATTTTAGAACATTTTCTCCTCCCTCCCCAAGTCCTACTCCCATTAGCAGTCACTCCCCATTTCCTCCGACCCCCTCCACCCCTAGGCAACCACTAATCTACTTTCTGTCTCTCTAGATTTGCCTATTCTGGACATTTCATATAAATGAAAGAAAATGACACAGGTTCTTTCGTGAGTGGGTTCTTTTGCCTAGCATGTTTTCAAGGTTCATTCATGCTATAGCATGTATCATATCACTATTTCATTTTGTAAGTTACCAAGTAGTATTCCTGATGATGGATTTTAAAATGGAACTTCTCTCTTTTCACAAGTTGAACAGCTATCTTTCCTCTAGAATAACATTTTCACAAGTGGAACATCTATTTTCCTTCTAGAACAAGAGGCTTTGTAGCAGATAGGAATGTCAGATGCACTGCAAAGACTTAAGAATCTTATTCAAGGCCCAAGTGACCTTTCCAGCCTCATCTCCGTCAATTTTGCACTTCCTTCCATGACGTTCTAGCCACACAAGACACCTCTGGGGTCTCCCCTACTGGCCTCTGGTCAAAATAGCATGGCTTCTTGTCTGTGCAGTGAATGCCTCCCCTAATTCTGAACTCAAGCATCTCCTTGCCTGGACCTTTCTCTCATTTTTGCCCTTGATCTTGATTGTAGGTCTTTTCATTTTGTGCAATGATGGGTGAAGTCACCACTCTTTAGACTGGTGACTTCTCTAACAGAGGAACTGAATTTTCTTAATTTTTGTATTCTCAGTGCCTAACTCGTTCTTGGCAAGTATGGGGTACTTGGTTAATATTTGTTGAATGAGTGAACGAATGAATGAACGAGTAAATGAAAGCTACAGAAGCCAGCATATATAGAATGAAAGTCGTTTTTCCCTGGAAGTTTTAACATAGTCATTTTAATTCCTCCTGTTTGAAATGACTTGTTTGCAAAAGAGTAAAAATGACAATTTAAAGAATATTAAACTGCATAAGCATGAAAAACAATCTGCTAACAGTGGTTATCTCTGGGGAAGAGTTAAGAAGAGCTGGGGGGTGTTTTCACTTTTTCTTTCATTAGAGACTTCAAAAGAAGAAAAGTGGTGTAAAAATGGGTGTTGTTTTTCTTTTATGGTTTTTGGGGATTTTTAAACATAAAAATTATAAAAAAGTAAATAAACAATAAGAAGCAGAGAAAAGGAATGTCTACACATTGTTGGTGGGAATGTAAAATAGCACAGCCACCATGGAAAACAGTATGGATGTTCCTCAGAAAATTAAAAACAGAACTACTATATGATTCATATGAAATTTCTATCTCAGTTTAAGCCATTGCTAGTTTGGGTCTCTGTTACTTACAGCGGAACCTAATTCTAACAAACACAAATGCTTTAGACTCGGATCTGAGTACCAGGCTGGCTCTGGGTGACTTGTGGCAAATCACTTATCCCTTCTGTACTCAGTTTCTTCATCTGTTAAAGGAGAATGAAAAAAACTTACATCATGGGACCACTGTGAAGTTTAAAAAGCACAGTGCCTGGCACAGCAAGGACATTTTTATTTATTATTTATTTATTTATTTTTTGAGAAGGAGTCTCGCTCTGTCGCCCAGGCTGGAGTGCAGTGGCATGATCTTGGCTCACTGCAAGCTCCGCCTCCCGGGTTCACGCCATTCTCCTGTCTCAGCCTCCCGAGTAGCTGGGACTACAGGTGCCCGCCACCGCGCCCAGCTAATTTTTTGTATTTTTAGTAGAGACGGGGTTTCACCATGTTACCCAGGATTGTCTCGATTTCCTGACCTCGGGATCCGCCCGCCTCGGCCTCCCAAAGTGCTGGGATTACAGGCGTGAGCCACCGCGCCCGGCCGCAAGGACATTTAATAAATGACAGCTCTTGCCATTGTTATTAGCAATAATGATAACAGCAATAAACAGAAAAATGACAAATCAACGTATATGAAGGTCCCTTTTATCTGTAACAGACTTTGAATCCAATTTGATTTATAGCCTGTCTGCTTATGCTGGGTGGCTTAACATATTGATTATTTGAAAACCGTGTGGCTTAGCCCTAGAATGGAGGCTCATTTAATAAACTCCACTTATTGGGTGATTATGCAGAAGGCAGCTGCAATGACCTCCAGGACAGAGAAGCCTGATGATAATAGTAGCTACCATTTATTGAGCCCTTACTATGAGCTACCACTTAGTCTAACACAATCCCATGAGACCGTATAATTCCCGCCCCCCCACCCCGCCCCCCTCCCCCGGCCCCGCCGCCATTCCACAGATGAGAAAATGAGGCACAGATAGCTTAAATGCTTTAAATAGCTAGTAAGTGGCTTAGTCAAGATTCAGACCCAGGTTTTCTGAACCAAAGTTAGTGAGCTTTTCATTAGACTAGTTGCTGCTCAAGCTACAAATAATATGGTGTAAAAAAAAAAAAAAGCGGGGGGTGGGGCGCGGGGGGGTGGGCTTGGCATGGTGGCTCATGCCTGTAATCTCAGCACTTTGGGAGGCCGAGGTGGGCGGATCACTTGAGGTCAGGAATTCGAGACCCTCTGGCCAACATGGTGAAACCCTGTCTCTACTAAAAATACAAAAACTAGCCGGGCATAGTGGCAGGCACCTGTAATCGCAGCTACTCAGGAGGCTGAGGCAGGAGAATCCCAGTTTCAACCTGGGAGGCGGAGGTAGCAGTGAGCCGAGATCACACCACTGCACTCCAGCCTGGGCGACAGAGTGAGACTCCATCTCAAAAAAAAAAAAAAAAAAAAAAAAAAAAAAAAAAAAAAAGGAGGAAGAAGGGAGATAACAAAAGGGTATTGGGGCTTTAAAGAAGGGTCAGCAGTTCTCCAATTTTCACATTTGACGACTCATTTAATTCCCCAATGAGTCCTCAAAGTCTTGGAATGAAGTATGGTAACCTCTTGCTGCAGTCACTCATGCCAGGGAGTTCTGTGAAATCTGGGGAGGGGTTACCTCCAGTACCCAAGGATGCTGAGCAAGGGACTATCAGTTGTCCCTCTATATCCAATCTTCCTTCTTCCAAAGTAAAATGATTTTTCATGGAGCATATATTAATTGTTGCCTAGAATCAAGACTATGCTTCCCATCCTTGCTTGCAGCAAAGTGTGGCCATGTGTCTAAGTTTTGGCCAATGAGATATAAGTAGGAAGTATTATGTACAACTTTGGGTTTGTTTCTTTAAAAGGAATGGGTATGCTCTTCTTTGCTTTTCCCTTTCTGCTGGTTGGATTGCAGATGTAATGGCTGGGGCAGCTGTCTTGGCAATGAGATGGACATGGAATTTGCAGTAGAAGAAACAGACAGAAGGAGCTCGGGTCTATGATGCTGTCATAAACCATACCAGCTTTCAACTACCTTACTAGACTTTTCGTGACAGGGAGAAAAAATTTTCTAAGTTTAAGCGATTGCTAATTTGAGTCTCTGTCACTTACAGTTGAACCTAATTCTAACAAACACAGATGCTACCCTGCCATTCATTACCCTATCCTCCCTTTCAGTGGCCCCCAATTTCTTTTTGGGGGAATTCTGTCACCAAATTAGATGCCTTTTAAAATTGACACATTGTATTGTACATATTTGTGGGGTATAATTTGATATTTTGATGCATATGTATTGTATAATGATGAAATCAGGGTATTTAGTGTGTCAATCACCTTGTGCATTTATCATTTCTTTGTGGTGAGGACAATTACAAGCCTCTCTTCCAGCTATTTGGTAATCTACAAAATACCTTACTTTTAATTATCCTTGCCCAACTGTGCAAAGGAACACCAGACTCATTTCTCCTATCTAATGTAACTTTGTACCAGTTGATCAACCTCGCCCTATCATCCCCTCTCGCATTCCCTCCCCAGTCTCTATTAACCATTGTTCTATTCTTTGCTTCTATAATAGCGTCTCTGTTTTTTTTTTAGATTCCACATATGAGTGAGATCATATGGTATTTGTTTTTTCATGGCTGGCTTATTTCACTTAACATGATGTTCTCCAGATCCATGTTGTCAAAAAATTACAAAATTTCATTCTTTTTTATGGTTCAATAGTATTAAATAGTGTATATATATCAGATTTTCTTTATCCATTCATCTACTGTAGGACACTTGGGTGGATTTCATATATTGGTTATTGTAATAGTGCTGCAATAAATATGGGAGTGTAGGTATCTTTTCAACATGCTAATTTCATTTCCTTTGGATAGATACTCCATAGTAGGATGGCTGAATCATATAGTAGTTCTGTTTTTAATTTTCTGAAGGAACATCCATACTGTTTTCCATAGTGGCTGTACTACTTTACATTCCCACCAACAATGTGTAGACGTTCCTTTTTCTGTGCATCTCACCAACATTTGTTTTTATCTGTCTTTTTGATAATATCTAGTCTAACTGGAGTGAGGTGATATCTCACTGCAGTTTTGATTGCCATTTCCCCAATTATTAGTGATGTTGAGCATCTTTTCATGTAACTGCTAGTCATTTCCATGTTTCCTTTGGAGAAATGTCTCATAAGGTCTTCTGCCCATTTTAAAATAAAGTTTTTTGTTATTGTTGTTGTTGAGTTGTTTAAGTTCCTTATGTATTCTGGATATTAGTGTCAGATGTCTAATTTGCAAATATTTTCTCCCATTCTGTAGGTTGTTTCTTCACTCTGTTTATTGTTTCCTTTGATGTGCTGAAGCTTTTTATTTTGATGTAATCCCATCTGTCTACTTTTCCTTTTGTTGCCTGTGCTTTTGAGGTCTTATTAAAAATTATTTGCCCAGCCCAATGTCATAAAGCATTTCCCCGTATGTTTTCTTCTGGTAGTTTCATAGGTTTGGGTTTTACATTTAGGCCTTTAATCCATTTTGAATTCATTTTTGTATATGGTGTGAGGAAGGGGTCTAGTCTCATTATTTTACATGTGAATATCCAATTTTCCTTGCAACATTTGTTGAAGAGATGGTCTTTTTCCCAGTGTGTGTTCTTGGTAACTTTGCTGAAAATCAGTTGGCTGTAGGCGCACGAATTTGTTTCTGAGTTCTCTGTTCTGTTTCATTGGTCTATGCATCTGTTTTTGTGCCTGTAACAGGCTGTTTTGGTTACTATAGCTTTGTAGTGTATTTTGAAGTTGAGTAGTGTGATGTCTCCAGCTTTGTTCTTTTTGCTCAGGATTGCTTTGGCTATTTGTAGTCTTTTGTGGTTCCATATGAATTTTAGGATTGATTTTTCTATGTTTGTGAAAAATGTCACTGTTCTTTTGATAGGGATTATATTAAATCTGTAGATCACTTTAGGTAGTATGGTGATTTTAACAATATTAATTCTTCCAATACTTGGACATTGTACTTTTTGTGCAGGAATTTAAGAAAAATTGTTTTAAAAATTAAAAAACCCAATACTTGGACATGGGATGTCTTTCCATTTATTTGTGCCTTAATTGATTTTTTCATCAATATTTTATAGTTTCAGTGTGGAGATCTTTCATCTCCTTGGTTAAGTTTATTCCTAGGTATCTTACATTTTTGTAGCTATGATATGTGAGTTTTTTTATTTCTTTTTCAGATAGTTTGCTGTTAGCATATAGAAATGCTACTAATTTTTATGTATTGATTTTGTATCTTGCAAATTTGCTGAATTCATTGATCAGCTATAATAATTTTTTGGTGGAGTCTTTAGGGTTTTCTGTATATAAGATCATGTTGTCTGCAAACAGGAACAATTTGACTTCATGTTTTTCAATTTGCATGATTTCTATTTTTTTTTCTTGCCTAATTGCTCTGGCTAGGACTTCTAGTACTATATTGAATAGGATTGATGAAAGGAATATCTTTGTCTTGTTCCTGATCTTAGATAAAAAGTTTTCAGCTTTTCCTGTTCAATATGTTCTTAGCTGTGAGTTTGTAATATCTGGCCTTTATGGTGTGGAGGTACATACCTTCTGTAACAAATGTGTTGGCAGTTGTTACCATAAAGAAATGTTGAAAGTTGTCAAATGCTCTTTCTGCATCTGCTGAAGTGATCATATGGTTTCTGTCTTTTTGTTAATATGGCATATCATGTTTATTAACTTGCATATGCTGAATCATTCTTACATCCCTGGGATAAATCCCACTTAGTCACAGTGAATGATCTTTTTAATTTTCTGTTGAATTTGGTTTGATAACATCTTGTTGAGAATTTTTGCATCTGTATTTACCAAGGATACTGGCCTGTAGTTTTCCTTTTTGTTCTTGTGTCTACCTTATATTGCAACCAGGGTAATGCTAGCCTCAATAGGTCCTGGGCTTTTTTCCAATGGCAGACATTTTATTATTGATTCCATTTCCTCACTCAGTATTGATCTGTTTAGATTTTCTATTTCTTTATAATTTAATCTTGGTAGGTTGTATGTGTCCAGGAATTTATCTATTTCTTCTATGCCCTCAACTTCTTTGATATATAGTTGTTCATAATAGCCTCTATGATCCTTTGTATTTCTGTAATATTAGTTGTAATGTCTCCATTTCCATCTCTGATTTTATTTATTTGGATATTTTCTCTTTTTTTTTTAAGTTAGTCTCACTAAGGATTTGTTGATTTTGATTATCTTTTCAAAAAGCCAACTCTTCTTTTGTTAATTTTTTTGAGTTTTCTTTTGTTCTCCACTTCATTTATTTTTGCTCTGAGACTTATTATTTCCTTCCTTCTACCATTTTGGGTTTAGTTCTTAGTTTTTTAGATCCTGGAAGTGCATGGTTACATTCTTTATTAGAAATCTAATAAGGATTTATTAGATAGATAGATAGATATATTAGGTGTTTATTGCTATGAAATTCCATCTCAGGACTGCTTTTGCTGTATTCCAAAAGTTTTGGTATGATGTGTTTCCATTTTTATTTATCTCAAATAATTTTTAAATTTTCCTTTTAGTTTCTTCATTGATGTATTGGTTATTTAGGAGCACGTTGTTTAATTTTTCACGTATTTGTAAGGTTTCCAAGGTACTCTTGTTGTTGATTTCTAGTTTTATACTATCATGGTCCAAAATGATACATGATATAATCTCTGTCTTCTTAAATTTGTTAAGACCTGTTTTGTGGTCTAACATATGATTTATTCTGGAGAATGTTCCATGTGCAATTGGGAAGAATGAGTATACTGTAACTGTTTAATGGAATATTCTGTAAATGTCTGTTAGGTCCATTTGGTCTATAGTGTTGTTTAAGTCCAAAGTTTCTTTGTTGATTTTCTGTCTGGGTAATCTCTTCATTATTAAAACTGAGGTGTAAAGTCCCCTACTATTATTGTATTGCAGTCTGTCTCTCTTTAGATCTAATAATATTTGCTTTACATATTTGGGTGCTTCACTGTTGGGTGCATATATATTTATACTTGTGATATCATCTTGTTGAATTAATCTGTCTATCATTATATAATGGCCTTCTTTATTTCTTTTTATTGTTTTTGACTTAAAGTCTATTTTATCTGATAAAAGTATAGTCACTCCTGCTCACTTTTGGTTTCTGTTTGCATTTTTTCTATCCCTCACTTTCAGTCTGTCTGTAATGTTGGGGTAGGTCTCTTGCAGGCAACATATAATTAGTTCTTGTTTTTTAAAATCTATTCAGCCACTGTATATCTTTTAATTGCAGCATTTAATTCATTTACATTAAAGATTGTTATTGATAAGTAAGGACTTACTCCTGCCATTTTGTTGATAATTTTCTGGTTGTTTTATGGATCTTTTGTGCTTTTATTTCTCTCTTGTTTTCCTCTGTGGTGTGGTGATTTTCTGTGGCACTAAGCTTTGTTTTCTTTTTCTTTCTCATTTGTGTATCTACTGTAATGTGTTTCTTTGTGGTTACCATGGGGCTAAAATAAAGAGTCTTATAGTTATAATAGGCTATTTTAAGCTGATAACAACTTAATTTTGGTCACATAAAAATCCTCCAGAGGGCCAGGCACGGTGGCTTACACCTGTAATTCCAGCACTTTGGGAGGCCAATGTGGGCAGATTGAGAGCAGCCTGACCAATATGGTAAAACCCCATCTCTACTAAAAATAAAAAAATTAGCTGGGCATGGTGGTGTACACCTGTAATCCCAGCTACTCAGGAGGCTGAGGCAGGAGAATCACTTGAACCTGGGAGGTGGATGTTGCAGTGAGCCAAGATTGCACCACTGTACTCTGTCCTGGGTGACAGAGTGAGACCCTGTCTCCAAAAAAAAAAAAGAATCCTCCAGACTTCATACACCCACACACACACACACACACACACACACACACACACACACACACAATTTGTATGTTGTTAGCCTTAATGTACATGTTGGTCTTTTGTGTGTTCCTTAGCCACTAATTGTAGTTGTTCACGTTTTTGACCTTTTTGACTTTAAACCATCATACTAGAGGATTTAAAGATTTACACAGCACCATTACAGCATTGGGGTATTCTGAGTATGAGTATGGGTTTACCTATACTGGTGAGTTTTATACTTTCATATGTTTTCATAATAGTAATTATCATCCTTTTGTTTCCAATTGTAGTACTCTCTTAAGCATTTTTTTTGTAACACCTGTCTATTTGTGATGAATTCTCTCAGTTTTTGCTTATCTGGGAAGGTCTCTACTTCTCATTTATTTCTAAAGGAGAGCTTTGCAGGATATACTTCACTTAATGGTGTCTCATAAGTCTTGTAGGCTTCTTCATTCTTTTTAACTTTTTTTTCTCTGACTGGGTTATTTCTAAACACCTGTCTTCAAGTTTAGAAATTCTTTCTTCTGCTTGATCTAGTGTGTTGTTGAAGCCTTCAGTTATTTTTATTTCATTCATTGAATTCTTCAGTTCCAAGATTTTTTTCCTCTATTTTTATTGATACACAATATTTACATATTTATAGGGTATGTGTGGTATTTTGATAATTGAATACAGTGTGTAATAACCAATTCAGGATATTTAATATACCCATTACCTTAAACATTTATTATTTCTTTGTATTGGGAACATTTCAAATTCTTCAGCTCCAAGATTCTGTTCCCTCTTTTTTTATCGATTAATACCATTTGTAAATATTTACGGGATATGCAGTATTTTGATAAATTCATACAATGTGTAGTGATCAATTCAAGGTATTTAGGATATCCATCACCTTAAACACTTCTTATCTCTTTGTGTTGGGGACATTTCAAATCTTCTAGCTACTTTTAAATATATAATATATATACAATATTTTGAATATACAATATATTGTTAACTATAGTCACTCTACTGTTCTATCAAACACTAGAACTTATTTCTTCTATGTAACTGTATTTTTGTACCCATTAACCAACCTTTCTTCACCTACCTCCCACCCTTTCTGGCCTCTGGTAACTATCATTCTACTCTCTCCCTCCACAAAATTAACATTTCAAGCTCTCACATATAGTGAGAAAATGTGATATTTGTTTTTCTGTACCTAGCTTAATTCACTTAACATAATGACCATTGGTTTCATCCATGTTGCTGTAAATAATAGAATTTCATTCTTTTTATGGCTGAATAGTATTCCATTGTGTATACATACCACATTTTCTTTACCTAATCATCCATTGTTCAACACTTTGGTTGATTCCATATCTTGACTATTATAAATGGTGCTGCAATAAACATGAGGGTGGAGGTAACCCTTTGATATACTGATTTTCTTTTATTTGGATAAATACCCAGTAGTGGGACTGCTGGATCAAATGGTAGTTCTATTCATTTTTTGAGAAACATCCATACAGTTTTCCATAATGAATATGTTAATTTACATTCTCACCCACAGAGTAAATTTCCTTTTCTCTGTCTCTGTACCAGCATTTGTTGTCTTTTTTTGTCTTTTTGATAAAAGCAATACTAACTGGGGTAAGATGATACCTCACTGTGGTTTTGATTTGCATTTCCCTGATGATTAGTGATGCTGAACATTTTTTCCTATACCCATTGGCCATTTGTATGTCTTCTTTTAGGAAATGTCTATTCAGATCTTTTTGCTCATTTTTAAATGGGATTATTTGTTTCAGCTCCAAGATTTCTGTTTCGTTCTTTCTTTTTTGAGACAGGGTCTCACTTTGTTGCCCAGGCTTGAATGCAGTGGTGCAATCATGGCTCACTGCAACCTCAATCTTTAGGGCTCAAGCGATCCTCCCACCTCAGCATCCTGAGTAGCTGGGACTACAGGTGTGCATCACTACACCCAATTAATTAAAATTTTTTTTAATAGAGATATTGTTTCACTCTGTTGCCCAATTTGGTCTTGAACTCCTGACCACATGTGGTCCTCCTGCCTCAGCCTCTCAATGTGTTGGGATTACAGGCATAAGCCACTGCACCCAGCCCTGGTTCTTTTAAAACATCTATTTCTTTGTTAAATTCCTCATTCAGATCATAATTTTTTTGTTTTATTGAATTATTTGTATTATTTGGTATATTCTTGAATTTCTTTAAGATTATTATTTTGAATTCCTTTTCAGGCATTTCATAAATATCCTTTTCTTTGGCGTCTGTTACTGGAGGCTTATTGTTTCTTTGAGGGTGTCACGTTTATTTCCTTTTTCTTGTGTCCCTATGTTGATATCTACACACTTTGTGGAACAGTTACTTTTTTCAATTTTATGGAATAACTTTTATAGAATGAGGCTTTTCCCTGTAGAAGGGCCCTAGGGTATCAGTTGGGAATGGTGCACTGGTTTTGGTTCTAAGTGGACTGAGTCATATGATCTCCATACAGATTATTTAGCTATAATCTTTGTCTGCAATGTCTGCAATTGTGTCAGGGGCCTTGGCTATGGGAGTTTGTGACAATGGTAACATAATGTTTCTGGGGCCTAGGGCATAGAGGTGGTTGTCGGGCCAGGTATCTGCAGGTGTGGTGGGTTGACAGGCTGTGTAGTGGGCTCTCTTGGAGAGTGGGCCTACCACTGGGCTGGCTCTCAGGGTAGGTATGGGTGTAGCATGCCAGGTGGCTGTGTGGGGCTTTCTTTGTGCGATGGGACCACCTCTGAGCCAGCTCTTGGTCTGGGAGTAGGCTGGCTGACTGGGCAGGGCAGTAGCCCCAATTTCTATTAGTGGTTTCATGCAGTTCTAGAAAGTCTTCACAGGGTGGAGCATATGACCTAGGATAAACCAATCATAACATTTTATTCCCTCTGCTACAGTGAGTGTTTCTGGGACAGGTTTGTGACCTAAGCTTGCCCAGTCAGAAGGAATCTTAGGATACTTGCAGAGATTGCTGAGTCAAAGACATGCTCTTTTGCTATGGAAAGTATAGCATGTGCATGTGAAACTTGGAACTGTGAATATCATCTTGCTGTGATGAAGGAAACCTGGCTGAGAATGAAGCTGACATAAGGAAGTAAAAAAAAAAAGGTACAATGATAGACAAACAGAACGAGAGTCTTGATCAAATTATGCCTAAAATCTGTTACCTTCTGTGTTCTTCATATTTGTGAACCAATATGTTGCCTATATTGTTTGCTATTACTTTTTGGCCCTTATATTCTAAGTCAGGTTTGGGATGGATTTTCTTATTTGCAGCCAATTATATCCTAATTGATAGAGATGTCCTGATGTGTTTTGGTTCTGTGTCCCCACGAAAATCTCATCTCCAATTGTAGTCCCCATGTGTCAAAGTGGGGAGGTGATTGGATTATGGGTACGGTTTCCCACATGTTGTTCTTGTGATAGTGAGTGCTCACGAGATCATCTGATGGTTTAAAAGTGTGGCACTTCCCTCTTCACTCTCTTCCTCCTGCCACTATGTAAGACATGCCTTGTTTCCCCTTCATCTTCCGCCATAATTGAAAGTTTCCTGAGGCCTCTCCACACCATGAGGAACTGTGAGTCAATTAAACCTCTTTTCTTTATAAATTACCCAGTCTCAGATAGTTCTTTATAGCAGTGTGGAAATGAACTAATACATGTCCCTTCACCTTCTACCACATATAGAACCAACAACAACAAAAAGAGGAAAGTACTTTGTTAGCTCTTCTGAAGGAAGATAGAGTTACAGATTGAATCAGAGATATTTCCTCTGTGATCCTTCCCTGATGTCCCCAGTTCTGGGCAAAGAGCCCTCCTTGATATTCCCATAGCTCCTTTTCATTCTCATCTCTTATAGGAAAGGGAGTCTTTAGCATAATACATCATTGCAATTATGCTATGAGAGCCAATCAGTATCAGCAAGAAGTTTGCTTATCTAGTGTCTAGTTCATTCTGATGAAGTTAAGAGAATTACCAAGAAGAAAGGTATCTGCCATTTTTCTTTCAGGATGAAGGCAGGAATAACAAAACCATGCTTTTGACCATGTAGGGAGCTGAAAGGATGGAGTCAAGGCCTTGAGGAGACAGCAGAGAGGCAACTAAGAGAAGATGGCAGGCAGCCAGAAGAAGGCACAATCCCAGGTACCCATTTGAGGGAATCCAATGGGGGAAAGTAAAGAAACCTGGACGTTTTAAGTGTGGTGATCAGATTATGCTCTTTCTGGCTAAGGACTAGGACAAGGCCATCCAAGTGCAGAACAAAATGGTGGGTTTGCATTTGTTTGCTGTCAATCTCCCCTGTCAGGTCAACTCCACGAGGACAAGGATGATAATGGCTTGGCCACCATTATCTCCCCACAGCACAGCACAATGCCTGGGACATGAAAGATACGTTACAAATATATGTGGGATGGATGGATGGATGGTTGGTTGGTAACTCTCAGTTTATATCTTTGGGCTGAGTATTATAGTTAAGAACACAGTTTCCCAGAGTGACTCAGTTAAAGTTGAGCTTCTTTTATGCAAACTCTCCTTCTCTGTCTTTCACTGAATTTCACTGACAGACCATGAAAACTCAGAACAGAAAGGGATAATGTCGAGGCGAATCGTATAATGTCAAGGCAAATCCTGTCTCCCATCTAGAGGCCAGGGAAGGAAATTAATCACTTTGCTAAAGTCTGGAATTCTAGTTCCTCTGTCTGATGGTTGATTTAAGGTCAACCTCTGCTTGACTTAAGGTCAACCTCTGCTTGACTTAAGGTCATGGTGTATTATTTTTTAACATCATTATGGGCTACACTCATGAAAATGCCTAAACATAAGAGAAAGATGACACCTTGTTCTCTTGCTCCACATGTACATATATCTGACCTCTATTCAACATTCATTTAAACTGTGATTCAATGAGCATCTACTATGTGCCATGCACTGGACTCAGCCTTGGGGACAGAATGAAGAATAAGACACAGCCTCTATTCTTACCTAGTTTATAATCTAGTGGGGGATGACAAGCCAGTGATGATAATACAGCACAAGATGCAGAGAGGCAGAGGTTGCAGTAGGGACCCACATAGGAACATTGAAGTCAGCTGGTGGGATTGAGGAGCACTTCCTGGAAGAAGTTTTGCTTAAGCTAAGCACATGGAAAAGCACCAGCCAGGTGAAACGGTTACAAAGGAGAGGAATGTTTCAGGAGGAAAATGGGAGTGGTGATTGGAGGGTGATGGCACCAGAGTGAAAAGCTGGGGTCAAGCATTTTAGGGCCTTCTAGGTCATGCTTAGCATTTCAGACATCCTAAGAGCAGTGTGTGCTGGAGTCACTGGGAAGTTTTAATATGGGAATAATATAGGGATATAGGATATAGGGATATAGGAATAATATAGAAAGTTTTAATATGGGAATTTAATATAGGAAGTTTAATATGGGATTAATAATATAGATATAACCTATAGAAACTTCCTCTGGGGCAGTGTGGAAGGGAGATTGGAGGGGGTCAAGGTTGGAAATGAGGACACCAGTTTGGTGGCTATTTTAACATAAGCACATGCACTCACTAGGGCCCAAGCATATGTACTCACTCTCTTGCTCTCTCTCCCTCCCTCCCTCTCTCCCTCCCTCCCTCCCTCTCTCCCTCTCTCTCCCTCTCTCCCTCTCTCCCTCTCTCTGCCTCTTTCCTTCTCTCTCCCTCTCTCCCTCTCTCTCCCTCTCTCTTCCTCTCTCCCTCTCTCTCCCTCTCCCTCTCTCCTTCTGTCTCTCTTTCTCTCTCACACACACACACTCATACACACACACACACACACACACACACACACACACACACCAAAGATATATGCAAGCAGCACCAAAGTATGCCCACCACTGGGGCTGGAAAACAATGTCTTAGGCTGCTCCATTTCCTAATGCCTTAATTTTCTCATCTGTAGAATGGGAACAGCTGCAACTGTCCCTCGGTGTCTCCCAGGATTGCTCAGAGAGTGGAAATGTCATGTGGTGAAAGCCTTTACAGCTCAGTGTGGATAAGTGCAAAGGGCTGTTTATTCCTGGTCCCTTTTCATTTCATCCAGTCCTTCAATCCCCAGCATCTGAAGCATCTCTGGGAACTGCATATGGAATAAGACATTCTGGATGACAGCAGATCTTAAGAAAGTCAGGTTTAGATTAGATTTCCACTCAATCTCAAAGTTGAAATTAGAGTAGGGGAATTGAGGTCTTACCTCTAGACACTATAACTGAGAAATTACAAAATTGGCTGGAGACTCCCAGGCAAGGGTAGGAAGCCCTCTGGCTTGGGACTCTTTTGAAGGGATGATTCCACTGATTGGACAGTGTTCACACTCTTGGCTGTGGAGTACCTGTGTGAGTCTCCTAGGGCTTCTTAACAAATTGACACAGACTGGGTAGCTGAAACAACAAAAATGTATTTCTCATTCTGGAGGCGTCTCTCTGTGACGTCTGAGATCAAGGTAGTAGCAGGATCGGTTCCTTCTGAGGCTGCCCTACTTAGCTGTCATCTCGCTGTGTTCTCACATGGTGTTCCCTCTGAGTACATCTGTGTCCTAAGTTCCTCTTATTATAAGGACACTAGTCATAGTGTCCACCCTAGTGACCTCATTTTTACTTATTTACCTCTTTAAAGAACTCATCTCAAATACAGTCACATGTGAGGTGCTAGGGGAATTTTGGCAGAAGTGGGAAACAAAATTCAGCCCACAGTAATTCCCAAATCGTCTATTTGGGTAGTGGATATAAACAAACAGTGAGGAAATCCCAAGACTGTACAAATTTCTGCTGAAGTTTATCCTCCAACGAAGGGTCCTCAATTGAATAGATTTGCTGTCATCTCAGTTGTGGCAGCATCCATATTTTCCTGTTCTTTATCTCAGCTCTGAGGTGCTGCTGCAGAAAGGTGCTGGTCTACATTCAGTTCTCTCTTTCTTTACCACTTTGCAGAACAAGTTTTGCTATGGCAACCACTGGCTGGGAAGAGATAACCCAGGGGGTGCGAGGGTCAGCTCATGTTCTTCTCTCCTCATTTCTAGGACAGCTCTGTTGTGCTTCAGCTGCTGTGTAAATCCCCAAAGAGGAGTTTTTTGCTAATAATTGTGTGTGTGTGTGTGTGTATGTGTGTGTGCGTACCTGCATGCATGCATGTGCATGTACGTGCACACGTGTGTGTGTGTGTGTGCGTGTGTCTGGGCAAAGTGGTACCTTCAAGAAAGTAGCCAAATGGAAGATAGGATCACCCTGAAGAGGGAAGCCATTCACTCATTGACCAATGGGTCACACTTGGATTTTCTGTCTCAGGCCAACCCACATTCTAGTGACTGTGCAGCCCTTGGCAGTTTTCAACTGGCTCCTCCTGCCTACCCAGCAGATGGGAATAATACTCTGCAGACTTCAAATCCTCTTGATTCTCTCTCCTCCAGGTTTTGAAGGCAGATTTTATCTATTGTGCCTCTTGGGCTTTGGTGTCTGGGCCATTCACAGCTACCCACCTAGAGACCCCTCAGATGTGTCAGAAGTGGAAGTTTGTCATGGGAAGAGGAGGCAGTAATGTGAAAGCAATGTGAATTTTTGCTATTCGAAGGGGCACATGACTCACTGAGTCATCTGCCTGAAAGCCATCTTCAGTGTCCCCTGGGCCTTGAAGACGTGGGAGGCAGTGTTTGTGGATGAGAAAGGGGACATTCGGAGCAGAGATCTGTTCAAGTCTCCTGGCACAACTCAGGTCCTCCACCTTGGAGTCTGTCTTGGGTGGTCCCAAGCATCATAAATCCTCTGGAATCTGCCCTGAACACCTGGATTTCCTGCTAGGGTCTTCAGTTTGCCCAGTGATGTGTCCATGGCCAGCTTTGTGCAAAGTTTGCTTTCCAGCTCAGTTGCTCTGCTGCAGTTTACCAAACTTGCTAGTGGACAGACACAGCCTTGAGCAGTCCCTGTGGCTTCTCGGGGCATCTGTCAAAGATGTGCACACAGAATTCAACAAAGTTCCGGTTCCTCCCTTGGGAGGATAATAATTTTGTGTGTTTGTATATGTGCATGCATATGTGTGTGTGTGCATGCGTGCATTCATGCATGCATGTGCATGTGTGTGTGTGTGTGTGTGTGTGTGTGTGCGCGTGTGTGGCTGGGCAAAGTGATACCTTCAGGAAAGTAGCCAAATGGAAGATAGGATCACCCTGAAGAGAAGCCTTTCATTCATTGACCTTATCCTCAGGAAGCCAGACGTGGTACCCACAGAGGCCAATTTAGATCTCCGGCTGTTTCTCTACTTCCCTGTTGGCCCTATTTGTATATTTCTAGCATGCCTTTTCTTTATTTGTTCATTCACTCATTCCTTCATTCCACAAATACCTATTGAGCACCAGTGATGTGCTAAGTATGGCTTAAATTTACCCTGGGAACACAGAAGTGAAATATACAAATCTCCTGCCCTTGGGTGCTTATATTTTAGTGTGAGAGGGTGGGTGAGTGGATGGAGGGAGGTAGGTCTTTGCACTTGCGTTTTCATGGATTATAACAAATTTTCACAGCACTTTTAATTCCATGATAATCTCTAACTGGAAAAGCAATCCCCTCAATACACACCTCCCACCACTTTATCCTGAATCTCTGTCCTGGATTGTGAAGGGATGTCAGGCATGGCAATATGCTTTTATGCATTTTCCTTTTGCTTAACTCAGGGCTTTTTAACCCATTCTGTGCTCTGGACTCCTTTGGTGGTCCTATGGACCCCTCCTCAGAATACTCTTTTTAAATGAATAACAAAATATGTAAGGTTATGAAGAAAACCAATATTTTGAAATGCAGTTCTGAAAATCTTTTTAAAAGTTGTGGTATTATAACTTTTGTGCCCTTTTATTAACACATTAAAGAACATGATTTAGCAGTGGGTTTCATAACAACTGTGATTTCAAAGTACTGATGAGCATAAATGATATTTTGAAATATCTGTAACACCTGCAACGTGTTATGAAAATATCCCTGATTTCTATTGGTGACAAAGTCCTAGGTACTGCAAATAGTAATGTGGTTTGTTGTCACTGTATAAATCTGCTAGGTCTGCCATTACAAAGTCCCACAAACTGGGGGACTTAAACAGCAGAAATGTACTGGTGTGTGTGTGTGTGTCTTGGCAAAGTGATACCTTCAAGAAAGCAGCCAGATGGAAGATAGGATTACATTTCAACAGAAATGTAAGACAGTACATTTCTGTGGTTTAAGCCTCCCAGTTTGTGAGACTAGCCCAACTCTGTTACTAGGGTCTTGCTTTTAACCTAAAGGATGTTTCCTCAATTGTATTCAAGTACAAACAGAAAGGTACTTTGAGTTCTGGAGGCTCAAAATCCAAGATCAAAGTGTTGGCAGGGCTATGTTCCCACTGTAGGCACTAGAAAATGGCCAAGATAATACAACAATCTACACATACACCTCACACATAAGAAAGAGAGGTAGGCATTGTGTTTTTGAGAAACAAAAGGCTCCAACTAGCCCAACTCTGGCACTAGAGGCTTACTTTTTTCTTGATAGCCTACTACATACCTCCCTCACTCTCAGTTCTCTGACAAACAACTATAGCAACCTCAAGTGACCCAATCTTCTAACACTGAAATCACCTAAGGATATTATGCAACTCTAGGAATACATGGTGAAGGGAAACTACCTCCATTTTTAATCTAAAAGCCAAATGTCATTATGTCACCCCCTGGCACTACACCTTGACCTTCTCATTGGTTTCAAAAATCCTTAAGGTAGCTTTCAAGGTTCCTTATGACTGGTCCTTGCCCACCTCCCTGGCCTCATCCCACTCCTCATTAAGCCCCAAGATGGTCCAGCCACCTGCCTTCTCACAGGCCATTGAGCACACCCATCTTCTTTCTGCCTCTGGCTTTAGCACGTGCCATTTGTTCTGCTGTGGTTCAGAAGCTTTAAGGTTTTCTGAAAGATGTCAGGATGATATGGTTTTGCTGTGTCCTCGCCCAAATCTCATCTTGAATTGTAGTTTCCATAATCCCCACATGTCATGGGAGGGACCCAGTGGGAGGTAATTCAATCATGAAAGCGGGTTTGTCCCATGCTGTTCTTGTGATAGTGAATAAGTCTCATGAGATCTGATGGTTTTATAAAGAGCAGTTCTCCTTCACACAGGCTCTTGCCTGCTGCCATGTAAGATGTGCCTTTGCTCCTCCTTCACCTTCTGCCATGATTGTGAGGCCTCCCCAGTCATGTGGAATTGTGAATCCATTAAACCTCTTTTTCTTTATAAATTACCCTGTCTTAAGTATTTCTTCGTAGCATATGAAAATGGACTAACACACAAGGGAATGCACTTTTCTGGCCTCTGAATTAGCAAAGGGAAAGACGGTGTAAAACCCAAGAGTTTACAGTCCTGAGGAATGCACTTTGCATATGAGTGAGAGTCCAGTTCATCTAAAGCATTCCATTTTTGAATGGAGCTATCAGTTCCTGGGCTTAAAACTTAAGTTCTGATTTACGTCTCTGTATGTGTTTGTGTGTTTTGTATGTGGTTTTTGGTGAAAATAATTTCTTACAGGCTTGGAATAATGAGCTCCCTGAATGTGCAAGCTTTGGAAATAGTAATCTACCTGTGCTAGGTAAACTGTGTCTGAAATGTTACCTGTTGAGACAAAAATATTCCTGGGAGGTGTGATTGGATGTGTTCTGTGTGTGCAAGGGGTGGTGTGTGTGTGTGAGTGTGTGTGTGTGTCTGTGTATGTGTGTATGTGGGGGGGGGGGCAGTGAGGAAGAGAGAGGGAGAGACCTTAGCCCAAAGGAGTGTTTCCTGAATTGTATTCATTTGTTCACTGCCTTTAAGATTTTTGCTATATTCAACTACCATCTGTACTTACTTTCTTACAGGGATACATTTTCATGTTTTCTTTAAATTGACCCATTTTTTGTAAACGTAGCTTCAACCTGAAAAGACTATCCAACAAGCCACAGACTTGGAGGCAATAATTGAAAACACACATCTAAGAAAGGTCTGGTATCTAAAATATATACAAAGAACTCTTAAAATCCAGTTATAAGAAAACAAAGAACCCAAATTAAAAATAGGAAAAATACCTGAACAGACACCTCACCAAAGATATACAGATGGCAAATTAGCATATGAAAAGATACTCAACATCATATATCATTGGAGAATTGCAAATTACAATAACAGTGAGATACCACGTCACACCTATTAGAATGGCTATAATCCAAAACATGGACAATGCCAAATGCCGAAGAGAATTTGGAGCAACAGGAACTCTCATTTACTGCTGGTGGGAGTGCAAAATGGTACAGCCACTTTGCAAGACAGTTTGACACTTTCTTACAAAACTAACATACTCTTACCATATGATTCAGCAATCTCACTCCTTGGTATTTACCCACGTGAGTTGAAAAGTTATGTCCAAACAAAAACCTGCATATAAATGTTTATAGCAGCTTTATTCATAACTGCCAAAACTTGGTGCTATGATATAAATGTTTTTTATCCCCGAAATTTCATATGTTGAAATCCTAGTTCCCCAAAGTGAAAGGGGTGGAGCTTTGGGGAGGTGACTAGATCATGAGGGCGGAGCCCTCATGAGTGGGATTAGTGCTCTTATAGAAAGGCCCAAGGGAGCTTGTTTGTCCCTTACACCAAGTGAGGATGCAGCCAGAAGGTGCTGTCTTTGAGGAATGGGCACTTATCAGACACTGAAGCCAGTGCTTTGATCTTGCACCTCCCAGTCTCTACAACTGTGGGAAATCAATATTTGTTGCTTATAAGCCACCCAGTTTATGGTATTTTTGTTATAGCAGCCAAAGCAGACTAAGATACTTGGAACAAACCAAGATGTCCCCTTCAGTAATAGGTGAATGCATGCCTATGGTACACCCAGACAATGGAATATTATCCAGCAATAAAAGAAATGAGCTAACAAGCTGTGAAAAGACATGGAGGAATCATAAATGCATATTGATAGGTGAAAGAAGCCAATCTGAAAAAGGTATGTCTAGTATGATTCCGGCTATAGCACATTCTGGAAAAGGCAAAACTATGGGGGCAGGTAAAAGATTAGTGGTTGCTGGGCGTGGGTGGATGGAGGGATGAGTAGGTGGAGCACAGAGGATGTTTCGGGCAGTGAAACTGCTCTATATAATACTGTAATGGTAGATACATGTCGTCAACATTTGTCAAAATTCTTAGAATGTACAACACCAAGAGCGAACCGAGATGTAAACTATTCACTTTAGTTAATACGAATGTGTCCATATTGGCTCATTGATTATAACGATTACTACTACACTAACAATTAGTACTACACTAATGCAAAATATAAATAATAGGGGAAACTATGAGGGGAAGCAGAAGAGGATATATGGGAATTCTTTGTTCTTTCCAGTTTTTCTGTAAAATAAAATTGCTCGGAAAAAAAAATCTGTTATTAAAAAAGAATATCATATCCAAGGAATCACATGGTTGATGTTCTCCTAGTTATATGTTTTCCTGCATATGAATACATATACAACTGTTAGAAGAAATACAAAGTAATGAAAATGTGCCACCCAAAATCATCTTACCAGTAGAACTTGAACCACATACTTTAAAAAACCACAGTTCCATCCCTATTTTTTAAAAGTAGTGGTCCCTTCCTCATCTCCCTGCTTCCCCTAAATAAAATCTCAGCAGACAGACAGGCTAGAGCAGAGCTGCTTGGGCTAAGATGGGGAGAGGCGGCCTGGCGTTCTGCAGCCCCCTCTCTTTCCACCTTATTTTCCATGACCCCCTCCCTTTAACCCTGACAACACCACAGAACCCTGCTGCTATCAGGAACACAGCTGAGAAACCACTGGTCTAAAGGTCAGCATATTTGGTAGAGCACAGGATGCCCTGATTCCCATCCAAAGACCCCTGGCAACTGTAGGGAATCCTCTAAGCTCCCCTCTGCCTTGGTTGTCTCCTGTAACTGGAGCCCCCCTGGATCTATCTTGCAAAGGTGTGATGAAGACAGAGACTAAGACAGATCCATGTGTCCTTGGAAGAGTCTTGGAACACAGTTATTCCAGGCTGAAAGGATGCAAGTTTAACCCTTTAATACATACTGCTTGCTGATGGGAGTAGCAATTGGTGTGACCACTGCAGAGAGCAATTTGGCACTATGGGGTCAAATTGAAGAAGGAACTGACCCTTTGACCTGCCAATGCCACTTGCAAGTACATGTCCAAGTGTGAGTTCAGAAGCTCTTAAACATGTTCATGAGGAATATGGTCAAAGGCTGTTATTGCAGTAGCATTTGTAAATGTGAAAAACTGGAAACAACCTGAATGTCTATCAGGAGGAGAATGGATAATGGCATTATTGTAGACTCACACAGTGGTATGCTAGACAGCTGTTAAAATAAACTAGATGTGTGTCAGCATGGAAGGATCTTGAAACATAATGTTGGTTGAAAAAAATCAAGTTCCAAAATGATATGTATGACATGATTCTGTCCTTATCAATACTAAATATACTAAATAAACTGAATATAGTTTATAGATATATATATAGGTAATAGATTATAAAGACATTAGAAAAATATGTATTCATGATAATAGGCAGGGAAGGGGTTCTGGGGAGGAGGAACACAAATTGGGTGGCTTTACACACACATACATACACACCCAAGCACACTCTTACACAAATCTGATAAAATTCTAACTTTTCTCAACTTTGGTAAATACATATTTATTTAAACATAGTTGTTTTTACTTCCTACATTTAAATTAAGACATTATTTTCATTTGGCTACAATCTATCAAACAGTTCTGTAGCTCTTACTAGGTATCAGATTTTACAACCTTCCTAATAACCCCAGGAGGTACTGTTTTAGAAGGGAGGAAACTGAGGCACAGAGAGGCTAAGCCACTCATCCAAGGTAAAACAGCTGGTAAGAGCAGAGCCGGGCATCAGACCCAGGTAGCCTGACACACAGTCCATCTTCTCAAGCACGTGCCACAAGGTATCCGTGGCTTGTAATCTCTCACTTGGGTTCCTTACATGTACCCTGTGGCCCCTCTTACACTACCCATTGTCTACTTTGTATTAAGCGTTGTAGGAGCTAAGTTCACTTCTCCCTCTTCGTACTCCTCCAGCTCTAGCCTGGCTCCTGGGCCATAGTAAGTCAATAGCAACTGCTGTTGAACAACGGAATGGATGCATGCATGAGTGGCTTCAGGTTCCTGGAAGCTGCTCTGTGCCAGTATCATGCTCAGGGTCATCATCTCTGAGTCATCTGCTGCCATCTGATGTTACCCAGGATGTTGGCACTAGGTATATGGAAAATCAGCCCAACTGGTAGAAAAAAAACTCAAATAATGTGGGATGTTTATTTCAGAAGCACTACCTTTCTCCCTCTACACTGGAGTAGTTGGTCAGGGAAAATGGTAATTTATATTTTAGAAAATATCCAGGCCTCCTTGCAAATCCATTTTCTTTCTCCCACTAATTCACAGTGAACTTCTGGTTTCAATTTAAATGACAATTCTGAGCAACCTTCTCTTGCCACTTTGCCCCTTCCCTGCTGCTATTCTGCCTCGTATTACCCCTTTTCCATACAGGAATTTTTTTTTTTTTTTTTTTTTTTTTTTAAACAGAGTCTTGTTCTGTCGCCCAGGCTGGAGTGCAGTGGTGCCATCTCGGCTCACTGAAACCTCCACCTCCCGAGTTCAAGCAATTCTGCCTCAGCCTCCCAAGTAGCTGGGATTTCAGGCGCCTACCACCATGCCCGGCTAATTTTTAAAACACTTTTAGTAGAGACAGGGTTTCACTATGTTGGCCAGGCTAGTCTCAAACTCCTGACCTCAAGTGATCCTCCCGCCTCTGCATCCCAAAGTGCTGGGATTACAGGCATGAGATATTAAACGTATCACAACTTATAATCATGTATTTATCGGTGAATTCACTCTTTCTAATGTCTGTCTGTTGGAGAGTCAACTCCAAGAGTCCAATCAAGCATCATGCATGTTTGGCTCATAATTTATTGCCAGTGCCTGGCACAGAGTAAGTGTTCATTTATCACCATGGAATGAATCTTGCTGCTTAATGCAGTGGCTTGACTGAAAGACATTCTACAGAGGCTTCCTTCTTTTATTTAACAGCAAGACTCCTTTTATTAAATGAAATGGTCCAGACTCCCTTATATAAACCAACACATGGCTCCGGTTACACTGGGGAGGACGTGTGATTGGGGAGGATCTGCTTGGCCTGACTTCTCCCTGCTTTTCCCAAGAAGCTTCCAGAGGCATCTCCCAGCCCACCCCTTGGCAAACTTTTCTGAGCCCTGATCTTGAGAAAACCAGAAGGGTCTTTTCACCCAGGAAGCCCTTCTTTGTGGGTTGAAAGACTGATGGTGTGTGCTCTCCTCCCAGGTCCCTGATTCAGCCTTGTAGGGCACTTGTCTAATGAAACCATAAATTCTCCCCTAAATGAGCATTCTGATTTGGTTTGCTCTTCATATGACCTTTTCCTGGGGAAAATGTGAAGCTTTCCCTGAGTTATGGCAAAGACTCCAGTGGGTGGCTGTGTTTGTCCTGCCTCTGCCATCTGATAGTCTAATTCATTTCCAATTTATGAGCTTGTTAGTTCCCCAGCCAGTTCCCACCTTGGTGCTGCTGACCCGGTGGCAGTATTTGCCTGTGTCATCTTGCTCAGACAAACACAGACGTTTCCGCTGAGGAGGCAGTCCCAGCTCTGTCATCTCTTTGACTGACCCTGGCTGACTCCGTTGAAAGCATCGAAATCATAGAGCAGGCTCCCTTCCCATAGTCAGTGAACCTCTCCGTGTCGGCTTCAGCATGGCTCAGAAGCCGAGTTTCCCTGTGTTTACTAAATGCTTCCCTGCCAAAAAGACTTGGAATAACGTCTGCCTTTCAAAGTGATGGGGCTGCTGCCTACACTCGGTCCCTTCTTCCTGCTGGGATTTTGGACTTCCCTAAGTTCTCCATCTGGAATGCTCACTGGCAGATTCTGTGGCAGGATAGGGGCAATCCCCTTGCTTTGAATCTGACTCTGGGAGTGGCAAGAAGTGGAATTGGAGGTGCTTTCTATGTGCCTCTATTGTCTGGCCTCTGCAACGGGCACAATAAAGTACCCCATAGAATTCTGGGAGGGTTAAATAAGGTGCATACACCAAAGGATTTAGGAGTAGGGTATTGTGAGGACTTTACGTACCTTTATATTTTATTTTTATTTTTTTGAAAGAGGATCTGTCTCCCAGGCTGGAATGCAGTGGCTTGATCATGACTCACTGCAGCCTCGAACTTTTGGGCTGAAGCAATCCTGCCTCACTTTTTACCACCACGCCTGGCTATTTTAAAAATAAATTTTTGTAGAGATGGAGTTTTGCCCAGGCTGGCCTTGAACTCCTGGCCTCAAGCGATCCTCCTGCCTCGACCTCCCAAAGTGCCGGAATTGTAGGCATGAGCCACCGTGCCCAGACTTTAAGTACTTTTTAAGCGATTCAGTCTATGTTTATCTCTATCTATGTCTACATGTACATCTATCCCTATATTTAAATCTATATTAGTTTGCTTTGGCTACCGAAACAAATTACCATAAAGTCGGTGGCTTAAAGCAGCAGAAATTTATTCTTTTCACAGTGCTGGAGGCCAGAAGTCTGAAAGCAGGTGTCAGTAGGGCTGCATTCCATCTGGAGGCTTGAGGGGAGAATCTTTCCTTGCTGCTTCCACTTCTGATGGCTATTGGTGTTCCTAGTCTTCCTTGGCTAGTGGCCACATCATTCTAATTTCTGCCTCTGTCTGCACATACCCTCTTCTTCTGTGTGTCTCTCCTCTGTGTCTCTTATGAGGACACTTGTCATTGGATTTAGAGTCTGCCCAGATAATCCAGGATGATCTCCTCACCTTAAGATTCTTAGCTCAATTAAATCTGCAAAGATGGCTAGGTGTGGTGACTCACGCCTGTAAGCCCTGCACTTTGGAAGGCCAAGGTGGGTGGATTATGAGGTCAGAAGATCAAGACCATCCTGGCCAACATGGGGAAATCCTGCCTCTACTTCAAATACAAAAATTAGCTGGGAGTGGTGGCGTGCGCCTGTAGTCCTAGCTACTCAGTCCTAGCTACTTCAGGAGGCTGAAGCAAGAGAATAGCTTGAAACTGGGAGGTGGAGGTTGCAGTGAGCCGAGATCACACCATTGCACTCCAGCTTGGGCAACAGAGCAAGACTCCATCTCAAGAAAAAAAAAAAATCTGCAAAGATCTCTTTTCCAAATAAGGTGACATTCATTCACATGTTCCAGGGATTTGATGTGCACATGTATATAAATTGGCCACAACCGTGTCTCTGCTATCCATCTATACCTATATATTGATGGAAAAGCAAAAATATTAAGATGCTAACCATTTCTGAATCTAAGTTTTCCATGTGTGTGTGTATATATATACAGACATTTGTTCTGCCTTTGCTTATCTGTATTCTCAAGTTCTTCTATAATAAATGTGGTGTTCTTAAATAACCAGACCACTTTAAAGATAATGATGTGAAGCTGTCAGGGCTTTGTGAGAAGCGTGAAGATAGTTCCTGCTTTTCACAGCTCCCCAACCAAGAGCCACACACCCTCAAAGATGCTCCAGAGACTCTAAAAGGCTGTAGCTTGTGTCCCAAGGAATAATTGCTTTTATTACAGCTGTGTAATAAGGAATTGTGCACCCACACAACTCCTTATCCAAAAATCCTGGGAATCAAATATGCTTTTGAATTCAGATGTTTCTAGATTTTAGAAAAACATTCAGGCGCATGTACTATTTATTACATCACACACTTAGTGGGGGTCTGGGTGGCATCCCATAATCAAACATATTATGTCTGCTATGATATGTTTGGATATTTATACTAAGTGGAGTAAATAAAAATCTAAATAATTCCACACTTAATTTGGTCAGATTTTGCCACCCAATGAGTTTTAGCACCAAACATATGAAAAACATCTGGATTTCAGAGATCTGTGGATTTTAGAATTATTGAGAAGAAAGCGAAGGCTGTACTAGTCTTACTGCTTTTTTTATATGTTTGAAAATCTTCATAATAAAACATTTAAAAATGAGGTTGTGCTTAGTGTCATGTCTGGCACTGAATAAGATCTCAAAAAAATGTGTAACCATTAACATTAACTTTGTAATCATTAACTTATTGACAGTGTTGTAAGTCAGACAGGGATTACTGAAGATTTTGACACAGAGGAATGACATGGTCAGGACAAGAAGAATCTAGAAGGATCCCTATAGCTGTGGCACCCAAGATGGCTTGCATGGTGCAAGCAGTGAAGAGAGGTGGTTAGGAGGCTCTGGGACTCACCCAGGCATAGGGTGATAAGATCCTGAGTAGAAGAGGAGAAGAAAGGGCCAGGCATGGTGGCTCATGCCTGTAATCCCAGCACTTTGGGAGCCTGAGGCGGGTGGATCATGAGGTCAAGAGATCGAGACCATCCTGGCCAGCATGGTGAAACCCTGTCTCTACTAAAAATACAAAAATTAGCTGGGCATGGTGGTGTGTGCCTGTACTCCTAGCTACTTGGGAGGCTAAGGCAGGAGAATCACTTGAACCCGGGAGGCAGAGGTTGCAGTGAGCTGAGATGGTGCCACTGCACCCAGCCTGGTGACACAGCGAGACTCTGTCTCAAAAAAAAAAAAAAAAAAAAAAAAAAAGAGGAGAGGAAAGAGTGAATGAACCTGGAAGAACTTGGTGAGTGTTCTAGGAGAACAGGATGGATTCTTGTCACCCCAATATGCTTCTGAATGACAGCAAGAGAGACATACTGAATGTTTGGTGCATTTAGGAAGGAAAATACATGAGTCAATTCAGGAACAAGTCAGTTGGAAATTTCATCGGCCTCCTAATCTGGATAGTGGCCTTTGTAAGAGCAGCACTTTTAGTTGTAAGGGTTGATTTGGGGCGGTGGGCTTGGTAATGAGGACCACCTGAGCATGAAGCATAGTAGCCTAGTGGGGCCCCTCTGTAGAGGCAGTTTTATCCCAGGTTACTGATTTCAAAGCTGCAGATGCTGTGCAGATCACAGGGGCTAAGGTAGGGTTTCTCAGCCCTGATTGTGCATTGAATCACTTGGAGAAAGAGCTTAAAACACTCTCCACTGTAGATCAAATAGAATAGAATCTCTGGGCCTAAGACCCTGGCATTATGTTTGAGAAGCTCTTCCAGATGATTCTAAGATGCAGCAAGATGGAGACTGCTAAGTTTAGGGTTCAGAAGGGGCAGGGGAAATGACAAAAAATGCAGTCACCCTGAGCTCTCCCTATTAATATGCAAAGGGGAAGGGTCTGGGAAATGATTTGAGTAGTGACAGAGAGGGAGGAAGAGAAGAATAACCCAAATTGGGTGAAAACGTAAAAAACCAGGAGATTAAAAAAAAAAAAAAAAAAGCAAAAAAGCAACACTAGAGATGAACTGCGTAGTAAGCGTGATGGACTATCCCAAAGCCATCACCATCACCATCGCCTAAGGGGCGATGGAAGACAGAGCACAGGAAAAGATCAAAACAAAGCAAGATAGTCCATGGAGGAATTGCAACATTTCCTCACTAAACATTGAGCGTGGGGTTAAGAGGTTAGAAATACAGCAAAGGGAGGAAAATGCACAGCCCTAATAGAGCAGTTATTCCTTAGGATCCACACTGCAGCCTTTTACAAAGTCCCTGGAGCATTTTTGAGGGTGTGTGGCTCTTGGGTGGGGAGCTGTGAAAAGCAAGATCTATCTTCACACTTCACATGAAGCTTTGGCAGCTTCACATCACTATCTTTAAAGTGGTCTGGGTTATTTAAGAACACCATATTTATTATAGAAGAACTTGAGAAAGGCAGATGAGCAAAAGCAGAACAAGACCAAAGCTAAATTCAACAGTCCTATGTAAAACCACCACCAAAGCCAGATCTATTTCTTTCCCATTGTCTTGTCTATTTCTTTCCCATTATCTTTCCTCTGCTCTGAGTGTACTTTTTCTTTTTTCTTTTCTTCTTTTTTTTTTGAGGTGGGTTTGCTTTGTCACCCAGGCTGGAGTGCAGTGGTGCAATCAGGGCTAGCCACAGCCTTGACCTCCTAGGCTCAAGCAATCCTCCCACCTCAGCCTCCCAAGTAGCTGGGACTACAGGAGCAAGCCACCATGCCCAGCTTATTTTTGTATTTTTTTTTTTTTGGTAGAGATGGGGGTCTTGCTATGTTGCCCAGGCTGGTCTCAACTCCTGGGCTAAAGTTATCTGCATCCCTCAGCCTCCCAAAGTGTGGGATTGCAGGCGTGAGCTACTGTTCCTGGAATACTTTTTCTTCTTACACAAAAAGATTATACTAGATCTAATCTGAGGGAACAGGATGGATTCTTTTCACCCCTAATATGCTTCTGAATGACAGCAAAAGAGAGACATACTATACAAAATGCTGTGTGCATTTAGGAAGGTTTTGTAATTTTTTTTCATTTAGCAATAGATTAGGAACATTTTCATTTAACGATAAATTGGGACCATTTTTTTCTATGTTAGAAAAAACCACATGATCCTTTTAAATGACTGCCTAATGTTTTATTGTATGAATATTTCGGCATGACTTAATTCCCTTGTAATAAACACATAGACAATTTTCAGTTTTTCAGTTATTTTCATTGCTCTAATATCCTCATACATGTATCTTTATGCAGTTAGCTGATTTTTGCTTTGGGAAACATTGCTCCAAGTGGAACGGCTGCAACAAAAGGTGTGTACATTTTTAGGTCTATTGATTCATAGCACCAAACTACCCTGTGATTAGCCCTCCCCGTGGTGTAATGTGAGTGTGTGAGGAATTACTCTTAAACTAGTCAATGCAGCTTTATCTATATAGATAAATAAGGATCATGCTGCTCTAGGGTTCTCTCCACTTGATGGGATGAAGTCTAATTCTCTGCTATAAGGTGCTGATTTACCTGGGACAAAGGTGTTCAAACCCATCTTCTCTCCTATATCTCCATACCCCACGTTTGTACCCTCATGATGTGAACAGGGTGGGGTAAAAGAGATTGGGAAGCTCTCCCAGCCTTCTCGGGTCCTAAGTGCCTGCTAGTCCTTCAAAAAGGCAAGGAAGACACCCCCTCCAGTTACCCAGCTTTAGAAACAATAAACCTCTGTGGCCAGGTGCGGTGGCTCAGGCCTGTAATCTCAGCACTTTGGGAGGCTGAGACGGGTGGATGACCTGAGGTCAGGAGTTTGAGAGCAGCCTGACCAACATAGTGAAACCCTGCCTCTACTAAAAACACAAAAATTAGCCGGGCATGGTGACATGCACCTGTAATCCCAGCTACTTGGGAGGCTGAGGCAGGAGAATTGCTTGAACCTGGGAGGTAGAGGTTGCAGTGAGCCAAGATCGTGCCATTGCACTCCAGCCTGGGTGACAGAGCAAGACTGTCAAAAAAAAACAAATAAATAAAAAAGGAAAAGAAAGAAAGGAAAGAAGGAAGGAAGGATGGAAGGAAGGAAAAGAAAGAAAGAAAGAGAAACCAAACCTCCTGTGATTGAAGCTCAGGAGCCCCCATCATTTTACAATGACTGCTTTGGGCGATTTTTGGTACCTAAAGATAGAGTCCTGAGGGTGGTGGTTCTCACCCCTAACTGCAAATTAGAATCACTTGGAAGAGATTTTAATATATTCTGATGCTGAGGTCTTACTCCAGTTCATTTAAGTTAGAATCCCTGCTATTAGGTAGGGGACTTGGAGTTTTAAAGTGATTTCCAGGTGGTTGTAATTGCCCCCAAGGTTGGGCAGGACAGCCTCAGGGCATTAAATGACCCTTGTTAGAGAAGATGCAACCTGGGGCCTTAGGGAAAGCCAAACCCTTTCACACATTTTCAATGAGCTCTTTAACAACCAATTTCAGACTACTTTAAGCATTTTAAACTCTTCCTGCCCTCAGGCACATAGTCCAAGCAGCACATTCATAAAGGGAGAGGCTATTGCCTCAGCTCAAAGAAAAATTACACTTCTTTCATGTGAATATACCATTCTGCCAATGGGCAGTTTAAGTCATCACTTCCAGACAATTTGTTTTATAATTACAAACCTCATAAAAATAATGTCCTACAAATTAATCAGCTGAGGAAGGACTGAAAAGCTTTTGTTTTGTTTTGGGTGGTTGTTTTGGCTAGGGACAAACTGGCTCTTTTAAAAAAGGAAAATTTCCAGAGTCTTGCAAAGTCCCTCAGCTCACTGAATTTCATGTCCTCTGGCCCTTGGATTTTACCATCCAACTCAGGATACTCACAGTCTTCTTAATAAACCCTCACTCTCCTGTCCTCTAAGCTGTTGCTCACATGGTGGTTTTTCCACTTGGTGTTTCCTTGAAGTAGGATTGCCAGATTTAGCAAAAACAACAACAGCACAAAACACAGAGTGCCCAGTTCAATTTGAATTTCATATAAATAACAAATAATTTTTAAGAGATTCTGCCACTTGTTAAATGTGTCTGTTCTAAGATGCCTCCTGGAACCAGGGAACTAACCACAGGATGGATTTGGGGACCCACTGTACTCACTGTGAGATGGATCTGAGCTAAAACGCCATTGCTTGACTGACCTCCATAAGCTCTTCCTCTGACTAGTGGACCACAGTGATGTTTGGGGTTCCCAGGAATTGGTGTCAATTCAGAGCCAGTGTCCAGTAATCACTCAAAGTTCTGATTATTTCCTTTTTCCTAATGCATAGTCACCCTGATAAGAACCCCTTGGTCCCTTTGGGGAAGGCTGAAGAAAGATTAGCAATATACACTTTGGGCAGTATAGCATGGTCCTTCCTCAAGGGGACTCAGCCTCCCTTTCATTCAAAGGATTCTGGTTCTGTAAACTGACTCAAGTTTAGGAATTAATCGAAGGGCAAGGACTCTGTTTTGGTGATTCCAGTTAGACTTCTGTTCACTCAGCCTAGAACTCTTCTGTATATACAGATCACATACGAATTTAGTAGATTGCCCCTCTATTTCTTTTTTAGCTGCTGCATGATCAACCAGCCAATGCTGTGATCTCTGTGACTCAGACTCATGATTCCTGTTTTGACCCCCTGTCCGTGACTGTAACCACACCCACGTTGCCTTTGGTGATTAAGTGCTGTCATTTGTCCCCTGCTCCAGGATCCAATTATTCCCATTGCATTTAGAATCCCAGCTTAGTAGCAGCATTTCTCATTGTAATTTCTGACATTCAGATAAAAATGACCCCAGAACTCTTCAAAGATGCTGGGCTCCCCTGACAAATTTATTTCTCACAGTTGTAGTGAAACTACCAGGGTGAATGAGCAGGCTTTACATGACAAATTCACTCTAACATTCCAATTCCAATCTCTCTAAGCCTTTGGGCACCTTCTTCTACCTTCCTTTACAGAATAACAATGCAGTTCTGGTATTTCAACTTCATTTAGTGCAGGACCCCTTTTGCTCCATGTTTCAGCCAACCAAACAGCCACACTGTTAAAACTCTTAACTCAAGGAGCTGCAACATGAGATCCAGAATTTCTGCTTAGTGGGCCCATATCAGTAAATTCAGCCCAATCCAACTTTATGTTCCTTCCACTATTATCCCACACCCTTGATATCCATTCCCACATATATTCCCTAGATTTATGTCCGTATACATTGGAAAAGTCATGCATTTCTTTTGGAGTGTAGCACCCTGCCGCCAACCATAGGTCATTCTTTGTACTTCAAACTTTGGGGCCTGCTGGGACTTGAGACTAGTTATAGGTCCAGAAGCAAAGAGGGGTGGTGGGAGTGGGTTCCGAAGAAGAATCAGCACTGTCTCAAAAGATAACTACCTCAGAGGTGGCCATTACAGATGCTGCAAGCAAAACAGTGTTAACCTCAAACTGCAGGGAGGCGATATGCTTAGGCTTTGTGTCCCCACCCAAACCTCATCTTGAATTGTAATCCCCATGTGTTGAGGGAGAGACCTGGTGGGAGATGATTGGATCATGGGGTCAGTGTCCCCCATGCTGTTCTTATGACAGTGAGTGAGTTCTCATGAGATCTGATGGTTTTATAAGTGTCTGACTGTTCCTCCTTCACACACTCACTCACTCTCTCCCACCTGCCACCATGTAAGATGTGTCTCTTCCCCTTCCGCCATGATTGTAAGTTTCCTGAGGCTTCCCTAGCCATGCAGAACTGTGAGTCAATTAAACCTCTTTTCTTTATAAATTACCCAGTCTTGGGCAGTTCTTTATAGCAGTTGAGAATGAACTGATACAGGAGGAAAGGAGGATGAAGGGCTGTTTCTACTGGCAAAAAGACTTGGCACAATTTATGGGTTCAGTGTACCCAGCTTCATTGGGATCTGCCCATACGACCCCATTCAAAATTTCAGGATCTCATTCTCTCCTAATCCAAACCCTCACTTTAACAGCAAATACCCTGTGAGGCTGTGAATTCAATTTCCATTGTAGTTCTGCTATTCTCAAGATGAGACTCTGGGTCACTTTTCAGCAATCTCAGCCTTGCAGGAGATACAAGAGATAAGGGTTTGTTCCTCCCCCCCCTGCCCCCGCCGGGGCAGACACAGAAGCTTTCAAGTAATTTATGCAGTATTTTGAGCTGAGAATTTGAAACTCTGAGCTTATTCTTTTCTTTCCCCACTTTCTCCAGCTCAGCTGAGAGCAGCTAGCGAATCTTATTATACTTACTAATTTGACTAAAATGTTCTAAGGTATCAAATGCATAGTCACCCAGAACCTTGCCTTTTATTAGTATTCGGCTAGTAGTATCTAATATTTGGGACATACTTGTACTAAAAAATCATACATTGTTTATCTGAAATTCAAATTGAACTAGGCATTCTGTATTTGGTCTGGCAACCTTGCTTTACAGAAATCCTCTTTATCCTCCAAAATTGAAGTATATTTCCAATAGACTGCTCCAGAAAGAAGTTATTACTTTAATTAATATTATTTATTGACCACTTACAATGTGTCTGTTCTAAGTGCTTTCCATAAATGAATTCACTTAAGGCCTGATTATAACTTAGGGCTAGCTATTCTTTTACTCCCATTTTACAGGAGAAGCTGAGCCTCAGAAGAGAAAAATAAGTTGCCCAGTAGATCACAGCAAAAAGGTGGTGGAGTGGGATTTTTACCCAGACAGTTAGGGGTCTGGGTTCACATGGATAATCATGGATAACATGACGCGACCTTGTGACCTCTTCTACCAGAAGCTTCCACAGAGGTGTGTTTGTGCCTTGTCTGGGGCCCTTAACATATTGTTGTCTGTCTACTCTAGCAGGCTGTGATATCATTGGCTAATAGCAGAAATCATGTTTTATTTATTGCCACATCCTCATGTCATGAAACTTGGAAAAATTATATTTATTATTCAACTTTAAAAAGGGAGGAAATTCTGACATGTGCCACAGCATGGATGAACCTTGAGGACATTATGCTAAGTGAAATAAGCCAGACATAAAATGATAAATTGTGTGTGATTCCACTTATGTGAGGTACCTATTACAGTCAAATCCACATAGATAGAAAGTAGAATGGTGGTTTCTGGGGCCTAGGGAGAGGGAGGTATGGGAATGATTGATTAATAAGCATACAGTTATAGCTGAGGATGATAAAAATGTTCTGGAGATGGATGGCTGTGATGGTTGTACAACTATGCAAAAGTATTTAATGCCCCTGAACTGTATACTAAAAATGGTTAAAATGGTACATTTTATGTCATGTGTATCTTACCACATTTTAAAATAAATGTTATACTTAACTTAGCACAGGAGGTTAAGAGCCCAGGCTCAGGGTTCAGTACTGTCTGAGTTGAACTATGGCTCAGCCACTTACCAGCTGTGGGATTTGGGGCTAGTCATTTCACATCAATTTCATCAGTAAAATGTGGATGGACAATAATGCACATATCATGTAGTTGTGAGGACAAAGTGAAACAAAATATGCTGAGTGCTTGGCACAATGGTTCTCATCCCCACAAATGGGGGAGATTTTTAAGACTATCGAGGACTAGACTCTCACAGATAAGTTAAATCTGGCCTTGTGTCTTTAAACGTTTCTATTTAAGAACATTTCAAAGATACATACAAGTGATAGATAGTTCTCACATAAGCATAATGTAGACTGAACATTTATCAAGATTTTAACATTGAAATATATCACCTTTTTTTTTTTTTTTTTTTGAGACAGGGTCTCACTCTGTTGTTGCCCAGGCTGGAATGCAACGGCACAACATAGCTCACTGCAGTCTTAACCTCCTGAGCTGAAGCAATACTCTCACCTCAGCCTCCTTAGTAGCTGGGACTACAGGTGTACACCACCATGCCTGGCTAATTTTTTTTTTTTTTGGTATTTTTTGTAGTTATGGGGTTTTGCTATGTCGCCCAGGCTGATCTCAAAATCTTGGGCTCAAGCTATCCACACTCTTCAACCTCTCAAAGTGCTGGGATTATAGGCGTAAGCCACCACACCCAGTAGAATATATCATTCTTAAAGGTGAAAGAGTTATTGGGACAACACAATGTCTGGCACATAGTACTTGTGCAACAGATTTAGCTGTTATTATTACTTTTACTCTAATTAGAAATTTCTTTGCTTTAAGTACCTTAATTTTGAAAAGGGATGCTCTGAATGGGAGAGGTGCCTACTGATGTCACTGTAAATGTATGACTCCTATTGAAATTGTACCCAGAGGGTTTTCTTCTTCTGTGAATCATCCTGGAAGTATTCTGCATCTCAAATGGACATAAATCAATTTGAACCAATAACAACGTTATTTCTGAAATACCATACTGCAGTGGAATCTGACAGTAAGGTAAAATAGAGAGAAATAAATAGCATAGGGAATATGGAGAGGAAATATAGTCTTTCAGGCCTCAGGAAAAAGTGCTTTTAATCTGGGAATGTTCTGTTATGGTACTCACCCACTGCACGCCCAGGGCAGACATTACTAATCAATATACTCTTTCCCACTGAACCCTAAAGCTGCATTAGAATTTTTAAGACAATGCTTTAGGTACCCACCAACAATCAATGAGAGGTGGCATAGGAGATGAGTCGTATATATTATTCTTTTTTTGTACCCTTTTTTGTGCCTTAGGTAAGTAATACTACATACCCAGAAGGAAGAAAACGCTTTCTGAGAGAGCAAAACAACTGTTTGAACTTCCTCAAAATCCACCAAAAACAGCAAAGTCATTTCCATGGGGCTATCACAGGGCCATGAGCCACAGGTCATTCTAAGATGTGGAGTCTTAGAATCCATCCAAAAACAGCTAAAGGAAAATAACAATAGCCTGGACCTGGCCTGGATTTCTGCCATGTTGGAATTGGTTTGAAATAAAAGTGTTCCAACACTCTTCTAGTTACGAAAATTAGCTTTGCCTCATGCTGCCAAGTGGCTAAGTCTCAAATGTGTATTTTTCCAACTTTAAGTTGAAGCAGTGAGAAAACTCATAGAAAAGATTAGGAAAAAATAAGGTCCATGAAACTAGTCCAATAGTGGGGCTGAAAATGACAATAATAGTAACAATGAAAATTTGGTGCATATTTTCTATTTGCCAGACTTTGTGCCTAGGTGACATGTGGTTCTTCTCACTTCCTCTGCACAAACAACCTTTGAGATCAGTACCATTTTCATTTGCCTTTCTTAGATGACAGTCCTGAAGCTCAGGGAAGTTAGGTAACTTGCTTGAGGCCACATGCTTTGCAAGTGATGCAGCTGTGGGATTTGAGCCCAGGTATGTCTGATTTAAGACATTGTACTCTTGAACCTGTGCATTGGAGGCCAGCAAGGCCTTTCCTTTCAGCAGGAAAAGATGGCAACTAAGAGTTTCAGTCATCTTCCTAACCTTTCTTTGACCTCACTCAAAAGGGCAAGAACTCGAATTTATTCATCATTATCTTTTCCATTGCATTGCATAATACCTGACATGTAATCAGTTCACATTGAGCTGAATTAATATTTGGTGAGGTTTCTAAATCCAGCAGTGAACTCTGCTTGCAGAGCAATTGTGGGTTCTTCTAAATCTTTAGTTGCTTGTCTTGGAGCCAGGTTGAGTATTGTTCCTGTGGCTGTGTCCCTTGTATTATTAGCACATGCATTCAACACTATTTATTGAGCACCTACTCTATGCTAGGCAGTATGGTTGCAGGATAGCAGTCAACAGAAAGACCCAGTCCCAGCCTTTAGATTTGTAGTCCAGAGGGGAAGACACACTTGAGCAGAAGATCATATTAGCAATTGATCATATGCTTAATTGCATATGTCAATTAAGAGCGGATGCTACAGAGGTGCTGAAGAAGGGTACCTAGGGGCTTACAGAAAACACTGATGGAGATGGCATCAGAATATCTAATACATACAGTGCTAGCCATGTGTCAAGCACAGATCTTACAATATTACATGACTCACCTTTTAAAATCCTCATACCAATTTTCAATTCCTAAAGCAAACCTCTCACCACCCATATTCATATGGGGAAACTGAAGCCCAGAGATGTAAGGTAACTCACTCAAGGTCAGGACAGTAAGTGGCAGAGATGGACTCAAAGTTGAGCTGTAGCTGTAATTCAATCCCTCTCCTAATCTACTGTGCTGAGTCTTCCCCTGGGAGGTCTGAAAAATAGTTGGAATTAGCTTTAAAACAGGAGGGGGACTGTTCGAGAAAGAGGAGGCGGTGGTTATGAAACCCGAATTGGACAGAGCTTCAGGAGCTGGGAGGTGTTCAGAACTGTGGTGGTGGCAGTGGATGAGGGCAGTGGTACAGGAAGGGGTGAGTTGAGCAAGAGTTAGATCTACCAGGCTGCCAGGGAGTGCAGCTTTCATCCTAAGGGCACTGGTGAGTTATCAGAGGGCTTTGCCCAGGGAGTGATAAGATCAGATTTATCCTCTAAAGTGCTCACTCTGGCTATTGAGGAGAGAGAGAAGAGAAGGTGCTAAGGATGGAGGTAGGGGGAGTGTGTGGCAGGGCTGGGACTAGGGTGAGACAAGTGAGGTTCCTAGGGCACTGCACTTGCACGGCCCTGAGAGTAACCCTCTCCTTCAACTTTGTGCTCCAGTTGCCAATTGCGTCATCCAAATCTTAGTCCTGCTATTTGGGCTGCTGCTGCAAGAATCTAGGCCAAGGTGGTATAAGCCAGGCCCACAAAGCACATCAAGGAAGCTGGAAACTCATAGAAATGGAAAATCCCTTTTTCACTTCTTGGGTATTTATGTTCGTTTTTGACTGTTAGCGCTTATCACATGCAGTTCATTTTATCTTCAACATCAGAAAGAGTGGAAAGTTTCCTGGGATGGAAATCTCTTTGAGGTTCAATAGTTCTTTACAAAAAAAATGGCAGTAGAGTCAGGGGAGGTAACAGAGGGAGAGGGAGAAGAGAGAGCAGTGGAGAGGGAGGGGGAAAAGTATGACATAGGATGAGATAAGAAACTCCTTTGCAAGTGTGAAGCCAAAGGATACATAATAAAAACAAATTCCAGCAGAATGGAAAGAAAACAAAACGCTACCTTGAAATGAAATATCCATTCTAAACATGTGCACTGCGCTTTTTCAGCATCACTACAGTGTTTTTGAGGTCCTTTTGTGAAAGACGTTGGTCACAAACCTATGCTTTAATCTTTAGCCACATTTTATCCAAAGGCCTTGGGAACCCGTGGGGTTTGCTAAGACTCCACCAACGTAGACGCTCGTTCAGCAGATAGGATGTTTGATGCCGCTTGCTGCAAGCCCTGGGAAGTTCCTACGAATCATAAAGATTAAGGTGTTTTTTGAAGCTGGTTTAAATACACATAACACGAGAGTAACAAGCCAAGTACGAGAGAATTTAAATAAGCTGCTCTTTGGAGTTGCTGACACTCAGGCGTGTGGGCTCATAATTTGGGATTCTGAACTGGAGAAGATTCCAGAATGAAGCTTAGAAGAATGAGGTCTACTTTTACCTGTTCTCATTCTATTCTTGTCTTTTGGTTCTTCATTTCTTAAAATGACCTGCTGGCAGCGACCCTGTGTTAGTCCCATGGGAATTACTTTGTGATTTGTGGTGGATTTTGAGGAAAAGGCAGTTGTTTTGCTCTCTTGGAAATTTTTTGGGTTCTTTTTGGGTACGTAGTATTGCTTACCGAAGGCACAAAAAAAGGGTACAAAATGAGAGCTGGGTCCTGCAGTCAACCACACCTGCTCTGATTAACCCTCAACCCACTCGTCCCTTTCATCGTTGAATGACATTTTCAATATCAACCCTTTGCTGGTTCTAAAGCACAGCAGCCTGTATTTGAATCCATTTCTGTTGCATAGCTTCTCCGTGAACTTGAACAAATTTCTCCACCTCTTCAAGTGTGAAATGGGGGCTAATGATGGTACTGATTTCCAGGGTTGCTGGAAGCATTAATCTAATCACGAGAAAGTGCATGCCAAATGCTTGGAATTAGTCCTGGCACATGCTAAGCATTCATTAAATGTTAGTTTTTATTTTCATCAACTATTGGCTTTCACAAAACTTAACAACAACAAGCAAACCAAACCCTGAGGCTTCACTTTTGGGAATTAAACGATTAAATATTATGAGGTCTAAGACATTAACTTTTATTAATGCATAATAAATGATTACATGTCACTAATAGATTGATATCTATTAATATACATTAAATGATTAGCTTAATTACATTTAAAAATATCTGCAACAACTAAGAATTATATGTTGATTGATGAAATGGGTTAAAATTAAATTAAATGCGTTAATATACATGAAGCAGTTACAACAGGACTCAACATCAGATATACACTCAACTAATTATTTTTTTAATTTGATAATATTTGAACTCTCTGGAGTGACTCCTTCAAAATCACATCATTTTTGGGGAGACGACTGTAAGACCAAGGAAAAACAGTGGCATTTTCTCACCTAACAGTTTCTCCTCAATCCATGTTCCCTCTATCCCCTCAATCTGGTTTTTCTGTTTTGCTCTTTTCTACCTTCCTGCTGGTAGTCGAAGCGAGGGAGAAAGAGCAGAAGTAAGGTGAGGTTTTACCTAACAAATATAAATGCTTATGGTGCCTTATATTTTGGTGACTTTAAATTTTGATATAATTTCAAATTTACAGAACAGTTTTAAGAATAATATAAAGAACTTTGATTATAGCCTTTATCCAGATTCAACCATGGTTTATGTTGCTCCATTGACTCTATCAGTTCCTAGCCCTCCCTCCCTCTCTCTGTGTATTTCTGAAGTATTTGAGAGTGCCTTTGTATATGTATTTCTGGATACTTGAGTGTGTATTTCCTAAGAACAAGGTCATCCTTTTACATAACCACAGTTCAGCTTTCAAAGTCAGGAAATGTAACATTGATATATTACTATTATCTATTCCATAGTGTATTTTCAAACTTCATCAAATGTCAAGTTCTTTTTTTTAATCCAGCCCAGGATCCAATCTAGGATCACAAATGCTACTTATGTGTTTTGTCTTTTTAATTTCCATTACTCTGAAACAGTTCTTCATTCTTTCTTTGTGTTTCTTGGCCTTGGCATTTTTGAAGAGCACAAGCCAGTTACTTTGTTAAATTATTCTGAATTTGGATTTTTCTGCTGTTTCTTCATCCTGTATGCAAGTTATGCATTTTTGGCAGAAATACCACTGAGGCATTGTCTGTTGATTTTATAAAGCATCTTAAAGCTGGTGTCAGTAGGGGTACATTTGGTGGCAAGTAAAAGACTCAACTAACACTGGATAAAGAACGAGAAATCTGGTGGTTAGTAGATCCAGATTGGATGTGGATTCTTTCCATTTTCTACTCTGCTACCCTCTTCACATTGTTGTATATGGCAGTATGTGAACTGAACATGACAAGAGGCTTAAAGAAGGATGAAAGGAGAGATTAAAGTAATGTTCTACATTTGTCTTAACGAGGCCAACTTGTTCATTAGAATGTGAACAGAAATGTAATAAATACCTCCATATATTACATTGCCACCCATGACTGATAGCTGATGGATTAGAGGCTGCTTCCCCAGAAGCAGAACCTGAGACAAGGATTTATGTACAAGTATTTTATGTGGGAAGGGATCCCAGGAAGCACCAGTAAGGGTGTGAGGCAGGGAGGGTGAAGCAAGGAAGTATAGCAGCCAGGACAGGGTGTGTTGTTGAGCTGGTTACTCCTGTGGATAACCAGGTCTTGGTCTCACTGGGAACCTCTAGGAGCCACTTGGAGACATGCTTCAGGGTCTTGCCACCAGAAGGATGAGAAAGCTGGGGTACTGATGTTCCAATCCCTGGTATCCTTGGCTGGAGGCTGCTACAGAGGCATCAGCGCCCCCTGCGTGTATAGGCTAAACAGTTGGAAAGCCCTTGGTGGGAGGGTCTGCATGCTGACAGTCAGAAACTGGCCAACTGCATGATGAGAGAAAGTGATGAGGGGCTCTGGGTGGAGCCTGGGCAGTGTCTGATCTTCCTCTAGCTGAAATGGACACTCCTTTGTGTGAGCACTGAACTCCCTCACTTCTTTGTTGGTGCCCATTTTTCCATGGGGTGAGAGGGTTTATCACTGTACACATTAAGCCCTGGTCTTTCTTTTTCTCTCTCTCCTTGTCCCATTCAGGCTCTATTTCAATCTCTAAGACGTAAGGTCATAGCCTTTCACTTAAAAAATGTTATTTGATTACATGCACCTGTCTTTTCTGTGTTTCTTCCATAGGGCAAGCGTGTGGGCTTTGGAACAAGCCAGACTTGGCTCCAGTTCTCTAGTTCGTGTGAATGTGAGCAGGTGACTGTCACCTTTCTGAGCCTCAGTTTCCTCAAGTGTAAAATGGGGATGGAATAGCCGCCTTTCAGGGTTGCAGAAATGAGGACTAAATACAACATCATATATGAGTGCTTGACACATACTTAGAGGTAGTTATTACACAGAGTAGCAACATGCATAGTAGCCTGCATTGCACCTGGCATAATAAATGCTAGGTAAATGGTGAGTGTTTATAATTCGGGGACTGGCAACGTTTTTCTAAAAAGGGCCAGATAGAAATATTTTAAGTTTTGAGGCCCATATGGTTCCTGTTGCAGCTACTCAAATCTGCGGTTTTAGGATGAAAGCAGCCACAGGCGTGTGTATGTTTCAATAAAACTTTATTGACAAAAAAAAGAAGTGGCCCAGAAGTCGTGGTTTGCTGATCCCTGGTTTATGTGATTATAATGATTGTTACAACCATTGCCAGGATTTGTGTACAAGTTTACTGCCCACCAATTTGGCAAAGCTCAGTCCGTTTTTATTTTTTATTTTTTTTTTATTTTTATTTTTTGAGATGGAGTCTCGCTCTGTTGCCCAGAATGCAGTGGCGCGATCTTGGCACACCACAAGCTCCGCCTCCCGGGTTCACACCATTCTCCCGCCTCAGCCTCCCGAGTAGCTGGGACTACAGGCCTCCACCACCGCGCCTGGCTAATTTTTTGTATTTTTAGTAGAGACGGGTTTTCACCGGGTTAGCCAGGATGGTCTCGATCTCCTGACCTTGTGATCCGCCCGCCTTGGCCTCCCAAAGTGCTGGGATTACAGGCGTGAGCCACCGCACCCGGCCCCATTTTTATTATTCATGGTAGTTATGTTCCATAAAGCCACAACGAACACTGAAATAGCAAATACCAAAATACAGCTCTTAGAGGAAATACAAGGTTAGGTTCCTGGGAGCCTCTGGTTGAAACATTTTTTCAGCCAATCAATACATAACCTCATTTTATGTGTGTTTCTGTTTAGAGACAACTTACTTAATATATACATGTTTTTGATTCATAAACATTGAACTCAGAGCCAACAGCAATATAATTCACACCTGAACAAAGCTTATCTAACATACATATTTTCTCTGAAAGGCATCTCATAGCCTTTTTGCATTAAGGGACACTAAAGAGCACTTCCACTCTATGCTTGGGGGGTTGGAGGAGAGTGTCACTTTAAACACTGAAGGTACCAAAAAGAGAAAGAAAGCACAAAAATGCGTCACTAACTAGACCCCATAAAAAGAACACTTGTGGCCAGGCGCGGTGGCTCACGCCTGTAATCCCAGCACTTTGGGATGCTGAGGTGGGTAGATCACCTGAGGTCAGGAGTTCGAGACCAACCTGGCCAACATGGTGAAACCCCGTCTCTATGAAAAATACAAAAATTAGCTGGGCGTGGTGGCGGCCACCTGTAATCCCAGCTACTCTGGAGGCTGAGGCAGGAGAATCGCTTGAACCCGGGAGGCAGAGGTTGCACTGAGCTGAGGTCATGCCACTGCACTCCAGCCTGGGTGACAAGAGTGAAACTCTGTCTAAAAAAAAAAAAAAAAAAAAGGATGATTGTTCACTGTGTGCGAGCTAAAACAAGTAGTCAGGGTGTTGCCTTGTTTGACAGGCTTAGAAGTGCATCTTAAATGACTCAACTTTTTGTGCTCTGCACATATGCATGTCTGTGAATAACTGTGAAAATGCCAGAAACGTTGATTTTGGGGTTACAGATAAATTTTAGTATGTAGGCCAGTTCACCAATACAAAGAAAAATGAGGATTGGGCTGGGTGCATGGCTTACACCTGTAATCCCAGCACTTTGGGAGGCAGAGGCTGGCGGATCACCTGAGGTCAGGAGTTCGAGACCAGCCTGGCCAATATGGTGAAACCCTGTCTCTACTAAAAATACAAAAATTAGTGGGGCAATGGTGGCAGGCATCTGTAATCCCAGCTACTCAGGAGGCTGAGGCAGGAGAATTGTTTGAACCAGGGGGGTGGAGGTTGTAGTGAGCCAAGATCGTGCCACTGCACTCCAGACTGGGTGACAGAGTGAGAGTCTATCTCAAAAAAAAAAAAAAAAAAAAAAAAAAAATATATATATATATATATATATATGGCTTACCCTATGGACTTTGCATGATATGTTTTTTATTTTTATTTTATCTTAGGCTTTCCAGTTTTTAACTCTTTAATTATTTAAATAATTTCATGAATATATGTTCAACATAAAAACATTAAAATGACACACAGCTATAAAGAATAAAAAGTAAGTTATTCTTCACATTCCTTTTGTACTAGATTCCAGTTTTTTTCTCCAGAGGTCAAACAGCTCATAGTGTGATCTTTTTGAGATTTAAACACACATGTGTATGTACACAAAACACACTACTTTAAAAAGTAAATGGGCCACACAAAAACCTGCACATAAATGTCTAAAGCAGCTTTATCGGTAATTGCCAAAACTTGGAAGCAGCCAAGATGCCTTTTAGTTTGGTAAACTGTGAAGCCTCCAGACAGTGGAGTATTATTCAGCTTTAAAAAGAAATGAGCCATTGAGCCATGAGAAGATACGGAGGAACCTTAAATGCTTATTACTAAGAGAAAGAAGCCAATCTGAAAAGGCTGCATATGGGATGATTCTAACTATATGACATATTGGAAAAGGCGAAACTATGGTAACAGTGAAAACCCAGAAATAGCCCAAATGTCTATCAAGTGTAAAAATTGATAAATTGTGGAATACTAAAAAAGAATTTGCTGTTATTACTAGTATCCTAGAAGTAGGATTGCTGAATCAAAAGTTATGTGCATTTTAGATCTTAATATCACAAACCCCTCATCCCACCCTCCAAAACCCTCCAGAAGAGAGGCTCTTTCAATTTCCATTCCCACCAACAGCCATTGAGACTCCCTGTTTGCCTGTACCCTTGCCAATACTGGGTACTATCCATTAATTTACCTTTTGCCAATCTGATGGGCTCATCCTCCTTTACAACTGAAATTCTTACAACTGGGACCTGTCATAAAATTGGTGTGTAGGAGCCTTTGAGAAGGCTGTCGGCAAATGAAGCAAAAACTCCAACCCTCTAATTTTCCACACACTGATTTAGGCTCTTTGGAAGATTAACAAATGGTTATCAGGGTAATTCTGAAAAGAAGTGGGGGCAGAGATTCCCACACAGAACCTAATGTTTTCTGGGTTGGTGGGGGTGGGGGGGCTTTGATTTGAATGGCTCCAGGACCCCCTCTGCCAGATGTCAGCAAATCACAGACATTCATCTAGCTGAAAGCCAACCTATTCAGTCTTTCTGGGCAACACATTCAGACAGAACCCAGCATTCTTGGCTCAGGGTGATGAAATAAATAGGACTTAATTTATATTTTAAAGTCTTTTTATCTCTCTGTAAGCCCCTGTGCTTCATTGAAAGAAAATTTGATCGAGATGTAGAGAGGTCAGAATGCAGCTTTAATAATTCACGATCTGTAATCTTGGCCCTTTCTTACTTTGCCTTAACATTTATTTGGAGGTTTGCCATTTCCCTCTGCTTCCCCTACATGATTCTTGAGCGACAGTCTTGTCCTTCTTCTAAACTCTCTTGCCTCAGCATTCAGACCGTTTCGGGTAGGATCGGAAGGTTTGATATCCACTTTGACCAATGAGAGACTTTGGGGGCAAACTGGGGCCCCTGACCCTCTCTCCAGGAGCCTTGATCTGCCAGTTAGAATATCTTATATTGATAAGATTAGTTGGTAATTAACAGCCCAGCCCAGTCAAGCAGAGGAGATGACTCAATTAGCAGAATGTCACTCCATCTAATTTACTTTGCTTATCAGAGATTTATTTTCTAATGACTACAGGAAGAAGAACAGGGCACCTTCAGAGGAGGGATCAGAAAGGGTTTAAAAGCTTCAGTGTGCTCTAACCTCTCTTTTTCAGCTGGTTTGCCTGGCAGTGAGGAGGCTGATAATGCCAATTTGGGGAATTGGCTGGTCTGATACACCTATCTCAAACTTGGGAAAAAAGAGGTTGAATGTTTCTGTTATCCCTCTATCTGATTCTTTTCTTTATTTTTAAGTTTTGTGGGTACATAGTAGGTGTATACATTTATGGGGTACATGGGATGTTTTGATACAGACATGCAATGTGAAATAATCAAATCATGGAGAATGGGGTATCCATCCTCTCAAGCATTTATCCTTTGTGTTACAAACAACCCAATTATACTCTTTTAGTTATTTTCAAATGTAAAATTAAGTTATTGTCTATTGTCACCCCTTTGTGCTCACATAGTAGGTCTTATACATTCTTTCTAACTATCCTCTATCTGCTTTATATTTTTTGAGCTAATCCTGTTTGTCATCTTTGTTTGATGAGAAAACTCCTCCCACAGCTACTTAGCTTTAGCTAGAGTAGTAGTAGCAATAACACCACCTACAATAATACTAGACAAGGTATTTATTAAAGCCTCTTGATACCCCAGGCATTGTGTTAAAGACTTTACATTGGACACATAACATTGAATCCTCTACACCACAGTTGGCAAACATTTTCTTAAAGGGCTAGATAATATTGTAGTTCTGGGGACCGGTCTTTGTTGAAACTGCCCAAGTTTGATTGTATTAAGAAAGCAGTCATAGACTATAGGCAAATAACTAAGTATGACTTGTTCCAATAAAACTTTATTTACAATAACAGTCATTTGGCCAGATTTCGGCTGTTGGCCATAGTTTGCTAACGCCTACTTTAAATCAGTGTTTCTCAGACTTCATATTGTGATTTATTTAGTCACAGAATCAATGTAGATGGTTGCAAAACTCATTTTTTAAAAACATGAAATAGAATAAAAACTATGTGGCTGGGCATGGTGGCTCACACCTGCAATCCCAGCACTTTGGGAGGCTAAGGCAGGTGGATCACTTGAGGTCAGGAGTTTGAGACCAGCCTGGCCAATATGGTGAAACCCTGTCTCTACTAAAATTACTAAAAAATTAGCCAGCCATGGTGGCATATGCTTGTAATCCCAGCTACTCAGGAGGCTGAGGCAGGGGAATCCCTTGAACCTAGGAGGCGAGCCTGCAGTGAGCCGAGATTGCCCCACTGCACTCCAGCCTGGGTGACAAAGTGAGGCTCTGTCTCAAAAGAAAAGAAAAAGAATAAAAACTATGTGAATGCATCACCTCTAATATGGATAACTCCTATTTGGTGAAATTTTAATTTCAGATGTGCGTGTATGTAAAACCATATATGCATATGGATATAGGTGTGTATGTATTTGTGTGCGTGTGAGTACTGGGTTTCAATGTGAAGTGTGTATCTTATTGCAGATTATAAGAGTTTGAAAAGTCCTGCTCTTAACTACCTAAAGTAAGTCTCATTATTACATGCATTTTACGGTTGAGGAAATAGAGATGTGGAAAGACATTCGGTGACTTGCCCCAAGTTACACAGCCTGAGGAGCCAGATTTTTTGATAAGACAGCAAGCCTCTGACATACAGCATTTTCCCATGCCCACTTTGGAATGGGTTAATAGCAGTGAAATGGTTAAAATTCCTTCCAGTGGAAGGAAAATAAAACAAGGGACAGGCATAGTCCACAAATTGAATGGCTTCTTGCTGAAGCGAACAGAAACGTCTCTTTTTCCTTCTTGGTATTTTCATTGCAAATACTATTTATCACAATGTATTTTTCCCCCAACGCATTTTAGAAAGTCAGTTGGAATTGATTTGAGGCTCTAAACAGTCTCCTGAATGAAAAAGCAAAGTGTAACCTATTCTAACAGCCCCTCTTCCTTAATCTAGAAACATGGGGAGATGCAATTTAAATGATAATGTTAACCAAAACGGGAGAATGCAATGCTATAGTAGGAGTGTTTGTTTTGTTGTTTTTTTAACCCCCACTGAAAGACAAATGGCTGAGACATTTATATCTGCAGCACTTATTAAGGAGAAAATGCTCAACCCGTTAATTTCATTGCTGTGGTGCTGAATATGAAGAAAGAATGTAGTTTCTGAGTGACTGCTGAGGACTCCCACAGTCCTACAAGATGGCGGCCAGGGAGGGGGATTCTGTGGCAACGTTCGAGAAGTCCTGAAATGTCGTCCGTTATCTAACATTTATCTGGGTGTTGCAGAATAAGTGTTTCTCGAAGTGAGACTTCTTGGAACATTTTCTCTTAAACTGAGGCTTTGGAGTCACTTTGTAAGTTTGTGTTTTAAAGCCAACCCTCTAAAACTTGTTTGCTGATCAATTTAAAGACAGGTCTCCCTGGCAACCATGTTGTACACAGGGTATGGATTATGTATACAGAAGATAGAACGTAGAGTTATCTGAAATAATATGTTAGTTTCAGTAAGAAAAGAATTAGTCAGAAATAAAATAAAGTAAGCATATTAGGATTTTTTTTAAAAGTGTGCCCCAATTTAAAAACACATCTATAGGAAATAAGGAAGAATATACACTTTGATGATTCTGCTACCTAACAAGACGACCATTACTATTTTATAATGGGTTTTGTTTTTCCATCTTTTTTCTTTCTTTTTTTTTTTTTTAAAGTGCTTTGGTTAAGAAGCCTCACAACTCTCCCCAGTTAACACCTTCATAAGGAAAGCAAAATTACAAGACGGCAAATGTACCAATTAGGACTCAGTTTACCTGTGTTTTCATGCTCCAGAGTGTTTGATACACATTTAACAACAAGCGATGTTTAGAGGAGGGAGCCCAAACTACCTCTACCCATAAGACTCCTCTAAAGTATCTAGGGTATTTATACCATGCCCTAACATCTTAGCTGTGCCTTGCAGGTTTTTGCATACCAAGGCTTTGTGGGCAAAAGATCCAGAACTAAACGACATCTACCTAGTCTATGTTACAGGCTGTGCCTTCAAATGTCAAGCTTTGCTAACCATGTCTCATTATCCAACAAGCTTAGTTTTTCTGATGGCTACCATGTCCAGTGTCGCTCAGAGAACTTCCAAAATTTCCTATACTATGTACGCCCATTGATTGAATATATATACACATGCATACACACACATACATACATGCATATACATATACACACATATTATTTTGCATATGTTTATATATCTTCACATACATAAACATACATATGACCAAAATTTATACATGCATCTACTTTAAAGAGCCAAGGTTCTAAAAAGCTTGTTATAAAGAGCAATAACTTGCTTCTCCTCATTTCCTTCCATTTCTCTCCCTTCGGAGGCAACCACTGTTGTCTCTTGTAGCTGATTCTTTTGGTACCTTCGGATACTTAAATGGCATGTTTATAATGTGATGTCTTGATTTCTCATATTCAGGTATTAACTGTTGTTTTTTTTCCTCAAGGAAAATGAGAATTTCGCTTTCTTGCCCCTCCCTCCCTGCCTCCACGACCTCTACCCACAACGCACACACTTCCTGTCTGAGTCTTTTGCAATGATTTTTGATAGTTTAATATTCGTTATTTCCCTGTGTCATGACCATGCCAAATGCCTTCCACAGTTGCATCATGTTCTGTGATATTTTTTTCCTTTACTGCACAACTTTTTGTTTTCCATGAAGTTAATAATAGTTGCCTTTTAAAAATTTGCTTAACGTTTTGTATGATCTCAACCCTGGTTCAGTCTCCAATTTTTGGCTAGTTCTGTAACTCTCCTCTGATTGTATCCCTCTGTATCACAAAGCTATTAATTCTACTTTCCAGGAGTATGAAGATCCTGGGGCTTCAAGCCTGCTCTCTGCTCCCTACACCAGGGGAGCAAACTCATTCTGGGCAATCCCCTCTGTCCATCCTCTGTAGTGGAGATCCTATTTCTCAAAGAACCATATGTTCTATGTTCTTGGTTTATCCCCTCAATTTCGTTGAGTACTTCTCTTACTAGCCTTCTGAAAAAGGACTTATTATTATTATTGGAGATGTTGCATATAGGTGTTGGCTATAGAATCCTAGGTTGGAAATATAAACCTCAAATATTTGAGACAGGTCCCAGTCAATTTAGAAAGTTTATTTTGCTAAAATAAACTTTAGCAAAAAAAGGTTAAGGACGTGTGCCCATGACAACTCAGCCTCAGTAGGTCCTGATGATAGGTGCCCAAGGTGCCCAGGGCACAGCCTGGTTTTTGTACATTTTAGGGAGACGTGAGACATCAATCAATATATGTAAGATGAACGTGGGCCAGGCGCGGTGGCGCACGCCTGTAATCCCGGCACTTCAGGAGGCCGAGGCGGGTGGATCACCTGAGGTCAGGAGTTCAAGACCAGCTTGACTAACATGGTGAAACCCCATCTCTACTAAATACAAGAAAAAAAATTAGTCGAGCGGGGTGGTGCATGCCTGTAATCCCAGCTACTGGGGAGGCTGAGGTAGGAGAATCACTTGAATCCGGGAGGCGGAGGTTGCAGTGAGCCGAGATCGTGCCATTGCACTCCAGCCTGGGCAACAAGAGCGAAACACCATCTCAAAAAAAAAAAAAATGTTGAAAGCTGGTTGGGTCCAGAAAGGCAAGATGACTCAAAGTGGGGAGGGGACTTCCAGGTCATAGGTAGATAACAGACAAAAGGTTGCATTCTTTTGAGTTTCTGATTAGCCTTTCCAAAGGAGACAATCAGATAAGCATTTATCTCAGTGAGTAGAGGGGTGACTTTGAATAGAATGGGAAGCAGGTTTGCCCTAAGCAGGTCCAAGCTTGACTTCTCCCTTTAGCTTAGTGATTTTGGAGTCTCAAGATTTATTTTCTTTTCACAGAAATCGCTTTCCTCAAAATTTTGAAGACGTGACTCCCCTGTCTTCTAGCTTTTAGAATTGCTGCTGAGAAGTCTAAAGCCACTCTGATTCTGACTCTTTGCATATAATCTGCTTTTTCTCTTGGTAAATGTGTAAAATTTCTTTGATCCTGGATTTTGAAAATGCCACAGCAATGTGCCTCAGTGTACCTTGGTCATGGTGCTGGTCTTTTGAACCTGGGAACACACGCTCTTCAATTCTGGAGAATTTTCTTGAGTTATCTAATGGATAATTTTCTCCTCTCCATTTTTTTTTCTTGTTTTCTCTTTCTAAAACTCTTGTTATTCAGATGTCAGTTCACTATTTTTTAAAAAAAATTCTTCTCTCTTATTTTGCATCCCTTTGTCTTTTTGCTCTCTTTTGGAAAAATTTGTCAGTCTCATCTTCCAACCTTTTTACTTTTACTCATCTTCCAACCTTTTTACTAACGCATTCATTTGTGCGTTAGCTTCTGAGGGCTTCTTTTGCATCCCTTTGTCTTTTTGCTCTCTTCTGGAAAAATTTGTCAGTCTCATCTTCCATCCTTTTTACTAACGCATGTGCGTTAACTTCTGAGGGCTTCTTTTGGCTTTTCACGTGTTCCTGTTTACAGTCCCAAGTAGAGTATTTGGCACAATGCCCTAAGGCATGGTAGAGTAACAGCAAGGAGGATGATGTGCTTGGAACAATGTGAGCAAGAGTGACTGTGGGAGCCAACAAAGCTATGAAAGATAATTGGAGGAGGCACATCACATAGCACATTATGGAACTCTGACTCCAAGTGGTGAAGCTGGAGTCTAAGCCTAGCTTTGTCCCTGCTTTGGAAAACTCAGTCTTTCTGATCCTCAGTTTTCCTACTTGTAAAATTAACTGTTTGAATTTCTAAGAAACCTTACAACTCAAATATGCTCATGAATCTTTGATTACATCAATGTTCTCTCCCTAAAGCAGGCAAATCACAACACTTAAATTTGTGTATATATATTTATGCTTTTCTAGATGCCCAAGTATATATGACTTCTACCATCCAGTAAAACAGACCTTTTACCCTTTAGGAAATTACAGGTTGAGAGTTAAATTCTATAATTAGTAAGTATTGTTTTATTGGAACAAAGATTAGGTTTCCCCAAAGTCGTAGAAATTAATGGCAAGGTCAGATTAGCATGAGGGTCTTTGGTCTTCTAGCGTTCCCAACTCCATTGCAGAAGCTCTGAGCAAGTCAACTCTCTCAGCCATGACCAAGAAGAAGCTAATTCATCTGAAGGAAAATGCTGAGCCTGCCTTCAGAGTCCTTCAGAGTAAACCTGCTGCACAATTAGCTGAAGGAAAGGGCCTTGCAGGGAGTCAGCACATCAGAAATGCACCATTACTCAGCCAGGGGCTGACATTCAGCCAATGGCAGCCCCTTGTGTAGATACTGGAGTGGATCCCACGGAGAATGAGCCCGCTCACCCAGCATGGGGTTTACAGCCGCCATGAACCTGGAGGAGAGGACATTTGGGCCAGAGCATTTTGGCTTCCTCTGCTGTTTGAGATGGGTTTGTCACCAGGAGCAAGCCTTTGCTGAGTTCTCCCTCCTTTAAAGAATTGTTTTCTCTAAATTAATTAAATTGATGAGAATAAAGAGGGCCAAATTGATGGCACCCAAATGCATTTGAAAGTGATCAGAAACCGCCAGGAACACCATAAATTCCATAATTAGAAAGTATTTTCTTAAAGGGACAAAGATCGGATTTCCCCATTTCAGAGTTGGAAATGCCCCTTGATTAATTTCCTCCAGCCTGTCTCTTAATGATATGAAATGCAATCAAGATAAGTAATCAAGAAAATCAAAGTGTCCTAAGTACTTTAGGTAATAATGACAATAACATTCAACCACTGCAATAACCAGAGTTATATATTATTTGTGCGTTTTTAAACCTCATACTAGACACTGTACTAAACATGTCAAAAGCCTTGTCCCATTTAATACCTAGAAAACACCATGAGGTAGAAACTATTCTTCTTGCCATTTTACAGATGACTTCAGGTGACCTGCTTGGAAAGCTTTGTCAGTTGTCCACAGTGATGCAGCAAGTGAGGGGTGGAGCTGGAATTTGAACCCAGGCTGTCAAAATGCAAAGTCCAGTCCTCTGAACTATTATGCTATAATGCCTCTTAAAGTTTTTTTTCCTATTGTCAACTCTGAATGTCATGTTGAGTATAGGAGAGGAAGTGTATCTTTTCTTTCTCAGTCATCAGGGAAAGAACATTCATTTTGCTGTTGTTTTTAACTTCTTTTTTTTTTTTTTTTTTTTTTTTTCTGAGACAAGGTCTTGCTCTGTATCCCAGGCTGGAGGGCAGTGGTACGAACTTGGCTCACTGCAACCTCTGCCCCCCGGGTTCAAGCGATTCTCCTGCCTCAGCCACCTGAGTAGCTGGGATTACAGACATGTGCCACCATGCCCAGCTAATTTTTGTATTTTTAGTAGAGACAAGGTTTCACCATGTTGGCCAGTCTGGTCTCAAACTCCTGGCCTCAAGTGATCTGCCTGCCTTGGCCTCTGAAAGTGCTGGGATTACAAGTATGAGCCACAACACCTGGCCTATTTTGCAATTTTTTCAATGTGGCAAAATATATACAACACATAATTGACCATTTTAACCATTTTTAAGTGTACAAGTCAGCATTAAGTACATTACAATGTTGTGCAATTATCACACTATTTCCAGAACTTTCCATCTTCCTAAACAGAAATTCTGTGCCTATTAAACAGTATCTTTCCATTCCTCTCTTCCCCTAATCCCTGGTAACTTCTATTTTCTGTCTCTGTGAATTTGCCTATTCTGGGTATCTTATACAAGTGGAGTCATACAGTATTTGTTCTTTTGTGTCTGACCTCTTGCTCTTAGCATAACGTCTCCAAGGTTCTTCCTCCTCCTTTTTTTTTTTTTTTTTTTTTATGAGATGGAATCTGGCTTTGTCTCCCAGGCTGGAGTGCAATGGCACGATCTCAGCTCACTGCAACCTCCGCCTCCCAGGTTCAAGCAATTCTCCTGCCTCAGCCTCCCAAGTAGCTGGGATTACAGGCATGTGCCACCACGCCTGGCTAATTTTGTATTTTTTTTTTTTTTTTTTGAGACAGAGTTTCACTCTTGTTGCCCAGGCTGGAGTGCAATGGCTCCATCTCGGCTCACTGCAACCTCCGGCTCCTGGGTTCAAGCGATTCTCCTGCCTCAGCCTCCTGAGTAGCTGGGATTACAGGTGCACAGCACCATGCCCGGCTAATTTTGTATTTTTAGTAGAGATGGGGTTTTGCCATGTTGGCCAGGCTGGCCTCGAACTCCTGACCTCAGGTGATCTGCCCACCTCGGCCTGCCGAAGTGCTGGGATTACAGACATGAGCCACTGTGCCCAGCCTTTTATTATTATTATTATTATTATTATTATTATTATTATTATTATACTTTAAGTTCTGGGATCCATGTGCAGAACATACAGTTTTGTTACATAGGTATACACATGCCATGGTGGTTTGCTGCACCCATCAACCTGTCATCTACATTAGGTATTTCTCATAATGCTATCCCTCCCCTAGCCCCCTACCTCCCGACAGGCCCCGATGTGTGATATTCCCCTCCCTGTGTCCATGTGTTCTTATTGTTCAACTCCCTCTTATGAGTGAGAACATGCGGTGTTAGGTTTTCTGTTCCTGTGTTAGTTTGCTGAGAATGATGGTTTACAGCTTCATCCATGTCCCTGCGAAGGACATGAACTCATCGTTTTTTATGGCTGCATAGTATTCCATGGTGAATATGTGTCACATTTTCTTTATCTGGTCTATCAATGACGGACATTTGGGTTGGTTCCAAGTCTTTGCTATTGTGAACAGTGCTGTAATAAACATGTGTGTGCATGTGTCTGTATAGTAGAATGATTTATAATCCTTTGGGTATATACCCAGTAATGGGATTGCTGGGTCAAATGGTATTTCTAGTTCTAGATCCTTGAGGAATCACCACACTGCCTTCCACAATGGTTGAACTACTTTACAGTCAGTGTAAAAGCATTCCTATTTCTCCGCATCCTCCCCAGCATCTGTTGTTTCCTGACTTTTTAATGATGGCCATTCTAACTGGCATGAGATGGTATCGCATTGTGGCTTTGATTTGCATTTCTCTGATGACCAGTGACGATGAGCATTTTTTCATGTGTCTGTTGGCTACATAGATATCTTCTTTTGAGAAGTGTCTGTTTATATCCTTCACTCACTTTTTGGTGGGGTTGTTTGTTTCTTGTGAATTTTAGTTCTTGTAGATTCTGGATATTAGACCTTCGTCAGATGGGTAGATTGCAAAAATTTTCTCCCATTCTGTAGGTTGCCTGTTCACTCTGATGATAGTGTCTTTTGCTGTGCAGAAGTTCTTTAGTTTAATTAGATCCCATTTGTCAATTTTGGCTTTTGTTGCCATTGCTTTTGGTGTTTTTATCATGAAGTCTTTGCTCATGACTATGTCCTGAGTGATATTGCCTAGGTTTTCTTCTAGGGTTTTTGTGGTTTTAGGTCTTATGTTTAAGTCTTTAATCCATCTTGAGTTAATTTTTGTGTAAGGTGTAAGGAAGGGGTCCAGTCTCAGTTTTCTGCATATGGCTAGCCAGTTTTCACAACACCATTTATTAAATAGGGAATCCTTTCCTCATTGCTTGTTTTTGTCAGGTTTGTCAAAGATCCAATGGTTGTAGATGTGTGGTATTATTTCTGAGGCCTCTGCTCTGTTCCATTGGTCTATATATCTGTTTTGGTACCAGTACCATGCTGTTTTGGTTACTGTAGCCTTGTAGTATAGTTTGAAGTCAGGTAGCGTGATACCTCCAGGTTTGTTCTTTTTGCTTAGGATTGTCTTGCCTATGCAGCCTCTTTTTTTGGTTCCATATGAAATTTAGTTTTTTTAAAATTCTGTGAAGAAAGTCCATGGTAGCTTCATGGGGATAGCATTGAATCTATAAATTGCTTTGGGCAGTATGGCCATTTTCACGATATTGATTCTTCCTATCAATTAGCATGGATTGTTTCTCAATTTGTTTGTGTCCTCTCTTATTTCCTTGGGCAGTGGTTTGTAGTTCTCCTTGAAGAGGTTCTTCACATCCCTTGTAAGATGGATTCCTAGGCATTTTATTCTCTTTGTAGCAATTGTGAATGGGAGTTCACTCATGATTTGGCTCTCTTATTGGTGTACAGGAATGCTTGTAATTTTTGCACATTGGTTTTGTATCCTGAGACTTTGCTGAAGTTGCTTATCAGCTTAAGGAGATTTTGGGCTGAGACAATGGGGTTTTCTAAATATGGAATCATGTCATCTGCAAACAGAGACAATTTAACTTCCTCTCTTCCTATTTGAATACACTTTATTTCTTTCTCTTGCCTGATTGCCCTGGCCAGAACTTCCAATACTATGTTGAATAGGAGTGATGAGAGAGGGCATCCTTGCCTTGTGCTGGTTTTCAAAGGGAATGCTTCCAGTTTTTTCCCATTCAGTACGATATTGGCTGTGGGCTTGTCATAAATAGCTCTTATTGTTTTGATATACGTTCCATCAATACATAGTTTATTGATGGTTTTTAGCATGAAGGGGTGTTGAATTTTATCGAAGGCCTTTTCTGCATCTATTGAAATACGTATGTGGATTTCGTCATTGGTTCTGTTTATGTGATGGATTACGTTTATTGAATGCATATGTTGAATCAGCCTTGCATCCCAGTGATGAAGCCAACTTGATCGTGGTGGATAAGCTTTCTGATGTGCTGCTGGATTTAGTTTGCCAGTCTTTTATTGAGGATTTTTGCATCAATGTTCTTCAAGGATATTGGCCTGAAATTTTCTTTTTTTGTTGTGTCTCTGCCAGGTTTTGGTATCAGGATGATGCTGGCCTCATAAAATGAGTTAGGGAGGATTCCCTCTTTTTCTATTGATTGGAATAATTTCAGAAGGAATGGTACCAGCTCCTCTTTGTACCTCTGGTAGAATTCGGCTGTGAATCCGTCAGGTCCTGGACTTTTTTTGGCTGGTAGAGTATTAATTACTGCCTCGATTTCAGAACTTGTTATTGGTCTATTCAGGGATTTGACTTCTGCCTGGTTTAGACTTGGGAGGGTGTATGTATCTAGGAATTTATCCACTTCTTCTGGATTTTCTAGTTCATTTGTGTAGAGGTGTTTATATTATTCTCTGATGGTAGTTTGTATTTCTGTGGGATCAGTGGTGATATCCTCTTTATCCTTTTTTATTGTGTCTATTTGATTCTTCTCTATTTTCTTCTTTATTAGTCTGGCTAGCGGTCTATCTATTTTGTTGATCTTTTATAAAAAAAACAACTCCTGGGTTCATTGATTTTTTGAAGGGTTTTTTGTGTCTCTATCTCTTTCAGTTCTTCTCTGATCTTAGTTATTTCTTGTCTTCTGCTAGCTTTTGAATTTGTTTGCTCTTGCTTCTATAGTTCTTTTAATTGTGATGTTAGGGTGTTGATTTTAGATCTTTCCTGCTTTCTCTTATGGGCATTTAGTGCTATGAATTTCACTCTAAACACTGCTTTAGCTGTGTCCCAGAGATTCTGGTACATTATATCTTTGTTCTCATTGGTTTCAAAGAACTTATTTATTTCTGCCTTAATTTTATTATTTACCCATCAGTCATTCAGGGGCAGGTTGTTCAGTTTCCATGTGGTTGTGAAGTTTTGAATGAGTTTCTTAATCCTGAGTTGTAATTTGATTGCACTGTGGTCTGAGAGAGAGTTTGTTATGATTTCTGTTTGTTTGCATTTGCTGAGGAGTGCTTTACTTCCAATTATGTGGTCAGTTTTGGAATAAGTGTGATGTGGTGCTGAGAAGAATGTATGTTCTGCTGATTTGGGTGGGGAGTTCTATAGATGTCTATTTGGTCTGCTTGGTGCAGAGCTGAGTTCAAGACCTGAGTATCTTTGTTAATTTTCTGTCTCATTGATCTGTCTAATATTGACAGTGCGGTGTTAAAGTCTCCCACTATTACTGTGTGGGAGTCTAAGTCTCAATGTAGGTCTCTAAGAACTTGCTTTATGAATCTGGGTGCTCCTGTATTGGGTGCTTATATATGTAGGATAGTTAGCTCTTCTTGTTGCATTGGTCCCTTTACCATTATGTAATGGCCTTCTTTGTCTCTTTTGATCTTTCCTGGTTTGAAGTCTGTTTTATCAGAGACAAGGATTGCAACCCCTGCTTTTTTGTTTTTTGTTTTTTGCTTTCCATTTGCTTGGTAAACATCCCTCTATCCTTTTATTTTGAGCCTTTATTTTGAGCCTATGTGTGCCTTTGCATGTGAGATGAATCTCCTGAATATAGCACGCTGATCAGTCTTGATTCTTCATCCAATTTGCCAGTCTATGTCTTTTAATTGGGACATTTAGCCTGTTTACATTTAAGGTTAATATCGTTATGTGTGAATTTGATCCTGTCATTATGATGCTAGCTGGTTATTTTGCCCATTAATTCATTCAGTTTCTTCGTAGTGTCAATGGTCTTTACCATTTGGTATGTTTTTGCAGTGGCTCGTACTGGTTGTTCCTTTCCATGTTTAGTCCTTCCTTCTGGAGCTCTTGTAAGACAGGCCTGGTAGTGACAAAATCTCTCAGCATTTGCTCGTCTGTAAAGGATTTTATTTCTTTTTTTTTTTTTTTTCCTTTTTTGAGATGGAATCTGGCTTTGTCACCCAGGCTGGGGTGCAGTGTCACGATCTCGGCTCACTGCAACTCTCCGCCTCCCAAGTTCAAGCAATGCTCCTGCCTCAGCCTTCCAAGTAGCTAGGATTACAGGTGTGCACCACTACGCCTGGCTAATTTTTGTATTTTAGTAGAGGTGGGGTTTTGCCATGTTGGCCAGGCTGGCCTCAAACTCCTCACCTCAGGTGATCTGCCCGTGTCCGCCTCCCGAAGTGCTGGGGTTGCAGGCATGAGCCACCACGCCCGCCCGGCCTTCTTTTTTTTTTTTTTTTTTTTACATAGCAAGCTGCTAAGTGCATCTCTGTTTAGAAATTGCCTTAACATTGGGTTTCTATTGACAGAACAGGGGAGGAGTTTGCCTCTGACTTTTCTGAAGCTCCCATGGTACCTGAGGCTAAGCAGCCCACAGTTAATTTTAATTGGCAAAAGAAATGAGAACAAATTCCTCCAGGATGAGAAGTACATTTCTGCTAAAACAGTGCTCTCCCACAGGGTATATGAACACATTCAGTCCCCTCTAGAAAAGAACCAGAGGGCAGGCACGGGGTGCCAGCTGCTAGAAATCTTGCAGTTAGATTAGAATAGAAGAGTGTCTGAGTTTTTAGATAATTTTAGGTGCCAGGATATGGTTAGGAGGCTATGTTCAGGGCTACTCTTGCTACTGTTGAAATAAAAAACAAAAATAACTGCCTAGAGAACATCCACGCCCTAAAAGACAAACCATGTTTTCTGGGTGAAGGGATGATTTAACTCAGGAAACTCAAGAACACAAAACAACAACAACAGAAATAATCTCCTTGAACATATTCAACTAGAATGGCAAGGCATTTTCCAACATAAAACACTGTAATTTTCCTGCTACTCCAAAGGAATCCAATAAATAATTTTACAAAATTATAATCAAAACTGGAAGTCATGGCCAGGTGCGTTGGCTCATGCCTGTAATCCCAGCACTCTGGGAGGCTGAGGTGGGTGGATCACAAGGTCAGGAGTTCAAGACCAGCCTGGCCAACACAGTGAAACCCTGTCTCTACTAAAATTACAAAAATTAGCAGGTGCCTGTAATCCCAGCTACTCAGGAGGCTGAGGCAGGAGAATGGGTTGAACCCGGGAGGCAGAGGTTGCAGTGAGCCCAGATCGCGCCACTGCACTCCAGCCTGGGCAACAGAGCTAGACTCCGTCTCCAAAAGAAAAAAAAAAAAAAACCTGAAAGTGACACCAGCCCCCTGACAACACAAGTCACAGGTCCTTGTGCAGTCCCAGGGTTGAGTGGTCCAAGAAAGCCACTCCCTGAGCCCAGCCTGAGGTTTCATCTTTCCCGAATGGGATCAGGTAGAGGGTCCATGCTGCTTTGCAGAAGATTTGCATCTGGTAAGCCCAGGTGGTGAATGAAGGCAAAGAAGACAACACGAGAAGATGTCAAAGCCAAGGTTTCCTCGCGCTGAAGCCAGGCCTTAGGAGGCAAGTTCTTTGGTGGGGCCTCTTTGCCCAAGCTGGAGCAAGTACCCTGTACCTGTCATGCAGGGAAGAGTTTGGGTGGGCTTTCTACTTAGCAGGACTTTGCTATGGAGTCCTGGTAGGTGTTCTCATGTTGCATGCTCTGAGATGAGGTCCTGCATGTGGCCAGGCACAACTCAAAGTGTTCTTCGACTGCCATGAAGAGGTTCTGGAAAGCCACAGCTGCCCGACGGAGGAAGCACTCCAAGAAAAGCTGCTTGTTGGGCAGCAGCCGCGGGACCAGCAGCCATCACAGCAGTATTGCTTTGTGCCAGAGACATTGATGTTACAGCAGCCGCTGGGCCAGCAGCCATCGCAGCAGTACTGCTTTGTTCCAGGGACGTTGATGTTGCAGCAGCCCCTGGGCGAGCAGCCATCACAGCAGTATTGCTTTGTGCTGGGGCCGTTGGTGTTACAGCAGCTGCTGGGCCAGCAGCCATCACAGCAGTATTACTTTGTTCCAGGGATGTTGATGTTGCAGCAGCTGCTGGGCCAGCAGCGGTTGGGCCAGCAGCTGTAGCAGCAGTATTGCTTTGTGCTAGGGACATTGATGTTGCAGCAGCAGTTGGGCCAGCAGCCATGGCAGCAGTATTGCTTTGTTCCAGGGATGTTGATGTTGCAGCAGCCATTGGGCCAGCAGCCATGGCAGCAGTATTGCTTTGTGCTAGGGTCGTTGACGTTGCAGCAGCCATCCACCAGCAAATCCTTCCTCTCACAAACATAGTTCATCTATGATGTGGTGCTCCCCTCAAATGGAGTGGTGGCACTGATTGCTGGGGTGACTGCCATTGCCCGAGTTAAACTGCACTTTACACGGAATGGGCTGATCATGGTCTTGAACCTAGAGGAGATTCCTCTCTTTCACTGTCCTCTCCTCCTGCTTGAAGGTGCTCCTGAGGAAGTAGATGAGTGACAGCCCAAAGACCAGGGCGAGCACCCACCTCCTCCGCAGACATCGGTGCTAAACCGTGGCCTCCTGGTTCACCATCCCGTGTTGTGGAACATGGCAGGCCCGAGGCTCCTACACACCCCGCAGCCCCATCCCTTGAAGCAGGCACTGACCCCGTGGCCCATGGCCGAGTCCCAGGTTTATTTTTCTTACCCCATATATCAGAATTTAATTCCTTTTTATGATGAATGATATTCCAAGGCATGTTCCTTTCTTTGGTAGCCGTCCTAATTGGTGTGAAGTGGTGTCCCATTGTGGTTTGTTTTGTTTTGTTTTTTGTTTTTTTGAATTATTATTATTTTTTTGAGAGGAGTGTCACTCTGTCACCAGGCTAGAGTGCAGTGGCGCGACCTTGTCTCACTGCAACCTCTGCCTCCCAGGTTCAAGTGATTCTCCTGCCTCAGCCTCCTGAGTAGCTGGGATCATAGGTGCCTGCCACCACACCTGGCTAATTTTTTATTTTTAGTAGAGACAGGGTTTCACCATGTTGACCAGGATGGTCCTGATCTCTTGACCTTGTGATCCACCCACCTCAGCCTCCCAAAATGCTGGGATTACAGGTGTGAACCACCCTGCCTGGTCCACATTGTGGTTTTGAGTTGTGTTTCCTTAATGATGAATGATGTTGAGCTGATTGGCCATTTGTGTATCTTCTCTGGAGAAATGTCTATTCAAGTCCTTTGTTCATTTTTGAACTGTGCTGTTTGTTTTTTGTTGCTATTAAGTTATAGGAGTTCTTTACATATTCTGAATATTAATTCTTATCAGGTATATGATTTGCAAATATTTCCTCTCATTTGGTGGGTTGTCTTTTCACTCTTTTGATAATGTCCTTCGATCCAAAAAAATTATAATTTGATGAAGTCCAATTCATGTATTTTTTCTTTGTTGCCTGTGCTTTTGCTATCATATTTCAGACATTATTGCCAAATACAATGCCATAGAAATTTTCCTATATGTTTTCTTCTAAGAGGTTTGTAGTCTTAGCTCTTATATTTAGGTCTTTGATCCATTTTGAGCTACATTTTGTAAATAGTATAAAGGAGCCAACTTTATGTTTTTGTATGTGAATATCTAGTTTTACCAGCACCATTTACTGAAAAGATGACCCTTTTCCCCTATTAAAAATCATTAGGCCATATATGTAAGAGTTTATTTCTAGGGTCCTTATTGTATTCCTTTGGTGTAGATGTCTGTCCTTATACCAGTACTACACTGTTTTGATTACTGTAGCTTTGCAGTAAGTTTTGCAATCAGAAAGAAACTTTTCTTCCAAGAAAAGTTGGTTTAATTCACATGAGATGAAAATTAAAATGTGGGTAAGTCTTAGATTGGTTAACGCAGAGGAAGTAGCACTCAAGCTATTTTGAAGACCAAAGTTCATCATCTAAGCCACAGTCCTCCTCAGAGCTCATGCCCACCAATCTTTAATATTACAAATGGAGGAAGGGTAGGGATGGAGATCAAGGATAGTGCTGGCAAGGGTATGAATTGGTCCGACCTTTTTGGAGGGCATTTGGGAATAAGAATCACAACACTTGGATATGGGTTACTGTTTGACCCAGGAATTATGTTTTCAGGTAGAGTAATAACAAATGGACTTGCACAGAAATTTTCCTGCAAAGATGTTCAACCCACATTGTTAGCATAGCAATGAACAACAAAAAAAGTTTGAGTGGCACTGGCTAAATTATGGTGCAACCATACAATGGGATACCCGTTGGCTGTTAGAAACACGTGTTGAAGCCTATTTGTAGACATGAAAAGATGATAAGTATTTAAATTTGAAAAAAAAAACACCATTATATGTACTATGCAATTTCACAATTGTCAGATTTGGAGATCATAAAATATCCAAACACACACACACACACACACACACACACACACCCACACACACTCTGGAAGGGTAGATGCTATTACTAATCGTCGTTATATTAGGTCTGGCTTTCCAAAAGCAGGTCCTAAGAGAAGGATTCACGTGCAACAGATTTATTTTTTATTAATTAATTAATTAATTTACTTTTTGAGATGGAGTCTTGCTCTGTTGCCAGGCTGGAGTGCAGTGGTGCGATCTCAACTCACTGCAACCTCTGCCTCCTGGGTTCAAGTGATTCTCCTGCCTTAGCCTTCTGAGTACCTGGGATTACAGGCGCGCACCACCATACCTGGCTAATTTTTTGTATTTTTAGTAGAGATAGTAGAGACGGGGTTCACCACATTGGCCAGGATGGTCTCAATCTCCTGACCTTGTGATCCACCTGCTTCGGCCTCCCAAAGTGCTGAGATTACAGGCGTGAACCACCACGCCGGCCACAACAGATTTATTAAGGGAGTGCTTCCAGGAGAAACTGGTAAGGGAGTGGGAGAAACAGGGCAGAAAAGGATAGGAAGCAAAGCCAGCATGCAATTTTAGGCCAAGTCCGATACAGCAGGGGTCCCCAACTGGTCTATGGGACCAATACCTGTCCATGGACTATTAGGAGCTGGGCTGCACAGCAGGAGATGAGTGGTGGGTGAACGAGTAAAGCTCCATCTGTATTTACAGCCACTTCCCATTGCTTACATTGCTGCTTAAACTCCACCTCCCGTTGGATCAGTGGCAGCATTAGATTCTCATAGGATCACAAATCCTACTGTGAACTGCACATGTGAGGGATCTAGGCTGTGAGCTCCTTATGAGAATCTAATGCCTGATGATCTGTCACTGCCTCCCATCACCTCCAGATGTGATTTTCTAGTGAAGGACAAACAAGCTCAGGGCTCCCACTGATTCTACATTATGGCGAGTTGTACAATTATTTCATTATATATTACAATGTAGTAATAATAGAAATAAAGTGCACAATAAATGTAATGCACGTGAATCATCCCAAAACCATGCCCCCACCATGCATGGAAAAATTGTCTTCCACAAACGTGGTCCCTGATGCCAAAAAGGTGGGGACCCCTGCCATAGAGGATAACTTCAGCCTGATCTCACAGAGAAATTCTAAGTGTAAATTACACCTTAGGTTTATTCTAACCCAAGGCAAGGAAGCTGGGCTTTCAAACTCCTTCACTCAGCAGTCATTGGTTAAAGGCCACCCTGGACGGGGATGTAAAAATCCCAGACATGATGAATGCAGCTGCTCCAGTAGCCTGAAGGCAGGCCTTCGAGGCAAAGCCACAGGTGCAGGCCATTGGGAGCAAAAGCTTACCAATGTTGAGGAAGAGATGTGAAGAAATGGTAAAGGGATTTTAGGGGATGTGAGTGGAGCATGCCATTTAGCATTCTTTAAATTTTTGTAGATGAGGAAAATGCATTATTTTTGTAATAACAACATGTCATTTAAAAATTACTGTTGAACAAATACCTTTCAAATTCCTCTACAATCTCACATCTATTTCACAGAATTATGTTTGGTATTCTGTGGGGGAAAAAAGGCTTTTTCTTCTTGGCTGAGTCTGTATATTAAAAATAAAGAAAAAAAGGCTTTTTCTCATAGCCCTGCTTCAGTGACTGTCTTGGCAATATTCTAATAAAGCTATGAGGCTTCAAAATCCTTACCCCAGAGACCAACCTATATCATTAAGGGTAATAAATACAGTCAAAACAATCATGACAACAATGACATGTGGAACTATCCTGTACATTAATATTGATAATAATAGTGACATGTATTGGAGTGCTGTATGGGCTGGGTCCTGGGTGAAGCACTTTACATGCATTCTCTCATTAAATTATCTGAATAATCCTATTAGTTAATTACAGTGATTATGCCCATTTCCCAGATGTGAAAACTAAGGGCCAAAAAACGTTAAGTAATTTGCTCCAGCAAAACCAATAAAAGGCAGAGTCTGGACTCAGCTCAGGTTTGCCTTGTGCCAAAGCTCATGTTTGAAATCTCTGCACTGTGATATATCCCAATCCATGTGCTTCTCTTATATTTTAAGGAACATTAAGTCTTGAATTCTGATCATGGGCCAGTTCTTCTGTTATATTGTACTCCTTTTTACATGTAATCCTGAGAATATTTTTCTGCTGGTTTTCCCAGCCTTATTGGACAATTCATTTGAACTTCTTTCTATTTATAATCTCATAGGAAAAGGGCTGATGTATTTGTAAAATTATAAGCAAAAACCCGTCATTGTCCATGGAGAATACCTGCCCCAGTGCAGGCTGTGTTGAACATTTTATAATATTCAAACTTCAATCACTGCATTCCCCAAATGATAGCTTTCTCTGATCTAAGGGGAAACCTTACCTTTTTGTCTGCTGCAAATATACATGTTAAAATGGACAGAGGCCAACAGGTATATTATAATGTGAGAAAAGCACTTTCTAGGACAGTAGAATAAGGGTGATAATTTTAGAAATTGCCAAATAGGATAGATGGGTGGCTTCTTTCTTTTCCTTAACTGCTTTCTTTTCATCTTCAGCTTCAGTCTAAATTCCTGGTATAGAACTCTACATGACACAGGTTGAAAGAAATAGAAACAAGCATATAGTTTAAAAGAAATAGGATTTCTTCCCAGGTTAAATTTCTAGCTAAGGATTAATTTGCTTGCACCAGACTCATAACTTTCCAGATTTCTGTTTGCTTATGTATGAGGGGGAAAAAAAGCTCAGCTAGGCTGAATATAGCGATTAGTTAAATTGCTCAGACATTCATTATTGAAAAACCTCAATTCCACTTGAAGTTGGGGTTTGTTTAGCACTCACTGACAATAACTTTCTGCTTGACTGATGGCTACTAATTTTGATAGTGGTATGGGAATGTCAGTCACAAATAGAAATAGACACACAGACTCTAGGACCCATTAAGCTGGTTACCATGCTCACATCCCCAAATGTGTGTTGTTTCAAAATATAGGCTAAAGAGATTTAATTACATTCTGGGATAGGAAACATTTACGTTTCAAGTTTGCACTGGTTGGGGGATGCTAACAGAGAAAAGAAGAGTAATGAAGCAGAGAGATCTCGGGGAATCAGGAGAGCATCACACCTGCTGACAGGTGCAAAGAACAGACCTAACATCTGTGAAGGAAAAGTCGAGTACTTCAGGAACAAGGTGGTGGGAAATTAAAGCACCAAGAGATGTTAAGCTGCTCCAGGAAACAGGCTGGGAGACTGATTGTTTGTCTCAATCAAGAGATGGCTGCACCTAAAAATAAGGATAGAGCCCATCAGACTTTCTTTTCTCCCTCTTCTTTCAGCCCATTGGCCTTGATTTGGTCTTAAGGCATGAAAGGAAGCCTCACGGAGCCCAGCTACATTTTCATGCCGTGAAAATGAGCACTTAAAATGTAAACAGTTCTCCCAACTGCATGTGCTGAAGGCAAATGGATTCGGAAGAACTTCACCCACTGTTCTCAGGGAATGGTTGCTCTGTGGGGTGTCTCTGAGACCCACAAGGCTAAGGTTCTCATTGTGTTTGTTTATTTTATTTTAGTTTTCAGATAAGCAAACCAAGGCTTAGAGAGGACAGAGAGCTTGGGTTGGCAGTCCGGTGCCACGCTTAAACAAATAGGCTCAAATTCTGGATCTGCCGCTTCTCAAATCACTGGGTGATTTGAGCAAATTTCAGTCTCCCTGAGCCTCTGCTTCTTCTATGAAGTGGGAAGAAAAGACTATTGATGACTTAGCATCAACTATTAGGACTAGCGGGAAGGAGGCATGTAAAAGGTACTACATGTATTTAATGCAGATTTATTGAGCACTCACTATGTCCCAGGCAATGTTCTAGTTGCTGTATAACCTGGCTTTTTTCTGTTGTGGAATTTCTTTTTATTCTTATTTTTTGATTAAAAAATTATTTTTATATTTTGTGGGTACATAGGTGTATATATTTATGGAGTACACAAGATGTTTTGATACAGGCATGCAATGTGTGAAAATCACATGATGGAGAATGGGGTATCCATCCCCTCAAGCATTGATCCTTCCTGTTACAAACAATCCAGTTATACTCTTTTAGTTATTTTAAAAAGTACAATTAAGTTATTATTGACTATAGTCACCCTGTTGTGTTATCAAAGAGTAGGTTTTATTCATTCTTTTTTGGGGGGGTACCCATTAACCATGCCCCCGCACACAACCCTTCCCAGCCTCTGGTAACCATTGATTGATTGATTGATTGATTGATAGAGACAAGGTCTCCGTCTGTCTTCCAGGCTGGAGTGCAGTGGCGCAATTTCAGCTCACAGCAGCCTCCGCCTCTGCCTCCTGGGTTCAAGTAATTCTCATGCCTCAGCCTCCTGGGTAGCTGAAACTACAGGCAAGTGCCAACATGCCTGGCTAATTTTTTTTAATTTAAAAAAACTTTTTTTAATTTAAAAAAACTTTTTTTAATTTTTAGTAGAGATGGTGTTTCACCATGTTGGCCAGGCTGGTCTTGAACTCCTGACTTCAGATGATCCGCGCACTTCAGCCTCCCAAAGTGCTGGGTTTACAGGCGTGAGCCACCGTGCCCGACCACCATCCTTTACATAACCTTGCTTTTTCCCATTGGGTGAGAGATACAGCTAATAGTCACAGCAACTGACCTTTATCAAATGTCTATTGTGTGCCAAGCCACTGTGTTTATCTTTTTTTTTTTTTTTGCTTTTTGAGACGGAGTCTTATTCTATCGCCCAGGCTGGAGTGCAGTGGTACAATCTTGGCTCACTGCAACCTCTGCCTCCCAGGTTCAAGCGATTCTCCTGCCTCAGCCTCCCAAGTAGCTGGGACTACAGGCGCACACCACCACAGCCAGCTAATTTTTGTATTTTTAGTAGAGATGGGGTTTTGCCATGTTGGCCAGACCAGTCTCAAACTCCTGACCTCAGGTGATCCACCCACCTTGGCCTCCCAAAGTGCTGGGATTACAGGCGTGAGCCACTGCGCCTGGCCTGTGTTTATCTTACACACATATCTCATTCTAATAGACAGAAACCCTAATAAGAGGCAGGTGCTGTTTTTTTGTTTCTTTGTTTGTTTGTTTTGTTTTGTTTTGTTTTTGAGATGGAGTCTCTCTGTGTGGCCCAGGCTGGAGTGCAGTGGCACGATCTCGGCTCACTGCAAGCTCCGCCTCCCAGGTTCAAGCCATTCTCCTGCCTCAGCCTCCCCAGTAGCTGGGACTACAGGCGCCTGCCACCACACCTGGCTAATTTTTTGTATTTTTAGTAGAGACAGGGTTTCACCGTGTTAGCCAGGATGGTCTCAATCTCCTGACCTTGTGATCTGCCCGCCTCGGCCTTGCAAAGTGCTGGGATTACAGGCGTGAGCCACCGTGTCCGGCAGGTACTGTTTTTATCCCTATTGTGTCGATAAGGAAACTGAGGCTTAAAGAGAGACATTGAGTCATTTGCCCAAGGTCGCACCTCTAGCAGGTGTGGGGCTGGGATTCATTCCATTATCCCTTACAACAAATAATTATTGAACATCTACTGGGCCACACACTGCACTAGAAACAGAGAAGGCAACAATGAGTAAATAGGTAGGACAAGCTTTCTGTCCTAATGGCACTTACATTCCAGTGGAGACACCTGCACCAATTCCTGGTGCAACTAAGACTTTGTTCGGATGGTGGCGGTGTGTGAGGGCTAAGGGTGAGGATCTGACCTGGTTGGGAGGAGTGACATTTAAACTGAGATCTGCAAGGTGGGGTGTGTGAAGAATGCTCCAGGCTAGAGGCCATTTTCACAGTGTCCTCACTCCTCATGCCTGTCCCTCCTGCCTATTCAACAACAGCATTGGCTCCAACCCTGGTTGGTGGTAACTTCCATTCTCTGCTTTGCCAATTTGTCTGACAGCCCTGGGTCCTGACAGATGTGTTTTCTCTGTAAGAGGGATTTTGACATCATTTCCTAGAATCTTTTTCTTGACCAAAGGCTTGTGATTGGCCCTTGGCAAATTGTAAGACTAATGACATTTGTGTGTGTGTGTGGGTGTCTTGTAGCTGTAAAAATCCCATCTTCAATTACATCTCTTCACTATGCCAATTCTCTATCCTTATTCAGTGGGCAAGCAAAGATGGTTGTTTTGAGTGACAGGAAGAAAAACTGGTGAACTCTTGGCGTGAAACCTGAATAACCCTCTTCCCTGCTTAACCACAAACAGAGAAACCCACTTAGCATCATGGCGGGGGGACAACTGAGTTGTCAAACATGTGCAGGAGAATTAATGAGACCGTTTTTATGTTTTTCCTTGGGGAAGAGGAAGGACAGGCAGCATTCTCAGACCTGGAGGACTTTGAATTAAAAATGAAAGAGGCGTGAGAATTCTTTTCAGTTTTTTCCCATTCAATCCTATTACACATTTTATGACCCTTGGCTTGGGGGCCCAATTTTAAGCTTGCCTTGGCTAAGAACTAGGGACTCAAGAAATTAAAGACTCCTCTTCCCCATCCTCCCAGGGGCTCTTAATTTGGTGCAGGAAATAGGTACGTTTAAATAAGCCACTTTAATACAAAGTAAACTGTGCTTAGGACTCAGCACAGTGCCTGCCCCATCGTGGGCACTGTATTAGCCGCACCTCTTCAGAGAACCAGAAGAAATGAAATTTATAAAAGAAAAAAGTGTAGGAAGAAATGTATTGTAAGGATTGGCTTACCTGATTATGAGGGATGAGAAGTCCCATGATATACCATCTGCAAGCCAAAGAACCAGGAAAGCCAGTGGTGTGGTTCCAGTCCGAGTCTCAAGTCCCAAGAACCAGGGGTGCTTATGTCTGAGGGCAGGAGAAGATGGATGCCCCAGCTCAAGCAGAGAGAGCAAATTCACTCTTCCTCTGTCTTTTTGTTCTCAACAGATCGGATACTACCCACCCACATTGGTGATAGTAATCATCTTTGCTCAGTCTACTGATTCAAATGCTAATCTCTTCCAGAAACACTGTCACGGACACATCCAGAAATAATGTTTTACCAGCTATCTGGGCACCACTTGGCCTGATCAAGTTGACACATAAAATTAACCATCATAGGCACTTAATAAAGTTGTGTGGAATGATTGAATGTTTGCAGGAATGGATGGATGGATGGATGGGTGGATGGATGGATGGATGGATGGATGGATGGATGGATGAAGGAATGAATGAATGAAGGTCCATGAGAAAGTGCCAGACACTTGGGTGTGTTTTTAGTGAAGTATATTGTTAGGAGTTTTACGGAGAATTGGGGGTTGATGTATGCAGGACTTCACTGAGTGAAAGAGAAGATAAAAAAAGAGATAAGGGGTCATGGAAAAACCTTAAGACTCAGATTTGGGGGCCCAATTTTAAGCTTGCCTGCATCCCCACTTCCCTTAGAATACTGTGGTGGGTAGGGCAACATTCTGCAGTGATGCTCAAACTTGAGCGTGCATTGGAATCACTTGGGAGGTTTCTTAAAACCCAGATTGGCCAGGCGCAGTGACTCACACCTGTAATTCCAGCACTTTGGGAGGCCAAGGCAGGCAGATCACTTGAGGTCAGGAGTTCGAGATCAGTCTAGCCAACATGGTGAAACCCAGTCTCTAATAAAAATTTAAAAATTAGCCGGGCATGATGGTGGGTACATATAATCCCAGCTACTTGGGAGGCTGAGGTAGAAGAATCTCTTGAACCCGGGAACCGGAGGTTGCAGTGAGCCAGGGTCACTCCACTGCACTCCAGCCTGGGAGACAGAGCAAGATTCCATCTAAAAAAAAAAAAAAAAACACCCAGATTGTGGGGCCCCAACCACAGAGTTTCTGACTCAGTAAGTTTAGGGTGGAGCTTGAGAACCTGCATTTCTGGCAATTTCTCATGCGATGGTGACGCTGATGGTCCAGGTACCACACATTGAGAACCACCAGCCAATTGGCTTAGAACAAGGACTCTGGATTCAAACAACTTGAGCTTAGGGTTGCCAGGTAAAATACGCTCAGTTAAAGTTGCATTTCACAGAAACAACAAATAATTTTTTAGTATAAGTTCCATGTCAGAGGCATCCTGTATTTTTACTTGCTATGTCTGGCAACCCTGTTGGGTTTAACTCTCAGTGCTGTTACTCTGGAGCCATGCTGTTTAAGGCCCATCATTTGGCTCTCCGAGTTTCAGTATCCCCCACTTACAAAATGGGGGTGGTAACAATACCAGCTGTCTCCTAAAGTAATTATGACGATCAAGTAATCGTATAAAGGATTTCACACAGAGCCTTGCCTGTAGCAAGCACGCAGGAAATGTCAGCTGTTATTATTCACCATTATCCTCAGGTGAGTAACTTTTGGGGTGAAAAAAGCATTATACCGAGTGTTTTTTTTTTGAAAGGATTTTATGATTCAGCCTTTTAAATTTTAAACTAGGGAATATTTCTCCTCTTTGAAAAGGTCCTTGAAGCTGCCCTCTCTCATTTCTTTAATAGTAGATTATAAAGAATGGATTGGTTGATTGCATCTAAAATCTCCTCTTCCAACAACTCCCAACCCCACTCAGGGCCAGATTTGACTGATCTCTGGGTGGTGTATCTGGGTGTTAAATTTCTGAGGGGCCAGTAAAGGCAGGTCGCTGGGGGTAGGGCTGAGTCCTGCCTCTAGGAAATAGGCACAGCTCCTTTCAAACTGCTGCTTGCTATGAACAAAAACAGAATGAGGGTCAGGCGTGGTAGCCAGTAATCTGTAATCCCAGCATTTTGGGATACTGAGGCAGAAGGATCATTTAAGGCCAGAAGTTCGAGATCTGTCTGGGCAGCATAGCGAGACCCTCTCTCTACAAATTAAAAATTAACCAGGCATGGTGGGGTGCACCTGCAGTCCCAGCTACTTGGGGGGCTGAGGTGGGAGGATCGCTTGAGCCTAGGAGTTTGAGACCAGCCAGGGCAACATAAGGAGACTCCATGTCTACAAAAAAATAAAAAGTCAAGCCACACATGGTAATGCATGCCAGTACTCCCACCTACTCAGGAGGCTGAGGCAGGAGGATCACTTGAGCCCAGGAGTTCGAGGCTACACTGAGCTATGATCATGCAGATTGCAGCTGCACATCAGCGTAGGTGACAGAGTGAGACCCTCTCTTTAAAAAACCAAAAACAACAACAACAACAAAAACAAACAGAATGAGAGGGAGAGGGAGAGGGAGAGGGAGAGGGAGAGGGAGAGGGAGAGGGAGAATGCTTTTTAATATAGAATCAATTCAGGGCTGATTCTATCCTTTGGAATTAAATTTTTCCCCTCAATATTTCAAACTTATGTCCATTTTGAGGTTTGGGATCCCCATTTCCCCTGCACTTCATGGAATGCCAGCCCATTCTGGAAGTTGGAGAGCCAGTGAGGGTCAGTGTGAAATGTTCATGGGCAGGCTGAGCTGTGCTGGGGGCTAAGCGTTGGTCTGAAATGCCTGAACATTTCTTTATAAAGTTGACCACATCAGTATCTTTCAACCTGTAGGTTGTGACCTGTAAATGGATCATGAAATCAATTTGAAGGGTCATAAGTAGTATTCTTGTTTTTCAAAAAGAAATAGAATGCAACACAATGGAATTGAAACTGTCAGGATGCAGGCCGGGAATGGTAGCTCATACCTGTAACCCCAGCACATTGGGAGGCCAAGGCGGGTGGATCTACTGAGGTCAGGAGATCGAGACCAGCCTGGGCAGAATGGCGAAATCCCATCTACCAAAAATACAAAAAAATTAGCCAGGTGTGGTGGCGTATACCTGTAATCCCAGCTACCCAGGAGGCTGAGGCAGGAGAATCGCTTGAATCTAGGAGGTGGAGGTTGCAGTGAGCAGAGATTGTGCCACTGCACATTCCAGCCTGGGCAACAGAGCAAGACTCCATCTCAAAAAAAAAGAAAGAAAGCAAAGCAAAGCAAAGCAAATATCAGGATACATTGCAGTGCACATAGTAAGGGTAAATGTTGTAAACTTTTGATACATATGATATGTATGATAAATATGTAACATACACTATTTACAGGTGTAATAGGTCATGGAATATGGTCAAAAGAACGTGGAAGTCATGAGAGCAGGTAATAGCTAAGGCCCCTTGCAATTTTGCAATATGGTGTCAGTAAGATGGTGGTTTTTAAGCAGGGGCAATTTTGCTTTTCAAGGGAGATTTGGCAACATCTGGAGACGTTTTTGATAGTCACGACTTTGTGGAGAAATCGTGTGCTACCGGCGTCTAATGGGTAGAGGCCAGGGGTGCTGCTAAGTGTCTTGCATTGCACAGGACAGTCCCCCACCACAGGGAATTACCCGGCCCCAAATGTCAATAGTGTGGACGTTGAGAAACCCTGCTCTAAGGGTACGTGTGGATAGAATCACTTACCAGTAGTAGCCTTATTACTACTAACTAGGATTTACGGAGCACTTACTATATGCAGGCATGCTTCTAAGTGCTCACATTGATGAACTCTTTTAATACTTACAACAGGTGGGAGATAAAAGTGTGTTTCCTTCCCCCTTTTCAGATGAGGAAACTGAGGCATAGGATGATCAAGGGTTGCCCAAAGTTACAAAGTTAGCAGAATTAGGATTCCAGTGCAGGAATTCTGGCTTTAATTCCTTGAATCAGCGTTTTATGCTTCCATAGCACTTCAGTCTCCAAAGCCTTTTTTTTTCCTGTAGCAAAACACATGTAAAATTTGCCATTTCAACCATTTAAAAATGTGCGATTCAATGGCATTAAGTATATTCACAATGTCGTGCAAACCCGTTCAACACCACCATCAATTTCAAAATTTTTGCCACCCCAAACGGAAGCCCTGAACCAGTTAAGCAGTCATTCCACACATTCTTTCCTCTCCTCGGCCCCTGGTAACCTCCCATCTTTTCTCTGTGTCTATGAATTTGCCGATTCTAGATATTTCATATGAATGAAGTTATGTGATCTGTGGTCTTTTGTATCTGGCTTCTTTCTCTTAGCATAATGTTTTCAAGGTTTCTACATGACGTAGCCTGTGTCATAATTTCATTCCGTTTTATGGCTGATTTATATTCCATTGTATGGATAGATCACATTTTGTTTATCCATGTGTCTGTTGATGGACACTTTGTTTGCTTCCACATTTTAGCTATTGTGAATAAAACTGATGTGAGCCCAAAGCTTTTTTTTTTTATACTGAAGGTGGAGAAGGATTGTATCACTGAGGACAGGGGAGAAATCCAGATTGTTTTGGTGACAGACACTGTTCTTAGTCATCTCACATATATTATCTCATTTGATCTTCACAGTAACCCCACGAAGCTCCCCCATTTTTACAGATGTGAAGAACAGAGAGGGTGAGTCTCCTGCCCAGGGTCACACAGCAAATCAGGGCACATTACTCTTTGTCACGAAGAGGAGAAGTGTGTGTATATTATGCAGCAGAACTCTGAGCAGTGGCTGCCTTCTAGAACAGGAGCTGAACTTCTGATTTGCACAGAAATCTAGATAGGCAAAATTCCCTCAATACTCATATTGCACTATTTCTAGGTGCTGTATTTAGACATGTATGAAGAAGCCTCAATTGAGAATAAAGATAGTTCTCCTTGTGCAAGAAAAAAAAAACTACTTTTAATCTCTGAGATTCAGTGCCATGACTTTCACTCATTCTTGATTTGTTGAGGCTTCCTTCACAGTCAATTTATTCCCTCCGTCTGCATTGATGAAGAACTTACTATGTGCAAGGCACTGCTCCAGACATGCAATATGGCAGTGAACAGGACAGACCAAGTCCCTGTCCATGTGGAGTTTATGTTCTAGTGGGGGAGACAGGTAATAAACCAGTGAGCAAACACACAAGTGGTCCAGACAGAGGTGAGGGTTAAGTATTGCACCTTCCTCTTGAAACATATCTGTTGGCTCTAACGACGTCCACAAGGAGATACTGAACCCTGAGGCTGGAGGGTAAACTCAGCTTCCCACCCTCAACTCACTCTGTTCCCAGGAATGACCAAGTGTTTATCATGATGAATTGAGCGTAACATCTTCCCATCATCCTTGGGGTCCCTATTACAGACAGAGACAGAGCTGAAAGCTAGATTCATTCATATCTGACTTTTTCCACTCACTTTTTTTTCTCTGGAGTGGAGTCTATTTAGGAAAACACCTTCAGGGGTCAAGGTGATCTCCTATATCAGAAATCAGCAGACTTTTTCGGTAATGAGCCAGACAGTACATAGTTTAGTCTCTGGGTCACACGGTGTCTGTGGCGCCTTCTCAACTCTGTTATTCTAACACGAAAGCAGCCAGAGACTATCAGTAAATGAATGGATGTGTTTGTGTTCCAATTAAACTTTATGAACCCTGAAATGAAATTTCATATAGTTTTTACCTGTCAGAAAATATTCTTAATAATTTTTTCCCAGCTATTTAAAAATGTAGGAAAACATCCTTAGCTAGCAGGAGGAGGGCTGGACTTGACCTACAGGCCATAGATCATCGACTGTGCCTGTATCATTCCTCATCAATGGTCCTCTGGCATCTGAATCTTTCCTTTTTTAACTCCAGCCAACAGACTGCATCCTAAGGCAGATTATTCTGCTTTCAGAAAGGTGCTGTTTTTAGAAAGCATCAATCATGTATTGAGTCAAAATATGCCTTCTTGTATCATTCATCCAACAAACACTTTGTAAAGAAATTTAAACATTTCAACTTTATAGGATGGAAGTTTGGGGATATACATAAAGTTAGAGAGAACAGTGTAATGACCCTCTAGGTGCCCATCACCCAGTACTGACCATTATCAGCGCGTGGCCAATCTTGTCTCATCTCCACCTGCCACCCTGCATAGATTCTTTGAAAGGAAATCTCAGATCTCATATTACTCTATCAGCAAATACTTCCATACACATCTCTGAGGGATAAGGACTAAAACATTTTAAGGTGACCTGATTTTAAAATTAACAGTAATTCCTTAAAATCATTAATGTTCAGCCAGTGTCTAAACTTCCCTGACTTATGTTCTTTGATTGTTAATTTCTTTCAACCCAGATCAAAATAAGATCTGGGCATTGCATTTAGTCAGTAAATCTCTTAAGTCTTCTTTTTAAATAATAGGTTTATTGAAGTGTAATTTGGCACACAGTATTTAAAGTGTACAATTTGATAGGCTTTGCCTTATGTTTATAACCATGAAGCCATCAACACGATCAAGATAACATTTCCGTCACCCCAAAAGTTTCTCTGTAGCCTTTTGAAATTCCTCCTTCCCACCTCTCCCCACCTCACCTCACCTACCTGCTAGCCCCATGCTGTCAGTAATTTGCTTTCTGTCATTTTAGATTAGTTTATACTTTCTAGAATTTTATATAAATGGAATCATATAACAGGTACTGATTTTTATCTGACCTTCTTTTATAATTATAATTAGTTTGAGATTAATCCATGTTGTTGGGTATAGATAGCTTATTCCTTTGTATTGTTGAGTAACATTCTGTTGGATGGATATACCACAATTTATCTGTTCATCTGTTGGTGAATATTTGGATCATTCCCAGTTTTTTGCTATTATAAGTAAGGCTGTTAGAAGAATGAAAAAAAAATAAGCCAGAGACTGGAAGAAAATTTTGCAAAGCATAGATCTAACAAAAGACTTATATCCAGAGTATATAAAGAACCCTCAAAATTCAATGAGAAGAAATTGAACAACCTAATTAAAAATGGGCAAAAGATTTAAACAGCTACTTCACCGAAGAAGATATACAGATGGCAAATAAGCACATGAAAATATACTTAGCATCTTTACTTTGGGAAAATGCAAAATAAAACCGGAAATAAGATACCACTATTAAAATGGCTACAATATAAAACGCTGTGTCGGGCACAGCGGTTCATGCCTCAAATCCCAGCACTTTGGGAGGCTGAGGTGGGAGGATCGTTTAAGCCCAGGAATTCGAGATGAACCTGGGCAGCACAGTGAGACCTTGTCTCTACAAAAAGCAAACAAGATTAGCCCAGCACGGTGGTGCACACCTGTAGTCCCAGCTACTTGGGAGGCTGAGGTGGGAAGATCACTTGAGCTTGGGAGGTTGAGGCTGCAGTGAGCAGAGATTGTGCCACTGCACTCTAGCCTGGGTAACAGAGTGAGACCTTGTCTCAAAAAACAAACAAACAAAAAAACAAAAAACAAAACTGACCATACCAGATATTGGAAAGATGAGGAGCAATGGGACCTCTCATATACTGCTGGTGGGGATGTAAAATGATACAGCTACTTTGGAGACCAGTTTGGCAGTTTCTCAGAGTTAAATAAACACTGTGGTAGGCAGAATAATGTCCCACCTCCCAAAGAAGTGCATGTGCTAATCCCTGCAACCTGTGAATATATTACATAGAAAAAGGAGCTGGGCACGGTGGCTCACGCCTGTAATTCCAGCACTTTGGGAAGCTGAGGTGGGCGGATCACCTGAGGTCAGGAGTTCGAGACGAGCCTGGCCAACATGGTGAAACCCCGTCTCTACTACAAATATAAAAATTAGCCGGGCATGGTGGGATGTGCCTGTAGTCCCAGCTACTCGGGAGGGTGAGGCAGGGGAAATCGCTTGAATCCAGAAGGTGGAGGTTGCAGTGAGCCAAGACGGCACCACTGCATTCCAGCCTGGGCAACAGAGAGAGACCCTGTCTCAAAAACAAACAAACAAACAAAAAGGGACATTGCAGTTGTGATTAAGTTAAAGATTTTGAGATGGGAAGATTATGTGGATTATCTGTGTGGTCCAATGTAATTATAAATATTCTTATAAGAGGATGGCAGGAGGGCCAGAGAAAGAAATATGAAGATGCTACATTGTTGACTTTGATGAGGAAAAGGGGCCATGAGCCAGGAATGCAGGTGGCTTCTAGAAGCTGGAAAAGACAAGAGAATGAGTCTTCTCTAGAGCTTTCAAAAGGAATACAGGTCTGCCTATGCCTTGATTGCAGCCCAGCGAAATGAGTTCCAAATTTCTGACCTTTACAACTGTAGCATAGTAAATTTGTATTGTTTTAAGCCATTAAGTTTGTGGTAATTTGTTACAGCAGCAACAGCAAACTGATACATATTCCTACATATAATCCTGCCATCTCATTTCTAATTATTTATCCAGGAGAAATGAGGACTTACGTACATTAGCACATAAATGCTTCTAAATCTCTTAATCTGTTAGAGGTCCCTCTTTCTCATGGATTTCTGCCATTTATAACAAACATCTGTTGAGTGTCTACTGTATCCCTGAGCCTACTCTTTAGAGAGATACAGTAAATAATACTATTTTTCTTTCTTTCTTGTTTTTTGAGACACGGTCTTCCTCTGTTGCCCAGGTTGGAGTGCAGTGGTAAAATCATGGCTCACTAACAGCCTTGACCTCCCAGGCTCAAGTGATCCTCCTACCTCAGCCTCCTGAATAGCTCGGATTACAGTCACGTGCCATCACGCCTGGCTAATTTTTGTTTTTTTTGTAGAGACGGGGTCTCACTATGTTGCCCAGCCTGGTCTTGAATGCCTAGGCTCAAGCGGTCTGCCTGCCTCAGTCTCCCAAAGTGCTGGGATCACAGGCGTGAGCCATCACGTTTGGCCTATTTATCTTTCTTTATGGCGTGTTTTTTAGGTGGTTCACACACCGTGAGGTTCCTTCCCTGACATCTAGTTTAAACAATCTCTGTTCTTCCACACAGTCTGAGTGTGTGAAAATTCCTCTTAAGGGACTGTGATACAGAGAACTGTACTTAGAAATGCAATGCGATTTGCTTAGGGTGGTTCAGGATGTTATGTGAACCTCTGTTTTTTATCTTCCCAGGATCCTTCAACATCTCTGGACAAAGTCATCCCAGCTTTAATTGGGAGCACCATCTTCCTTCAGTTTCTAGATTATGTGACTTTGTTGTGTCTGTGACTGACCTCACTCCATGACAACAGGGCAGTCACATGTCTTTGGCTGGCCAATCAGGGAACACCATTGCCCTGGCCCCAAGAGACTGGTTCAGTGATGGGCACTTGGCTCAAGCTGGATCATTGTAGAAATCCCTGGGCTGTCAATCACTCCTCAACAGGTTGCTGGGTAAGCACAACATCAGAGTAAAGGGAATTAGGTGATCCTCAAAGATGTTCACTCATGCTGGAAAGACAAGACAAGTTGGCAGCAAATTCTTCTAAAGGGACACATATCTAGTTTTGTGAGAGAGGCAGTGTTTCTCATTTGGGGACATTTTGGAGACTCTTGGAAAAACCCTGGCAATATCAATGCTTTTGCTCAGCTTTTTGAGTGGTGCATGGAGACACATGGCCTCAGTGTATCAGTTGGCCGGGCTACTGGCAAGGAATTGGGATTGGCTTTCAGCTTGTTGCATGTGCCCTGCTTAGCTTTCTAAGCTTGAACCTGATCCTTCCTTACCTATCCAACTGCTACTGTCACTCTTTCCTCCCTTAAATAGAACTCATCTCTCTGCTTTATCAAATCCACAACCCTGCGAATCCCTGATCAGCTTTGTTTTCTTCACTGAGAGCTTTCTGGCTTCTTCGGTCTTCTAACCAGATTGCAATTAAAGACAGAAATCATGGCAAATACTTATTTCTTACTGTTTCCTGTTTCTACCCTGGTCTTTCCAACCACATTTTAGGGGCTGTATATCAGATGTGCCTCTTGTTTATATAGAGAGTCCGGTAGTCATTTGATAAATGTCTGTTGCGTGCTGAGATTCGAGATGGACAAGGTCCCTGCCTTCGTGAAGGTTGCAATATAGTGGGTGGGAAAATACAATAAACAAGTAAATAGATACTATGTAAGGATGAAAACAAGAACAAGATCAGATAATGGGCAATGGGAAGAGAGGAAACCCTAATAAGGTAGCCAAAGGAGGCTTCTTTGAAAAGATGGCATTTGAGTAGACACTTGAATGGACTGACTGGCTTCTCTCCCTCTTTTTGGTGTTAGCTTGGTGGCTTGTGATAAAAACAATGGACAGTAGAATTTTTAACTTCCTTGCTTTCTGTGCTTTTTTGCCAAATCTCTTCCAAATTGCCTGAAATGATCCAACAGACCACAGTAGACACAGTAAGAGAGCCCCTCAAGAATTCCTACATCCTGATATTCATGCTCCATGGAATCCCTACACCTTGAGTGTGGGCTGGATTTATTGGCTTACTTCTTGCAAATGAAATATGGCAGAAGGGAGGTCAGGTGTGGTGGCTCACGTCTGTAATCCCAGCAGTCTGGGAGGCCGAGGCAAGTGGATCACCTGAGGTCAGGAGTTTGAGATCAGCCTGGCCGACATAGTGAAACCCCGTTTCTACTAAAAATACAAAAATTAGCTGGGTGTAGTGGTGGGTGCCTGTAATCCCAGCTACTCGGGAGGATGAGGCAGGAGAATCACTTGAACCCAGGAGGCAGATGTTGCAGTGAGTCAAGATCATGCCATTGCACTCCAACCTGGGCAACAAGAGTAAAACTCCACCTCAAAAAAAAAAAAAAAAAAATGGCGGAAGGGATGAGCTGTCACTTCAACGTTTACATCATAAAATGACCATGGCTTCTACCTTAGGTATTCCCTGTCTTGCTTTCTCTTAGATCACTCACTCCAGGTGAAGCCAGATTCCATGTCATGAGGCAGGTCTGTGAAGAGACCCACGTGGCAGGAACAGAGGCCTGTGGCCTGCCCAAATCCACCTGCGTGGCTTTGAAAGTGAATTCTCTCAAGTTGTGTCCTCAAGCGAAATTTCGGCCCTGACAACTGCAACTGCCTAAGTGGCCTTGAGCCAGAGGCACCCAGCCAAGCTGCTCCTAAGGTTTCAGACCCACAGAAATAGTGAGATAATAAATGTTTGTATTTTACACCATTACATTTTGGGGTAATTTGCTACACAGCAATAGATAACTACTACACAGTCAAACTGGAATGATCATCTATGGGTCTGTATGGGTTTGCCTCTCTCTACTGAGTGGGGCAGATGGCCATGGTATCCAGAAAAATACTCTTCCTTAGATAAAATAGGCATCCCAAGGCCTTTTCACACTGGGTCATAAATGTACATTTAGTGGATCATTTCCATCACTAAAATGTAAGATCCACAAGGAAACTTGCATACTTGTAATAACTCATATACTGTAAGCCCGTGTCCAGCATGTAGTTAAGCATTGTATGTTCACCGACTTCCTTTATCTTTCGAACAATCCTATGATAAATGTATTATTATAATCGTCATTTTGCAGATGTGAAACTGAGGCGGAGAAGAATTAAGTTGCCCAAAGTGATGTCATGTGTAAATGGAGGAGGCAGGATTTGAACCCAGGCAGTTTGGCTTCGGAGTTCTTAATAAATATTTGGGTTGGAGTAAATGAGGGAGTAAAACTGTGGGATGACTCCTGTCCTTCATTTCTTCATTGGTGTTTTCGTAACCCCTTGTGTGGTATTTGTTGTCGACATCTTGCTGTCTAAAATATATTCCGAAAGCATCCTGTTCCTTTTTCATCTCGCTGTTTTCTTTGCTAAGCCCTTCACAGGAGGCTGGGCCTTTCTCTCTGTGTTGGGATCTTTTATATTTTAAGATATTCTCTTCGCCAAGCATGTTGACATGTGAGTTGCAAGCAAAGCCTCTGAGAAGCAAAATGTTGAACAATTATCAGTTGAAGACATCATGTCACAATGAACTTCTCTTTAAACAAATAAAAAAGTCCCATAGCAAACTCCTTTTATCTGAGGATCTCCAGGGGCCCCTCTGACACTGGATTGTCACACCGAGACATTTCAAACACAGACTCTCATCATTTAGTCTGGTTGCTGGGGCCCCAGACTTCTTTAGAATAGATAATGCAGCTTCATTACGGTTCTGTGTGAATGTGCCTGGAAAAGGATCATTGCATTTCTTTTAAAAAGCGTTGGCATTTTTTTTTTCCTTCCAGCCACTTAATTGGGATTGTGATGTGAAAAAAGAAGCATAGAACAAAACTTCCAATAAAAAAATTTGGACTCAGTCTCCATAATGTCATCCAGGCTTGCTTTGGCCTTGATGAATTCAGCACTTCAGAGGGTATGTCAACACAATAAATTTTATGCCCTCAATAAAACTTGTGAGTGAGCTCAGTGAGAAATTCCAAGGTCTGGGAAGACAATTAACGTTTGAAATATATATTGAGTTGTGTACTGCGACATTTTATGTGGCCACAGAGCTGTACCCGATGTCACAGGGGAAAAATTTCCCTAGGAAATGCAAGGTTTGCTTTTCAAATAACATTGACATGTCAGATTCCTCCCCAAATACAGAGGAATGTAAGAAATGACTACCAATGAAAATCCAGTGACATTCTCTGACCACATTGATGTGATTCTCCTTGTTTTCCATTTCAACTGGCAGTTGTCTTCAGAGTGTATCTGTTGTCAACATCTCAGCACCTTAATTTTATTAGACTATTTATATGACTATTCTTTGTAGTTCTGTGTGCATGGGGGTGTCTTATTAATTGATTTGACTGGAGTTCAAGCCCCAGCCCTACCTTTTAGTCAATGTATGATGTTATACAAATTGTATTACCTCTCTGGACTTTATTTTCTGTTGTGAGAATTACAGTCATGCACAGCATAACAACGTTTCAGTCAGTGATGGACCACATGGACAACGGTGGTCCCACAAGATTATAATGGGGCTGAAAAGGCCGGGTGTAGTGGCCAAGCCTGTAATCCCAGCAGTTTGGGAGGCTGAGGTGGGCAGATCGCTTGAGGTCAGGAGTTCGAGACCAGCCTGGCCAACAATGGCAAAACCCTGTCTCTACTAAATATACAAAAATTAGCCAGGGGTGGTGGGCACATGCTTGTCCCAGCTACTTTAGAGGCTGAGGTGGGACAATTGCTTGAATCTGGGAAGCAGAGGTTGTAGAGTGAGCCAAGATTGCACCACTGCACTCCAGCCTGGGCAACAGAGCTGAGACTCCATCTCAAAAAGAAAAAGAAAAAAAAAAATGGGGCTGAAAAGTTCCTATCACCTAGTGATGTCATACATAGCCATGGTAATGCAACACATTACTCACGTGTTTGTGGTGATGCTAGTGTTAATAAACCTACTTTGCTGCCACTTTTATAAAAGTCTAGCACATACAATTACGTACAGTACAGAGTACTTGATGATAGTAAAAGACAATGTTACTGGTTTATGTATTTACCATCCTATACTTTTATGGTTATTTTAGAATATACTCCTATGTATTTAAAAAAAAAAAACTGTAAAACAGACTCAGGTAGGTGCTGCAAGAGGTATTCCAGAAGAAGGCGTTGTTGTCATAGGAGACGGCAGGTCTCCATGTCATGGAGATGAACACATGCCTGTTATTGCCCCTGAAGACCTTCCAGTGGGACAAGATATGGAGGTGGAAGGCAGTGATTGTGATGATCCTGACCCAGGGTAGGCCCAGGCTAATGCTTCTCTTTGTGCCTTAATTTTTAACACAAAAGTTTAAAAAGAGAAAAAAAATACATTTTAAAAGTAGAAAAAAAATATAGAATAAGGAGATATTTTTATACAACTGTACAATGTGTTTATGTTTTAAGCTAGGTGTTATTACAAGAGTCAAAAAGTTAAAAAAATTAGTTTATAAAGTAAAAAAGTTACAGTAAGCTAAGATTAATTTGTTATTGGGGTAATAATTTTTTTTCTTTTGAGACAATGTCTCACTTTGTCACCCAAGCTGGAGTGCAACGGTGTGATCTCAGCTCACTGCAACCTCTGCATCCCAGGCTCAAACAATCCCCCTGCCTCAGCCTTCCAAGCAGCTGGGATTACAGGCATGCACCACCATGCCTGGCTAATTTTTGTATTTTTTGTAGAGATGGGGTTTTGCCATGTTGGCCAGGCTGGTCTCGAACTCCGGGACTAAAGAAATTCACCCGCTTCAGCCTCCCAAAGTGCTCACAGGCATGAGCCACCATGCGCAGCTAGAAATAACTTTTTAAAAAATAAATGTAGTATAACTCAAGTGTACAGTGTTTATCAAGTCTACAGTAGTGTACAGTAATGTCCTAGGCCTTCACATTCACTCACCACTCACTCACTGACTCACCCAGAGCAACTTCCAGTGGTATAGGCTCCATTCGTGGTAAGTACCCTGTTGGGGTGTACCTTTTTAATCTTTTATACTGTATTTTTACTATAGCTTTTCTATGTTTAGGTAAACAAATGCTTATCACTGTGTTACAATTGCCTGCAGTATTCAGTACGGTAATATGCTGTACAGGTTTGCAACCCAGGAGCAATAGGCTATACTATATAGTTTAGGTATGTAGTAGGCTATACCTTCCAGGCTCATGTAAGTATACTCTGTGATGTTTACACATTGACAAAACTGCCTAATAATGCATTTTCCAGAATGTATTCTTGTCATTAAGCTACGAATGACTATAAATGCAACAACAGGTTATCATATAGTCTGTTAATTATAATTTAAGAAGTCGCTATCATTTCTTTGTGTAAGATTAAGCTCTCTTTGAGGAGGGTGCTAAGGCACAGATTGTGAGCAGATAAAAAAATGTCAGTTAACATGTATTAGTCAGTTATTGCTGCCTCAATGCTGTGTGACAAATAACCTCAGAATTTCATTGGTTTACAACAATATTAATTAAATAGTATATTTGTCATATAAATTTACCTACTTGTTTATTTTTGCTCATAGGCCTGTGGGTTAGTCAATACAGCTCAGCTTCAGGCTGCAAATTGGGTTTAGGTCTACTCCCTGTGTACCACCCGGGGTGTGCTCTTTCATGGGCAATGACAGTGGTGCCAGAACAGCAATCAGAAACATGACTGGGCGCGGTGGCGCATCCCTGTAATCCCAGCACTTTGGGAGGCCGACAAGGGTGGATCACCTGAGGTCAAGAGTTCGAGACTCGCCTGGCCAACATGGTGAAACCCCGTCTCTACTAAAAATACAAAAATGAGCCAGGTAAGGTGGTGCATGCCTATAGTTCCAGCTACTTGGGAGGCTGAGGCAGAAGAATCACTTGAACCCGGGAGGCGGAGGTTGCAGTGAGCTGAGATCGTGCCACTGCACTGCAGCCTGGGTGACAAGGCAAGACTCCATCTCAAAAAAGAAATAAAAGAGAAGAAACACAGGATGCCTCTTACGTTGTAAACTCTAACCCACACTTTGACACCTTTTCCTACATACTATTGGCCAAAGCAAGTCACATCGTCAAAACCAATACTAGTGGGGCAGAGAAGTATAGTCCATTTAGCGTAAGAGACAAGACAGATTTGGGGAAAAATAATGTCACCTACCATGCAAAGTAAGAAGAGGTAAAGAATCTGAGACCACTTATATATACAAAAGGTACCCAAGAAACATACAGTTTTCTCTCTTTTGGATTCATATCTCAAATCTTTTGAATTGACCTTATTTTCTACAATCCAAGTAAAGATTGAGTTCTTTCTTTTCCTTCTATTTGACAAAATCATAGATTTGTTCCACCAGTGACTCATTTTTCCTTTCAGAAAATCATGTACTTTTTATTCAAGGTCTCCAGAAACTCTTTGGCTGAAGGTGAAATGTGTATTGATATTGACTCATCTTTAAATGTCAATGACCAGTCAAGATAATTAAGGAGTTAAGTATTGGTTGCAGAGAAAAGGGAACGCTTATACACTGTTAGGGGGAGTGTAAATTAGTTCAACCCTTGTGGAAAGCAGTGTGGTAATTCCTCAAAGAGCTAAAAGCAGAACTACCATTTGACCCAGAAATGCCACTACTGGATATATACCCAAAGTAATAGAAATGGTTCTATCATAGAGACACAGGCACATATATGTTCATTGCAGCAGTAGTCACAATAGCAAAGACGTGGAATCAACCTAAATGCCCATCAATGGTAGACTGGATAAAGAAAATGTGGTACATATCCACCACAGAATATTATGCAGCTATAAAAAAGAATGAGATCATGCTCTTTGCAGGAACATGGATGGAGCTGGAGGCCATTATCCTTAGCAAGTGATGTGGGAACAGAAAACCAAATACCACATGTTCTCACGTGTAAGTGGGAGCTAAATGATGAGAACACAAGGACACACAGAGGGAAAGAATAGACACTAGGCCTACTTGAGGGTGAAGGGTTAGGGGAGGGAGAAGATAAGAAAAAATAACTATTGCATATCAGGCTTAGTACCTGGGTGACCAAATAATGTGTACAATAATCCCCTGTGACATGAGTTTACCTATGTAACAAAACTGCACATGTACCCCTGAATCTAAAAGAAACGTTAAAAGAGTAAAGTGTTGGCCAGGTACAGTGGCTCACGCCTGTAATCCCAGCACTTTCGGAGGCCGAGGCGGATGGATCACGAGGTCAGGAGATCGAGAGCATCCTGGCTAACACGGTGAAACCCCGTCTCTACTAAAAATACAAAAAATTAGCCGGGCTTGGTGGCGGGTGCCTGTAGTCCCAGCTACTCGGGAGGCTGAGGCAGGAGAATGGCGTGAACCCGGGAGGCGGAGCTTGCAGTGAGCCGAGATCGCACCACTGCACTCCAGCCTGGGCGAAAGAGCGAGACTCCATCTCAAAAAAAAAAAAAAAAAGAAAAAAAAAGAGTTAAGTGTTTACTCATCTATTCAAATCAAGTGACACTATGGTGTGCACGAGACTGGAAATCAGGAAGAAGTACAAGATTCTAGTCTCAGCTCTGTCACTAAGTGTGGACAAGACAGTGATGTTCTCTGGGGGTAATCTACAAGAAAAAAGGCTGAGGAAGCCACAGGGCAAATCATTTAATGACGTTAACTATTTTCAGTAATCTCTCAATGCAGAAGTCATCGTCTAAATAAGCATTCCTTTCCAAATGCAGTCTAGCTATTTTGCCTAAAAGTTGGCAGATGTGACTTGCCCCAGGGTAGAGAACATCTTAAGAAAGATATTTTAAATGTGGTGTTTAAACAACCTATAACAATTATGCAGGGGTTTTTTAAGTTCATATAACAATTCTACTGCTTTTTGCTCATTCATTGTTTCTGTTTTTCTCATTGTTGATCCAGTAATTTCACTTTTAAGGAAATAGAGATGAGGAAAAAGGTTTATGTACAAAAATGTTCATTGTGGTACTTAAAAAAATTAAAGTAAAAAATTGGACAGAACTTAAATGTCTAATCATAAGGGACTGATTGAGTAAATTATTGTAAATCTATTTAATGGACTATAATGCAGATGTTAAAATCATGTTTTAAACCATTTTAATGACTTGACAACGTTCTTATGGTATAATATTAGATGAAATATGTAAAATAAGAAAAGCATAATATTTTATGACCATCAATTCTTTAAAAATGCAATAATAAGTTTGTAAGGAAATTCAGAGGAACAGGAATGGTGATTATCTCAGGATTGTGACATTCTAAGTACTTTGCATGTTCTTTACATTTTTCTACGTTTTCTATTTTTGACAACAAACATTATTACTTTTTTTGGGGGGGGGGGCGACAGAGCAAGACTCTGTCTTGCTGGAGTGCAATGGCAGGATCTCGGCTCACTGTAACCTCTGCCTCCCAGGTTCAAGTGATTCTTCTGTCTCAGCCTCCCAAGTAGCTGGGATTACAGGCACATGCCAACACGCCTGGCTAATTTTTGTATTTTTTGTTAGAGACATGTTGGCCAGGCTGGTCTTGAACTCCTGGCCTCAAGTGATCCACCCGCCTCGGCCTCCCAAAGTGCTGGGATTACAGTTGTGAGCCACCACACCAGTCTATTTTTCATTTTTGTTAAAGTAATACATTTACATACACACATAGGCATGCCCTACCGTTTTTACATTCTGGGTTCAGGATTCAGGGTGTCAGAGGAACAGGAATTCCAGTGGAGGTAAGCTCTGATCTGGGGAGAGACTCTGGGGACACGGGTGTGCTCATTCCTGGATTTGGGGTCATCCTGTTTGGATGGCTCCCAGAGGGAATTAAGAAGCCTTTGGCAGAACCACTTCTGATCGAGACAGACAGGCAGTAGTCTTTGAACCCAAGCACTGGCTTACAACTTGGACTTGATGAAGGCATTACAAAATCACTTTATATTGCTCATTCTTTCCAGCAACTTCTCTGTGAATTCTAGTTGGAGGAAAAAACAAACAAACAAAAAACAAACACAGACTTTAGACACAAGACGTTTTGCAGCCTCCAGATCTGCTCACACTTTGCCACCGGTGTCTGTAGGGGATAAAGTCAACTCTGCAGGGTTGGCAAATGGCAAGATTTGCATACACCCAGAAATCACCATTGTGATCTTCGTTTAGACAGCAGTGCCCCCAGAACCCGCCTGCTAGCCCTATTCTCCCAATGACATATAGGAGAGACTTCCAAAGAGGTTTGGGTCTGAGGTCACAAGTGGTTTTCATACTGAAAGTAATTTTGGTGGAAAGGAGACGGCTTCAAAACTCCTGATGCTCTTTATTGTCTTCAAACAGCTTAAACAGAATGTGCAGGAAATATAAGCTCCTCCCTTTAAAACACTGACCTTTTTTCACATTAGTTTCCCTGGAAGTTTGAACAAAGAATCAGTGGGTAAAGAAAATGATTTGGGATCCCAGTTGTACAGCGGGCATTTTTTGAAGTGTTTTATCATCTTGCCAGAGTGGATATGCTTGGCTGGAGTTAGAGCCCGCCAGTGAGGATCTCAAGCTCAAGAACTCAACACTCCTGCCTTTCTAGGGTTTGATTTACTCTAACACATACGCACTGCCAAGGTCATTGCCACCCTTTAGAGGATGATGCGACAATATGGTGTTTAAGACAAACTTGCAAATAGGTTACCAGCCCATGGAAGAATTTATTTTTATTTTTATTTTTTAACCAGACTCAACCTGGTTTGTTTGTTTGTTTGTTTGTTTGTTTTGAGACGGAGTTTCGCTCTTGTTGCCCAGGCTGGAGTGCGATAGTGCGATCCCCTTTCACCGAAACGTCCACCTCCTGGGCTCAAGCGATTCTCCTGCCTCAGCCTCCTGAGTAGCTGGGATTACAGGCATGCACCACTGTGCCTGGCTAATTTTGTTACTTTTAGTAGAGATGGGGTTTCTCCATGTTGGTCAGGCTGGTCTCGAACTCCCGACCTCAGATGACCCAACTGCCTTGGCCTCCCAAAGTGCTGGGAGTACAGGCGTGAGCCACTGCACACAGCCCGCCTTAACCTGTTTTTAAGATAAACCCAGGTACAAACATGCAATAAAGCAACATTCCTTTGTTTCCTCAACGTGAAGCTCAGTTGTGACAAGGTGCTCTATTGTTACCACAAAGGGGTCCCGATCCAGATTCCGACAAAGGGTTCTTGGATCTCACACAAGAAGGAATTTGGGGCAAGTCCATAGAGTGAAGTGAAAGAAATTTTATTAAGAAAGTATAGAACAGGTTGGGAGCGGTGGCTCACACCTGTAATCCCAGCATTTTGGGAGACTGAGGAGGGTGGATCACTTGAGGTCAGGAGTTCGAGACCAGCCTGGTCAACATGGTGAAACCCTGTCTCTACTAAAAATACTAAAATTAGCCAAGCATGGTGGCAGGTGTTTGTAATCCCAGCTACTCAGGAGGCTGAGGCAGGAGAATTGCTTGAACCCGGGAGGCAGAGGTTGCGGTGAGCCGGGATCGCACCATCGCACCCCAGCCTGGGCAACAAAAGTGAAACTCTGTCTCAAAAAAAAAAAAAGTAAGTAAGTAATTAAAGAACCAAGAGAATGGCTACTGCATAGGCAGAATAGTGACGTGGGCTATTCAACTGAGTATACGAATGGTAATTTCTTGATTATATACTAAACAAGGGGTGGATTATTCATGAGTTTTGCAGGAAAGGGACAGGAAATTCATGGAAGTGAGGTTTCCTCCCTTTTTAGACGACATAGGGTAACTTCTAGACATTGCATGGCTTTTGTAAACTGCCATGAGACTGGTGGGAGTGTCTTTTAGCATGCAAATGCATTCTAATTAGTGTGTAATGAGCAACGAGGATGACCTGAGGTCACTTTTGTTGCCATCTTGGTTTTGGTGGGTTTTGGCCAGCTTCTTTATTGGATCTTGTTTTATCAGCAGGGTCTTTATGACCTGTATCTTGTGATACCAGTCCTGCCGACCTATCTCGTCCTGTGGCTAAGAATGCCTAACCTCCTGGGAATGTAATCCAGTAGGTCTCAGCCTTGTTTTACCCAGCGCCTATTCAAGATGGAGTCGCTCAGGTTCAAACACTTCTGGGAAGATCACACATTTTAACTAGGTCCCTGTTGTGCACTGAATTACTTAGGAGATCATCAGGGGTTCCTAAGATGGTCTCAGGTGGTAGAAACTTATGAGCGAGAGGATAAACTAGAAGAGAGTAAAAAATATTACTCTGTGGTGGGAGAACAGGGAATTAGGGTAACGGAGGTTCAGCAGGTGCAGCCAGTTCACATAAGCAAAAGAACAGCAGGTCCAGCCAGTTTGCATAAGCAAAAAAACAGCAGGTGCAGCACATAGGCCACATCCTTGCTCCCATGATAACAAGCCACTTCAGCTTCCCATTGGTCACGGGCCAGTCCTTCAAAGGGTGTAACCAACTGGAGACCTCTAAAAGGCACCTAGGGGTGTTGCCAAGTTCTTTTGGCTTTATAAAAACTCTTGGGAGGATTGCAGTAAGCAGGCACTTGAGTTGCTTGTTCGAGCCTGCTCTCTGTGAGTTGTGTTCAATATCTCTGCCCATCGTGTGGCATTTTGTTCAATTCCTTGTCCAATACGCCAAGAACCTGGACAACTCACGATTAGGACCTTCTGATAACATATTTTGGCGAACCAGTCAGGAGGTAAGACAATATTTTGGGACTTTTTAATATTCCTCTTCTCTGAGTGGGGCGAGGGACTCTCATTTCATGTATGAATTCTTTATGCATAAGAGCGTGGAATTTTCCATTGTTTGTAGGGATAAACCCCATAATAATTTCACAGTACATTGCAAGATTGCTTGTTTCATGAGTTTCAGGCCGAAGAAGCTTATTTCACTTGGTGAGACGCAAAGAGCTGAGCGTTGCATCCGTTGACCAAGGGAATCATAGACCATTCCATTGCCTATGGAGGAAAAACATCCTCAGAGATGCCTGACCCCCTAGGGTCAGAGGCATCAGCAACAGATAGGCCCTCCTTAGGCCAGATCACTATGGGAAACAATATTCAGACGAGTTTTCGCTAGTACCAATAGACGCCTTTGCTGGCTTGGTTGAAGCCTACCCTAACAGAACAGAGAAGGCTAAGAAGGTTATAAAGGTTCTCTTGAAGGAAATCATCTCCTGGTTTGGATTACCCCAAAGCCTCCACCACAAAGTCTCCAAAGTAATAACAGCCCATCTTTTATCTCCCAAATAACTCAAGCGGTTGCTAAGGCTGTTGGAATACAAGCTACTTCAGGCCCTGATTGACTGCGGGCCAGGTCTCCACTTCAGCCTCTGATTGGTGGCAGGCCAAGCCTTCATGGGGTGTAGCCAACTGGAGGCCTCTAAAGGGACCGAGGGGTGTTGCTGGGCTCTGGCTTCATGAAAACTCTAAGGAGGCTCTTGAGCCGCTTGCTCAAGCCCCCTCCCACTCTGTGAGCTGTCTTCAATAAATCTGTGCTTTCATCACTCCATTCTGCTGCGTTGTCCTCCATTGCTTCGTTCTTTTGTTACTGTCTGTGTTGTTCAATACGCCAAGAACCTGGACAACTCGATCCAGTAACCCTTCGTACTACTATCTCCATTACTACCATGATAACTACTGTTGCTGCTGCTTCTATTTTATTACTCTGACTGCCGCTACGTTACTACTATTACTACCTTTAGTATTGCTGCTGCTGCTGCTACTATTACTATTATTGCCACCACTACTTTTGGTATTACTACCACTACCGTGATGGTTACTGCTCTTACTGCCGCGGCTACCAGCAGTCGCCGTTTTATTTTTAACACCTCCTGAGTGCACATCAGTTTATATGTGTGAAGTCACTTAATACAAATGCCGGCCAGGCGCGGTGGCTCGCGCCTGTAATCCCAGCACGTTGGGAGGCCGAGGCGGGCAGATCACCTGAGGTCGGGAGTTCAAGACCAGCCTGGCCAACATGGTGAAAACCCCGTCTCTACTAAAAATACAGAAATTAGGCGGGCGTGATGGCACGCGCCTGTAATCCCAGCTACTTGGGAGCTGAGGCAGGAGAATCGCCTGAATCCCGGAGGTGGAGGTTGCAGTGAGCCAAGATGGCGCCACTGTACTCCAGCCTGGGCAACAGAGGGAGACTCTGTCTCCAAAAAAAAAAAAAAAAAAAAAAACCTGCCAACCAGTGTGAGGAATACTAACTCTGTTGTTCAGATGAAGATCTTGAGGCTCAAACATTATGGTAACTTGTTTAATATCACCCAGTGAGTGACAGAACTGGGGTGTGAAGCCAGATTTCTGACTCTATTTCTCAACCAGGATGCTCTACTGGGGGTGGCGGTGGGGAGAGAAGAAAACCATAGCAGACGATTCACCTGCTGAATGGCTGTAATTCCCATGTGAGGAGATATGAATAGTGTGAAATCCAACAAGGAGACCCTTGTTATAAGGATGCAGGTACAGGGCGCCCTCCCCTTCTAAGCTTCCTGGCTAGATCTCTTGCTTTTTCTCTCATGCATTCACACTTAGATATACACACAGCATATCTTTGAGCATACAATTTCACTTAGCTGACCTATTTTATTTTAAAGAGGAAATGAGCTAATGCCCTAGATTTCAGAGAAGACTGACATATCCCCGTTTATCTTTCTGCTCACTGCTGTTATTCTAAATCCCAAACCTAAGTCGACAGGTTTTCTTAATAGGCTAGGGTAAAGGAAACCTGGGGGCTTCTCTCTGCCTTCCCCTCTCCTTCCCCATCCTAGCCTCAACATTTACTCATTATCCATTTGCTGCCAAACAGAGCTCAAAAAAGGGAGATCTGCTAATTATTTCATTTGATAAACACATGGATTGAGTGCCTAATAATAGCTAATACTTTTTGTGCTTTAACCATAAGCTAGGCCTTTGCACATATAATGCATTTCATTCTTACAATGGCCCTATGAGATGAGACCATTATCATCCCTTTAGAGAGGCCAGACAATGAAATCTCAGGTTAAGCAACTTTCCCAAGGTCCCTCAACTTTAGCAGAATTAGGGCTTCACTACATTGTGCAAAATAATGATTTGGAAACAGTTTCATGCCATGGGAGATAATATACAGATAAATAAGGCTCAACTCCTTGTGTCAAAGATGCTGAAAGCATGGTTATGGCTAAAGATGGGGAAACAAGCAAACATAAGCTTGAACAAAGGACAAGGGTGGACTAGCAGGTTGGGGGAGGAGTAAGAAAAAGGGCTGAATCTGGGCTGCATAGGAAACTAACCAGCTTCGAGACCCTAACTTGTATAGTGGGTTTCAGTGTTGAAGGGCCAGTGAGTTTGAGGCAGAAATAGGCAGGACAGAGGGGCCTGCAGACTGATTGTATACAATCTGCTGCTGCAGTATTCACAATACCAAAGGCAGGAATCAACCCAGGTGCCCATCAATGGTAGACTGGATAAAGAAAATGTGGTACATATACATCATGGAATACTATGCAGCCATGAAAAAGAACAAAATCATATTCTTTGCAGCAACATAAATACAGCTGGAGGCCATTCTCCTGAATGAAATAACACAAACGGAAAACACAAAATACTGCATGTTCTGACTTATAAGTGGGAGCTAAATCTTGGGTACCCACAGAAATAAAAATGAGAATAGACACTGGTGACTCCAAAAGGAGGAAAAGAGGGGGGCAAAGGCTGAGAAACTTATTAGGTACTATGTTCACTATCTGGGTGATGGGATTAATAGAGGCCCAAACCTCAGCCTTGCACAATATACCCATGTAACAAACTTGTACGTGTACCCCCTGAATCTAAAATCAAAATAATAAAAACTGCTACAGTTTGAAATGGGCCAGCTCCAAGTCTCACCCTGGGTGCTATATTTTCTTCAATATAATGAAGTGCTGCCTGTACCCATGTGCAAAGGAGAAGTAAAGGGCAACAGCTCTTTGTCTTAGCCCAGAAACCTCAGGATATAAGCCCTGGGAGGAGACAGTCTTTAGTAAGAAGACCCTCACAGAGGTCTGATGAGCTACTTCAAATTATACCTGGCCTGTGCTTGCTTTTGAGGTTTGAATAAGAGTTAATTGGCTGGGTGTGGTGCCTCACACCTGTAATCCTAGCACTTTGGGAGGCTGAGGGGGGCAGATCACCTGAGGTCAGAAGTTCAAGACCAGCCTGGCCAACTTGGTGAAACCCTGTCTCTACTAAAAATACAAAAATTAGCTGGGTGTGGTGGTGGGTTTCTGTAATCCCAGCTACTCAAGAGGCTGAGGCACAAGAATCGCTTGAACCTGGGAGGTGGAGATTACAGTGAGCCAAGATCCCACCACTGCACTCCAGCCTGGAGGACAAAGCTAGACTCCGTCTCAAAAAAGTTAAGTCAAAAGGGAAAGTTGCATCAGGCAGAAGAAACAGATTAACTCCATGCCCCATTATTTCCCCTATGTCAGGGATGGAGGGAATAGTACCTTTCTCTTCTTGTCTTCCTATACCTATCTGCCTTCTCTTACCCTCTCTACCTATTCCTTTCTTCACTGCTTTTGGAGGGAATGGAATGCCAGCTAGGTTTGTTTGAGACATTGTTTACCAGTGGGTGGCGATGCTACTGAAAAACTGGGGGTTTGGTCTGGGTCCTGTTGCTCACCACACAGAAAGCCCATCACTGAGATGACCAGTATTGCTAAGGACGAAAGCTTTGATCCAGTGCCAAGGAGATGGGAACTCATTCTCAAACCCATCTCCCTGACCAATGAAAACTAAGGGGTTTATATAGCAGGGAAGAAATGTAACAATGTGTGAAAAAGCAGTTATAGTGAGGGGCAAGGAAGCAATCTCATGAATGAGGGATCCCACATTTTGCTGTCTGAATGTGGTGATCTGGTGAGTTTCAGTTCTTTAATAGTTTTTTAAAAAGAGGCCTGAAGGTCTTTTCCTGAGGAAGAAACTCAGATAAAAGAAATGTAAGAGTGGGGCCTGGTGGCTCATGCCAGTAATCTCAGCACTTTGGGAGGCCAAGGTGGGTGGATCACCTGAGGTCAGGAGTTTGATACCAGCCTGGCCAACATGGCAAATCCCACCTCTCGCTTGAACCTGGGAGGCAGAGGTTGCAGTGAGCTGAGATTGCGCCACCGCACTCCAGCCTGGGTGACAGAGTGAGACCCTGTCTCAGAAAACAACAAATGTAAGTTTCAAGCTTTAAGAACAGAAGGATCAATTTCTGTGTTTATCCAAAAAAAACTAGTTGACTATTGGGTCAGTTTCAGTGATGTTCATAAAAAGCTCAGACCTAACCCTTTTCATTCCCCTCCCTCTCTGGTTTTTCTCCTACACCATCTGGCCAGCTCCCAAACTAAGGTCCTTATTGTACCCTGGCCACGAAAAGCCTGAGCGTGAAGATCATTGAGTGTGAGGGCATCTTGCAGCCGCATAGAAGGTAGTGGGGATCCAAGTGCAGGATTTGGGCTGAGGTGGGGCCTCCAGACCCTTGCAGTAAGCTCCAACTGAGCCATGTCAGAGCTCTGCACTGGGGTCACCAGGTCAAGCTGTTGATAAAATGGTGCTTTGATGTTTTCCTGCAAACCTTCCATATCCAGTCCCCTTGGGAACATTCAGGGTGGCCAGGATGACTGTTGACAGCACATGAAAACTTTCCCTTGATTTTTATTTTATTTTTTATTTTATTTTAAGACAGAGTCTCTTGCTCTGTCACCAAGGCTGGAGTGCAATGGTGCGATCTCGGCTCACTGCAACCTCCACCTCCTGGATTCAAGTGATTCTCCTGCCTCAGCCTCCTGAGTAGCTGGGATTAGAGGCACCTGCCACCATGCCTAGCTTATATATATATATATATATATATATATACACGTGTGTGTGTATATATATATATATATACACACACACACACACGTATATATATGTGTACATATATATATATATACACGTGTATATATATATATATATATATATATATATTTTTTAGTAGATATAGGGTTTCAGCATGTTGGTCAGGCTGGTCTTGAACTCCTGACCTCAGGTGATCCACCCACCTCAGCCTCCCAGAGTGCTGGGATTACAGGTGCCAGCCACCATGCCTAGTTACGTTCCCTTGATTTTTAACTTTCAGCATCTTCCCATCCTTGTATCTTTTCTTAATCTTCTGGGTCATTCTCTCTTCCTCATTATCCATCAAGATTCAGCTCATCTGCTGTTCTTTTTCCAATTCCCTCTATGAAAAAAAAAATGAGAAATCCCCTCCTCTTGCCTGTAAGCTCTAATGGCACTGTTGTAGCTTTTTGTTTCTGTCATTGCCTTGACTGGTTTGTGAGCTTCCTGAGAAAAGATTTTGTGTATCTGATTCATCTGGGGGTGTCCAGTGCTTAGTGAATTGCCTGTCATTAAATAATTCATTCATTAAACAAAAAATGTAAGGGGTGCCTCTATGTGCCAGATGCTATGTTAGAGTCTGGGATACATTAATAAGTTCCCTGTCCCAAGAAACTTGGAGTCTAGTGTGGGAGAGAGGCATCAGTAAAATAATCACACAAATACATTTAAACTGACACCTGAGGTACATAAGCCTTTGAAAGCACATGGGAGGGGACTAGAGCTTGTTGGAAAGGTCAGTGAAGCCTCAGGAGGAAGTAATGTTAGAGCTGAGATCTGCAGGGAGAGTGGCCCTAACCAGGTGAACATTCCAGGTAGAAGAAACATGGTGTAAAGCCCCGGGCTGGAGATGAGTACAGCATGCTAGGGGAAGTGAGAGAAAGCTCACTGTAGCCAAAGCAAAAGGGGCTAGAGTCAAAGAGAGACAAGGAAGTAGTGCTTCTGTGTCTCAGAAGCTCAGAATTGATGAGCCGTGGCTAAAAGATGGGTCTTCATCCCACAATTGTGTGCTCGGCACAACATAAGGGGCTCCCTGAATCTCCTCAGATTCCTGAATGCTGGAGGCTTTGGTCTTCCACACAGATAAACTGGCCCCTTTCTGCCCTCATGGCATGTGCATTAATGATGTGGGTGTGGATCAGTGTTTTTACAAGTTGGATCACCCGGACCACCCTGGGATGCAGCGGAAGATGTGACAGAGAAAAGTCGATCATGAGGGCGTCTTTGTGTAGCCTGTTCCAGGAGAGAAGGAAATACAATCCAGAACTGGAATGTCTTTCAATTTCCATAAGCAAATGGAAAGGATCTTAATTGAGCCAGGATATCTTCAGTGCTGTGCCTGTTTTCATGATGCTGTTCTCTTTCCTGGATCTCTGCCCATGAGTGTAGGGTGTTCTGTCTGGCAGAGAAAGCATCTCATACAAGGAGCCCTCATACAAGCTACATAAAATCTCAGTGGTCTCAGAGCTTTAGAGTAAAATGGGAGAGGAAGATAGACATTAAAGTAATGATATCCAAATAATTATTTAAAATTGCATTTGGCATAAACACTATTACTTATTTTTTGAGAGATGGAGTCTCGCTCTGTCACCCAGGCTGGAATGCAGTAGCATGATCTAGGCTCACTGCAACCTCTGCCTGCAGGGTTCAAGTGATTCTCCTACCTCAGCCTCCTGAGTAGCTGGGATTACAGGCACCCACCATCACGCCTGGCTAATTTCTGTATTTTTAGTAGAAACGAGGTTTCATTATGTTGGCCAGGCTGGTCTTGAACTCCTGACCTCAAGTGATCCACCCACCTCGGCCTCCCAAAATGCTGGGATTACAGGCGTGAGCCACTGTGCCTGGCCATGTTTGGCATAAATATTATAAGAAAGAAGTACAGGGCACTGAGACATATAGCCCAGTCTGGTCTCGGTGTCTGGGTAGAGTGATGCCATTTTCTGCAACAGGAAACCCAGAAGGATGACCAGGTTTGGAGCACAGGATCAGATCCCTGCCCATGAGCACTGGGTTTTCTGTCTGGCAGAGAAGGGAACCCATACAGGGGGCCCTCTCTTTGGGGCAAACTGCCCCTACCTCCCATCTAGATATTTTATGAAGAGCTCTAGTTACTGCTTCCAATCTAATATCACCTCTGCAAGAAGAGGTTGAGAAAGAGGGAGGAACCAAGGATGACTTCCTTGTTTAGGGCCAAGTGACTAGGTGGATGTTAATGGCATAAACACAAGAAGAGGTTTAGGGGAGAAACCAATAAGCTCAATTTTTGTCTTGATTTGTTTGAGGAGCTGAAGAACATCCAGTTGGATACCCAAAAGGTAGCTGGAGATCGGAGCCTGGGCTTGAGAAAGTTGGGTGCTTGAAGACTCAGAAATGTTTGAGCAACTTTGTCTAGGAAACCTTTCTCTTCTTGGAAACAGCCAATTTCCCATCTTTAAAATCTCCCTGGAAGATAGGTAGAAATACCTAGTACCAGCCGGGTACAGTGGCTCCCAGCTATAATCCCAGCACTTTGGAAGGCTGAGGCAGGTGAATCACCTGAAGTCAGGAGTTCAAGACCAGCCTGGCCAATATGGCAAAACCCCGTCTCTACTAAAAATAGAAAAATTAGCCAGGTGTGGTGGCGGGCGCCTGTAGTGCCAGCTAGTTGGGAGGCTGAGGCAGGAGAATCACTTGGCGGAGGTTGCAGTGAGCCAAGATGGCACCACTGCACTCCAGCCTGGGCCACAGAGTGACTCTGTCTCAAAAAAAAAAAAAAAAAAAAAAATTCCTAGAATACAGCCCACAGCTCCAAATTACATTTTTAGGCAGTTTTCACACCATCCTAAAGAAAAAGTCAGGCAGCCTAGACAAAGGTATTCCTAGCTGCCCACACAATCCTTCTTTACCTTCTTCTGCTATGTCATCAAGCCAAGCAGCACAATTATTTTTCTTTCATATCATCATGGATTTCAATTTTTGTAACTTCTTTAAAATTTCTAATAGAGCTCTTTCATGTATCCATTCATTCATTCAATGCTGTGTGCCAGTCATTGAAGAAAACTACACAAAATCTCAGTGGCCTTAGAGCTTAGAGTCAAGTGGAAGAGGCAGACAGACATTAAACTAATGATATCCAAATAATTATTTTAAATTGGCATTGTCATAAATATTATAGGAAAGAAGTACAGGGCACTGGGGGATGTAGCCCAGCTTGGTCTCAGGTCTTGGATAGAGAATGATCAGTTTGCTGGGATGGGAAATTCAGGAGGAAGACCAGGTTTGGGTGTAGAGGGGCTTTAAAACGGTAAATAAGACTCAAACACTAGCCGGGCACAGTGGCTCACACCTGTAATCCCAGCACTTTGGAAGGCCGAGGCAGGCAGATCATTTGAGGTCAGCAGTTCAAGACTAGCCTGGCCAACATAGCAAAACCCCACCTGTACTAAAAATACAAAAAATTAGCCAGTTGTGGTGGTGCACGCCTAGAATCCCAGCTACTCTGGAGGTTGAGGCAAATCAAACACCTGTGGAACTCACTATGTGCACTGGGCACCATTCTAAGCAGGTTTCAACCATCCGCTCATATAATCCTTACAGCGATCTTATGAAGGAGGGACCAGCATTATCCTTATTTTACAGATGGAGGCGCCAAAGGGGCTAACATGTTTTTCCAAGTCTCCACAATTAACAAGAGACAGAGCCAGGATATCAAATCCAGACAGACTGCCAGAATCCACCCTCTCTACCACTGTACATGATACAGGCTCTCTCTGGGGGACTTACCTAGATGTGTTCATTTGAAGATTCTGGTGACAATTGGATAAACACTTTCCTTATCATTTTAAACCGTTTGAGCTGGGATTTCTGTTATTTGCTGGCAACAGATACAAATGTGAACGGACGTCTGAAGTTGTAAAATTCAAGAGAGAAGGCTGGGCTGGGTTCAATCTAAGGAAAACCTTCACGTTTTACCTCCGGCAATGCATTCTGGGCTATCCTCTTCTCAGTAGTCTTTCATCTTGAAAAGGTTTCCTTGAACTGTAGCCTCTTCTGAAGGACAAAGACATTTAGGGCATGATTTTTTTACAAATTAAATCGAGACTGGGTTCAGTGGTTCACACTTGTGGTCCTAGCACTTTGGGAGGCTGAGATTGAAGGATCCCTTGAGGCCAGGAGTTCGAGACTAGCCTGGGCAGCATAATGAGACCCTGTCTGTACAAAAAATTAAAAATTAGGTGCGGTGGCTCACGCCTGTGATCCCTATTACTTAGGAGGCTAAGGTAGGAGGATCACTTGAGCCCAGGAGTTCACAGCTGCATTGGGCCAGGGTTGAGCCACTGCACTCCAGACTTGGCAACAGAGAGACCCTGTCTTAAATAAAATCCAAAAAAAAGCAACTGCCTACTATGGCGGTAATACCATCCATTCACAGAGTCCTGTCTTCATCTTCCCATCCATACACAGATATGTACTTTTTGTTTTTTTTTTTTTTTTTTTGGAGACAGAGCCTCATTCTGTCACCTAGGCTGGAGTGCAATGGTGTGATCTCAGCTCACTGCAACCTCTAACCTCTGCCTCCCGGGTTCAAGCAATTCTCTTGCCTCAGCCTCCTGAGTAGCTGGGATCACAGGCATGTGCCACCAAGCCCGGCTAATTTTTGTATTTTTAGTAGAGATGGGGTTTCACCATGTTGGTCAGGCTAGTCTCAAACTCCTGACCTTGTGATCTGCTCTCCTTGGCCTCCTGAAGTGCTGGGATTACAAGCGTGAGCCACCGTGCCTGGCCCAGACACGTACATGTTAAGACCCCTGAAACAACTTTATGTACAAGCTAAGTTTGACACGGTGATGGATGTGAAACCTGGCAAGTCTGAAAGGCAGGAAAAGCCAGCAGAGCGGAAACTGCTTGCAGCGTAACAGAAGCAGGAAGCTTGGTCTGCCTGTCTTGGGCATCTCACGCCTCACTTGCCTTGTTGCAAATATCGTAACTCTACCTTGTTCAAGATCCACTAAGACTGATTAAAACCGTTTAAAATGGCTCTTGTTGACAAGATTTACTATAGAACATCTTAATGACTAAACAAAATTATGGTGTAATTTTACTTGATTAAAGACAAAACTAAAACCTGTGCAATCTCCAGTGTATGTGTTAAGATAGCAACTTAAAAACATCTTTAAAGAATTTAGAGCCTGGCTCCTGCTGGAGAGAAATGAAAATGGGAATGTGGGTATTGTTCATGGGTTTCCTTCCCCTTACGGCAGCTTCCTGTGTGGTTTTTGTTTCTTTCATCCCTCCGCTGGCTCTGTGTGCTTTTTTCCAATTGTCTAGAGAGCTAGAAGGTAATGACTGTAAAAAACCAACGCTACTTGCAAGCAGGGTTGTATCTCTAGATGTTCTCTGGACTTCACTCCGTATCTGACTTCTTATATGTGTTTATCAGTCTCCTGTTCAAATTCCTTCTGTGGCTCCAGTCCCAAGCATCCCCTAATATCACAACACAACCTGTTTATAAGATAAAGCTATGAGTTTATTGCTTACTGCAGTAAAAAAAAGGACACCACCTCATGCCTCAGTAGGGATGGTAAGGTCAGATTTTTTTTTTTTTGGGGGGGACGGAGTCTCGCTGTGTTGCCCAGGCTGGAGTGCAGTGGCACAATCTCGGCTCACTGCAAGCTCCGCCTCCCGGGTTCACGCCATTCTCCTGCCTCAGTCTCCGGAGCAGCTGGGACTACAGACGCCCGCCACCATGCCTGGCTAATTTTTTGTATTTTTTAGTAGAGACGGGGTTTCACTGTGTTAGCCAGGATGGTCTCGATCTCCTGACCTTGTGATCTGCCTGCCTTGGCCTCCCAGAGTGCTGGGATTACAGGCGTGAGCCACCGCGCCCGGCCAGGGTGAGAATTTAATGAGAATCGGAAGCTCAACGGAAGACAGGGTCTTCCAAAGTGGGGGCTTGATGAAGGATCAGGTAGAGAGCTTGTCGTAACAACCCAGGATTGGTGCACACACCAAGACGTAGATTTTGAAAAAAGGGATTAAAGATGTTTAGAGTATCAATTATTGATGTATTCCATGGAGGAGCTGATCTTTTGCAGATTCTTAAAATGAACACCAATTCCTCTACCTGGCAGATGACTGATGGAAAAAGAAAGTCGTGCTAATGAAGACAGAGGAATAGCACGAAGTCATGTTCATGTGGACAGAAAAGTGCTGTTTTTTTTTTCTTTTTTTTGAGACGGAGTCTCACTTTGTTGCCCAGGCTGGAGGGCAGTGGCGCGATCTTGGCTCACTGCAAGCTCTTCCTCCTGGGTTCATGCCATTCTCCTGCCTCAGCTTCCCAAGTAGCTGGGACTACAGGTGCCCGCCACCACGCCCAGCTAATTTTTTTGTGTTTTTAGTAGAGATGGGGTTTCACCGTGTTAGCCAGGATGGTCTCGATCTCCTGACCTTGTGATCCGCCTGCCTGGGCCTCCCAAAGTGCTGGGATTACAGGCGTGAGCCACCGCGACCGGCCTAAGAAGGTGCTGTTTTTGTTCTCAGTGTCCAGGCAGAGAGTGAGGCATTAATAGATGGTTTCCATTCTTACTCTCCATGGATGAAGTTGAGGGCGTTGGACGTATTCCCAGGGTCACATGTGATCTGTCCTCTGCCTTTCCATTTCCATCGCGTCTCCATCTCAGCTTGTACTCTGTGATCCAGCTCTACTGACTTGCTTTTAACTTCTTGTTGATTCCCACCCCAGGAGCTTAGCATGGGCTGTAGCTATGCCTGGAATGCCATTTCTCCTTCCTATTATTTGCCTAGCCAACTCTTTTTATATGGCTTAAACGTCACCTCTTCAGGAAAGTCTCACTGATTTCCAATCTAAAGGTTGGTTCCCCCATTCTCAATTCTTTTGAGAGGAAATGAACTGAACCCCTTTCCACATTGCTTATGTTTTCTTCAGAGAACTTATCATAATAGTAACTAAATGGCAATTTTGGAATCGGTTATTTTTTATGCTTGCCTCTGTCTGCTGCTCACTGCTGTATGCCTAGGGCTTAGAAGAGTGATTTGCAGCTAATGGATCCTCAATAGACATTTGCAGAATAGATGATTTTGTGAATATGGACTGCGTCTCCTTTGATTGATGGGAAAAGCTTTTGTTCCATTGAAGTTGAGTGTGTATTTCTCATGGAAGCCTTCTGTGATATCTAACCCCACTGCTATCGGCAAAATAGTGTCTCCCCGAAATTCATATATTAAGGTCCTAATCCCCAATATCTCAGAATGTGACTACATTTGGAGTTAGTCTTTAATGAGGCAAGTTAAAATGGGGTCATTAGCATGGGCCCTAATCCAATATGACTGTTGTCCTTATAAGAAGAGAGACACCAGGGGTGCATGTGCATAGAGGAAAGTCCGTAGGGGACACAGCAAGAAAACAGCCATGTGCAAGCCAAGGAGAGAGACCCCAGAAACAACCAACCTGCAGACACCTTGACCTTGGACTTTCAGTCTCCAGAACTGAGAGAAAGTAATTTTCTCTTTAAGCCACACAGTCTGTGCTATTTTAATGGCAGGTCCAGCAAGCTGATACCCCTGCCTGAGACTGGGTTAGGATCCCCTGCTCTGGGCAGCCCTTCTGTTTCTCCACATCAAGATACTTAATTTCTCTGCATTATAATTGGCTGTATCCAACTCGAAGCTTCAGAGCAGAAGGAACTCACCTCTTCCTTCCTGGAACCTGGCACAGGGCCTGGCATATAAGAAGTGTCTTCTGTTTGTAAAATGAATGAATGAAAGAATTTGGGAATAAAGTCAGGATGCTGAGGGTTAGCTTTTGTCAAATATTGCTGTGCAGAAATTTCATTCATCAAGTACTTATTCCATGCATACTATATACCAGACACTAACCTAGGTGCTAGGAAGAATGCAGTATACAAAGGAGATTTAAAAAATATCCTTGTCCTCAAGAGTCTTATATCGTGCTAGACGTAGAGAAATAACAAGCAAGAGAAGTAAACATACATAATGGGGCCAGGTCTAGGGTGATACACATGAGGCACTGACTGGGTGCAAAATTTAAGGCAGTGCAAAAAACTGGAGTAATTAGGATAAATAATTTAATGCAATTTACAACTTTAATGCAATTTTTAATGCAATTTTTAAAACACAATGCAAAAATATCCACAATGGACAAAACATCAAAATCTTCAGTAAAGACAAGATGGTTATACAGCCTGCTATGAGAAAAAAAAAGAATTGGGAATGGGAACAGGAAATTTTGTGGAGAGAGGTGTTGAGGTTGTAGGTGGAGTGACCAGAGAAGTCCCTACCAAGAAGATGCTACTTGGGTGAAGACTTGAAGGAAGAGAGGAGCAATCCATGCAAATATCTGGGAATAACTTTCTCTGCAGATGGAACAGCAGGTGCAAAGGCCCCTGGGGTTGCACCACACTTGGAGAGGAACTAGTGTGACTGAAGGCTAGGAGTTAGCAGGGGAAGGGGTACAGGAGATGAGGTTAGAGGGGTAATAGGCCAAGATGCAGAGAGAATGAGCTGAACTCAATATTGCCAACTCATTCAAACTTAGAGGCTGGAAATCAGGATTTTAAAGTGGTATCTCTTAATTTTTAAAGGAAGTCTACTAATATGAAAAAATAATTAAACACTGCATAGGCTAAAATCAGTAGTTCACTACTGCAGGCAATTTTGCCTCCCACAGAACATCTGGAGATATGTGTGGCTGTCACAACCGGGAAGCAGATGCTACTGGCACCTAGTGGATAGAGGCCAAGGATGCTGCTGAAATCCAGCCTTGCGGCCGGGTGCAGTGGCTCACACCTGTAAATCCCAGCACTTTGGGAGGCCAAGGTGGGTGGATCACCTGAGGTCAAGAGTTTGAGAGCAGCCCAGTCAACATGGAGAAACCCTGTCTCTACTAAAAATACAAAAAAAAAAAAAAAAAAAAAAAAAAAAATTAGCTGGCCATGGTGGCAGGTGCCTGTAACTCCAGCTACTCGGGAGGCTGAGGCAGGAGAATTGCTTGAACCCGGGAGGCAGAGCATGCAGTGAGCCGAGATCGCGCCACTGCACTCCAGCCTGGGTGACAGTGAGACTCCGTCTCAAAAAAATAAAATAAAAAATAAAAAAATAAAATAAATCCTGCCTCGCACAGGATAGCCCCACTCCCCCCGCCTTGCAAAGAAGCATGATTTGGCTGGAAACATCAATTGTGCCTTAGGTAGAAAACTCTGCGCTAAATAGAACATAGCTGTGAATGGAAACTGTTGATGAGGTCAGCAATTCCAGGAAAGGATCAGATGGGCCAGAAGCTCCACTACGGCCCTCTTCCCTCCACGCCTCCCAAAATGCCCACCCATTTCCTTTATGCTGCAGCAGAAGTGATTTTCCACCACATGCCTAACACTCCTCCTCATTAAGTAATCACTATCCACAGCCACTCATTTCCATGTTTGTAGCCAGTCCAGGTGTAAAAGACGCCTGCCCTGTTCATAGGAGTCAGATGGAGATCAGCCAATTACAGGGCTATTAGATGAAAATGCAGTGCCTTCCTTATCTTGCCTCTGTGGGTTGAGCTCTTCACGATGGTGGGTTTGCGCCTGATCAGTACTTTAGTCCAATGCCCGCCCAGCCTGGTTCTCTAATTCTGGCCAGCAGAGCACAATTTCCTATTCTAAATGGAACAGCTCCGCTGATATGTTCTGAGCAGCAGCAATATTCACCCTTTTGCATACTGTATTCATAGCTGATTATGCAAATCACATTTCATTAGTCTTTTCCTCATTAAAATGATTTGAAAGACAAATAATTTTGGATAGACTTTTATTGTTGTGCAAGGGTATGTCTAAAGCAACTGTTTTTGGTGCAATGAGCTAGAACATTAGTCATAAACTAAAAAATCCCCACAAAGCCCTGGGAGGTACTGGGAAAATGTGAACCGGGTCATCAAAATAGAAGGTGGTGGTAACTGGGGCAGACTGGAGGCAGCTCACCTAGACTAGAGGAGACATCTAGTCCTCAGGTCCAGCCAATATGGCAGAATGGCAACTGGGACCAGTAGGGCAAGACTTTTTCTTTGACATTTTAATAGGACTAGAAATCTGAGATTTTTTTTTTTTTTTTTTTTTTTTGAGATGGAGTCTCGCTCTGTCGCCCAGGCTGGAGTGCAGTGGCATGATGTCGGCTCACTGCAACCTCCACCTGCTGGGTTGAAGTGATTCTCCTGCCTCAGCCTCCTGAGTAGCTGGAATTACAGCCATGTGCCACCACGCCTGACTAATTTTTGTATTTTTGGTAGAGATGAGGTTTCGCCATGTTAGCCAGGCTGGTCTTGAACTCCTGACCTCAAGTGATCCACCCACCATAGCCTCCCAAACTGCTGGGATTATAGGCGTAAGCCACCACCCCTGGTCAAACTCTGGATTTTTAAAGAACTCTATCTGCTTTAATACACTGAATGGGAATTCTTTGACATTTATGTAGTGTAGATGTAGTGTGTGGGTTATCAGATGGTGATCTCTAGTTAGGTTCTGGGAACTATCTGGGTTTTGCATGTGAGAGTAACTCAGTCCAGAAAGTTAAAAATGGACTGGGTGAAGAAGGAAGGGATGGTGGATTCAAGGTCTGCCCAACTCAGGAATAGTGGTTTTCCTGCCCCTAAACCAAAGCCTCGTCATCCTCATCAGTATCATAATGGCCATTTGTGTGCACAGCATCGTAAGGGAAGGGCCTTATCGTTAACTCATGCGTTTCTTAAAACACCCTGTGACCCATTTTGCAGATGAGAGAGCTGACTCTTCATAATCACATGACAAATGAGTGCATACCCAGAATTTGAGCCTGTGACTCTACATTCTGAGCTTTGATCTATTACTATTTGATCTATTACTGCTGACTATAGATATAGGTTGGAATGAATGTAGTAAAGTTTTAGGATACAAAAATCAGTAGCAATTCTACGCACCAACAACCGTTGAGCTAAGAACCAAATCAAGAAGACAATCCCCATTACAATAGCTATAAAAACATATAAAATACCTAGCACTATATTTAACCAAGGAGGTGAAAGATCTCTGCAAGAAAAACTCTAAAAGACCGATGAAAGAAATCCTAGGTGACACAAACAAATGGAAGAACATTCCATACTCATGGATCAGAAGAATTAATACCATTAAATGACCATAGTGCCCAAAGCAATCTCTAGATTGATGTAATCCCTATCAAAATACCAGTGTCATTTTTCAGATAAAACAAACTTAAAATATGTTTAGGCTGGGCGTAGCAGCTCATGGCTGTAATCCCAGCAGTTTGGGAGGCTGAGGTGGGTGGATCACTTGAGGTCACAAGTTTGAGACCAGCCTAACCAACATGGTGAAACCCTATCTCTACTAAAAATACAAAACTCAGCCAGGAGTAGTGGTGCATGCCTGTAATCCCAGCTACTCAGGAGGCTGAGGCAAAAGAATTGTTTGAACCTGGGAGGTGGAGGCTGTAGTGAGCCGCGATCATGCCACTGCACTCCAGCCTGGGCGATGGAATGAGACTCCATCTCAAAAAAAAAAAAAAAAAAAAAAAGTTTTTAAAAAAAGGCCCGGAAATTGTGGCTCATGCCTGTAATCCCAGTGCTTTGGGAGGCTCAGATGGGAGGATTCCTTGAAGCCAGGGGTTTGAGACCAGCCTGGGCAACAAAATGAGGCCCCATCTTTAGATAGAGTTTTTAAAAAGACAGATATAGTTTGGCAGATTATTTTCTTAACAATGTAAAGACTCTAGAGAAAGCTGAGGTTGAGTGTTTCTGAACTTGAGAAAAGTGTTTTGTAGTTTTTGGCCATATCCCTATATGTGGAGTGGGACAAAGTCAATTAGCCATCCGAGAGTTCTCTAGACTCATGAAAGGCAAGAAGACAGCAAAGACAAAGTTGGCCGTCCTCAATGGCTCTTAACCTATGACCTATGGGAGTTGGTGTATCAATACCCAGCTCCCTCACTGCCCTTAAGTGCCTGTTCTATACCATTCACCAGAGCTTTGCAGCCCTCGTTGCCCACAGGAGTAGCTTGATTGATAACACTGTACATTGACTTCTTTCCCTTTTTTATCTCACTACTTTCACCTCTCACATCAACTACAAATGCTTGTCTTAGGGTCTTCTCCTGAGAGAACCCAAACTAAGACACAAGGAAACCTCAAATTCTTTGTTTTTTGTTTAACTTGCATTGTGTTTGCATCTTTTTGAACTAGGCTAGTCATGTCATCAAGTTTATCCATCTGCATTCAATTAAATTTTTAGACAGAGGTCCCTTGCTGTTGCCCAGACTGGATAGCAGTGGTATGATCCAATCACAGCTCACTGCAACCTCAAACGCCTGGGCTTGAGTCAGCCTTCTGCCTCAGCCTCCCAAGTAGCTGGAACTACAGGTGCATGCCAGCACAACCAACTAGTTCAAATTTTTTTTGTAGAGATAGGGTCTCACTCTGTTGCCCAGTCTGGCCTCAAACTCCCAGCCTTAAGTGATCCCCCTGCCTTGGCATCTGAAAGTGCTCAGATTACAGGCATGAACCATGCCCAATCCCATCTGCATTTATTATGCAATGTCTAGGGTAATATTGGGCAGATTACAACAGAATTTAGAACTAGTTTTAACTTAAGCTTACTAGTAGAAGAATTCTAAAATAAAAGGGGAGGCAAGATATAAATCAAAAGGATTTGGTCAAAGAGAAGATACTTGTATTGCTGTAGTTCCTGCCACGTTTCCATTGGTTGAAATACAGTTGATTGTCTACAGTGCAGCCTTACCAGTGATAAGGGGCTGTCTTCTTTAATCTTCCTTTTTAATTTGCTTCCTAATTACTTTAAAGGAAGAACTCTTTGGCACTGAAAATTACTCTAGATTGTAACCAAAAAAAGATCCAGAACCTTTTTTTTTTTTTTTCTATTTCTTTTAATCTTCATTCAGGGGCATAGTATAATTGAATTAAGACGCTACCAGTGGGTGAATTACAGGATAATAATTCAGACCTTTCTGTTTAATAGGGGCTGGCCTGTGGCCTTGAGTCCACTAGATCTGAAGGGTGAATTACTGCTCCATAACTCACTAGCTCCCATTTAAAGAGACCCTGGTTAAAGAGAATTAACATCAACAACCAAGTCAGGAAAAGGCAACCCAAGACCTAAGAGTAAGAGATGAGGATAACACAGAAATGAATTTGGAAAGTTCTGGCTTCTCACTTCAAAGAAGGCAGGCTTCAGAGAATAAAAAACCTTCCATAAAAAACCAAAGGCCTCTCTGCTCAGCAGAGCTCTGGGTGTTTTTTCACCAAAGCCCTGGCAAACATACCCAGATGTCTCAAGCATGCATCCTTTCAGATCTAATAAAATGACTAACTGGGCTTTAAACCTAGCCTGGATATGGGCGAGGTGTCCGGCAGTTACCTGCACCTTGAACAGAGTGGACAATAACACCCAAAGTCCTTCTTTCTGTCTTCCCTAAAGTGTATGTATGTTATTTATTTATTGTTTATTTATTTAGTCTCACTCTGTCATCCAGGCTGGAGTGCAGTGGTGTGATCTCGGCTCACTGCAGCCTCTGCCTCCTGGGTTCAAGTGATTTTTCTGCCTCAGCCTCCCAAGTAGCTGAGATTATACACATGTGTCACCATGCCTGGCTAATATTTGTGTTTTTAGTAAAAATGGGGTTTCACCATGTTGTCCAGGCTGGTCTCAAACTCCTGGCCTCAAGTGATTTGCCCACCTCAGCCTCGCAAAGTGCTGAGATTACAGGTGTGAGCCACCATGCCCGGCCCCTGATGTGATGTTTTTCTAGCTGATGCCTGAAATGTCACCATTAGCAATTTTTTTTTTTAAAGTAAAAGCTGACATCCTTCTGTTTCCTCTTTTCCAAAAAAGAGTTGACAGTGGACATAAGTTAAATATTATAGCACTTAAGTCATAGATATGAATTCAGATCTAAACTTCATTGACTGTGAAATCAAAGGGAAATTGCCTACCCTCTCTGGTTTCAAGTTTCTCATCTATAAAGCAGGGATTGTAATAGTCCCAACTTCTTAGGGCTGTCATAAAAGTTAGATAAAAGAATGGATATGAAACATAGAAAAATGGCTGACGTGGAGTAAGACTTCAATAAAGAATAAGCATTATTCCACTGCACTCCAGCCTGGGCGACAGAGTGAGACTCCATCTCAAAAAGAAAATAAGCATTATTATCGAAAAATATCCTTTAGAGACTGAAGGATGTGAAGAATTGCATTGCTGATTTTAGTTTCTAGAATAAGAATGTCATCCAGTGTAAGAGAAAAAGGGTGATCAATTCAATGTGGTTCATAGATATCATTCTCTAAGATGGCATGAATTGATAGTTCACCGTCTTTGGGGTAAACCCAACTTTTGTGAATTTCTAAAATCCAAGAGACAACCACCTCAGCTGCAAAGGATCTCATCCAGCTTAGGAGGTCAGTAGCAGCTGATAGGACAGGTTCCATTTTCACTTCCTCTTAGACATCTTGCCTGTCTCTGCCAACCTTCTGCTATCTGTCCCAGACTTTTACTTAAAGATAAAAAGAGAATGCTTATAATTCATTACAGTTCATTAAAATGAAAATAAAATTTATTTTGCATCAAAATGAAAAAAAGACTCATTTATTATTAGCATATAAATGGCATTTTTAAATGTCACTCTGCCTCAAAATCACTTACATTTTCAGTGATCATAGCACACAAAATTAATTTTTGATAGCCTTTTGTGATTTGGCTGGAAATTCTTATTTCTTTTTGTGCTTTAAACAGCAAACTGTATCCACTGCTATTCATAGCAAATTTTAGATAATGAAGCAATTAAAAATACATGGATTTAAGATCTTATCTCATTTTTCCTTTGGCCTATTTCTGCTTCATTATTCATGAAGGGATATGTTTAATTCAGAGTTAGTAATTGCAGATATATCTAGTATAAATTGTGCCTCATATTCTTTACCCATTTCAATTTATTTTAGCAAATAGATCTCTGTTTGAAAAAAAAGTCATTGAGAGAGGGTGAGTATGACAAAAATGCAGAAATCTGCGTGTATGTGTATATTGATTGACATATCCAAACCAGATCTCAAAAATGTTAATAACCACATTTCCTGAGGTTTTACCAAGAGCCAGGCACTGTGCTGAACAATTTTACACAGCATTTCACTCAATCCTAAGAGTAACTTTAGGAGGGCTGTATAGTTAGTGCTCCCATTTTTTAGATACGGAGACTGAGGCTCAGGTCAAAAAAGTGGCCTGAAGTCACATCATTAGAAATGACAAAGAACCAGAATTGGAACTTGGCTTGTCTGTCTCCACAGCCTCTGTATTAGACCATTCATCTCCTGTGTTCTAGAACAAAGTGTATTAAAGCCTCAAAGAGATTTGTCAAAGGCTGCTAAAATCGTCCTGCAGTTCCACCTAACAGCATCCAAAGTTCATAAAGTTGCTGGTCTGAGGAGCTGTGACTTATTTGGTTTCCATGAGCTCTAAATATATTTTAGGAATTTATCCTAGAGAAATAACAGGTACACATGGTTTCTTTTTTTTTCTTTCTTTTTTTTAAGTTCTAGGGTACACGTGCACAACATGCAAGTTTGTTTCATAGGTATACATGTGCCATGTTGGTTTGGGGCAACCATCACCTCGTCATTTACATTAGGTATTTCTCCTAATGCTATCCCTCCCCCAGTTCCCCACACCCCAATAGGCCCCAGTGTGTGATGTTCCCCTCACTGTGTCCATGTGTTCTCATTGTTCAACTCCCACTTATGAGTGAGAACATGTGGTGTTTGGTTTTCTGTCCTTGTGATATTTTGCTGAGAATGATGGTTTCCAGCTTCATCCATGTCCCTACTAAGGACATGAACTCATCCTTTTTTATGGCTGCATGGTATTTCATGGTGTATATGTGCCACATTTTCTTTTTTTATTTTTTTTTTATTATTTTGTTTTATTATTATACTTCAAGTTTTAGGGTACATGTGCACAACGTGCAGGTTTGTTACATATGTATACATGTGCCATGTTGGTGTGCTGCACCCATTAACGCGTCATTAGCATTAGGTATATCTCCTAATGCTATCCCTCCCCCCTCCCCCACCCCACAACAGTCCCCAGTGTGTGATGTTCCCCTTCCTGTGTCCATGCGTTCTCATTGTTCAATTCCCACTTAGGAGTGAGAACATGCAATGTTTGGTTTTTTGTCCTTGCGATAGTTTGCTGAGAATGATGGTTTCCAGTTTCATCCATGTCCCTACAAAGGACATGAACTCATCATTTTTTATGGCTGCATAGTATTCCATGGTGTATATGTGCCACATTTTCTTAATCCAGTCTATCATTGATAGATGTTTGGGTTGGTTCCAAGTCTTTGCTATTGTGAACAGTGCCACAATAAACATATGTGTGCATGTGTCTTTATAGTAGAATGATTTATAATCCTTTGGGTATATACCCAGTAATGGGATTGCTGGGTCAAATGGTTATTTCTAGTTTTAGATCATTGAGGCATCACCACACTGTCTTCCACAATGGTTGAACTAATTTACACTCCCACCAACAGTGTAAAAGCGTTCCTATTTCTCCACATCCTCTCCAGAATCTGTTGTTTCCTGACTTTTTAATGATCACCATTCTAAATGGCATGAGATGCTATCTCATTGTGGTTTTGATTTGCATTTCTCTGATGACCAGTGATGATGAGAATTTTTTCATATGTCTGTTGGCTGCATAAATGTCATCTTTTGAGAAGGGCCTGTTCATATCCTTTGCCCATTTTTTGATGGGGTTGTTTTTTTCTTGTAAATTTGTTTAAATTCTTCGTAGATTCTGGATATTAGCCCTTTGTCAGATGGATAGATTGCAAAAATTGTCTCCCATTCTGTAGGTTGCCTGTTCACTCTGATGATAGTGTCTTTTGCTGTGCAGAAGCTCTTTAGTTAAATTAGATCCCATTTGTCTATTTTGGCTTTTGTTGCCATTGCTTTTGGTGTTTTAGTCATGAAGTCTTTGCCCATGCCTATGTCCTGGATGGTATCGCCTAGGTTTTCTTCTAGGATTTTTATGGTTTTCGGTCTTCCATTTAAGTCTTTAATCCATCTTGAATTAATTTTTGCGTAAGGTATAAGGAAGGGATCCAGTTTCAGCTTTCTACATACGGCTAACCAGTTTTCCCAGCACCATTTATTAAATAGGTAATCCTTTCCCCATTTCTTGTTTTTGTCAGATTTGTCAAAGATCAGATGGTTGTAGGTGTGTGGTGTTATTTGAGGCCTCTGTTCTATTCCATATGTCTATATATCTGTTTTGGTACCAGTACCATGCTGTTTTGTTTACTGTAGCCTTGTAGTATAGTTTGAAGTCAGGTAGCATGATGCCTCCAGCTTTGTTCTTTTTGCTTAGGATTGTCTTGGCTATGTGGGCTCTTTTTTGGTTCCATATGAAATTTAAAGCAGTTTTTTTCCAATTCTGTGAAGAAAGTCAGTGGTAGCTTGAGGGGAATAGCATTGAATCTATAAATTACCTTAGGCAGTATGGCCATTTTCATGATATTGGTTCTACCTATCCATGAGCATGGAATGTTTTCCATTTGTTTGTGTCCTCTCTTATTTCCTTGAGCAGTGGTTTGTAGTTCTTCTTGAAGAGGTCCTTCACATCCCTTGTAAGTTGGATTCCTAGGTATTTTATTCTCTTTATAGCAATTGTGAATGGCAGTTCACTCATGATTTGGCTCTCTGTCTGTTATTGGTGTATAGGAATGCTTGTGATTTTTGCACATTGATTTTGTATCTTGAGACTTTGCTGAAGTCGCTTATCAGCTTAAGGAGATTTTGGGCTGAGACAATGGGTTTTCTAAGTATATAATCATGTCATCTGCAAACAGAGACAATTTGACTTCCTCTTTTCCTAACTGAATATCCTTTATTTCTTTCTCTTGCCTGATTGCCCTGGCCAGAACTTCCAATGCTATGTTGAATAGGAGTGTCAAGAGAGGGCATCCTTGTCTTGTGCCAGTTTTCAAAGGGAATGCTTCCAGTTTTTTCCCATTCATTATGATACTGGCTGTGGGTTTGTCATAAATAGTTCTTATTATTTTGAGATACATTCCATCAATACCTAGTTTATTGAGAGTTTTTAGCATGAAAGGCTGTTGAATTTTGTTGAAGGCCTTTTCTGCTCTATTGAGATAATCATGTGGCTTTTGTCTTTCATTCTGTTTATGTGATGGATTACGTTTATCGATTTGTGTATATTGAACAAGCCTTGCATCCCAGGGATGAAGCTGAGTTGATCATGGTGGATAAGCTTTTTGATGTGCTGCTGGATTCAGTTTGCCAGTATTTTATTGAGGATTTTCGCATCGATATTCATCAGGGATATTGGCCTAAAATCCTCTTTTTTTGTTTTGTCTCTGCCAGGCTTTGGTATCACGATGATGCTGGCCTCATAAAATGAGTTAGGGAGGATTCCCTCTTTTTCCATTGATTGGAATAGTTTCAGACAGAATGATACCAGCTCTTCTTTGTACCTCTGGTAGAATTTGGCTGTGAATCCATCTGGTCCTGGACTTTTTTTGGGTGGTAGGCTATTAATTATTGCCTCCATTTCAGAACCTGTTATTGGTCTATTCAGAGATACAACTTCTTCCTGGTTTAGTCTTGGGAGGGTGTGTGTGTCCAGGAATTTATCCATTTCCTCTAGATTTTCTAGTTTAATAACATAGAGGTGTTTATAGAATTCTCTGATGGTAGTTTGTATTTCTGTGGGATCGGTGGTGATACCTCATTTATCATTTTTTATTGCATCTATTTGATTCTTCTCTCTTTTCTTCTTTATTAGTCTTGCTAGTGGTCTGTTTTGTTGAACTTTTCAAAAAACCATCTCCTGGATTCATTGATTTTTTTGAAGAGTTTTTTATGTTTCTGTCTCCTTCAGTTCTGCTCTCATCTTAGTTATTTCTTGTCTTCTGCTAGCTTTTGAATTTGTTTGGTCTTGCTTCTCTAGTTCTTTTAATTGTGATGTTAGCATGTCAATTTTAGATCTTTCCTGCTTTCTTTTATGGGCATTTAGTGCTATGAATGTCCCTCTACACACTGCTTTAAATGTGTCCCAGAGGTTCTGGTAGTTTGTGTCTTTGTTCTCATTGGTTTCAAAGAACATCTTTATTTCTGCCTTCATTTTGTTATATACCCAGTAGTCATTAAGGATCAGGTTGTTCAGTTTCCATGTAGTTGTGCAGTTTTGAGTGAATTTCTTAATCCTGAGTTCTAATGTGATTGCACTGTGGTCTGAGAGACAGTTTGTTGTGATTTTTAGTGTTTTACATTTGCTGAGGAGTGTTTTAATTCCAATTATGTGGTCAATTTTAGAATAAGTGTGTTGTGGTGCTGAGAAGAATGTATATTCTATTGATTTGGGGTGGAGAGTTCTGTGGATGTCTATTATGTCCACTTGGTCTGGAGCTGAATTCAAGTCCTGGATATCCTTGTTAATTTTCTGTCTTGTTGATCTGTCTAATATTGACAGTGGGGTGTTTAAGTCTCCTGTTATTAGTGTGTGGGAGTCTAAGTCTCTTTGTAGGTCTCTAAGAACTTACTTTATGAATCTGGGTGTTCCTGTATTGAGTGCGTATATATTTAGGATAGTTAGCTCTTCTTGCTGAATTGATCCCTTTACCATTATGTAATGGCCTTCTTTATCTCTTTTGATCTTTGTTGGTTTAAAGTCTGTTTTATCAGAGACCAGGATTGCAACCCCTGCTTCTTTTTTTGCTTTCCATTTGCTTGGTAGATCTTCCTCCATCCCTTTATTTTGAGCCTAGGTTTGTCTTTTCACGTGAAATGGATCTCCTGAATACAGCACACTGATAGGTCTTGACTCTTTATCCAATTTGCCAGTCTGTGTTTTTTCATTGGGGTATTTAGCTCGTTTACATATAAGGTTAATATTGTTATGTATGAATTTGATCCTGTCATTATGATGCTAGCTGGTTATTTTGCCCGTTAATTTATGCAGATTCTTCATAGTGTCAATTGTCTTTACAATTTGGCATGTTTTCACAGTGGCTCATACTGGTTGTTCTTTTCCATATTTAGTCCTTCCCTCAGGAGCTCTTGTGAGTCAGGCCTGCTGGTGACAAAATCTCTCAGCATTTGCTTGTCTGTACAGGATTTTATTTCTCCTCCACTTATAAAGCTTAGTTTGGCTGGATATGAAATTCTGGGTTGAAAATTCTTTAAGAATGTTGAATATTGGCCCCCACTCTCTTCTGGCTTGTAGGGTTTCTGCAGAGAGATCTGCTGTTAGTCTGATGGGCTTCCCTTTGCGGGTAACCCAACCTTTCTCTCTGGCTGAACTTAACACTTTTTCCTTCTTTTCAACCTTGGCGAATCTGACAATTATGTGTCTTGGGGTTGCTCTTCTTGAGGAGTATTTTGTGGTGTTCTTTGTATTTCCTGAATTTCATTGTTGGCCTGCCTTGCTAGGTTGGGGAAGTTCTCCTGGATAATATCCTAAAGAATGTTTTCCAACTTGATTCCATTCTCCCTGTCACTTTCAGGTACGCCAGTCAAACGTAGATTTGGTCTTTTCACATAGCCCCGTATTTCTTAGAGGCTTTGTTCATTTCTTTTCATTCTTTTTTCTCTAATCTTGTCTTCTTACTTTATTTCATTAATTTGATCTTCAATCACTTGTATCCTGTCTTCTACTTGATGGAATCAGCTACTGAAGCTCGTGTATGCTCCCCGAAGTTCTCGTGCTGTGGTTTTCAGCTCCATCAGGTCATTTAAGCTCTTCTCTATACTGGTTATTCTAGTTAGCCATACGTCTAACCTTTTTTCAAGGTTTTTAGCTTCCTTGCGATGGGTTAGAACATGCTCCTTTATCTCGGAGAAGTTTGTTATTATTGACCTTCTGAAGCCTACTTCTGTCAACTCGTCAAACTCATTCTCCATCCAGTTTTGATCCCTTGCTGGCAAGAAGTAGTGTTCTTTGGAGGAGAAGAGGTGTTCTGGCTTTTGGAATTTTCAGCCTTTCTGCTCTGGTTTCTCCCCATCTTTGTGGTTTTATCTACCTTTGGTTTTTGATGTTGGTGACCTATGGATGGGGTTTTGGTGTGGATGTCCTTTTGTTGATGTTGATGCTATTCCTTTCTGTTTGTTAGTTTTCCTTCTAACAGTCAGGCCCCTCAGCTACAGGTCTGTTGGAGTTTGCTTGAGGTCCACTCCAGACCGTGTTTGCCTAGGTATCACCAGCGGAGGCTGCAGAACAGCAAATCTTTTTGCCTGATCCTTCCTCTGGAAGCTTCATCCCAGAGGGGCACCTGCCTGTATGAGGTGTCTGTCAGCCCCTACTGGGAGGTGTCTCCCAGACAGGCTACACGGGGGTCAGGGACCCACTTGAGGAGGCAATCTGTCCGTTATTGGAGCTTGAACACCATGCTGTGAGAACCACTGCTCTCTTCAGAACTGTCAAGCAGGGACTTTTTCCATGTGGTATCTTTTAATACAAGTTGTCACAGGGTTTTATACACCAGTAAAAAAGCAGGAAAGAGGAAAGAAAAAAGGAAATGGCTCAACAATGTTCAATTATATGTTAAATAAATCCTGATGCATTTATTTAGTATTATACTGTAACACCATCAAAAATGAGTTGTGAGGCCAAGGCAGGTGGATAGCTTGAGTCCAGGAGTTCAAGACCAGCCTGGGAAACATAGTGAGACCCCATCTCTACAAGAATAAACAAAACTAGCTGGACATTGTTGCACGTGCCTGTAGTGCCAGCTACTTGGGAGGCTGAGGAGGGAGGATTATTTGAGCCTGGGAGGTCGAGGCTGCAATGAGCTAGGATGGCACCACTGCACTCCAGCCTCGGCGATAGAGTGAGATCCAGTCTCAAAAAGAGAATCTTAGTTTACTGACATGTAAAAAATGTGTCTGCAGGTTATAAAAGTGGCAGGTCCATAAAACAATATATGTAATGTATCCCTTTTCTAAAAAAAAAAAACTACATATGTGTATATATATGTGTAAATGAGGAAAGAGAGAAGCCAGGACATCTCAGCTTTTCTGAGATTTTGCACAACAAAAACATAACACAAGCCACATATGTAATTTAAAATTTTCTTTTTTATTTATTATTATTATTTCTTTTTTATTTTATTATTTTTTCTCCCCCACTTGTAAATAGCATTATTGCTTTACTGATGATCAGCTTTGTTTTATAAAAAACTCAGAAAATTCAGTAAAGTATGCACAAGAAAGGAAAAATGTCATAACTACACCAGCCAAAGATCAGTCCCCTGTATCTAACAGTGTGTGTGAATCTTGCTAGACCTGCCCTGTGCTATTTGGTGGTCATGAGCCACGTGACTCCTGAGCACTGGAAGTGTGGCTGGTCCAAACTGAGACGTGCTGTAAGTGTCAAAGACATGCTGGATTCCAGAGATTTAGAACCAAAGAAGATAGTACAATATCTCATTAATAATTTTTCTATTGGTTACAGGTTGAAATGCTAATATTTGAAGTATTTAAAAATAAAATATGCTACTAAAATTAATTTTACCTGTTTTTTCACTTTTTATTATAGCTATTAGAAAATTTTAAATTTCTCATGCCTGTAATCCCAGCACTTGGGGAGGCCGAGGCAGGCAGATCACCTGAGGTCAGGAGTTTGAGACCAGCCTGATGAACATGGGGAAACGCCACCTCTAATAAAAATACAAAAATTAACCGGGCATGGTGGTGCGTGCCTGTAATCCCAGCTACTCAGGAGGCTGAGGAAGCATTGTTTGAACCCAGGAGGCAGAGGTTGCAATGAGCCAAGATTGCGCCACTGCACTGCACCCTGGGCGAAAGAGTGAAACTCCGTCTCAAAAAAAATTAATATTTTGATACAGCCATGCAATGTGAAATAATCAAATCATGGAGAATGGAGTATCCATCCCCTGAAGCATTTGTCCTTTGTGTTAGAAACAATCCAATTAAGCTCCTTTAGTTATTTAAAAATGTACAATTAAGTTATTGACTATAGTCACCCTGTGTGGTATCAAATAGTAGGTCTTATTTATTCTTTTTTTTTTTTGGAGACAGTCTCGCTCTGTCACCCAGGCTGGGGTGTAGTGGCATGATCTGGGCTCACTGTAGCCTCTGCCTCCTGAGTTCAAGCGATTCTTGTGCTTCAGCCTCCCAAGTAGCTGGGATTTCAGGCATGCACCACCACGTTTGGCTAATTTTTTATATTTTTAGTAGAGATGGGGTTTCGCCATGTTGTCCAGGCTGGTCTCAAACTCCTGAGCTCAGGCAATCTGCCCGCCGTGGCCTCCTGAAATGCTAGGATTATAGGCACGAACCACCATGCCTGGCCTTATTTATTTCTAGGTATTTCTTTGTTCTCATTAACATTCTCCCTGTCACCCCACTATTCTTTCCAGCCTCTGTTAACCATCCTTCTACTCTCTATCTCCATAAGTTCATTGTTTTTATTTTTAGATCCCACAAATAAATGAGAACATGCAGTTTGTCTTTCTGTGCCTGGCTTATTTCACTTAACATAATGACCTCCAGTTCCATCTATGTTGTTGCAAATGACAGGACCTCATTCTTTTTCATGGCTGAATAGTACTCCAAATGGAAAGTCTCTTTAGTGATCTTCTGACTCAGTCAATAAAATGCATCAATATTCCACTGGGTATGCATGCCTCTATTCTAGATTCTGGAGGTACTGGAGAAAACAAAACAGGCAAAACTGCCACCCTCATGGAGCATGAGTTCTGGTAGGAGAGACAGAAAAAAAATGCAAGAAAATACGCAATATTTCACGTGTTGATGAGAGCTATGGAGACAAAGGAGAAGGGAGAAGACCAAGGTGTTCTAATGAAGGATGATCAGGAAGGCTCGTGTTATAAGGTGACATTGTGCAGAGACGTGGGGGAAATGAGTGAATGTGTCTTGAGGCTGAGAGACAGCCGTCTGGCAAGTCCACAGGCCCCTAAGCAGAAACAAGCTTGGCGTGATGGAGGAATCACAAGGGGCTGTAATGGCTGGAGCAGAGCTTATCCTCCCAGTTGAGGAGGTAGGAAGTAGAGGTTGAGATTTTGGAGTCGAGCAGACCTGAGATATCTAATATACAATTTTAAGGCACTGGTGTTGCTGTGATAGAACCTTTCTGGGTCACCCCAAAGTACTGACAATGACAAATATATTGGGCAGGCGGTGTGGGGAATGTCAGAGAAAGAGGCTGAGTTTTTCTCTGGGTCCATGCAGTGCAGAGAGAAGAGAATAAATGTGAGACAGAGAGAAACGGGAGCAGGAACTTGGAGGTAGAAATAATCAAAAGAAACAGGAACCCTGAGGAATCTGCAAAAGTCTTGGCAAGATGTTCAACTCATAGGATGTGGGATATAAGCTCAGGCCAAATTTATTTAAAATGCAAAGGAAGAGGTGACCACAGCTTACCTCTGGGCCAAGCTTATTTAGTATACCAAATATTTGAAGAATCATTTCTTCTTAATTTGGTTTGTTCTTAGTAGATGCTCCCACTGGTTTAAACCTGAATTTCAAGCTGTTGTGTTTTTTTTAAACCTACACTAAATAATACACGGGTGGGTGAAAAGCAGAAGGAGGCTTTGTGAATGAGCTTTTTTAAATAGTGAGATTCCTTGGCATGCATAAAATGTTATTTGGGATAGAAGAAAGCTTGATTTATGAAAATCTTCCCTAGGCCACGTAGTGCAGAATCAGGGGACTCTGGCATCGCCGCCCGGCATGCAAATAAACGTTTCCAGCAGTTCTTTAGAGTATGCATTTCTTGTTTTTTTGGCTGCAGAAAGTATGGTGTCCAAAAATTAGGTAGGGTTTGCTTTGCATTCCAGTTGTCCGTGTTGCCAGAAAACAATGCCATCTGGATGTCATTCCTTCACCTAGAGTAAGGCGCTGTCACCATGCGTAAGCATTATAACATAATCTCTGGGTTACAGTCCTGGCTGGTCACTGACTAGCTTGGAAAGTTTACCACAAATCCTCTGAGTCTCACTTCTCCCTACTGTAAAGGCAGGATAATTATTAATTTGAGAACACGTTTGGTTGTACTGAGGATCCAATAAGAGAATATTTGGCAGAAAAATCTGGCCAATGGTAAATGGTATTCAGTAAATAAACACATTTTGGTCGTCAGCAGAGAGCTACCTGGATTTTATTTTATTTCCTTCCTTTTTTTTTTATCGTAGAGAAAAATGACAGGGATTCACTTTCTAAGAAATTACACTATGTTCAATGACTTCCCATCAAGAGTAGGCAATGTTCCGTATCCTGCCATTGGTAAGTATCAAATGGGCCCGTGTCAGACAAGTCATGGCTTTTAATCTCCCTTTATTGGCCACGTCACCTGTCAGTGACCTTGACTGTTGCCGGCTGCCTCATGTTCTGCAGTTTCCTGATAAGTGTGTTTCCGGCTTTTGAAGTTATGTCTGCCGAAAACCACATCTGGTTCACCGCCGCCTCAACAGACACACAATGAAATACAAAAGGCTAATTCTGCTGTGTACGCAATCCATGTTTCTTTCCCCAGAGGATTCCAGATGGAGTGAACTCAGTAGAGGCGGTGCTTCGACGGCTGATGATCTTGCGGAGAGGAGAGAGGAGCATTAGTTACGGTTTTAAGTCCCGGCTGAACTGGCAGGGGTTACATGACCTCAGACTCAGGGGTAAGTGCGCAAGCTCTCGCCCCTGGAAGGGCTGTGATGCCTTTCAACAGCCACACCTCTCCGTTGAACCCATCAACACCCTTTGTGCAGAGGTGGGTTGAGATTTCTCAGATGAAGTAACATTTCCTACTCTAGTAGTCTCAATTGGTAAATATAATTGTTTTTTTTTTTTTTTTTTTGAGACGGAGTCTTGCTCTGTCGCCCAGGCTGGAGTGCAGTGGCGCGATCTCGGCTCACTGCAAGCTCCGCCTCCCGGGTTCACGCCATTCTCCTGCCTCAGCCTCCCGAGTAGCTGGGACTACAGGCGCCCGCAACCACGCCAGGCTAATTTTTTTGGTATTTTTTAGTAGAGACGGGGTTTCACCGTGTTAGCCAGGATGGTCTCAATCTCCTGACCTCGTGATCCGCCCGCCTCGGCCTCCCAAAGTGCTGGGATTACAGGCGTGAGCCACCGCGTCCGGCCGGTAAATATAACTTTAATGTGGACATCAGAAGGAATTCTGGTATTACGAGTGGTGGGAGAAGCATTTTATACTTTATTAGGGTATGAATAACAACATCTTTATTTACTTTTAACTTTTATTTTAGGTTTAGGGGTACATGTGCAGGTTTGTTATAAAGGTTAAATTGCATGTCATTGGGGTTTGGTGTCCAGATTATTTCATCACTCTTGTAATGAGCACAGTACCCAATAAGTAGTTTTTTGATGCTCACCCTCCTCCTTCCCTCCCTGCTCAAGTAGGCCCTGGTGCCTGCTGTTCCCTTCTTTGTGTCCATATATACTCAATGTTTAGCTCCCACTTATAAGTGAGAACATGCGACATTAGATTTTCTGTTCCTGAGTTAGTTCACTTAGGATAATAGCCTCCGGCTTCCTCCATGTTGCTGCAAAGGACATAATCTAATTCTTTTTTATGGCTGTGTAGTATTCCAGGCTGTATAATTACCACATTTTCTTTATCCAGTCTACCGTTGATGGGCATTTAGGTGGATTCCATGTCTTTGCTATTGTGAATAGTGCCGTGATGGACATACATGTGCATGTGTCTTTATGGCAGAACAATGTATATTCCTTTGGGTATATGCCCAGTAATGTGATCGACAACATATTTATTTAAAAATTGAGCACTTATTTAAAAAATCTTAAGTGCTTTCTTCATTGGCTGTGAAAGCTCTGAGTTTTCTGTGAATGTCATTAGGTCCATTGTACACATGTGAAAAGTAAAGCAACACACCCAAAGATGGTCAGTCCTTTGAACTTGGGTTGTTTGATGTTTGTGACTATTACATAGATGCCATTTATATTGAGTATATGTCTAGCAGCTTTATTGCTGGGTCACAGGCTGGACGTATGTTTAGTTGCTGGAGATTGCCAACTCATTTTCCAAAGCTGTTATACCCATTTGTATCAATTTTTTCCAAGCAGCACAGCCAAATTTGAAGCTGGATCTGGCTGATTCCAGCTCTAACTTTTTTTTTTTTTTTTTTTTTTTTGGAGAGAGGGTCTCACTCTGCCACCCAGGTGGGAGTACAGTGGCACAATCACAACTCACTGCAGCTTTGATCTCCCTGGGCTCAAGTGATCCTCCTACCCCAGCCTCCCAAGAAGCTGGTACTGTAGGCATACTCCACCATGCCCAGCTAATACTTGTATTTTTTATAGAGAAGGGATTTCATCATGCTGCACAGGCTGGTCTCGAACTCCTAGGCTCAAGCAACATGCCGAAGTGCTGGGACTACAGGTGTGAGCCACCACGCCTGGCCCCTAATATATATGTGTGTGTATTTTATATACGTATATATAATGTATTACACATATTTTTACATTATATATATTTTACATATATATTTTATGTATTATATATTTTACATATATATTAGAAACATTTACACATATATATTTACATGTATATTTTACATGTATATGTTTATATATTTTTTATGTATTTATTTTACATATATTTTAAGATATATAAAATTCATAGCAGGCAAAAACAGCTTCTAATATTTTGAACCATTGTACTATATCCTACGAAAGTACTAAGTATAAATAAGAGAGACTTCCCGGAGAACCATTGCTCCTGGCCAGTAGAGGGTTTGGTTTTTGGAGGTGGTTTTGTTTTGTAAACGTCTTTGTTAATATGGAACATTCAGACAAGTGCATAAATCTTAAGTGAGCAGCTCAGTGAATTTTTGCAAAGTGATTATTACCATGCAGCTACCACCTGACCAGGATATAAAGCATTTCTAGCACCACTGACAGCCTTCCTCCAACTTTGTTCTTATTCCAAATTATCTTTACTCTAGTGACCCTTCACAATTCCACATGCCATTTAGCATGATGCGGTCATTTTCCACAACAAAAAAATCCTGCTGGGATTTTGATTGAGATTGCATTGAATTGATTGATTAATCTGAAGATTTTGTTAGATTGGTTCTTTCTTCCCTAAGTATTCAAAATAATTCACTGGTAAAAACACGTAGGCCTGGGGTGGTTGTGTGTGTGTGTGTGGTGTGGAGGGACTGAGAGAAGGGATGAATTATAATTACAGATTTAATTTCTTTTTTTAATTTGTAATTTTTGTGGGTCAATAGTATGCATATGTATTTTGGGGTATACGAGATATTTTGATACAGGCATATGATGTGTGATAATCATGTCAGGGTAAAGGGAGTGTCCATCACCTCAAGTATTTATCCTGTCTTTGTGTTACAAACAATCCAGTTATACTCTTTTAGTTATTTTAAAATGTACAATGAATTATTGACTGTAGTCATCCCGATGTGCTATCAAATACAGATCTTATTCTGTTGAACTCTGTACCCATTAACTATCCCCCCAGCCACTAGCCTCTGATAACCACGGTCCAACTCTCTATCTCCACAAGTTCAATTGTTTTTCTTTTTAGCTCCCACAAATGAGTGAGAACATGGGAAGCTTGTCTTTCTGTGCCTGGCTTATTTCAATGAACAGAATGACCTCCAGTTTCATCCGTGTTGTTGCAAATGACAGGATCTCATTCTCTTTTATGGAGGAATAGTACTCCATTGTGTATGTGTACCAAATTTTCTTTATCCATTCCTCTGTTGGCGGGCACTTAGATTCTTCTAGATCGTGGCTACTGTGACAAGTGCTGCAGTAAACACGGGAGTGCAGGTATTTCTTTGATACACTGATTTCCTTTCTCTTGGGTATATATCTAACAGTGAGATTCCTAGATCATAGGGTAGTTCAATTTTTAGTTTTTTTGAGGAACACCCTAGATTTAATTTATTAGCTATTGGAGTATTCGGATTTTCTGTTTCTTATGTCAGTTTTGCTAGGTCATTTTTAGGGAAAAACTTCCATTTTATCTAAATCTTCCAATCTATTGACTTAAAGCTGTTCTACAACGCATCAAGGAATTATTTTATGTGATAGATACGTTCTATGTGTTGATTGTGGTCATATTTACATGGGGGTATACATTTGTCAAGTCTTATTCAACTGTGCACTTAAAATGGGTACATTATATGTATTTACATTATATGTAAATTATAGCTCAGTGTGGTTCAATAAAAATTTACAATTGATACCATTTTATTTTTACCTGTACTTATGAAAAAAGTTAAAAAGTTTAATCATATCAAGTGTTGGCAGTAAGATAGGCTACACTGCAAGAGAGGGTATACATTGCCACAACCACCTGGAAGAACAATTTGGAAATACTATTTATTTATAGATTGATTGATGGAGTCTCACTCTGTCACCCAGGCTGGAGTGTAGTGGTGCAGTCTAGGCTCACTGCAACCTCTGCCTCCTTTGTTCAAGTGATTCTCCTGCTTCAGTCTCCCAAGTAGCTGGAATTACAGGCATGCTCCACCATACCCAGCTAATTTTTCTATCTTTAGTAGAGATGGGGTTTCACCATGTTGGCCAGAATGGTCTCGAACTCCTGACCTCAAGTGATCCACCCCCCACTGGCCTCCCAAAGTGTTGGGATTACAGGCGTGAGCCACCACACCCAGCCTGGAAATTCTTTTAAAATGGGAAATGATTATATGCTATCACCTACAGGGACACATTTTAGGGAGATCCTCACACATGTGCTCAAAGAGATGATGCAACATTTATTGCAGTTCTGTTTGTAAGAGAAAAAAAAATTAAAAATGTAACCATCACTCAGAGGTGAATGGTGGTAAACATACATGGTAAAATAGCTCTTAAATATAGCAAATTAAAATTACATGTTTGCAACTTGGACAAATCCCTCAAAGGAGTGAGAAAAAAATTACAAAGGAACTACAGTTGATGCCATTTATATATAAATTTTTAAAAGCACTATTCTTCCCCCGGTGTCATAAAAATTTTAGCTGAGTATGTGGAAATCCAGAATAAAGATTTCCTTGCAGCTAGGTGTGCCCATGTTTAAGCTATGTTCAACAGGATGTGAGGTGTGTTCAGCAATTCTGGAAACCTTCCCTAAGTGACAGCTGAGGAAAACCTTTTAACTCTGTCACTTCCTTCTCCTACCTGTCTTTCCCCCTTTTTTCTTTCTGTGTTTGTTTCCCAGGGCTACTGTAAGCAGACAGGAGGAGTCTCCAGGGATTGTAGGAATTTAATCCATTTGAGCAATCAGGCTGTTTTACAGCTTCCTGCCCTGCAGCCTGTTCTTCCCCAGCCCTGGGTAGAAAGAGGTCATCTTGTCAGTTTAAACCAGCTCCTGACAAGTGATGAACCCAAGTGAACGTTCCTTATTACCATGCTCAAGTCTCTACCCTGGGAAAAGCTATAGCTTCCTTACCATAACATGCAAACTATGTGCTGGCATGATGACTTACTGTGTCTGTACATCTACGTGGGATGACGTGTACCCTCTCTCCTCTCTATCACCCCATAAAACCCTCGTCACTTTCCCTCTGAGAGACACTGCTTTGGAGAATCCTCCCAGTGTCGTCCTTACTTGAGCCAAGTAATAAAACTCCCATTGATCAAAACCTGCTTCCTTGTGGAGAGTCATTTGTTACTTGTCAGGGGAATGAACCCCGGTGTTTTTCGGGTAACGCTACTGTAGCAAAGAGCTGTAAACTAGGTGGCTTTAAACAACAGAAATTTATTCTCTGACAGCTCTGGAGGCTTTAGAAGTCTGAAGTCAGTGCTCTCTGGGGGCTCTAGAGAAGAATGGATTATGTGCCTTGCTCCCACCTCCTTGTGTTGCTGGTGATCTTTGGCCCTCCCTGGCTACAGATACATCCACTATCTGCCCCTGTCTTCAGATTGCATCCTCTCACATGTGTCCGATTCTGGGTCTCTCCTCTTCTTATAAGGACACCCGTCACACTGGATCAGGACCCACCCTAAACCAGTATCTTAACTTGATCACACCTGCAAAGACCTTATTTTCAAGTAAGGCCACATTTGAAAATCAGGGGGGGTGGGGTTAGGACTTTAACATATTTTTTGTGGGAACACAGTTCAACCCACACCATCTTCCTATCCTCCTCCTATTTCTTTAATCCTTCTAAACCTTTCTGTGGGTTGGGATGTGAATGTGATAGCAGGAGCTATAACAGCTGTATTGGACCATGAGGTAAATTCAGAAATAGACTCCAGGAATGGAGGACCTAAAAAATCAAAGACAGTTGGGTTCCTAACATAATAATGAGGCCACATCAGGTATAGACTACCTATGAAGACTCTCATATGCAAAATAAATAAATATTTATCTTTTAAACCTCTCTTCTCTTTGTGTTGGGGTTTTTTCACTTGCAGTCAAATCTAATCTTAATACACACACACACATGCACACACACACACACACACATTTGCTCATATGATTTGTTGGACTCTAAGTGTGAACATACTAAACTTATGAAGCGTGGCTATCTCTGAGGAAGAGAGAGTAGAATGAGAAATGATGGTCAGAGGGAACTTCAACTTCCTCTGACACCTTTTATTTCTTTAAGTAAAAGAAGACAAATATACTAAAAGTTTAGTATTAATAGCTTTGAATTATAGATGGTGGAAATCTTTGATAACATTAATATTTGAATTTTGAATTTTAAAAATTTGTCCTTCCAGAATCTCCTCAAATATTAAGAGGACTCTATTTGCACCTTTTACTCCAAGTCGCATGAATCAGTGTGAAATTCCTGGAATGTACTGGCTATTTTTTTTCTTTTTTTTGAGAGAGTCTCACTCTGTCACCCAGGGTGGAGTGCAGTGGCGTGATCTCAGTTCACTGCAACCTCCACCTCCTGCCTCAAGTGGTTCTCCTGCCTCAGCCTCCTGAATAACTGCAATTACAGGTGTGCACCACCATGTCCACCTAATTTTTATATTTTTAGTAGAGATGGGGTTTCACTATGTTGGCCAGGCTGGTCTTGAATTTCTGACCTCAGGTGATCTGCCTACTTCAGCCTCCCAAAGTGCTGGGATTACAGGCATGAGCCACCATGCTTGGCCCCTGCACTGGCTATTTTTGACCCTCTCTGGACATACTACCTGCCCCAGTTGGACTGTCCTCCTTTTCCTCACCTGGGCATCTCCTAAGCATCCTCCAGTCTCAGCTCCAAGTTAATGACAGGTGATGAGACATCTAAGTAAACATTTGGAAAATCAGCGAAAATTAATTTCCATCAGATTCCATAATAAAAGCCCAATAGATGGTTCTTTTTCATAATTGCCTAAATTACAAAAGTAACACTTGCTCACCATAAGAAATGCAAAGACCAGGATAATAAAACTTGATAAGAGCAAAAATTGAAATCTGCCTTTTATCATCTCCATTGTATCCCAGGCACAACTAATCTGTATAAAGGTTTAAATATCTTAAAACTAAACTGTAGAGCACTAGGATAAAATTGGGGACTATTTTAAAAATCCAATGGTAGGAATGAATATTTCTTACATGGAACTGAAGGTGGAAACTTTAACCAGATTCTTCTGTAATTAAAACAGTTTTAAAAATCTTACATAAATGAAAAACTAGGAAAATATCTGCAACATATACAATGGACCAGAATTACAATATCCTTAATATGTAAAGGGATATTTCAAATTCATACAGAAAGAAAAAACAGGTATTTTATTTTATTTTATTTTATTTTATTTGCGACTGAGTCGTGCTCTGTTGTCCAGGCTGGAGTGCAGTGGCGTGATCTCCACTCACTGCAACCTCTGCCTCCTGGGTTCAAGCAATTCTCGTGCCTCAGTCTCCCAAGTAGCTGGGATTATAGGCACCTGCCAGCACGCCAGGTTAATTTTTGTATTTTTTCTAGAAACAGGTTTCACCATGTTGACCAGGCTGGTCTCAAACTCCTGACCTCAAGTGATCTACCCACCTTGGCCTCCCAAAGTGCTGGGATTACAGGTGTGAGCCACTGTGCCCAGCCACAACAGGCAATTTTGGAGAGCAAAAACTAAGTGTAACTGGTACATAAAAATAAATAATATCTGTTGATGGGGAGAATGTAGGGGAATTTGCACATTCATATAATTCTGGTGGAATTGAAAAATCAACAAAACTTTCTAGGAGAAAATGTGGCCCTATGTATCAAAAGCCTTTAAAAAGATACAGTATCCCCCTTTATTAATGGTTTGGATGTCTGGGGTTTAAGTTACATATAGACAGTCCAATAAAATATTTTGAGAGAGAGAGAGAGATCACATTCACATAACTTTTATTGCTGTATATTGTCATAATGTTTTATTTTTTGCTAATCTTTTATTGTGCCTAATTTATAAAATAAATTTTATCATAGGTGTGTATAGATAGGAAAAAAACATAGTATGTATAGGGCTTGGTACCATCCTTACTTCCAGCCATCCCATGGGGGTATTGGAAAGTATACACTCCACCACCGCCCTGTGGAAAAGGGAGTCTACTATGCATGATTTTGACTCAGTGATTTCACTAGGAATCCCTTAAGAGAAAATAAAGAGGACTATGGGTGAGCTACCAATCTATTCGTCTCAATGGTGCATATAGTAGCAAAGAAAATTGTAAACAACCTGTTTATAATCTTCATTAAACAAATGATGGCATATTTGTTCAATAGAATAGTATGAAGGTTATTAAAGTGACTTAATTTCTTCAGAAGATGTTTGCAATGTATTAAGTGAAAAATTAAAAATTATATAAATCCATCTTTTTAAAAAGGTGTCCGTACATGTATATCATACAGAACACTGGAAGAATTATATATCAATGTGTGCAAGGGGGGATGTTTCAGAGGGGTGGGACTATGGGTAATTTTCATTTCCTTTTTGTTTGTTTTGTTTTGTTTTGTTTTTTGAGGCAGAGTTTCGCTCTTGTTGCCCAGCGCCATGGCACGATGGCTCACTGCAACTTCCGTCTCCCGAGTTCAAGCGATTCTCCTGCCTCAGCCTCCCAAGTAGCTGGGATTACAGGCATGTACCACCACACCTGGCTAATTTTTGTATTTCTAGTAGAGACGGGGTTTTACCATGTTGGCCAGGCTGGTCTCGAACTCCTGACCTCAAGTAATCCATCTGTCTTTGCCTTCCAAAGTGCTGGGATTACAGGCATGAGCCACTGTACCCAGCCTCATGTTCTTTTTATTTATCAATATGTTTACAATGAGGAAAATGTTTAAAAAGGTCCCAGTTGAAGCATCTCATCCTTTGGGAAGCCTTCCTGCCCTCCAGTCCTTATAAATACCCTTCCTGTGTGTGTTCACTGTGTGTATCTCACAAGACTAGCAAGCTGACCTCTTCAGTGTTAATTTCCTTGTTCTGTTCATTGTTCATCACTAGAGTATAACTTCCTTGAGGAAAAGAGACATGTCTTGCCTTGTCACTGCATTCTCAATTTGTAGTTTGAAGAATGTTTGTTGAATGATGAATTGAAAATGTCCTTTTATTTGGTCTTTTAAGTAACTATCTGCTAGCATCCCACTGTTTAATAATTTATAAAATTGGAAATCACAAATTTCTAATGGGAGTGAGTAATTGCTTCAAACTCTGGTTTTGCCAATGGAGAAACAGAGGCTGGGGAGAAACGAAGTGACAACCGGTGTTGTGTGGTGGGCTAGGGGCAGGCTAGGACCACACCTGCTCTCACGGTTTTTCTCCTGAGGCTTTCACAGACCAGACTGCTTAGCAGGCCTCCTGATTTGCTTTTGTTATATGGGGAAATCTGACACACAGAGAATCGTGAGGGGGATGAATGTTTCTAGTTAGGGCAGGAGGGGGCAGTGAGAAAGGGAGAAATCTGGCTGCCCATGAGAAACAAGGTTTAAAACTAGATTTTATGATATTCCACCTGTCTCCATGCTCTGAAATTGTGTGCGTGTGTGCGCGCGCACATGTTTACTTCATGGGGAAGAAAGTGCAAGAAAACTTTATCTCGGGCAGCCTGGCAAATTCAACCTCTAAGACAGCCACCCTCAGAAATCTGCTCAAGCTGTTCCTTTCTTTCCTCAAATGTCCCCTGATGGTCTCCCCACCTCTCAAATTTGCTGGGTCATTGCATCTGTTTCTACCTGGCTGCATCTGAGTAGTCGCAGTGTCAGTAAGTGAATTTGGGCTTCCAGCTGCGGGCCTCAGCAAGTTTATCTCTGAAAATGGACCTGTCTTCACACTTAATCGTGTCTCTGTGTCCCCCATCTCTGAGCAAACAGCTGGAAAGTGAGTTGAGTCAACCAGTAGTTGGTCTGCATGGGGCTTTCTGGATGACACATATTTTGATATTTAATCCTCAAAACGTTTTGATATTTAATCCTCAAAACCATTCTGTGAGGAAGAGCTGTCATCCCCATTTTGTAGATGAGAATACTGAGTCCCAGGGAGAGAAGGTTACCTTCCCTGGGTTATACAGCCGCAAGTGGGTGAGGCTGGCTGAGAAAGCTGAGGGTTTGGGTATGAGGAAGTTAAATTTGCTTTCCCCCTTCTGGCAGGTAGCATTTGCAAGGGCCGTGTGTTTAAAAACAAAAAATGACTTTAGTATTCATAATACTTAGGAACACGTAATAAACACTGAACCTGGTTCTCTACCTTAGACTTCATAATTTGAGGAGAAGAAATTCAATGTAGTCATTTTTAAGAGATCCTTGTCCCTTCTTGAGGTTATACAAGTATCTTAGGACTTGTGAGTTTTTGGGAAAAATAAAGCCCAGATGGGTCCTGTGTTTTCTGTGGGTGTTGTTATTATTTATTTTTATTTATTTTATTATACTTTAAGTTCTAGGGTACATGTGCACAACGTGCAGGTTTGTTACATATGTATACATGTGCCGTGTTGGTTTGCTGCACCCATTAACTCGTCATTTACATTAGGTATTTCTCCTAATGCTATCCCTCCCCCATGCCCCCACCCCACGACAGGCCCCTATTATTATTATTTTTGAGATGGGGTCTCGCTCTTGTCAGCCAGGCTGGAGTGCAGAGGCGCATTCTTGGCTCACTGCAACCTCTGTCCCCTGAGCTCAAGAGATCCTCCCTCCTCAGCATCCTAAGTAGCTGAGACCCCAGATGTGTGCCACCACGCCTTGCTACGTTATTTTATTTATTTATTTTTGTTAGAGACAGGGTTTTACCATGTTGCCCAGGCTGATCACGAACTCCTGAGCTCAAGCAATCTGTCTGCCTCTGCCTCCCAAAGTGAGGGGATTACAGGTGTTAGCCACCGTGCCCGGCCCTGTGGGTATCATTATTGAAGGTGCTTTTGTTTTCTGTTCTGGATGGCTCAGAGGTGTCTCTTGAAGTGTCATCTCCGTGGACCACAGATTCAGCCATAGGTATCCACACCGATGCTCTAGTATCATACACACACTGCACAGGCCTGCAGCAGTCATTGTTGCCATTGACAAATATTTGTTACCAAGGTTTCCACCCCTTGCAGAATACCCACGCTAGTCTTGCGGATGTATCATCCTAGGAGTGGGTCAGTTCTGTATTCAGACTCCAGAGCCGAGCCCCCTGTGGCAGAGTAGGAGTGCCCAAACCTGCAAGATCCTACAGCCGTGCTTGCCATCTTGAGATGTAGATAACATTTTTATCATTCTCTTTAAACTATTTTTCTTATTTTGTTGAGGTATAGCTTATATACACTAAAATGCACAAATCCTAAGTATACGGATCAATGGATTTGTATACAGGTATATGCCTTAGGTAACCACCATCCAGATCTAGTCACAGAACATTTTCATTACCTTAGAAAAATCCCTCATGACCTATTAAAGTTACCCCACTGTTGGATGTAACCACTGTCTGATCTCAATCACTGTAGCTTAGCTTTCCTGTTTTTGCCATTCATATAAATGGCATGATCCAGAAGGTACTCTTTTGTTTCTAGCTTCTTTTGCCCAAAATATTTTTGAAAATCATCCATGTTATTTGGTTTTACCACATTTCATTCTATTTGTATTAATGTTTCGTATTACATTGTATTTGCATACAGCAATTATCTCTTTTCCTTTTTATAGACCTTTGCATTGTTTCCAGTTTGGGACTAGTAAGAATAAAGTTTCTATGAGCATTCTTGTACAAATGTTTTTGTGGGCATCCATGAGATGGTTTGGCTGTGTCCCCACTCAAATTTCATCTCAAATTGTAATCCGCATATTTCAGGGGAGGGACTTAGTGGGAGGGAGGTGATTGGATCACAGGGGTGGTTTCCCCCATGCTGTTCTAGTGATAGTGAGTTCTCGCAAGATCTGATGGTGATGTAAGTGACGATTTCCCCTGCTCTCTCTCTCCTGCAGCCTTGTTAAGGATGTGCATGCTTCTCCTTTGCCTTCCACCGTGATTGTAAGTTTCCTGAGGCCTTCCCAGCAATGCAGAACCGTAAGTCAATTAAACCTCTTTCCTTTATACGTTATCCAGTCTCTGGGAAGTTCTTTATGGCAATGTGAAAAATGGCCTAATATAATACATACTTGTTTCTCTTGGGTATAACTCTAAGATTGAAACTGGGGTCTTATTTAATTTTATTGGGAACTGGCAAATTGTGTTCCAGAGTAATTGAGTTACTCTGTATTTTATATTCCCATTAGCATTGTGTGGGAGTTCCAGTCACTCTACATCCTTGCCAATACGTCTATTATTCTTTTTTATTCCATCCCAGTCTACAGGAAAACTGGATGCTTATTTTCTCCATCAGAGTTTTCCGCCATGTTGTACTTTCTGCCATATTGTATATATGTTGCTGTTCCTACTGGGGACATATACACCAAAGTTTAAGATCATGGTTTTTCATTTTCACCCTGGATTTCTCCGAACTGCCATCCAGCTTTCCTTCTCCCCTACCTTAAATCTTACTTACTTTAATTCTGTTTGGAAAAGTGGAAAGTAATATAGATCAAGTAGCTATCTCCTATTATATTCAAAGTAAAATGTATATTAGAGAAGTAGGTATAAGAAAATCTTCATTTAGGGCCAGGCACAGTGGCTCATGCCTGTAATCCCAGCACTTTGGGAGGCAGAGGTGGGTGGATCACCTGAGGTCAGGAGTTCCAGACTGGTCTGGCCAGCATGGTGAAACCCCGCCTCCACTAAAAACACAAAAATTATCTGGGTGTGATGGTGCACGCCCATAATCCCAGGTACTTGGGAGGCTGATGCAGGAGAATTGCTTGAACCCAGGAGGCAGAGGTTGCAGTGAGCAGAGATCACTCCACTGCACTCCAGCTTGGGTGACAAAGTGAGACTCCATCTCAAAAAAAAAAAAAAAAAAAAGTCTTCATCTGGGGGCAGTCTAGTGTAATGGAAAATTCTAGAATTCTGGACTCAGATGGCCCTGTCCCTTACTGACTGTGACTTTAGACACATGATTTAATAGCATGGAATTTCAGATTCATTGACTATAAAATACAGAGAGTAAAAATTCAATGACATAAAGGAGGTAAAACAGTATGCTACAGACTAGGTAATTCTTCTCAAGTACATTTCAATTTTAGTTTGTATCAGACAGGATGTGCTGTGGTTACCACACGCAGCCCCCAAATCTCAGTGGTTTAGCATGATGGAAATTTGTTTTTTACTCACATTCTATTTCTAACCCTGGTTGTTGGAGCTCTCTCATCAGTCACTTAGGAACCTAGTCTAAAGGAGATGTCACTTTGGCTCCAGGTTGCATGAATAATAGCATTGAGTGCTAGTGGGGGAAGGGGGTATGGTGGTAAATTCGGGTGTCCAGTCAGCAAATATGTGCTGAGGAACCTATTCTGTGATAAACATTGGAAAGACAGAAACAAACAAAAAATACTGTACCTGCTTCCAGGAGCTCACAGCATAATAACAGCAATAACAAGGACAACAGCAACTGTAGCTGCAGCAGCGAAAAGTTACTGATCACTTATGAAGCCCAGCACTGTATCAAGAACTTATTTTATGATGCAGATGTTTTCCCAATCAGAAAACTCAGATAAGGGAAAACAGAATTTTATTTTTCTGTAACTGAATTTCATTTTACTCTTAAGCACCCACTTCCACTGCAAAATTGAATTAGAGAAAATGTAATCACTTCTGGTTTAAAACTCAGTCTCTTGTGGATACTGCTCAGTTGACCCAACTTTCTACCCTTTGCATTTCTCTCTGTCTTTCCCACTGTGTTTAAAGTTCCTGGTGTGAGGTGCAGGCTTTAGTATTAAGGCATGCCAGACTTTGGGAAGTATCATCTGTTGTTACCTGTCCCCACCTAGTGTAGTTATGTGTCCCTTTGTTTCTACCACTGCTGATTGATCGTGGTTCTGTATCTGTTTTGGGGTCAATACATCCACATCCCTAATCCCCAAATGTGAGAATGTTTTGGTCCTCTGGTTCTCACGGCCACTTCTGTGCCCTTCGTGGAAACTTAGGTGCTTCCGGCTGCTCTCTCCACACCACACTGGCATGAGGATCTGCAAGGCTGCCCTCAGTCTTCCCCACCCAGAAAATCCCCATGGCCATTTCTACTCTGTGGCTTGGGTACCATGTAGGTCAAAGAACTTCTCTATAAATCGTACAGACTCCTGGGAACTGTAGCAGTGGCTCCCCTGCTCTGGGATTTCCCTAAACTTATTTATGGCTTCTTTCATCATCCTTACCCTAGACCATAGTTATTCTGTTTATCCAGGATCAACGTATACAAGTGTAATGGTTTTAAGTGACCTTAAATAAATGCCCCTGAAAAGATAGGCCAATCAGTGTTCCAGCTGCAGATGGAAACTAATCACTACTATTTTGTAATAGGGATAATAATGGTGTAAGTTCAGGACTGAAATACAAGCAAAGGCCTGAAGCCAGAATCAGTATGAATTAGGATTCTGTGTCCATTCATCATGAAGGCTGATCAGTTGTTGGCTTTGAACAGAAGGCTCATGCCTTGATTAGAGCTGTCAGTGGTAGGGAGTAAATTAAAATGTGTTTGTGCTCCACTAGTGTGTTTGAATTTTAAATCACTGGAAATCCCTGTGTGGCCTAAACTAGAAGTTTTCTCATATGCAAAGGGATGGAGTTGGAACAGATAGTTGATCCCTAAGTACCCTTCCAGCTATGAGGTATTCTGTTTCATAATAGGATGGTAAACAATCTTAACTCATTCCTTTGTAACTTAATTTTTCTGCATCAGGGAAGAATAGCAGCCAGTGCTTGGTATTTAAGCAAAACATACATTTATAATTCATTTATATGCAGTCATATATATTATAAATGGGAATCCAAAGGATACCACCCTTAATAAGCAAGTGAGAATTTATGAACTCCTTTGCTTCCAACCCACTACTATTATTTATCTTATATTAATGGCCTCTCTACCCAGTAGACTGCTCTAAGTCTATTAACTTTCTTTTTTAAAATGGCATCTTTCAGATTTGGTGCAAGCCATTGGGCTGTAGGCTCATTTGCAATTTCTCCATTTTTTATGAATACAGTGATTTATGTCACGGGGATGTAATGGCTCATTTTGGGTCTAATTTTGACTCCCACTTGGATTCAAGGCATCTGAGCATGTCTTATGGGCTCAACAAGCATCTAGTTGAATGAGTTGATTTTCATGATGATGATAGTTGTAAGGGGCAATTGAGAAGGTGGTTTATAAATGAGGCCTTGGGGAGAATGACATAGTTATAATGACTGCTGGCTTTGGGGACAGACATTCTTAGTCCCACTTTCTATCTCTGTAATATTGAGGGAGGTTAACTAGATTTGAGGGGCCTTGTTTATGTATCTACAAAATGAGCACAATTATAACCAAGCTCCTATGGTGGTAATTAAGAGTTCAACATGGTAATGTATGTAAAGGGACTTAGCAACTTGCCTTGCACAGAGTAAGTGTTCAATAAAGCTTAGCTGCTATTGTAATGTCTACCCCACACCTGGTCCCATGAACTTATTTCTGAACTTTTCATCACGGAGGACTGTAGGGAGAAGCCAACAGAGCTGTTTTCACAAGGGACCATGTGAAATGTTAAGGTGGGTCCAGAGGTCCTGGAATTTACATTTAAAGCCAGGAGCTAAAAAAATGAGAATTATTACTGTTCCTGACCTCATTTGTCCCTCGGGCTGGTGAGGCTTAGGGTACATTTATATTTGCTTTCTTATATCTATACCTTTCTTTTAGTCTTGGTGTTTTTCACATTGACAGAGCCACAAACTAACTAGAAGGCTACATACTCCTCAGTAAGAATAGCTAACATTTGCAGCATGTACTATATGTCAGGCACAATCCCATGTGGTTTTACAGGAATATCTAATAGAACCCTCACAATAATCTTTTGAGGGAGATCATTATTGTATAATTGAAAAAGCAGAGGCTTAGTGAGATGAAACAATTTTTGGTTTGTATCAGTCAGTATGAGCTGTGTTGTGCTGTGGTAACAAGCAGCTCCCAAATCTCAGTGGTTTGGCATAATGGAAATTCATTTCTTACTCTTACTGTATTTCTAACACTGACTATTTGGAGTTTTCTCATCAGTCACTTTGGAACCTAGGCTAAAGGAGACTTCACTTTGATACCACATTGCACAAATGATAGCACTGAGTGCTAACTGGAGTAAATTCGGGTTTTGAGCCATTTATTCAACAAATGTCATCAATAAAAGAAGGAGCTGGCATTCAAGTCTTGCCTGTCTAGAACACTCAATCTTAAGCAACCCATTGTGAACATAATCCCATAGCCCTCAAAGGCCTCACCTTTTCACCAACTAGTTCTGTTCCTTTTGTGATTGATGATGCAATTTCAGTGTTTTAAATGTTGTATTTACATTGATTGGGGCTGCTGAGATCATTCACACAAATATGTCTAGCCATAAATTCCAGAGAAACTGTGCCATGCAGTTCCAAATTCCTTCACTTCTCCCACCAGTACAAGGGCTTCATAGGAGCAAAGATTTGCAAATGATGTTCCCATCCAACACTTAACACTTCTTATTTTTAATCGAGACATCTTCTGCTCACCACTTTTGGCACTCTGCTTGTGCAGCCTTCTCTAGTCTCCAGACAACAGCTATTTTCTCTGTTAGCCAATTACCCTCCACTGAAGGTTCCAGTATCCTCATACCTGCAGAAAAAAATTACCTGGAAAGAATGCACTTTTCTCAGGGCCCAGACGGTGATGGATTGTACCATGATGGTTTTTGTTCACCTACACCGGTGGATTTTCCTTTCCTGCTGGAGGAAAAGATCTCATTCTGCAAATGCACTAATGATGTGTAATTATCATCGCTGCAAGCCTTCTACGCATCTGGGCTAATGGTTCCAGCTTCCATGATGATTCTCATATGTTACCCAATTCCATATTTGAGTGGTTCTGTCCTGCCCCTGGTAACAGTAACAGTTGGCTTCTAGACAAACTTAAATATCCTGGCTTTATATACCTGGCTCATAGCATGTGATGATAATAGCAATCACCACATAAGTTTCAATCATATCTTTACTCACAGAAGGGAGATACTCTTGGTTGAATATTTAATTCAGTTTTGTTAAAACTTGAAGTCTTCTTGAAACAGCGCTGCCTGACAGAAATATTTAACGTCAGGAATTCATGAGCAATGGGACCCCAAGGTCAAAAAAGGGGAATGAGTAGTCAAATCCAGCCTTGCTTGTCACAGCAGACTGGAGCTTCAGGAATTATTAAGCAGGCAGTGGGAAGAACAAAGGGGATAATGTTCTTTCCATTGAAGTAATTTTTCTCAATGCAAAATGCTTTTTCGGAGTCCATGTGGGTTAATTTCCACCCATTTTGCATGTAGGAGACATGCATCCAAGTCCTCAGTCTCAGAGTTGGAAGAAATATTTTTTCTTTATTTTCCTTATTTCTAGTAAACTTCACCCCAAACCCTCAAACAGTTAGGTTGCTTAAAATAAAAACAATTTTGGTCAATACTGAGGCTTCCCTACCCCTAGAGTTTGTTTATTACAGTAGTTATTGAATTGAATCCTTGAGATAGGACTTTCTGTTGATGTGCATACTACCTGAAACCATGTGACCCTCTTCTTCTATTTTAACATTGGAGCCCAAGACCCTTTTGTGGGGTTGCTGTCCCCTTACCCTGGGGTCCTGCTTTCAGAGGGGTACTTGATAGCTTCTCCTTTGATATCTAAATTTCTTGGGTGCTGCTCCTTCATAAAGGCCAAAGTTCCCACTGTTTGCAAGACACTCACTTCCCAACTGCAACCCCCTTTCCATTTCTAGGGGTGGAAATCCTGCCTCTTCCTGCTAGTTTTCCCTTCCTTGGTCTGATAAATCCAGTTCATGTCTTTATCTTGTGAATCCTCTGCAAATTGCTATGGCAAAAATCCCTAAGATCTCTTTTGAGATGGAAGACCAAACATACAGCAAAGAAAACACAGATTAATAATTCAAAAACATATCTGCCACTGGTAAAAAAAAAAAAAAAAAAAAAAATTAGAATCAAACCATTAATTTCTCCTTACACTTTCTCCTGCAGCAGTGAATATACTACAAAGCTTGGTTTCTGTGATAATAGGAATAAGGCTTACTGAGCTATATTGCATTTCCTAATTGGATCATTCTTCAACCATTTTATCTCATGGGTATCTACCCTGCCTTTTATGGTTGGGGTGGTTTTCTTTTCCTCCCCCTCTTAGATCTTAATTTTGCAAACAAGGACTGAGAAGTGGCATTAAGATCAGCCTCATTATCACATTGCAGTTTGGCACCTTATTCCTCTCTCCATCTTTATTAGCAGAGTCTCTGATTTTTTTAAGCTTATTTGCATAATTTCTAACATCCCGGGTTTATTCAGAAGGCCTTTTGATGAAGGAATGGAGAAGGTCTTCTCTACTCCAAAGGCCTCTTCATTAGGACACAGTGGAACACAGCACCTAAGAACACAGACTCCGCAGGCAACTGAAAAGCCTAGATTTGAGTTCTACTTAGCCGCTTCTGGGCTGCGTGACCCTTGGGAAGTTGTTCAACGTCTTTGAACCTCAGTTTCTCCATGTGTAGCAATAGCAGCTACATCTCATGACCAATCTGAATCACTCCATGGAAAATACAACAGTGTCCTGTTCATGCTATTGGGCGTTGTTATCATTATCCTTTTCTCTTTATTAATGTAAACATTTTACTGAAGAATGACGTACATACAGAAAAGTGCCTGTGTCATAAGTATAAAGCTCAAGGGGTTTTCAGAAATTGACACATCTGAGTCACCAGCATCCAGATCAACAAACAAAGCATTGGCAAAACTCCTAAGAGCACTTTCACAGCTCTTTCCTGCCACTAAATCCTTCCCCGCAAGGGGTAACCACTCTCCTGACTTGTAACAATTGCAGGTTAGTTTTACCTATTTTTGAACTTTATATAAATGGAGTCAAACACGATGCACTATTTTTGTCTGATTTCCTTTTCCTGATATTTTTCATGAGATTCATTCTCTGTTGTAGTCAGCAGATATAATTCATTTTTAATTGCTGTATAGTGTTCTATTTTGGGAATATGTCACAATTTTTATCCATTCTACTTTTGGTGGACATGTATGTTGTTTCTGATTTTGGGCTATGAAATATAGCAATGCTATAGTATATCTAATGCATATATTTTGGAGAATTTGTATATGTATACATTTTTATAGGCATATATTTAAGCATGAAATTACTGAGTCACAAGTTATGGATCTGTTTAACTTTAGTAGACACTGTCAGTGTTCCCAAGTGGTTGTAAAATTTACACTCCCTCCAACAATGAAAAATAATTCCAGTTGATCTACATTCTCACCAATGTTTGGTATCATTGATTTTGTTCATTTTAAACAACATGGTGGGTGTGTAGTCATATTGTGGGTTATCCATCAGATAGCTGATATTTTATTTTTTCAACTTTTCATTTGGAAATAATTTCAAACTTACAGGCAAGTTGCGAGATTAGTACAAAATTGTATGCTCTTCACCCATATACATCAACTGTTCATCATTTTCCACATTTGCTTTATTTTCTCTCTGTAGGCGTGCACATACTGCTTTTTAAAAATATGAGGTAAGTTTCAGATATCATGCCTCATTTACCACTAAATGTTTCAGAGTGTGTGTACCAAGAACTATCTCTTAAATAAACACAGTATAGTAATCAAAATCAGAAAAACTCACCACTCATACGATATAATTATGTAACCTGTAGATCTTATTAAAATTTTTCCAAATATTCCTGTAATGTTTTTGTAGCATTTTTTTCATGCTCTGGATTTAATCCAGGATCATGCATTACATTTAGTTTTCATGCCTCTGTAGTCTTCTTTAATATGGAATGTTTCCTGTCTCTTGTCGTCTTTCAGGATATTCACATGTTATGAAGAGCATAAGAATTACTGTAATTTTGGCTTATTGGATGTTTCCTGATGAGATTCAGGTTATACATTTTTGGTGAATTATTATATAAGTGATAGTGTGTTCTTCTCAGTACATGACGTTGGTTTGTTCTGTCACTATTGTTGTTGACTTTAATCACTTTGTCAAAGTAATATATGCTAAACTTCTTCACTATAAAATTACTTTCATCCCCTTGTAATTAATAAATAACTTTAGGGGATATACTCTGAGGCTGTGTAAGTATACTGTACTTCATCAAACTTTCATGCACTTATCTCAGCATCTATTGATGATACTTGCCTGAATCAATTATTACTATGATGGTTGCAAATAACTTTCTAATTCCATTGCTCCTCCATTAATTAGTTTGCATTCTACAGTAAGGAAGTGCTTTCCCTTCCCTCCATTAATTAATTAATCACTCATCACAATAGAGAAATAAAGACATTAGACTAAGAAGAGCAACACAGTGATATATGCTAGAATAGTGGGCATGACAAACGAAACAGCACTTGAGATCTGAAAGACAGCTAAAAATTAGGCTATCAAAGAGGACCAGAAAAAAGTGAGGCAATAGGAAAAGCACAAGCAAAGGCTGTGAGTTCAAAGACAGCCTGAGAAAAATTCACCATGGTTGGGGTGTAGCAAGTAAAGGGAGACAAGTGAAGGTTGAAAGCCTGGAAGGAAAGCCTGAGGCAATCATTAAGATTAACTCCTCATTCATGACAGTGGGTTTCTCTATTTGGAAAGATTTTTTTTCACTGTGTCTGCCTGCGTCAGGCCCACCCATACTCAAATTCTTATCTATTTCTTTTAACTATTGCTTTTAAACAGAAAATCCCCAAGTTTAGTGGCTTAAAACAATGATTTATTATGTCTTGAGCTTTTGTGGGTCAGCAGTGGGGGCAGGGTTCAGCAGGGTGGTTCTTCCACTCCATGTGACATTGGCTGAAGTCTCTTACTTGGCTGCCTTCTTGATTGCCTGGACTGGGTTTGGAAGTCCAAGAAACTTCTCTCACATTTCTGGGGACTTGGTGCCTCTTCACATGACCTCCCTCTTTCCATGTGATAGTTCATATGTTAGTAGTCAAGCCCATGCATCTTTACAGCATGGTGGGTCCTCCTAAGAGCAACAGTGGGAGCTGCCAGGACTCATAAAGGTTATTACTGACACAAGTCACTTGCATTGCATTCTATTGACAAGTTACTGGGCCAGCCCAGATTTCACTGGGAGAAAAAAATGGATTTCATCCTTTGGCAAGGAGGGAAGGAATCTTCAGAGACAATCTATCATGCCACCTCTTTCAGGAAGTCTTCCCTGACTTCTCCAATCTCATTTTCTACCAATCTATCAATCACAGTTATTGTTCTGAGCCTTTGTTAGGCTCATTTTATATAGTGCTTTGTGGTATTTCCAAAATTTTTCAAGTGTCAATATTTTAGCTTTACTGATTCCTGAAGTAGAACCTCATTTACTTAAGTGCAGTAATTAATAAATTTGGATAATAATAGGCTGTCATTTATGGAATGATAACCATGCATCTGGCCTATGCAAGATACTTTACCTTAATTATCTAATTATATCCGCTTAAGAAGATAAAACTGTCTTTATTTTTTAACAGAAAGAAAACCAAGTCCCAGAAGGAAAACAAATTGCTTAAGGTTGTCTGACAAATTAGGGGTAGAGTCAACATTGAAACCGAGGTCTGTGCAATTCTAAAATTGTGTTGCAATCTTCCTACATATAATCATTTATTGAGCACAAACTATGTGTTAGTCTCCTTGCTTAGCACTAGGGATTCAGAAATGTGTAAATGCCCTTAGTCTAACAGAGAAGGAAGATGTGTAAACAAACACTGACTACTCAGTGTTTAAAGGCACAGCATGTTAAATGCTAGAGTGGAGTTCTGAGACTCCAGACCAGGGTTCATCAACCCTGCCAGGAAAGGTTGGGGAAGGCTTGACCATGGCAGGGACATTTGAATTGCAGCTTGAAGGATAAATAGGAATTCACTAAGGAGAGGAGGAGGGGAGGGGAGGGGAGATTGATGGGAGATGAAGTTGGAGAATTAGGTTCCAATTGTAAAGAAAGGGAAGGAAAGGAAATCATTGCCATTGAGCATCCCTTGTAAGCTTGTCCCATTGAATCCTAAAACCTGCTCTGAAAGTGCTATTCTCATATTCCCGTTCTCATAGATAGGAAAGCGAAGCTAAGAGAGATCAAATCATATACCAAAGGCCGCATTACATAGTTTGGACTTTATCTTATAGGTATCAGGAAGCGAACACACTTTCAAAACCAGCGCATGACCTGACCTGACAGAGAAATGAACATTGTTGTCATATAGAGATGGGAAAGAGTGGGTAGAGGGTAGTAGTGTACAGACCAGATTTAGGGGGTTGTTCCTACTACCAGCCATGAATTGATGAGGACCTTGATGAATTCAATGGTAACAGGATGGAGAGGAGGGGCTGAACAGAACTTAGGGTAGTGTTTATGAGGTATAAATAATGAGACTGACGCACTGGTAGGATACAAAAATGAAGGGAGAAGAGTCAAGAATTCAAAGCTTCTAGGTTTGGTTGATATTTTCATCAAAGGGGTTATGGGAGTCACAGAGCTCAACTGATATCCCTTAGTTGCTTCACAAATTACTCTCTCTCTGAATCTCACTTGTCCATACCTGAAAATGCAGATAAGATAATAGTGTTACCTACCTCATTAGCTGACTTAAATGGAGCTAACACATGAATGGTGCTGAGCACAAAGCTCGGCTCATGGCAATGAATATCAACTCTCATTCATTCAATGAATATCTATTGGATACCTTCCACAGGCCAGGAACTCTCTTAGGTCCTAGGAAGACAGACTATAAATAAGATTCTCAAAGTTCCTATGCTTACGGAGGTTACATTCGTATTACGTCTTGTTCTTATACAACACATAATAATACAAAAGTTAATTGCAGAGAATAGTAAATATACAAAGGAAGCACATAGGCTAAGAGATAAAGGGAAGCTGTCAAGGGCGCTTTAGATGGGGAATGGGTTCTTAACTGTAAGTGACCTGCCCCACCGTCACCCGGCGGACATTTGGCAATGTCAAGAGACATTTTTGATGGTCACAGCTTGGAGGCAAGTGCTACTGGCATCTAGTAGGTAGAAGCCAGGGATGTTGCTAAACACCCTACAGTGCACAGAACAGCCCCCCAGTGCAAAGAATGATCTGGTCTCAAATGTCAATACTGCTGAGATTGAGAAACCCTGAGACAGGGTTATGAAAGAGTCTTTTCAGTGAGGGCATATTTGGGCTGAAAGCTCAGGGAAGACAAGGAACAGGTGGTGAGAAGAGCTGACCAGAGAGCATTTCAGAAAGAGGAAAGAGTAACTGCAAAGTCCAGAGGAGGGAAAGAACTTCTTGTATTCAGGGATCAGAAAAGAGACTAAGTGGCTCGAACGCTGTAAGGATGGGAGTTGGCACGTGCAGAGATTAGAGAAGTTAGCAGCTGGATCATGCAAGATCTCAGAAGCCACATAAAGAGTTTGTCTTTTGTTCTAAGAATACTAGGAAGCCTTTCGAGCACGTTGAAATAAGACACACCCCCTGTTCAGTTTTACATTTCACATTTTAAAAAACTCATGCTGGCTGCATTGTGGATTAAAGAGAGTCAAAAAAAATCAGAAGGCTGTTGCAGTCACTCATGCAAGAGATGGTGACGATGAAGCTAGCGTTTTATCAGTGGAGGTGGAGAGAAACGGACAGGTTAGAAATATGTTTTGAAGGTAGAGCAGACAGCACTTAAAGACATCAGATCCCAGGGGTGAGGGGAATGAGAAATCAAGGATGACTCCTAGGATTTTAGCTTGAGGCACTGAGTAGGTGGTGGTGGTATTCATTGCGTTGGAAAGATGTCAGAAGGAACAGGTTTGGGAGGTTGTTTTGGACTTACAGGTTTGAGATGCTAATTTTTAATCCCAGTGAAGACGCAAGTATGCAGACAGCTGGATATACAGAGCTGAAGCTACCAGGGGAGGTCAGGGCTGTAATTATACATTACGACATATTTTATAATATAATTCCTTCTTGCCGAAGTCTCCCTGCATATCATCCTGCATGCAGATGTCTGAAGTCTCAAGGAGGCATTTTCTCAGAATCATTGCCAAGCCCAACACTGTGATATTTTTAAAGTGTCACATCCTCCATGCCCCTCTTTGAATTGAGTCACATGTTTAATTAAGTTTCCACTTACAACCCAAGTAAAGGGGAAAAATAACCCTAAAGAATTGATCCGTGCCTGCAGAGCTTTGGAATTTTGGGTGGCTACCCTCTCTGCTTCTCTCTTCCTTTTTTCTTTCTTTCTTCTTTTTTTCCCCACTTATTTGCTAGGGACATTTTCATTCTCAAGTTGCGATTAGTTTTGGAAATGGGGGTCTTGCAGTAGAGAGTATTGAGGAAGCCCTGTCCTTAAGAAGTCGTCTTCACAGATGATGACACCGAATGGCTGAAATGCAGCAGAAGGATCTCTGGGTTAAGATTCAGAAGACCTGAGCCCTCAGCTTGGTCTGACCACATGCTGACCATGTCAACTCAGGGCATGGTCTCAGCTTCCCGTTCTTTTGTAAAAATGGGAGAGAATCCCCAACAGATGTGAGTCTTTGTGAAAATCATATGAGATCATATGTCTAAGGTCTGGAAAGCATGCACATTTTACAAAAGCCATCACTTCCCACCCCCTCCGTCAACACCACCCTAGTCCAAGCCTCCGTCATATGTTCCCCTCATTACTACAATAGTCTCCTGACTGCTCTCCATGGTACTGCTTCTGCCCACTCCCCCTGCCAGTCTGTTCTTAACAGCCAGAATGATGCCATGAAAATATGTCACATCATGTCACTTCCCTGCTCAAAACCCTCCCACTCATATCCCACTCACCTCCCACTCACGGTGACATTTGGAGTCCCCATGCAACGCTACTCACCATTCAACAGCTCTCACTCATATCCACTGCTGGGTCCACATCAGCCACACGGCCTTCCTGATATTCCTGGAACACATTAGGTGGAATCCCACCCTGAGGCCTTTGTACTTGCTGTTTCCTCTGTCTAGAAAGTCTTTTTCTCAGATAGCCACATGCTTCCAATGCCTTCTTCCCAGGGAGGCTTTTCCTAATCACTTTAACACAGATTGCCGTCTCTCCCTCCTGCCCCACATGCACTACATTCTCCTTCTATACTTTAATTCACAGCCTTTTACTTCCAAACATTTCATTTTCCTTTTCTTCCTTTTTTTTTTTTTTTTTTTTTTTTTTTTGAGAGAAGGTCTTACTCTGTTACCCAGGCTGGAGTGCTGATCATAGCTCACTGTAGCCTCACATTCCTGGGCTCATGTGATCCTCATGCCTCAGCCTCCTGAGTAGCTGGGACTATAGACTCAAGCTACCATGTCAGGATAATTTTTAAATTTTTCTGTGAAGACGGGGACTAGCAATGTTTCCCATGCTGGTCTCAAACTCCTGGCCTCAAGCAATCCTCCTACCTCAGCCTCCCAAAGCACTGGGATTACAGGTATGAGCCACCACGCCCACTAGCCCATTTTCTTTATATCTTCTGTGTTTCATCCGTCTTCATCTGATGAAAAGTAAGCTCAGTGAAGGACGGGATTTTTCTCCGCATTTTGTTCAAGACTGTATTCTGTAGCACCTACAACAGTGCCTGGCACAGAGAGGTGCTCAGTAAATATGAAGAATGGACAGATGAGAAAATGGAAACACAAAGAATTAAAATAACTTGCCCAAAGTTACAGATGGGAAAAGGGTGTGTTCACATTCAGACACCTCCACTTCCTCAATGGACAGTTGAAGGTGATCATATCTTTCCCGGTTTCCTCACCGGTCATTGCTAGAAGCCAAAGGAATGCGTGCCTCGTCCCCTCAGAGAGCGCACACTACCATACAGAGTACGTGGAATTCAGTGAGGCCATGAGAGGGTGCCATTAATAGACTTGTGTGTGTGTGCCTGGAGTACATCCCTTTGGCTCATCTAATTTCAGAAGTGGACAACTTCAAGCATGCTCCAGGTGTCTCACCTCTGAGCTATATACAGGTATATACACCTCTGATACATATACCTGTGTATATCCCAGCTTTTCTATCCCTGGGCTTTCTTGGAGCAAGGAAGTTTAGTCCATGTGCAGAACAGCCTGGCTGTGAGCAGGAGAGGATGTTCCCGGGGCACCTGTCCCTCAACCAGTGGGTGTGGGTGGATAAATGTCCCAAGGTCCTACCCCTTGCTGGGGTGAATCTGCAGCACATGCTATGTGGCATGTACCTGCATTACAGAGGATCTTTGCAGGATTGCACCCCTCTGTTTTTCACTCCTGGCTCTTAAAAAGTCGCCTCCAAAACATTACCTGTCTCCACACCCATGTTGCAGACTTTGCTTTCAAGGAAACCCAAACTAAGAGAGTGCCTGCAAAGGGGAGCTCGGGATTTGGGTTCAAAGTTTCAAATCCCAGTTTGGCTATTTGCCCTTGTGACCCTGAGCATGTTCCTTAATTTCCTCAAAGTTCCCCAGCAAGTGGAGACACTAATATGAAGCTTGCCTGCTTGGAGGAAGAAGGAATATAGGCAGTGACCTGTCCCGATGCCTGAGATATAATATGCTATTAAAAAATGGATGCTGATATTATTATAATTACACAATTGTAATTATTGATATCAATAGTTATTATAAATATGTATTTTTGTATGTGTTCATGATGTGATCGGTCATGTTCATGTGTATGCATGTGACTCAACATTCTTATTATTCATCTTTGTCATTCAAGTTAAGAAAGAGGACATGGGAAGGCAAAAAAGGAGGTATATCCTAAGGGAGGAGATTAAAGGACCCCTAGACTCCACAAATTCCTAAGCTGTCATGGTAGAGAGCAGTCTACTGCTTTTTGAAGCTCTTGTCAACCCCTCAGCATCTATACTTCTGACATATTCCATCAACCTGTGTATTAATATGGCTCATATTTCTAACAAGTGCTCACATGGTGCTTTCATTCTGGCAGAAACTGTTAAAACTTCTCTACACAGAAAGTTCTTTATCCCTATGTCACAGATGAGGAATGTGAAGCCCAGAGACGTTGGCCAACCTTCCCAAGGTCACACAGCTAGGAAAGGGCAAAGCTGGATTTGGACCTAGGTGGTCTGGCTTCAGAGTCCATGCTGGTAACCCCTCTGCTGTATTGCCTCTTTGCACAAGATCAGCAGAACCTAGGGAGCAATTTCGCTGCCATCCCAGCAGCCTAGGGGAAAGGAGACATCATAGTTTCCTTATTTGATAACTTCATAAACGATAGCATTTAGTGCAAAGCAGCGAGGTACTCCAGAAGAAGCCCAATCTACTCATCTCTGCAAATTCCATAGATGGCCTTGTCATGATGTCTGGGTTGCTGTGATCTCCACTTCTGCCTTCAGTTTGTTCCCATGGCCAGATGAAACCCCTTGGAAAGAACAAAACTATTATATTGCTGGGGTAGAGAAGAGTGTAGTTTTACAGAAGCTGAATGGCGTGGAACCATGCAGCTTAAATTATCAGGCTGTGATGGCTCCTATCACCTAGCAGGTGGAGAGAGAACAGCAGATAGAAAAGACTGACTTCTAGCAGCTACTGAGGTCTCTTCTCCTTGTCAACATAGACTTAGATGGTAGATTTGAAGTGGAAAATGGGAATTTGAAAATTAGAGACAAAGAATGGCAATTAGTTTAGCTAAGGCAAAAAGATGGGATTTTTAAAAAGCAACGTTTTGCTAAGTCAGTGCTGGGGAACAATTTTATCAGGAAGTAAAAATAAACTCTGGTTTATATGTATTATGGAATGTGTTATGTCTCTTCTACTGCATGTTGATGGCTACGTGAGGGCGAGAGCTATGCTGGGGACCAACTGGAGGTGCTATGTGGAGAATAGGGATGCAGGATGTGGAATCAAATGGTCTGGATTCAAATCCTGGCTCTTAGCAGCTGTGCAGGCTCAAGCAGATTTTGAATGCTCTCTAAACCTCAGTTTCCATGTCTGTTAAGTGGATAATTTGCCTTTTCTGTAGGGTTATACTGAGGATTAAATGACATAATCCACATATATTTAGCACAGTATCGGGCACATGGCAAGCTCTCAGTATTTGATAACTGTTATGACGACAAAGTTATAAAATGGGTGAAGTCCTGTGTCTTGTTTCAAAGATGGATACACACTGAAAGGATGAACAACAACAATGGTATATAACAGCATCAAAAAGAAGTCTAGGCCAGGCGTGATGGCTCATGCCTGTAATCACAGCACTTTCGGAGGCTGAGGCAGGTGGATCACCTAACGTCGGGAGTTCGAGACCAGCCTGGCCAATATGGCAAAACCCTGTCTCTACTAAAAATACAAAAATTAGCTGGGCATGGTGGTACACGCCTGTAATCCCAGCTATTTGGGAGGCTGAGGCAGGAAAATTGTTTGAACCTGGGAGGCAGAGGTTGCAGTGAGCCGAGATGGTGCCATTGCACTCCAGCCTGGTTGACAGAGCGAGACTCCACCTCAAAAAAAAAAAAAAAAAAAAAAAAAGATTTACACAGGAGACCATGAAACTTACTAATTGTTTTTCCTACTGAAGATTTTTATTCATTATGTATAGCATAATTGTTAAGAATATTGATCTTGACATCAGACAAACAAGGCTTTAAATTTTCATTCTATTTACTCACCGTGAGCAGTCAGTTGATCTCTCTGAACCTTAGTTTTCTTAACCATAAAATGGGGATGATAGTACCAAACCCCTGGGGTTGTATGAGGATTAACTGAGAAAGCAGATAAAAAGCATTTTGCATGTGAATTGATATTATTGATAATATTATAAACATGAATATGTGAATGTGTTCATGACTTTTTTCCAGGTTTATTTAAATATAACTAAAAAATATTGTATACATTATGGTTCACAATGTGATATTTTAATAGATGTACACATTGTGAAATGATTACCACAATCAAGCTAATTAATATATCTGTCTCCTCAAAGACCTAAAAATGGAAATACCATTTGACCCAGCAATCCCATTACTGGGTATATAGCCAAAGGAATAGAAATCGTTCTGTCATAAAGACACATGCACATATATGTGCGTTGCAGCACTATTTACAATAGCAAAGACACGGAATCAACCTAAATGCCCATCAATATAGACTGGATAAAGAAAACGTGGTACATATACACCATGGAATATTATGTAGCCGTAAAAAGAATGAGATCATGTCCACTGCAGGAACATGGATAGAGCTGGAGGCAATTATCCTTAGCAAACTAATGCAGGAACAGAGAACCATATACCACATGTTCTCACTTATAAGTGGGAGCTTAATGGTGAGAATACATGGACACGTATAGGGGAACAACACACAGTGGGGCCTGTCAGAGGGTGGAGGGTGGGAGGAGGAAGAGGATCAGGAAAAACAACTAATGGATACTAGGCTTAATACCTGGGTGATGAAATGATCTGTACAACAAACCCCCATGACACATATTTACCTATGTAACAAAACTGCACATTTGCCCCAAACTTAAAAGTTAAACTATATATATATGTGTGTATATATATACATATATACACACATATACACGTATATATACACAATATGTATATATGCACATATACATGTATATATAGTGTATATATAGTATATATACACTATATAGTATATACTTATATATAATATATGTATACATATACTATATATACAAGTATATGTAGTATATACTACATATACTTGTATATGTAGTATATACTACATATACTTGTATATGTAGTATATACTATATATACAAGTATGTATAGTATATAGGTATATATAGTATATACATACTTGTATATATAGTATATATGTGTATATGTGTGTGTATATATACTTATATATACATATATACGCATGTATATACACATATATACATGTGTATATATATATTTACATTGTGTGTGTGTGTGTAGTTTGCTAAGGATAATTGCCTCTAGCTCCATCCATGTTCCTGCAATGGACATGGTCTCATTCTTTTTACAGCTACATAGTATTCCATGGTGTATATGTACCACGTTTTCTTTATCCAGTCTATATTGATGGGTATTAGGTTGATTCTGTGTCTTTGCTATTGTACTATATATGTAGATATATACACACACATAGTATATATTTATGTTTACTATATAAATATATATAGTATTTATATATACTATATATATTTATATATAGTGTATATACACTATATATTTATATATAGTGTATATACACTATATATAAATATATAGTGTATATATACTATGTATTTATATATAGTGTATATATACTATATACTATGTATTTATATATAGTGTATATACTATATATTAAAAATATACCATAAATAAAAAATATATATAATATACATATACACTATATATAGTATATATACACACTATATATTTATATATACACTATATATACTATATATTATATAAAAATATATACTATATATTATATATAATATACATATACATTATATACAGTGTATATATACACTATGTATTTATATATACTATATATTATATACACTATATATTTATATATACTATAGTAGTGTATATGTATACTATATATAGTGTATATATACTAGTATACTATAGTAGTGTATATATAGTGTATATATACTAGTATATATACTAGTGTATATATACTAGTATATATACTAGTGTATATACACTAGTATATATACTAGTGTATATACACTACTATATATACTAGTGTATATACACTACTATATATACTAGTATATATACACTACTATATATACTAGTATATATACACTACTATATATACTAGTATATATACACTATATATATACTATAGTAGTGTATATATAGTGTATATATACTCTATATATATACTATAGTAGTGTATATATAGTGTATATATACTAGTATATATACACTATATATATTTATATATATATAAAATCACCTCACATACTTAATATTTTGGTGGTGAGAACATTTAAGATTTATTCTTTTAGAACTTTCAAGTATACAATACATCATTAACTATAGTTGCCATGCTCTACATTAGGTCTCCAGAATATATTCATTCTGTTTAACTGAAATTTTGTATCCTTTGACCAACATTTCCCTATTCTCCCACCTCCACCCCACCCCAAGCCCCTGGCAACCACCATTGCTTTCCTTCTACTCTTTGCTTCTGAGTTTGACATTTTTAGATTCCACATGTGAGTGAGACAATGCAGTGTCTGTCTTTCTGTGCCTGACTTATTTCACTTATTATAATATCCAGGCCCATTTATGTTGTTGCAAGTGACAGAATTTCTTTTTTTAAGTCTAAATAGTATTCCATTGTTTGTGTGTGTGTGTGTGTGTATACACACACGTTTATACATGTCTATCCGTGGGTCAATGGATAAAGAAAATATGGTATTCACCCATTAATAGACACTTCAGTTGATTCCGTATCTTGACTATTGTGAATATTGCTGCAATGAACATAGGAATATAGATATCTCTTCAATTTCATTTCCTTTGGACATATGCTAACTAGAAGACTAGAAGTGGGATTGCAGGATCATATGGTAGTTCTATTTTTAATTTTTTGAGGAATCTCCATAATGGCTGTACTAATTTACATTCCCATCAACAGTATACAAGGGTTCCTTTTCTCCACATTCTTGTCAACACTTGATATCTTTTGTCTTGTTGATAATAGCCATTCTAACAAATACGGGGTAATCTATCTCATTGTGGTTTTGATTTACATTTTCCTGATGATTGGTGATGTTGAGCATTTTTTCATATACCCGTCAGCCACTTATGTGTTATTTTTTGAGAAACGTCTTTTCAAGTCTTTTGCCCATTTTAAAATTGGGTTGTTGTATTGCTATTGAATTGTTTGAGTTCCTTAAACATCTTGCATATTATCCTCTCATCAGATGTATGGTTTGAAAATATTTTCACCCTTTATATAGATTGTGTTTTCATTCTGTTGATTGTTTTATTTGCTGTGCATAAGCTTTTTAGTTTGATACAATCTGATATGCCTATTGTTGCTTTTTGAGTCATATCCAAAATATCATTGCCTGGACCAATGTCAGGAGGATCTTTTCCTGTGTTTTCTTCCTGTGGTTTATAGGTTCAGGTGTTATGTTTCAATCTTTAATTAATTTTAGTTGATTTTTGCATGTGGTGTGAGATAAGAATCCAATTTCATTCGTCTGCATGTGGATATCTAATTTTTTTCAACACTACCTATTGAAGAGACAGACCTTTCCCTTGTATGTTCTTGGCATCTTGGTTGCAGACAAATTGACCATAAACATACGGGTTTTTATGGGCTCTTTCTTCTATTCCATTGGTCTATATGTCTATTTTTGTGCCAGTACCATGCTGTTTTGATTAAGATAGCTTTGCATTATGGTTTGAAATCAGGTTGTGTGATGCTTTCAGCTTTGTTCTTCTTGCCGAAGACTGTGGTGGCTGCTCAAGATTGTGGTAGCTATTTGCAGTCTTTGATGATTTCATACCAAATTTTAGGATTTTTTTTCTATTTGTGACAAATGCCAATGACATTTTCATAGGAATGGCATTTAGTCTATGGATAACTTTGGGTATTATGAACATTTTCACAATATTAATTCTTCCAATACATAAACACAGACTATCTTTTCATTTATTTGCATCTTTTTCAATTTCTTTCATCACAGTTCTACAGTTTTTAGTGTACAAATCTTTTACCTCCTTGGCAAAACTTATTTCTAAGTGTTTCATTTTTTTGTAGCAATTGTAAGTGGACTTTTAAAAATGTTTTTGGATTATTTATTAGTGTATAAACACACTATTGATTTTGTATATTGATTTTGTATCCTGCAACATTACTTCATTAATTAGTTCTGACAATTTTGTGATGGAGTTTTAGGACTTCATAAGATTATGTTATCTGCAAACAAAGATAATTTTATTTCTTCTTTTCCAACTTGGGTGCCTTGTATTCCTTTCTTTTGCCTAATTGGTTGGGCTAGGACTTCCAGTACTATATTGAACAGAAGTGTCAAGAGTGGACATTCTTGCAGTGAGCCGAGATCGCACCACTGCCCTCCAGCCTGGGCGACAGAGCAAGACTCTGTCCCAAAAAAAAAAAAAAAGGACATTCTTGTCTTATTCCTTGTCTCAGAGAAAAAGCTTTCAGCTGTTCACCAGTTCACCATTGAGTATAATGTTATCTGTGGGACATTATTATGCTGAGGTACATTCTTTCTATACCTAATTTGTTGAGAGTTTGTAGTTAGGAAATTACGTTGAATTTTTTCAAATGCCTCTTCTGCATCTGTGGAGATGATTATATGATTTTTATACTTTATTCTACTAATGCGATGTAGAATACTTACTGATTTGCATATGTTAAACTATTCTTGCATCCTGAGATAAATCCTAATTGATGATGGTGTATAATCCTTTTCATGTGCTGTTGAATTCAGTTGGCTAGTATTTTGTTGAGGATTTTATCTATGTTCCTAAAGCATGTTGATCTATACTCTTCCATTCTTGTAGTGTACTTTTCTGGCTATGGTATCCGGGTAATGTCAGTCTTGTAAAATGAGTTTGGAAGTGTTTCCTGTTCTTTAATTAAAAAAAAAAAAAAAAGAAAATGTGTTGTTAATTATGCTTTAAATGTTTGGTAGAATTCACCAGTGAATGTCTTGGGTTTTTCTTTGTTGGGAACTTTTTGATAATTGATTTAATCTCCTTACTGATTGTTGGTGTGTTCATATTTTCTATTTCTTCATAATTCAGTCTTGGTGGGTTGTATGCATCTAGAAATGCATTCATTTCTTCTAGGTTATCCAATCATTCATAGTATCTCTTATGATGCTTTATATTTCTATATCAGCTATAACATCTCTTTTGTTTATAACTTTGAGTTCCTTTTTTCTTAGTTTCTCAATTTAGTTTATTTTTTCTTAAAAAAAAAAACAACTCTTAGTTTCATTGATATTTTCTATTGTTTTCTACCCTCTTTCCACTGACTTTGGGCTTAGTTTTTCTTCTTTTCTAGTTCTTTGGGGTATAAAGGTTGGTTGTCAGGTTGTTTACTTGAGATCTTTTTTTCCTTAATGTAGGTATTTAGCACTATAAACTTTTAGAACTGTTTTTGCTGCATTCCATAAGTTATGGTATGTTGTACTTCTGTTTCATTCGTCTCAAGTTATGTTTTGATTTCTCTTTTGATTTCTTCTTTGACTCATTGATTGTTTAGGAGCATGTCATTTAATTTGTCAGTATTTGTGAATTTCCCTATTTTCCTCTTCTTACGGGTTTCTAATTTTATACCACTGTAATTAGAAAAGATGCTTGATATGATTTCAGTCTTCTCAAATTTATTAAGATTTGTTTTGTGGCATAATCCTCCCATTCTGGAGAATGTTTGGTGTTCACTTAAGAATATTTATTCTGTTGCTGTTTGATGGTAGGCTCTTCTTGTCTGTTAGGTCCATTTGGTTTATAGTGTTTGTCTGTTATTTTCTTATTGATTTTTCTGTGTGAATAATTTATTGTTGAAAGTGAGGTATTGAAGTCTCCTACTACTTTTGTTCATTTAGTTTGGTTTGTTACATAGATATAGTGCATGATGCTGAGGTTTAGGGGATAGATCCTATCACCCAGGTAGCTAGCATACTACACAATAGGTAGTTTTTCTTTTTTTTTTTTTGTTATTATACTTTAAGTTTTAGGGTACATGTGCACAGCATGCAGGTTAGTTACATATGTATACATGTGCCATGTTGGTGTGCTGCACCCATTAACTCGTCATTTAGCATTAGGTATATCTCCTAATGCTATCCCTCCCCCCTCCCCCAACCCCACAATAGGCCCCGGTGTATGATGTTCCCCTTCCTGTGTCCATGTGTTCTCATTGTTCAATTCCCACCTATGAGTGAGAACGTGCAATGTTTGGTTTTTTGTCCTTGTGATAGTTTGCTGAGAATGATGGTTTCCAGTTTCATCCATGTCCCTACAAAGGACATGAACTCATCATTTTTTATGGCTGCATAGTATTCCATGGTGTATATGTGCCACATTTTCTTAATCCAGTCTATCACTGTTGGACATTTGGGTTGGTTCCAAGTCTTTGCTATTGTGAATAGTGCCGCAATAAACATATGTGTGCATGTGTCTTCATAGCAGCATGATTTATAATCCTTTGGGTATATACCCAGTAATGGGATGGCTGGGTCAAATGGTATTTCTAGTTCTAGATCCCTGAGGAATCACCACACTGACTTCCACAGTGGTTGAACTAGTTTACAGTCCCACCAACAGTGTAAAAGTGTTCCTATTTCTCCACATCCTCTCCAGCACCTGTTGTTTCCTGACTTTTTAATGATGGCCATTCTAACTGGTGTGAGATGGTATCTCATTGTGGTTTTGATTTGCATTTCTCTGATGGCCAGTGATGAGGAGCATTTTTTCATGTGTCTGTTGGCTGCATAAATGTCTTCTTTTGAGAAGTGTCTGTTCATGTCATTCGCCCACTTTTTGATGGGGTTGTTTGTTTTTTTCTTGTAAATTTGTTTGTGTTCATTGTAGATTCTGGATATTAGCCCTTTGTCAGATGAGTAGATTGCGAAAATTTTCTCCCATTCTGTAGGTTGCCTGTTCACTCTGATGGTAGTTTCTTTTGCTGTGCAGAAGCTCCTTAGTTTAATTAGATCCCATTTGTCAATTTTGGCTTTTGTTGCCATTGCTTTTGGTGTTTTAGGCATGAAGTACTTGCCCATGCCTATGTCCTGAATGGTATTGCCTAGGTTTTCTTCTAGGGTTTTTATGGCTTTAGGTCTAACATTTAAGTCTTTAATCCATCTTGAATTAATTTTTGTATAAGGTGTAAGGAAGGGATCCAGTTTCAGCTTTCTACATATGGCTGGCCAGTTTTCCCAGCACCATTTATTAAATAGGGAATCGTTTCCCCATTTCTCCCATTTCTTGTTTCTGTCAGGTTTGTCCAAGATCAGATGGTTGTAGATATGCGGTGTTATTTCTGAGGGCTCTGTTCTGTTCCATTGGTCTATATCTCTGTTTTGGTACCAGTTACATGCTGTTTTGGTTACCGTAGCCTTGTAGTATAGTTTGAAGTTAGGTAGCGTGATGCCTCCAGCTTTGTTCTTTTGGCTTAGGATTGACTTGGCAATGCGGGCTCTTTGTTGGTTCCATATGAACTTTAAAGTAGTTTTTTCCAATTCTGTGAAGAAAGTCATTGGTAGCTTGATGGGGATGGCATTGAATCTATAAATTACCTTGGGCAGTATGGCCATTTTCATGATATTGATTCTTCCTACCCATGAGCATGGAATGTTCTTCCATTTCTTTGTATCCTCTTTTATTTCATTGAGCAGTGGTTTGTAGTTCTCCTTGAAGAGGTCCTTCACGTCCCTTGTAAGTTGGATTCCTAGGTATTTTATTCTCTTTGAAGCAATTGTGAATGGGAGTTCACTCATGATTTGGCTCTCTGTTTGTCTGTTTTTGGTGTATAAGAATGTTTGTGATTTTTGCACATTGATTTTGTATCCTGAGACTTTGCTGAAGTTGCTTATCAGCTTAAGGAGATTTTGGGCTGAGACGATGGGGTTTTCTAGATAACAATAGGTAGTTTTTCAACTCACAACCCCTTTCTTCCTCCCAACTTTAGTAGTCAACAGTGTCTATTGTTCTCATCTTTATGTCCATAGTTACCCAATGTTTAGTTCCTACAGTGTGGTATTTGGTTTTCTGTTCCCGTGTTAATTGTTAGGATTATGGTCTCCAGAAGCCTCCATGCTGCTACAAAGAACATGATTTCATCCTTGTTTGTGGCTGTGTAGTATTCCATGGTGTATGTGTATCACATTTTTTCATCCAATACACCATTCATGGGCATCTAGATGGATTCCATGCCATTGCTATTGTGAATAGCACTGTGTGGAAGAAATGAGTTTATGTGTCTTTTTGGTGGGAAGATTTATTTTTCTTTGAGTATATACCCAGTAATGGCATTGTTAGGTCAAGTGATAGCTCTGTTTTAAATTCTTTGAGAAACCTCCAAACTGCTTTCCACAGTAGCTGAGCTAATTTACATTCTAATCAACAGTGTATAAGCATTTCTTTTTCTCCACAGTCTCACCAGCATGTGTTATTTGATTTTTTAATAGCCATTCTGACTCGTGTGAGATGTTATTGATTTGCATTTCTCTGATGATTAGTGATGATGAGCATTTTTTCGTGTTTATTGGCCACTTGTATGTCTTCTGTCTTCTTTTGACAAGTGTTCATGTCCTTTGCCTACTTTTTAATGTGGTTATTTGGTTTTTGCTTGTTGATTTGTTTAAGGTCCTTTTAGATTCTGGATGTTAGACTTTTGTCAGATGCATAGTTTGCTAGTATTTTCTCCAATGCTGTAGATTGTCTATTTACTTTGTTGATAGTTTCTTTTGCTGGGCAGAAACTTTTTAGTTTAATCAGGCCCCACTTGCCAACTTTGTTTGTTGTTGTTGTTGTTGTTGTTGGAATTGCTTTCAGGGACTTAGCCAAAAATTCTTTGTCAAGACTGATATTGAGAAGGGTATTCCCTAGGTTTTCTTTTAGAATTTTTATAATTTGAGGTCTTACCTTTAAATCTTTAATCCATCTTGAGTTAATTTTTGTATACGGTAAAAAGTAGCGTTCCAGTTTCATTCATTTGCATATGGCTAGCCACTTATCCCAGTACCGTTTACTGAATAGTAGAAAGTCCTTGCCCTGTTGCTTGTTTTTGTTGACTTTGTCAAAGATTAGATGGTTGTAGGCGTGCGGCTTTATTTCTGGGTTCTCTATTCTGTTCCATTGGTTTATGTGCTTGTTTTTTTTTCACCAGTACCATGCTGTTTTGGTTACTGTGGCCTTATGGAATAATTAGAAGTGTGATACGTCTGGCTTTGTTCTTTTTGCTTTGGATCGTTTGGGCTATTCGGTCTCTTTTTTGGTTCCATATGAATTTTGGAATACTTTTTTTCTAATTCCATGAAAAGAACATCGGTAGTTTCATATAAATAGCATTGAATCTGTAAACTGCTTTGGGCAGTGTGGCCATTTTAACAATATCGAGTCTTCCAATCCATAAGCACAGATTGGTATTCCATCTCTGGTTTCTTTCAACAGTGTTTCGTAGTTCTTGTAGAGATCTTTCACCCCCTTGGTTAGCTGTATTCCTAGGTATTTCCATTTTTTGTGTGTGGCTATCATAAGTGGGATTATGTTTTTCATTTGACTATCAGCTTGAACATTATTGGTGGGTAGATGCTACTGATTTTTGTACATTGATTTTGTCTCTTTGTCCTTCTTAATAGTTGTTTGTTTAAAGTCTGTTTTATCTGATGTAAGAATAGAAACCTGCTCTTTTTATTTTCAACTTGCATGGTAGATTTTTTTTTTTTTTGGTCCCTTTACTTTAAGCCTGTTTATGTCCCTTCATGTGAGATGGGTCTCCTGAAGACAGGAGAGAGGTGGCTCTTGTCTTTGTATGCAGCTTGCCACTTTATGTCTTAAGTGGGGCATTAAGTACATTTACATTCAGGGCTATTATTGATACATGAGACTTTGATCCTGTCATTGTGTTGTTAGCTGGTTATTATGTGGACTTGTTTGTGTAGTTGCTTTATAGTATCTATGGGATATGTGCGTAAGTGTGTTTTTGTAGGAGCAGGTGCCATTTCTTGGTTTCCATGTTTAGCACTTTTTAAAGGAACTCTTGTAATGCTTGTCTAATTGTAACCAATTCCCTCAGCATTTGCTTGTCTGAGAAGGATTCTATGTCTCCTTTGATTATGAAACTCAGTTTGGCAGGACATGAAATTTTTGGTTGGAATTTCTTTCCTTTAAGGATGTTGAAAATAGGCTCCCAATATTTTCTGGCTTATACGTTTTCTGCTGAGAGGTCTGTCTATTGCTAGCCTGATGGGGCTCCCTTTGTACATGATCTGATCTTTCTCTAGCTGCCTTTAAGATTTTTTTTTTTTTTTGCATTTATCTTGGTGACTCTGATGACTGTGTGTCATGGGGAGGGGCATCTTTTGTAGTATCTAGCCAGGGTTCTCTGTATTTCTTGAATTTGAACGTCAATCTCTCTAGTGAGATTAGAGATTTTTTTTGTGGACTATATCTTCGAATATATTTTTCAAGTTGCCTACTCTCTTTCTTCACTCAGGAATGCCAACGAGTTATAAGTTTGGTCTGTTTACCTAATCCCATATTTCTTGGAGGTTTTGTTTATTTTTTTAAAATTCCTTTTTCTTTATTTTTGTCTGACTGAGTTAATTTGAAAAACCAGTGTTGGAGCTCTGAGATTCTTTCCTCAGCTTGGTCTATTCTACTATTAATGCCTTCAACTAAATTAAGAAATTCTTGCAGTCAACTTTTCAATTCCAGAAGTTTAGTTTGGTTCTTTCTTAAAATGGCTCTTTTATCTTTCAGCTCTTGGATTATTTTACTGGATTCTTTGGATTGAGTTTCAACTTGCTTCTGAATCTTGATGAACTTCCTTGCCATCTATATTCTGAATTATATGTCTGTCATTCAGTCATTTAATAGTGGTTAAGAAGCTTTGCTGAGGAGCTAGGGGGCTCATTTGGAAGTAAGGGGACACTGTGGCTTTTTGAATTGGTAGAGTTCTTGCACTGATTCTTGCACTGATCTGGGAGGGCTGGTGTTCCTTCACCTGTGGTGTAAGTTGAGTATTTTCAGTTGGGCTCATTTCTGGATGTTTTTAGAGGGCCAAGACTCTGTACAGGATCTTTATTTGTGGGTGAATGCCTGTGCTTGGTTTCACAGGGGTATTAGCCAAATAATTTTTGGCAATGTAGTTTGAGCCATGATCCAGTAGATGGTGCTTAAAAGTAATGGCCAGCAGGTAGGGTCTTAGCCACATGGCTCTTTTATATTTCCTCACGTTTGCAGGCATGCTCTGCCATGGCAAAGGGAGGTGGGGAGAGATGACCTCCTCACCAGATCCACTCCTAGGCCTTCGAGGATTCCCCTCTTATCACTGGCTCCACACCCATATTTATTTTGTTAGGTGTTCAGGGCCGCAGGGCTCCCTTGGGCAGAGGCTGTGGCAGAGAGACAGGCCACATTCTTTCTGGACTGGCCCTATAGAGGGAGGTATGCCTCACTCCCTTGCTGGCCCATGAACTTGGACATTTTACCATTCTCAATGCTCTGAGTGTGGGGGCTCCTCTCCCACTCAAGTGCTGGCCACAGATCTCAGCTCAACACTCATAAGCTGTGTACCATGGCTGAGACATCAGGATGGCCCAACTGTGGTGGTGGATTCGAAGTGCTCCCAGGTTGCTGGGAAAGTGTTCAGGTGGAGCAAAGCACTCAGGCTGGGCAGTGGAGGCTGTGCTATGCAGCCTGTGCTGTGCCCGTGGTCCTGTGGGGCAGGCAGGCAGGAGTCCTGGGAAAGGCTAGTGGGCAGGAAGGCTTATAGAACAGATGTTCCCCAGTCCTGTGGGAAGGCTGACCCTGCTCTCTTCTGGCCTGGTGGTCAACTGGGGCTAGAACCTCTTGGAGGGAGATGGGGAGCACTGGGGTATGCGTGTCTGTGGCTACACTCTGCCAGAACTACATTTCTGGGTTCTCTGGTGGCTGAAGCCCTGACTCTGCCTATTCCCTGGGCAGATCCCCCTGCTAGCTCACATGTCCATGGGGAATGTGGGGCCCCCTGTCCTATTACTTTTGTATTGCTGTCTGCTTCTCCCTTTAGTTGTGTTAATATTTGCATTATATAATTAGGTGTTCCATTGTTTAGCACATATATATTTAAACTTATTATATCTTCTTAAGTGAATTGACTCTTTTATCATTATTTAATGACCTTTTTTATCTCTGTCACAGTTTTGGACTTAAACATCTATTTTTTTTTCCTGATGTACATATCTCTGCTTTTTTGATTACTATTATATTTTATTTATTACAGCTTATAGAATATCTCTTTACATCCCATAATTTTCAGCTTATATGTGTACTTAAAGCTAAAGCAAATCTCTAGTAGGCAGCATGTAGATGGGTTTTGGCTTTTTACTCCATTCAGTCACTCTGTCATTTGATTAGAGAATTTAACTCATTTACATTTAAATAATAATTCATAGGTAAGGACTTACTACGACCATCTTGTTAATTGTTCTCTATTTTGTATTTCTTTTGTCTCATCCTTCCCCTCTTGCTATCTTTCTTTCTGTTTTTTGTTTTTGTTTTTGTTTTTTTTTGTAGAGGTATGCTTTGATTATTTTCTCTTTATCTTTTGTGTATACCCTACATATTTTTTCTTTGTGGTTGTTATGAGGCTTACATAAACATCTTGTAGTTATAATAGTCTATTTGAAGCTGATAACTACTTAATTTCAACTATATACATAAATATCTACAGTTTAACTTCTCCTTCCCCCGTATTTGTGTCATTGATGTCACAATTTACATCTTTTATGTATCATGTATCCATTAACAAATTATTGTACCTATATTTTTAATACTTTTGTCTTTTAACTTATATAGCAGAGTCAGAAATTATTTATGGACCACCATTACAGTTTTAGAGTATTCTAAATTTGACTATATTCTTACCTTTGCAGTGAATTTTATACTTTCATATATTTTCATATTGTTAACATCCTTTTCTTTCAACTTGAAGAACTTCTTTTAGGGTTTTTTTTTGTAAAGCAGATCTAGTGGTGCTGAGTCCCCACAGCTTTTGTTTGTCTGGGAAAGTCTTTATCTTGCCTTTTGCCTTCATTTTGGAATGATGACTTTGCTGGGTATACATTCTTGGTCGATAGTTCTTTTTTTTTTTTTTTTTTTTCCCAGCACTTGGGGTAATATCATCTCATTCTCTCCTTGCCTGCAAGGTTTCTGCTGAGGAGTATCCTTAAAGTTTTAGGGAGGTGCCCTTGTATGTGTGATCAGTTGCTTTTCTCTTGCGACTTTCAAATTGTCTCTTTGACTTTTGAGAATTTTATTATAATGTGTCTCAATGAACATATCTTTATAGTGAACCTACTTAGAGTTCTTTGGGCTTCATGGATCTGGATGTTCATGTTCCTCTTCATCCAGACATAGGAAGTTTTCTGTCATTATTTATTTAAATAAGCTTTTTGCCCTTTTTTTTCTTTTTCTTCTCCTTCTGAAACTCTCATCATGCATATATTGGCTCACTTAATGGTGTCCATAGTCCTGTAGGTTTTCTTCCTCATTTTCCCTCAGTTTCATTCTTTTTGTCACCTTAACTGGGTAATTCCAAAGGACCTGTCTTTGAGCTAATTCTTCTTCTGCTTAGCCAAGTGGATGTTGAAGCTCTCTGAAAGTTTTCAGCTCAATCATTGCGTTCTTACTCAAAAATTTCTGTTTGGTTCTATTTTTTTTATTTTTATCTATTTACTGAACTTCTCACTTTGTTCATGAATTATTTTCCTGATTTGACATAGCTGTCTATCTGTGTTCTTCTGTAGCTCACTGAGCTTCTTTAAGATGATTATTTTTTATTGTTTGTCAGGCAATTTGGAGATCTTCATTTTTTTAGGGTTGGCTACTGGTCCTTTATTTTGTTTCTCTGGTGATGGTATGTTTCTCCAATTACACGTAATCCTGTAGTCTTGCATTAGTATCTGCACATTTGAAGAGGTAGATACCACTTTCAGTGTTTTAAGGACAGGCTTTGGCAGAGAAAGCACTTTACCAGTTAGCCTGTTTAGAGACTCTGGTCAGGCCATCTTGCAGGGTTCATGGGTTGCCTGCTGCTGGAATCCTCAGGTGGGCTGGGAGCACTGATGTCTACTGGAGTGGGTCTGAACCTTGAGTCTCTTGGAGCCTGGGCCTCTGGAGACAAGCCTGGAGCCTGGGATGGGCCTGGAGGCTGAGCCCACAGTAGTGGGCCTGGGTCCTGGGCCATCAGGAGCAGTCATAGAGGTTGGATTTATAAGGGGCTAGCCTAGTGCTAGGTGGGCCAAGAGCCTAGGTCTGGAGTGGTCAGCCTGGAGCCTGGGCCTGCAGGTGCTGGCCTGGTGCCTTGGGCTGTGGGAGCCAACATAGTGCTGAGGTAGGCCTGGAGGCTGAGTCTACGGGGGCAGGCCTGAGTCCTGGGTCTGTGGCAGTCATCCTAGAGCTTGGAACTATAGGGGATTCTCTGGAACTAGGGCTTGGTCCCCAGGCTGGGGCAAGCCTGGAGCCTGAGTCTGCCAGGGTAGGTAGGCCTAGATCCATGGGATTATGAGGGCTGACCTGGTGCTGGGGTGGGCCTGGAGGCTTGATCTATGGGTACTGGCCTGGGGCTCAAGGCCATGGGGCTGACCTGGTGCCAGGTTTCACTGGCACAGGCCTGATGTTTGGGTCTGTGGTGAATTCACATGTTCACTTCACTCTCCTTCCCCCACAGGGAGCACACGTGTCTCTGCACTGTGCTGGGGTTGGGAAGCGGTGGTGTGGATAATGTGAAACTGTCCTTATTACCTTCTTCAGTGCATTTTTTTTTCTTATTTGTGTGCTACACCTAGGTGCTGTAATCTCTCACTTGAATCTCTTAGCTCTTGTGAAGGTATTTTTATGCATAGATTGTTGTTTAAACTGATGTTTCTGTGAGGGGATGAGAACCAGAAAGTTCTATTCTGCCATCTTGCTGGCATCGCTCCCCTAGGGACCTGTTCATGAATTCGTGAATTCGTATAGCGTGTAAAAGTATTATTTTACACCCAAGATAATCAATTTTACTAGTTTGTGTTCGGGTCTGCATGATGGAAATCAATCAGCCAACTCTGAGTGGCAGAGTCTGTTACATTGGTGTTAAAAACCAGTCTATGTTATATTGGTGTTTAAAAAGATTCTGAGGTCACATTTGGGATTAGTAGGAAAGAATGCTTTGATTGATTAGTGATGTCTTCCATTGGCATGGAAATGGAGAGGGACACTTTTTTGAGACAGGCTCTGGCTCTGTTGCCCATGCTAGAGTGCAGTGGCACAATCTCTGTTCACTGCAACCTCTGCCTCTCGGGCTCAAGTAGTCTTCCTATCTCAGCCTCCTGAGTAGCTGGGCCCACAGGTACGCACCACCACGCCTGGCTAATTTTTTCTTTTTTCTTTTTTCTCTCTTTTTTTTTTTTTTTGAGACGGAGTCTCGCTCTGTCGCCCAGCCTGGAGTGCAGTGGCGCGATCTCGGCTCACTGCAAGCTCCGCCTCCTGGGTTCACACTATTCTCCTGCCTCAGCCTCCCCAGTAGCTGGGACTACAGGCGCCTGCCACCATGCCCGGCTAATTTCTTTGTATTTTTAGTACAGACGGGGTTTCACCGTGTTAGCCAGGACAGTCTCGATCTCGTGACCTCGTGATCCGCCTGTCTCGGCATCGCAAAGTGCTGGGATTACAGGCATGAGCCACCGCACCTGGCCCTGGCTAATTTTTTTCTATGTTTTTGTAGAGACATGGTTTCGCCATGTTGCCCAGGCTGGTCTCAAATTCCTGAGCTCAAGCAATCCACCTGCCTCGGCTATCTCTCCTGTTCCCCATCCCTCAATCTCTTTCTGTCTCTTGTTCTTGAGTGTGTCTTTTTTAGATCTTGTTCTCCCTTTGACAGCTTCCTCTTTGGCTTGGCATTTTATCATTTTTCTTAGCAGCTGGGATTCTCTGGCATTTCTAAGTCTATTTTAAACACTTTGTAAGGTTTGATTTAGAGGAAAATCTGATTTCCATAGTTTGTGCATTGGTACCTCAGGGGACTCTTAGTTTGATTATGTCCTGAAAAGGTTGTGATAAGCTCGGGCTCTGGCAGCCCTGATAGGCGTGGCTCAGTGGCCTTTCAGCTGCTTCCATCTGGGTTATTGAAGCTTTTTAGCAGCCCAAGAGCACCAGGCTCTTTACCTCATTGTAGAGTTCCAGTCTCATTTTTGTTTTGCCAGAACCCCTGGGGAACTGATTAAGATGATTCTGATTTAGCAGGTCTGGGGTGAGACGTGAGATTCTGCATTTCTAACAAACAGACGTGAGCCAGGCGCGGTGGCTCACGCCTATAATCCCAGCACTTTGGGAGGCTGAGGCGGGCGGATCACTTGAGTTCAGGAGTTCAAGACCAGCCTGACTAACATAAAGAAACCCCGTCTCTACTAAAAATACAAAATTAGCCGGGCGTGGTGGCACACACCTGTAATCCCAGTTACTTGGGAGGCTGAGGCAGGAGAATCACTTGAACCTGGGAGGCAGAGGTTGCAGTGAGCCAAGACTCTGCCATTGCACTGAAGCCTGGGCATCAAGGGCAAAACTTTGTCTCAAAAAACAAAAAAAAAAAGGAAAGAATGCTCCTTCTGTCTTGAAACCTAATTTCACCTGGCAAATGGAGTTTCTCCTCCTATGTGCTCCCTTTGAACCCACATGACATTTTATAGTATTTCTGATGGGCTTCTTCCCAACTTGGACTCTAATAATCTCTATTCATTTCTCTCTCCAGTTAGACCGAGTGCCACTCCAGGGCTTGCTATGGAAAAATAAAAACGCAAAATAGAACATTCCAGGCCAGTACATGTAGTAAAGACCGTCATGATGCCAAACATGACAACTTTGGCCTTCTCCAGTGTAGTGATGCCTGCTGCTCTGAAAAGCAGCAGCCTTATTTACAAGAGCTAAAGCTTGGAAGCAACCTAAGTGTCCCTGGATGGATGAACAGATAAACAAAATGTAGTATACACATACAAGGGAATATTAGTCTGCCTTTAAAAAGAAGGAACTTCTTTTTCTTTCTTTCTTATTTTTTGAAGACAGAGTCTCACTCTGTCACCTAGGCTGGAGCGCAGTGGTACGATCATAGCTTTCTGCAGCTTTCAGCTCCCAAGGTCAACCAATCCTCCCTCCTCAGCCTCCCAAGTAGCTGTGACTATGGGTGCATGCCTGGGTAACTTTAAAACAAAAAGTTTGTTTGTTTGTTTGTTTGTAGAGATGAGGTGTCACTATGTTGCTCAGGCTGGTCTTGAACTCCTGGGTTCAAGCAATCCTCTTGGCTCAACCTCCCAAAGTGCTGGGATTACAGGCATGAGCCACCATGCCCAGCCAGGAAGGAACTTCTCACACAACGCTGCAACATGAATAAACCCTGAGGACATTATGCTAAGGGAAATAGGCCAGTCATCAGAGAACAAATGCTGTATGAGTTCACATACATGAAGTACTTAGAACAGTTACATGCATACAGATAGAAAGCAGAATGATGGTTTCCAGGGGCTTGGGGAAGGGGAAATGGGGAGTTACTTTTTAACAGGTGTAGAGTTTTTCTTAGTTTTACAAGATGAAAAGAGTTAGTGAGATGGATGGTATGATGGCTGCATATTATTAAATTAATGCTTTCTTTTTTTTTTTTTTTTTTTTTTTAAGACAGGGCCTTGCTCTGTCTCCCAGGCTGGAGTGCAGTGGTACAGTCTCGGCTCACTGCAGCCTCAACCTCTCAGGCTCCAGCGATCCTCCCACCTCAGCCCCCCCATGTAGCTGGGATTACAGGCATGCACCACCACGCCTGGATAATTTTTATATTTTTAGTAGTGACGGGGTTTCGCCATGTTGACTAGGCTGGTCTTGAATTCCTGGGCTCAAGCCTTGACCTCCCAAAGTTCTGGGATTACAGGCCTGAGCCACCGCGGCCAGCCTATTAAGGTATTTAATACTTCTGAACTGTACAATGGTTAATTAAATTAAGGTATTTAATACTTCAATGGTTATGCTGGTAAACTATATTTTATGTGTTTTTCCCTCTCCCTTGTGGTTTTCCCCTGCGGCCTCCTACAGGGAAAAGAGGGGAGGACCTATATCCTTCTTCGATATCATCTCTATCCTACAGCTTGTAGGATATGGTACAGCTTGTAGGATATTTTTACCACAATAAAAACTTCTTATAAAAAAGCATTGGCCTTGCACAAAAAGGCCAGAGTTCTAGCCTTTCCTGGCAGGAATACACTGCACTGGGATCCCTTGAAGCCCTAGACTAGCCCCCACATGCAGGAGATTTGGAATATCCTCACTAGACATCAGATGAACAGGGGTCTGTGTGACTTCTTTAATTTTCCATCACATATCTTGTCTTGCCCTAAGTTTCCATTCCTGCTGCTGCCTGGGACAGATATACAAGAGAAACTGGTTTTACATAATTTTTTCCATTGTAAATTTATTCTTGGCAAAGAATCAAACATTCAAATTCTTTCACAGGATTATTTCCTTTCTCTAGGTCTCTTTCTCCTTTGTCTCTTGAAGGTGACATCTGAGCTCGTAAAACAGTTTGTTTCTGTCCGTGTGCTGGACATCGTCCTTTCTGGCCTCTGCTGCAGAATTCTGAGTCTCAATTTGACCCTGAGTGCCCTGCACTGGTGTCCACTGCAGAGAAACTGCTCCTTCCTGATATTTTTTGAGCATGTTACTGATCGCCCCTGCTGACATTATAGATCTCTGCCATTGGCTCTGGTCCTAAGGTTACCTCATTCTGTGATCTCCTCACCCTAAGCCAGGCCTCTTCTGCTCTATCAATTCTCTCAGAAATTCTGAGCCCCTCTAAAAGGAAGGAGGCAGGGAATCTTGTTAGGTTTTTCTGCAGGATGGCTATGTTGGGGAGACACCATAACATCCTAATGTATGTTTGGGGTTGGCAAACATTGGCCCAAAGGTTGCTTGTCACATGACTTTGTAAATAAAGTTTTATTGGAACAGAACTACACCCACTCAGTTACATATTGTCTATGGCTGCTTTTGCAGTACAGTGGCAGAGTTGATCGTGGTGACAAAGGTTATATAGCCCGCAAGGCTGAAATATTTACTGTCTGGCCCTTTGCAGAAAAAGTTTGCTGGCCTTTGGTCTTTGTGGTGGAGTCCAGGGTTGTGCAGGACATATCCTATGTGGCTGTATGTGACAGCCCTGGCTTTCTGTACCAGGCTGTAGCAGGTGGGACTCAGTGAGGTCCCTCAGCCATGGCTGTCTGACCAGTGCCATTCCATACCAGCTTGGGGAATGTTGCAAGGAGTTTCTTTTTGGATTCCAGCTTTCTGTCATACCATTTGGGGTTTCCAACTTCAGGTTGAGGGACCCAGCAGTATCTTCATCTTTCTTTCTCAAAATGTCTTTTTTTTTTTAATCGGAGTCTTACTCTGTCACCCAGGCTGGAGTGCAATGGCGTGATCTTGGCTCAATGCAACCTCCGCCTCCTAGGTTCAAGCAATTCTTGTGTCTCAGCCTTCCAAGTAGCTGGGACTACAGGCACATGCCACCATGCCCAGCTAATTTTTTTGTATTTTTAGTAGAGATGTGGTTTTGCCATGTTGGCTAGGCTGTTCTTGAACTCCTGACCTCAGGTGATCCACCCGCCTCAGCCCCCAAAGTGCTGGGATTACAAGTGACAGCCGCTGTGCCCAGCCTCAAAATTTCTTTCTCCTGTGGTTTTCCCCCTTTGGACTCCCACCCCTTACCCAGGGTTGGAACTACTTATCTTCTTTGTAACAGGTAGGACCTATTGCCTTCTTCTATATCATCTCTATCCTACACCTTGTAGAAAGTCTCTATGCTCAGAACTCTAAGGGTTGCTTTAGAATTTAGAAATATACCTTTCTCTCTCAAGAAAGCCTGGACTATTGTCTCATGATGACATTGACAGCCTATTTTGGAAATCAAAAAGTAGACATTGCTCCATTCTCTTTGTGTTTCTGCTGCAACTATCCCAATCCTTCCCAAAGCAATAGATTCTCTGACTGGGGAGTGGAGGCATTCATATATTGCAAGAACATCATCTTCTTTGAGTAATTATATCTGGCACTGTGCCTGGATCAGAGTAGCTGATAAACAAATATGATCTTGTGGCAGAGGGCTACAGGAGAGCGTTAGCATCTAGATTCCTTGATCTAATATGAAACCCATCCAAAGAGAATGAGATATTCTGAAGAATCATTCTTTACAGCAGGAAACAAATTCTGCCTTAGAGACTGGACCCTACATTTTGTGAAAGGGACCTACGTCCATGACATCATCCAGGTGTGGCCAAGCCGTCATGGCATTCCAGGGAAGCTCCGGTTACAGCGACACGTTCTCACTTTTCCTTTATTTGACATTCAGCCACTCATATGGGGATAGCTTTCTTCAGTCACCATAACCACAGCCAGCTTACACATTTGTCTCTTTGAAATTAATCACTCTTTAGACTGCTTATTCTAATTTCTGCTTCCTGAAGGCAGAGCCAGCAGGCATCTCCACATGGTTTCTCCGTTCTCCAGCTGGAATTTCTGAAGGACACTGTGAGGCCACTTCCATTTCCGCTGCCTCCTGACCCTCTTCTACATCCCAGAGTCTACCTTACATCCCATGAATGGACAAGCAGTGGCGTATTTCTGACTGCGTGGGCTCCCTGCTGTCACAGGGCACTTGCTGTCAACAGAAAGCAGGTGTTCTGGGAAGACTGGAGGAGCTGTGGGTGGTGAGGCAGACACTGGGCTTGGCTCTGGAAGCCCGAACTCAGAACATTAAGCTGAACCATCTGAAGCTCCTCCACGAAACAGGTTGTGCAAGTCTCTCTTCCCCTCTCTATGGGTTCATGCATATTCATAATTAGAACAACTCCAGGCCGAAGATAATGATTCATGCAGGAAGCGCCATTCTGAACATTATTATCTGGGAGTGACAAATGAATTTCTAATTTAACATGTGTATTGCACAAATAGATCACAAGAACTTTAAAGTCAAAAGCATCCTTTGGAGTCATGCAACTTCTGTTGTAATGTAGCATAAAATGATAGGGGAAGGAGGGGATCTCCCACTGGTGGGCTGTGCATAGCGGTTCCCTTCAAAGCAGAGGAGAAATAAAAGGGGGTGAGATTTCAGACACTGTTTGAGTCTACTATAGAAGCCAATAACAATGACCAAGAATAAAACAACAGCGGCAACAACAAAAAGCCAGTCACTGGCACAAGCAATACCATTGTTTTGAGTTATTATTTGAGAATCAACAGAATCCTCCCTATTTTTTTCTCCTGCTGACAACAAAAACGGAGGGTAGGCCAGTTGGGTTCATTGGTTGCTCAATAAGAATCAGAGGGCAGTAACTGCAAGACAAGGCTGAAGAGGGAGTGGTAGAATTGATTTCAGCTGCATTTCAATACCGGTTTCATGTTGAAATACTAATTTATAGCATGATAATATGATAGCAACACTGTCTGCCTGGCTGCAAAGACTGGCCTCTTCCAGCTTGTCAAAGCTGACAGTCAAGCGTAAAATGGCTACTGTCAAGGAATGGCAGCTCTTTTAAGACTAGGTCTTAAGCCATTTCTTAAAGTTCTGTATTTCTGTCATCACTGTCCCCCATCTCCCAATCCCTTTTCTTTCTAAATGCTAGAATAAACTGGCTGCGCATTCTCCTACCTACTACAGCATTCACCAAAAGCCTGTGGAAAATTCATACTGTACTAGAGCCTGGATATCTACTTTTGATCTCTCTCTTCTCTTCTCTTCTCTTCTCTTCTCTTTTCTTCTCTATTTCTTTTCTTTCTTAGCTAATAATGTATTTTAAAATGTTAACTAATCATTTTATGTAAAATCAGGTGTTATGGTAAAGCACATTACTTTCATGACCTCATTAAATTCTCACAACAACCTATGACAAAAATGCTACCCTGATTTGCTGATGATAAAACTGAGGCTCTAAGACATAAAGTGACTTGCCTGAATTCACAGAGCCTGTGATGGCAGAGGCGGGAGTAGTGGAAACCAGTTCTGCTTGACTTCAGAGGCCACTCCTGTCATTCCTAAACTGGATATATTTAATGCTAAGGAGGCATGTCTTTTTAAGAATGTTTGTACAAATATTGATCGAGTGGAACCCTGGTGAAGGACCTTGCTTGGAACTGGACAGTCAGGTTCCCTGGCTTCCTCCAGCTGCCTCCCACCCTGTGGGATGAGGTGGTGACAAAGCCCAGAGGATGTGCTTGTCTGGGACGTAGATCCCTTCTGCACCACAGTCTGGGACAGTCAGGCTTGTACCCTCACCACTCCAGCCCCCAAGAAAAGCTTCTGCTTATCTCCCAGTAGTCCCATCTCTGAATGGAGCACCTCCCCATAACTAAACCAATCACTGAGCCGAGGCAGGGGATGTGGGGTGCTCTGATTGGCCAGGTAGTCACATGCCCCTTCCTGGAGTTGTGAACGAAGTTACCACCATCTGAATATGGTAGTCTGAGAATAGGAGAAAGGTCCCGGTACTTGTCAGGATGACTAAGGTGTTGTGAGCGGAAGCGGGAAGAAATGCCCCCAACACATGTCCACTGGACTTGTGAAGCTTCCCTGCCTCTCAACTCCTCTGGGCTCTGGGGGTTGTAGGAGAATGTATTAGGAAGAGACACAGAAGGGAATGGAAGATAAGAGAAAAACAGGCCAGGTGTGGTGGCTCACACCTGTAATCCCAGTACTTTTGGAGGCCAGGAGTTTGAGACCAGCCTGAGCAATATAGTGAGACCCCCATCTCTCCAAAAAAAAAAAAAAAAAAAAGCCAGATGTGGTGGTGCTTGTTGTCCCAGCTACTGGAGAGACTGAGGCAGGAGGATTATTTGTCTTCAGGAGTTAAAGCCTAAAGTGAGCTGTGATTGTGCCACTGTGCCCTAGCCTGGATGACAGAGCAAGACCCTGTCTCTAAAAAATTAAAAGGAGGGAAATACAAAAGAATCCTTTCAGGTAAGTTTGCTCGCAAACAGAAACACAGAAGTGGAGAAGAATCCGAAAGGGTTCCCTTCAACTCAAGAGAGAGAACACTTAGGAAGAAATGCTTTAAAAGCCCAGTTCTTGGTGGCAGGCATCTATAATCCCAGCTACCCAGGAGGCTGAAGCAGGAGAATCGTTTGAACCCGGGAGGCAGAGGTTGCAGTGAGCCGAGATCGCACCACTGCACTCCAGCCTGGGCGACAGAGGAAGACTCTGTTTAAAAAATAAAAAAAATAAAAAACAGTCCTGTCTTATTCCCACATCCCATACCCTGCAGACCATACAGCAGTGGTCTTCCACTTTTGTCCTACAGATACTTACGGCTGTGGGAGGGTTCCTCAGGATTCTCTGCAAAGAATGAGGTTGGGGTTCAGAAGGAAGCTCAATGGGTAGAGCTCACACTCTCTCCTGGTTTCCACCAGAGCATTCTGTCATTCGTCACCCATTTCTGCATTTTTCCGTAAGACCTTGTTGTTTTGTTTTGTTTTTTGTTTTGTTTTTGTTTTGTTTTGTTTTGTTTTTGAGGTGGAGTCTCACTCTGTCCCCCAGGGTGGAGTGCAGTGGTGTGATCTCCACTCAATGCAACCTCTGCCTCCTGGGTTCAAGCAATTCTTCTGTCTCAGCCTCCCGAGTAGCTGGGATTACAGGTGCCTGCCACCATGCCTGGGTAATTTTTGTACTTGTAGGAAAGACGGGGTTTCACCATATGGGCCAGGCTGGTCTCGAAATCCTGACCTCAGGTGATCCACCCACCTTGGCCTCCCAAAGTGCTGGGATTACAGGCGTGAGCCACCGCACCTGACCCGTTGTTGTTTTTACAAAGGCCCCTTTTCTAACCATTGATCTACACTGAGACAGTCTCAAGAATAAAGTCCTCTGGTTACCTCCACCTGGTGCTTGGTGTGGTGCCTGACACACAGTAGGCACTTAATAATTGTTGAGCTGTCAAATGGAACTGAAATGCTGAATGACAACCAGGGAAAGGTAATTATGAGTGAAAACTTAAGTCATAGAAAGGAAACAGCCTTCTGGGCACACAGAGAACTGATGGTTTCCTTCATGATGGTATGACCATAGACAAGGCTTGTGTACAAAGGCAGCCTACCATTTACTGCATCCTTTTTGGCTGCCACAAAGCTGTAACTAAACAGGCTCAATGTTTGTGATGGGCCACTGGTTAATAATAATAACACTCTTTGAACATTTATCAAGAGCTAGATGCTTGTGCATTATCTCATTTAACTCTCATAATGGTCCCATGAACGGGGATGTTATTATTATGCTCCTTTTATAGGCTGGAAGAGATTAAGTAACTTGGCCAAGGTCACATACCTCTAATAGGGCAAGGCCAGGGTATAAATCCACCGGTCTGATTCCGAGGTCCCAGTAGTTAAGCACTCTGCTACTTACTTACCACCAGACAGTGCCGTAACGGTGGTCCCGCAAAAGTATTTTATGGTTTAGAGTTCAGGCAACACCAGTGAGAGGAACACTGATAAACTGAAGTATCTATCTTAGGAAACCAGATTAAAGTGATGGAGGGATGGATGGAGAACCTTTGTGGGAGTCTATTTATCAGGGAGAATGTAAAGACTCTCCAAGAAAAAGAAGCACCTTCAGGTCCCTTGGGGACCATCAGGGAAGCAAGAACTAGATTTGTTTTGGGTAGTTTCAGGCAAAACCTAGAAACATCATGTTTTCTCTAAGTTGACAGATTCCCATACAGTATGAAGGACACACTTTCTAACCCAGGGCTTCTCAAACATGAGTGTGCTTATGTATCACCTAGAGAGCTTGTTAATGCACACACTTCTCACCCCCTACTCCCCAAAGAGATTCTGATTCAGTACATCTGGGATGGAGTGTGACCCATTGCGCTTCTGATAAGCTTCTACATGCTGCCGTTGCTATGCTTGGGACCACACTTTGAGTGGCAATGCCCTAGACCAGGGGTCAACAAACTTTCTCTGTAAAGAGCCTGTTGTAGTTTGGATATTTGTCTCCTCGTTTTGAAATGCGATCCCCAGTGTTGTAGGTGGGACCTAGTGGGAGGTGTTTTGGTCATAGGGGTCCCTCATGAATGGCGTGGTGTAGTCCCTGCATTGAGTGAGTTCTAACTCTATTAGTTCATGAAAGATCTGATTGTTAAAAAGAGCATGGCACCCCTCCTCTCCCTCTCTTGCTCTCTGTCTCACCGTATGACTTGCCTGTTCCCTCTTTGCCTTCCTGCATGGTAAAAGCTTCCTGAGGCCTCACCAGAAGCAGAGGCTGGTGCCAGGCTTCTTGTACAGCCTGCAGAACCATGAGCTGAATACACCTCTTTTCTTTATAAATTGCCCAGCCTCAGGTATTCCTTTATAGCAATGCAAAATGGACTAATACAGAGCCTGAAAGTGAATATTTTAGGCTCCTGGAGCAACTACTCTTTCGTTGTCATGCAAAAGCAGCTATACACACAATGCAAATGAATGAGCATGTGTTTCAATAAAACTTTATTTACAAAAATAGGCAGCTAAGCCCTTCTGCATCAGTTAGTGTTCTTAGCTGGCAGCAACAGTAATCACTTGCTAGTTTAATGAGGAAATGAGTTGCTTACAGCTTCCCTTTGGGCTACCACAGAGCCTATTACCACTATCGGCTATGACCTTGTCCAGTGTTACTGATGCTTTAAGAAGACCCAAGTCCCAGGCCGGGTACGGTGGCTCATGCCTGTAATCCCAGCACTTCGCGAGGTTGAGGCAGGTGGATCACCTGAGCTCAGGAGTTCGAGACCAGCCTGGCCAACATGGTGAAACCCCATCTGTACTAAAAATACAAAAATTAGCTGGGCATAGTGGTGGTGGGCACCTGTAACCCCAGCTACTCAAGAGGCTGAGGCAAGAGAATCGCTTGAACCTGGGAGGCAGAGGTTGCAGTGAGCGAGATTGTGCCATTGTACTCCAGCCAGGGCAACAAGAGCGAAACTCCATCTCAAAAAAAAAAAAAAAAAAAAGAAAAAAGAAGACCCAAGTTCCATTTCTGCCAAGTCATCTGCTGCATCTTAGATCTCAGTTGGAAGACAGCAGAAGGGTGTGTTCTGTCTCTGTGCCTGTGTGTGGCTGACACACATGAGCAGCTCTCCTCTGAAGCTGAAAGTTGTCTACGCTCAAGTTACTCACAATGGGCAAAGTATGATGGCGGGGCATTCCCATCAAGTGCATTATTCCATCCCTCTTGCACCATACACATCAACAGAATCTGCCTTATGCAAGAGCTGATAGACACAGACAGACATGCAGGGTGCTGGGAGAGCCTTGGGTCCAATCAGTCAAGTCATCAAGTCTGGGACAAGGAGCATATAATTGAACCCAACTCAAGGCTAAACTCAAGTTCCAGGAATGCCAGAAAATCCTTATCCCCAAGAAGCAAGCCTTCATCAAATTCAGTTTAACTGTTAGTTTGAGTCATGGTGGCAGAATAACACTTGGTTGGTTATGAAGTCAAAAATAATCCCAAACGTGGTCTCTTGGATAAGAGCTGGAACCCTGGGTCATGAGGGAACTGATGTGTATTCTCTTTCTAGGGAACTCCTTGGGCTGGTTTCATCTACTTAAAACCATAACCACTGGTAATCTCTCTATTCTCTCTCATACACACACACATGTATGCTTGTACACACACACACACACACACACATATAGATTCTTACTAAAGGATATTTGTTGCAGACACTCAGAGAATCTCCAGAGAAACCTGGCTTAGAGGCCGTGGATTCAGGGACATCGCTGAAGCCCTGTGCTGGTGGAATTCCCACTACTGATATCTTGGGCCAGGAACTGCATTCTGGGAACCAGCACTGGGTATGGGATGCTATTGCAGGGATCTCTGCCTTTGTTATCTCTGGAAGCTGGACATTCCTACTGCTCCTCTCTCTGGGATAGATTCTGTGTGGGAACTAGAGGAAAAGTCTCACACAGATATGACTGAATGGTGGACCCTAGGCCACACGCCTCTGCCCTCTCTGCAAAAGCTTCTAGGAAAGAAAGTTTTAAGCTTCTGCCACAACGTGGGTAAACGCTTCAAACAAAAGAAGGGTACACAGAGAAGCAGAGTGATAAAGAGGGATTTTACAGTGCCCATTATACCTCTGAAGACAGCTTTTTGGGATTAGGTTCAAGGCATCTAGGGCCTTTATCCAGTGTTTTTTCTACTTTTCCCCTCTTTTTAAATTAACCTCAAGTTTCTTCCATATCCTTTATGTTCTTGAGCCCTCAACACACACACACGCACACACACACGTCAATTTCTCCCCACTACCAGTCCCTCAGGAAGGGCTTAGCTTAGTCATAAAAATGAAACCCAAATTATTAGCAAAGCAAAATCTGCTTCTCTCTTTCCTAGAGAGAAGGAATCCTTCAGTTCTCAAAAACACATGGTAGATAGTTTAAAAAAAAATTGAGAAAGAATTTGAGTTGAACAATTCATATTATAATACAAAGTTAACTTCAGACCATTTAATAATCAAAATTGCAAACAAATTGGTTTGAATTGCAGCAAGACAGCTTTCTGGTTTTCAGGCTTGTGGCAACATGGAATTCCTTTCCTGGAGGTCTTTAGGGAATTGGCTGGATCTACCAAGTGGGCTGGCATAATTATGTCATCTTTGGGTGTGGAGATAGAGAAGTGGATCAAATAAATGGCGTTCACATGTCCCTGCTAGCCTTGCTTGAATACTGTTAGTGTGTAGTACCCACATCTAGGAGATGGCGGTGCAACGCTAAACATTCCAGCGAGGACAGACTCACAAGTGCTCGCATGTCTGGCGGGAGAGGCAGAGGTAGCTGGAACCAGGAACAAAGGACTGAGTCTGGGGTTGGGTTAACTACTGCTTATTTTATTTTATTTATTTGTTTTGGTACAGAGTCTCATTCTATTGCCCAGGCTGGAGCGCAGTGGTGTGATCTCAGCTCACTGCAGCCTCCGCCTCCCGGGTTCAAGTGATTCTCTTGCCTCAGCCTCCTGAATAGCTGGGACTACAGGCGCTCACCACCATGCCTGGCTAATCTTTGTATTTTTAGTAGAGACAGGGTTTCATCATGTTGGTCAGGCTGATCTCGAACTCCTGACCTTGTGATCCGCCCACCTCAGCCTCCCAAAATGCTGGGATTACAGGCGTGAGCCACTGTGCCGGGCCCTACTGCTTATTTTATCCCCAATCCAACCCCAATAAGTTTTGCGATTGCTAGAGACCCCGAAATTGCCAGAGTAGTTGAGGAGTACTCTAACATTTTCTCTGACTCTTAGTTAAACATTGGCAACTTTTCCGAGACTATAAATTTGACTGGGGCCCAGTCATTTCTCTCTTTGTAGTCTGTGAAAATTAACTGAGTCTGCAGGGGCTGCAATCACCGCCAAAAACCGCAAGTGTGGGCTGTTCCTCCACACTGACAAAAATAACAGCTAATTAGGCTGCAACACCCCAAGGAAAGTGAACTTACGCCACCAATCGCAGGATGGCATGCAAAACGTCGCCATGGCAACCGGCATTTACAGCTCTTCAATTTTAATATATCAAAGGCTAAGGGTAATTTCCCAGCGAGAATACAGGAGGGTGGATTTCTCCCCTCTTTATTCTTTCTGCCGGTCTTTTGCCAGTACTGTGAGTACGGAAGCTCTATTCCTGTGGCAACAGGTTTTAAAGGAAGAGAGCCTTGTGAAAGCATGAAACACCTGGCGTGGGACTCCTGGAAATGCTGGGTGCCTCGGGAGGCGCAGGGAGAAAGGCATGGCATTCTTCTTAGAGTCTAGGCTGGGTGAACAGAGCTGAGAGGAGGTGAAGTGTGAGCTGTGAACTTTTGCCCTCAATTGCAGGTGAACTTTCTGTTTGCATAAAAATGTTTTCTTTTCTCCCCTCTTTCCCCTCCTCTGCCCTTCCCTCCCCTCCCCTCTCCTCTCTCCTCTCCTCTCCCCTCTCCTCTCCCCTCTCCTCTCCTCTCCTCTCCTCTCCCCGCTCCTCCCCTCCACGCTCCTCCCCGCTCCTCCCCTCCACGTTCCTCCCCTCCCCTCTCCTCCCCGCTCCTCCCCTCCCCGCTCCTCCCCTCCCGTCCCCTCCCCTCCCCTCCCCTCTCCTCCCATCACCTCCCCTCCCCTCTCCTCCCATCCCCTCTCCTCCCATCCCCTCCCCTCCCCTTTCCTCCCATCCCCTCCCCTTCCCCTCCCCTCCCTTCCCCTCCCCTTTCCTCCCCTCCCTTCCCCTCCCCTTTCCTCCCCTCTCTTCCCCTCCCCTCCACTCCCCTCCCCTCCCCTTTTCTCTTGTTGGCCCTCCCTTTCTTCCTCCCTCCCTTCTTCCTTTTTTACCTCCCTCCCCCTTTGCTTTTCCCCCCCTTCCCTCCCTCCTTCCTTTTTTCCCTCCCTCCCTCCCTGCCTTCTGGTTTTGTTGAGTGCTTACTCTGCATCAGGCACCCAATAGGCATCGTCTCATGTATTCTTCATCACTACATTGTAAGATAAACACTATTCTTATTTTAGAGATGAGGACATTGGGATGACGAGTCCTAATCTCACAGTAAGTTGTAGAGCCTGGATTTAAGCCAAGTCAGACCTCACAACCCAGGACCCTTGTAGTTTGTGTCTCCTCTGTGTTACTAAAACTTACTCTGTAAAAATGGAGGTGGATATATTTATTAAAGTCACTGCCATCACCATCATGAGTTGGTCAGTGCTGCATAACAAACACCCACACAATCTTAGTGGCATGCAGTGAATAAGCATCTACTTTGCTGCAGGATAGGATGACTCTGTGATTATTCTGGGACTCAGGCTGAAGGGAAAGTGCTTCTCACGGTGATGATGTTAGTCACTAGAGGGTATGCCCAACCACATAAGTGCATTTCAAATCTATCCCATGTCATATCTGCTAATATCCCATTGGCCAAAGCAAGTCACGAAGTTGAGCCCAAAGTCAAGAATTGGGAAAGCATACCCTCCCTTTTGTTGAAGTAATTGCAAATTTTTATAGTAAGGGTGTGAACACAAAGAGAGGTAAAGAATTGGGGCCCCAGAATCATTCTAGTTCAGTAACTGTCTATCATCATCATCATCAACTTCATGATCTCTGTGAACCAAGCTTCTCTTTACCTTTGTCTGTGTTTAAATAATGAGTGATCTCTTTATAAAGTTCTTCAAAGAGGACAGTCATTCGATTGAAGCAAAATAATAATTATTATTGAGCACATACTATGTCCCAGGCACTGCACTGGGGCTACATCAGTGAACAAAACATCCCATCTCAAAATAACTTACTGGGAACCCTAAAGCCCTGTGCTAGACATTGAGAAGCCCGCAAGAAATTCTAACACATGCCAAAACCATTCTGAATATTTCACAGAAGATGTCTGTGCATCAAAATCACCTGAGGAACTTGTTAAACACCAAGACTTTCAGAACTTGCCACCAACAACTCTAGGTCATAGGGTTAACTCTCAACCTATCCCATTGAAAACCTTGCCCCAAACTACAGTTGAGTTGTAGGAAAAGAAAGTTACAGGAAATAAACTACACGTACACCCTCTTCTTTGGCTACTCCTTGGGCAACAGGCCTTGATTAAAGTTTCCAGTAAATCTCTTCCAGTCCCCAGCCCCCATTCCAACAGTGTTAGTGAAACCAGGAAGTTGGAGCCACATGTGATGAGGAAAGACACAGGTCCCCTCTTCCTGTCCCTCTAGGGAACCTCGGAGAGATGTGGGGCTCCAGTCATATTCTGGTTGGGAGTTGGAGACAATTTCGTTGAATTCTAAATTACCAGACTCTTTAGTGAGCGTCAGGATCATCATGATGACTCTAGAAGGGAGGTGTTACGAATTCTATTTTGGCAGTCAAAAATGCAAACACTGAGAGAAGGATCTCACTGTGATCACATAGCTAATGACTGAGTCCAAATCAGAGTCCAGGTGTTCTAAATTCTTAGGTTTCTATCCTAATAGCAGCACTGCCCATGAGCTCGGTGAGCTGGGGCTTATTACTTAATTTGACCCCAGTTTCCACATTTTTTAAAACGGGGAGTGGTGCACATAGTTATCAGTAATTTCCAGAGTTACATATATGCAAAGTGCTCAGCAGTGTACCTGGCACATGTAATAAATTTAACCAACAAACCCCAGTGGTAGCAGCATTTACCTGTGATTTTGTTATCAACAGATAACAAAAAGTAATTATCTCTTTACAGTTGCTAGAGACATCTCAAAATAGTATTAATGCTCATCACTTCTTCAAATTCACACTAATTTCAGACACACCATTAGTTCTTGTTATTTAGTAAATTAATGAGGGAGCACACTTGGCAAGAAACGAAACAAGGAGTCTTCTGGGGGGATGGAAAGATTTCCCATTTCTTTAGAAGTGTGAGTTACAGAACCATATCCATTTGTCAAAATTGTTCAGTTCAGAACTGCAGACTCGCATGTAAATTTTCCCTACGTTGAAGACAATGAAAAAAGGGCAAATGATGTTTTCTGCAAGTTTCAGGAATCTATAAATAAATTGCAAGGCCATGTTTAAACACTTTTTTTAGAGCACTTTATAGTTGTTCAATCATCAACAGTATTGATATGCCAATTTCAATGCTTTTTTCCATCATAATCTGTTTATTATAGCAGATCTTCTAAAGGTTTCTTAACAGTTACTGCACTAGAACACTAGGGCAAATTTGTATTGTAAATGTAAATTTTGCATATATTGGAGATTTCAACATCTTAAAGAATGGTAGGATATTGATGATCGTGGAAGGTGGGAAATGGGTGCATGGGTTCATTATACTATTCTATTTATTCTTTTTATGTTGGATGTTTTCCATGATGAATTTTTAAAGATATTTTTAATGATAAATTTTTAAAAGAACCTCATATATTAGTTTATCACAACTTAAAAATATTGTGATAACTGTAGTTCAATATAATTGGTTTTTTTCTGAGTTACTATGCATTTTACTTTATGCATAGTAAAAACCCACTTTTTCTGAGATGAGATCCCTAGGCTTCACCAGACAACTGAAGATTTCCTTGACACTAAAATATTTAAGATCTCTTCTCCCTTTTCATGCTTTCCCTGAGCATGAGTTTTCAGCTTGCTTCAGAATCACAGTCTTACACATTTGCAGAGAGCTTTACAGTTTACAAAGTCTTTTCCCCCATCTTCACGCGTCATCTGCCTAGCTGTGGGGACTTGCAGATGGTACCTAGGACTAAAGATCAAGTTTCCAAAAGTTGTTCCTTTGGAAAATGAGGGATTTACCAGAAATGCTGATAATCCCAGTATCTGAACCTAATAAGCAATCTGTGAGATTAATTAGATAAGAGGTGGTCAGTTTTACTTTGAGAATGATCTGAAAAATAGGCATTTTTAAAATTAACAAAAACAATTTCTTTGCATGTGCTGAAGATCTACGTTTGTAAACCTCAAAATCTTGAAAACACCTCACTTGTTCAGAAACAAATCAAGATTAAGGAAAATTTTGAATTATGAAATATATTGAATTATGAAATACGTTATTTCTTTTAGGTCCAACCAGACATTCTAACTAAGCTAACAGAATGTTGCCCTAGAGGTCTAGTGTAGTAACTTTTTTTTTTTTTTTTTTTTTTTTTTTGAGACGGAGTCTCGCTGTGTCGCCCAGGCTGGAGTGCAGTGGTGCGATCTCAGCTCACTGCAAGCTCTGCCTCCCGGGTTCATGCCATTCTCCTGCCTCAGCCTCCCAAGTAGCTGGGGCTACAGGCCCCCGCCACCATGCCTGGCTAATTTTTTGTATTTTTAGTAGAGATGGGATTTCACCGTGTTAGCCAGCCAGTACAGTCTCGATCTCCTGACTCATGATCCACCCGCCTCGGCCTCCCAAAGTGTTGGGATTACAGGTGTGAGCCACTGCGCCCAGCCTAGAGCAGTAACTATTAAGAAACCTTTAAGCCAGGTGCAGTGGCTCACGCTTGTAATCCCAGCACTTAGGGAGGCCAAAGTGGGTGGATCACTTGAGGTCAGCAGTTCGAGACCAGCCGGGCCAATGTGGTGAAACCCATCTCTACTAAAAATACAAAAATTGGTTGGGTGTTATGGCCCATTCCTGTAGCCCCAGCTACTTGGGAGGCTGAGGCAGAGGAATCTCTTGAACCTGGGAGGTGGAGGTTGCAGTGAGCCGAGATCGCGCCATTGCACTCCAGCCTGGGCAACAGAGTGAGACTCCATCTCAAAAACAAACAAACAAACAAAAACAAAAACCTTTTTTTAACCTGCTATAATGAACAGATCATGATAGAAAAAAAAGCGTTGAAATTGGCACGTCAATGCTGTTGACAATTGAACAACTATAAAGTGCTCTAAAAAAGTTTGTTTAAACAATCTCTTGCAATTTATTTATATATTCCCGAAAGTTGCAGAAAACATTATTTGCCCATTTTTCACAGTCTTGTTTGATATGTGTCCCTAGCATTTAGTGAAACAGCTAGTACAGGTATATGCTCCATAAATATTGACTACATTCACGAATGAATGGAAATTTTTGGAAAGGCAAATCCCAATTCTGGAATAGCTCAGATGGTTCATAGAGTCAGAATCTGTGAGTTTTCCCCGATTTATAGGCAGCTCTGCAGAGGGGTGGGGCAGATCTGGAATAAACAGAAAAGCAGCAGATGAAAAGGCCATTCTTGTTGCAATGACGCATTGGCACCATGCGATTATTTGTTTTCTCTAATACAATGTGAAAAGTGCTAATGGGATTAGCCTTTTGTGATGAATGCTAATATGATATGAAAACAAATGCTAATATGCAATGTGAAATTGCTAACAAAGGAGAAAATTGCTAATAAAATTCAATGGACCTCAATGACAAATGCTTCATACATCTCCCTCATCTGGCCAGGGCTGTCTCATAGCACAGAAATGAAAGTGAACTGGGGAGAAATGCTAGCCTACGCGTTGCTTGGTGAGATGTGGATTTCAGTCACTTCCTCTGAAATGACCTCTGTGTGGGTGGGGACAGGAGAGAAGGTACACGTTGGACACACACAAACATACACACACACACACACGAGCTCCAAGGGCTGAAGGCTCCAGCTAGAAGGTATCCGTACGGAAGCTACAACATGCCCCATTTCTGTTTTTGTATTAGGCCTTTGAACTTTTCCAGAATGCTCTCCTATCTTTTGCACTGATTGGCCTTACTGTAACCTGTGCAATTGGTTGGGCAGACACTTAGATTCTCAATCCCCCAAATGGAAAAGCAGCCACAGAGAGAATGGACTTGCTTATGGCCACTAAAATAGCAGTGCCAGAACTAGATTCCACGTCTTGGGTCCTTCCCTTCCCTGCCCAACTTGCCATTTCATCCTCTCCCTCCGTCTCCTCCCCTCCATTTTCCTTACTCATCTCCTTCCTCTCCATCACTCCCTTTCTTCTCTTTCTCTTCCCTTCCCCCTTTACCTTCTCCACCCCCCATCATCCACCTCTTTCCTCTCCCTCTTCTCTTTTTTCTACTTCTCCTCTGTCTCTTTGCCATATCCTTCTCCATCTTCTCTTTCTCCAAAACTGTTGGTTCTTGTCATTATTGTCCAAGGGTCATTGGTATACCAGCAAAAGCTAGTGATTGTGAAAAAGGACTTTGGTTGGGGAGCAGCCCACTTTGGAGTGAAAGTTAGAGTAAGAACCTGGCTCAGCTACTCACAAATTCTCTGAAGATGCATAACTTCTCTGAGCCTTGGTTTTCCCATCCGCAAAATGGGTTTTTTCAAAGGGTGGGTGTGAATGGTTAATATGACAATGTGAACTAAAATTGTGACTATTCAGAAGTGGTCATGTGTGCGGGAGAATACTGGGAGGGAATATTGAAAAGCTAGAAATAGGTTATTAGGGTGATTTTTTTTTCTTCAACAATGTCCTTTATTAATGTTTCGTGATATTTTTATGATTTTCAACACTTTCAGGCACAATGTCTTCTTTTCCTTTTGATATTTATTAAATGGTTTATTTTAAATTATTGTGGCTGGGCGCGGTGGCTCACACCTGTAAATCCCAGCACTTTAGGAGGCTGAGGCGGGTGGATCATGAGGTCAGGAGTTCAAGACTAGTCTGGCCAACGTGGTGAAACCCCGTCTCTACTAAAAGTACAAAAAAATTAGCTGGTTGCAGTGGCAGGCACCTGTAATCCCAATTACTTGGGAGGCTGAGGCGAGAGAATCACTTGAACTTGGGGGAAGGAGGTTGCAGTGAGCCGAGATGGTGCCACTGCACTCCAGCCTGGGTGACAGAGTGAGACTCCATCTCAAAAAAAAAATAAATAAAATAAAATAAATTATTGTGGATCATAATTGAACATATTTATGTGGTGCATATGATATTTTGATACAGGTAAATTAATATTTTGTGACATCTCTTTAGTATCCTGAAATAAAATTCATAGATTATATAACTCACAGACACACATAATTTCATAAAAATTTAATGCTCTAATGGTATTATAAAGGAGGTGGAAGGAAAGTAATTTATATAAAATAAGTATTTTAGTATGCAAATACTTGGCCATGAACATAGAAGACATGCTGAGGTAGGTAGATGCTTGTACCTATATTGGGAATCACCATAAATGGGAGAGCCACAGAAGCCCACTGATGCGGATGTGTTTTATTGATAACTATAGTACCATATGTGGCTTTGCCAGCAGTGGTGTTGTTTTCTGAATTGATGCGCAACAGCTCGTCAGGTTCTGAATAACAAAGTGAAATTTACAATTGAATCCCAGACCTAGAAGTTTCGTTGTAAATTAAGACCGTGAAAAATAACTTTGTGTTTATGGGAAAAATTGAGTTTATAAGTAGGTTTTTCATCTACCTGAGTGTCCAGAATGGCATTTGAAAGTTAACTAGGATATGGGGCAATTCTGCATGGGCTGAGGTTGTCCTCTCTACCACACGGACCTGACCCTCTAAATGCCTGTAGTGACCCCCTCCTACCATTTTGGCAACAAAAAGCAACCTCATACATTTCTAAAACGCCTCCTGGGGAGGTAGGATCTTCCCTGCTGAGACCACAGCTATATTTAAATAATAATAATAATAATAATAATAATAATAATAATAATAATAATAAAGCAACCAAAGAGAAAACCATCCTCTGCTTTGGGCAGTCTTTGACAAGCTCTCGGCTTTTTTCTCTCCCGCCTCCCTCTCTCTCGTTGAGGCTAAAAGTAAATGAGAATGGTGGCACTGATCCCACATCTAGAAAATTGAAAAAGAATTCATTTTTTTTTAATCATCAAACCTGACAGATTAGGCATGTCTCTCCTGTCACATTTCTGTCTGTCCTCAGAGTTGTTGAACGGAATCTTTCCACGGATCCATGTTATTGCTAATAGGATTTGTCTCAGAGTAAGCATTCAGCCTCCCCTTGTTTCCTGAGACCACAGTGGACACTTTCCTCTTCTCCCTAAGCCCAACCTTCATTGTATTTCAGCTAATAAAATAATTTCCTGCCAGATGGTGGGGGAAAACATAGCCCCTGGGAGAAATGATGTTGCTGTCATGAAAGATTGGACTGGTCATGATGCATTTGGATTAAAGCCAGCCTTTCCGAAGGTGAGATTGGCAGTTGGGTTTGCAACAGGCAGTCCCATCTGGGCAAAGTAGACACTCCAGGACATCAGATCTCGCCGGTGGCAAGTGGGATTTATTTCATGCAATGGGTCCATGTAAGTCTTTTCCCACATCAGTGTTGTGTCTGCTTCAGAGTTGGGGGGATTTTCGTAGGACTTGGAATTTCAAAGGGAAAACATTTGGCTCAAGTTAGAATTTAAGGTTCTTCGGGAAAAAAAATTTCTATTCAGTCCTGTGATCCCAGCCCCAGCCTGGAGGAGGCAGAACCCTTCATTCCAAGCCATTTTCCTGAATTATATTATCTTCTAAGTTTCTTTCAATTCCTTATTTGAGACTTTAGACTAGGTTTCCTGTTCTTTAGAGTCTTGAAGGAAGGTACAGTTAAGGACTATTCCTCTCTCCTCAACTTTCTCCAAAGTATTGTCTTGCAAGAGTTCCCATGATTACTTCTAACCACTTAAATGTTTATTAAAGGCAATCAATCACTTCAAAGCAAAAATCTTAGATCTCAGTGAAATGAGGTTCCTTTTGTTCCCCATGACATTCTGCTCTATTTCCTCTAGGACTCAATGTTACACAAATCCTGCCACTCATCCTTGAACCACAACTTAATCACTCATGCAAAAATTAAGATTCGATCACTTGTGTAGAAATTAAACTGACCTTTTCCTTTACCTGTAAAATAGAGGCAATACTAGCATTTTCCCTTAGGAGAATTGTGAGGATTAAATAAGATTCAGGTGTACAATGCTCATTGCAGTGCCTGGCTAATAACAAGCCCTCAGTAAACTGTCGATCTAGCTTCATGTTAAACCTGTGCAGGAAATCTCATCTTCACTCAACTCTTGGGCTCCAAGCATCCTAGTCCAAAAGTTGCCCCAGCCAAAACTTAGGATTCTTCTCTTTTGCTTATGCTCTGTGCATCTAACTCATTGGTAAGTGCAGTGAGCTCTATCTAAAAAAAAGTCTGAGTCCATTTCTGTTTCCTGATCTCTACCACCACCAACATCCACTTTCCTCCTCCACCTTCCATTATCTTGGCTGTGGCAATTACATCCTAATTGATCTTTCTATTTTGACTCATGGCTTTTTAAAATCCATTTTCTTCATTGCAGCTGAGTCATCTTAATTTTTTTTTAAATTTAAGTTCTGAATGTGCAGGTTTGTTTTTAATTTAAGTGCATTATGTGCAGGTTTGTTACATAGGTATATATGTGCCATGGTGGTTTGCTGCACCTATCAACCCATCATCTAAGTTTTAAGCCCCATATGCATTAGGTATTTGTCTCAATGTTCTCCCTCCCCTTTCCCCCCACCCCCGACAGGCCCTGGTATGTGATGTTCCCCTCCCTGTGTCCATGTGTTCTCATTGTTCAACTCCCACTTATGAGTGAGAACATGAAGTGTTTGGTTTTCTGTTCCTGTGTTAGTTTGCTGAGAATGATGGTTTCCAGCTTCGTCTGTGTCCCTGCAAAGGACATGAACTCATTCTTTTTATGGCTGCATAGTATTCCATGGTATATATGTGCCACATTTTCTTTATCCAGTCTATCATTGATGGGCATTTGGGTTGGTTTCAAGTCTTTGCTATTATAAATAATGCTGCAATAGTCATCTTTTAAAAATTGAACTTTTGTCACTTCTTTCTTTAAAACTACCAGCGGCTCCCCATGCCTCTTAGAAATAAATTTAGACTCTGTACCCAAATTTTCATGATTTCATGTGATCAGATCCCTGCCCATATCTACAATCTCATCTTGTGCTTTTCCTTTTCTTCATCACGTTCCTGCTACACTGCTCCTCTGTAAGAGACTCATTTCTCCCTCCAGACTTTGAACTTGGATTTGTGAACCCAGAATTATCTGAGACAGGTCTCAATCAATTTAGAAAGTTTATTTTGCCAAGGTTAAGGACACACTGTGACACAGCCTCTGGAGATCTTGATGACATGTGCCCAAGGTAGTCAGGATACGGGTTGTGTTCATAGATTTTAGGGAGACATGAGACATCAATCAATACATGTAAGATGCACCTTTGTTCTATCTGGAAAGGTGGGACAACTCGAAGCAGAGGTTTCCCAGTCATAGATAGACTTAAAGATTTTCTGATTGGCAATTGGTTGAAAGAGTTATTATCTAAATACAAAGGAATGTCTGGGGTACAATAATGGGTTGTGGAGACCAAAGCTGTATCATGCAGATGAAGCTTCCAGGTAGCAGGCTTCTGGGAGAATAGATTGTAAATGTTTCTTATCAGACTTAAGGTCGGTGTTGATGTTAATGCTGGTCAGCTTTTCCTGAGTTCCAACTGGCCTTTCCATTATGGCCTGAACTAGTTTTTCAAGTTAACTTTGGATTGCCCTTGGCCAAGAGGAGGGATCTGTTCAGATGGTTGGGGGGCTTAGAATTTTATTTTTCATTTACAAGTTCTTTCAGCCTAGGAGGACTTTCCTTTGGATCCTCCTGTGGCTGGTTTATTGTCATATTCTGCCTTAGCAAAATTGTTACCTCCTCAGGCCTTCTCTGCCCACCTACCTATAGTCTCATGTAGCTATAGAGTGACAGGCATCCTGCTATAGTCACTTGTAAGGTGATCATATAATTTATTATTCAACCTGGAGCACTTATAAGGGGTAAAAGGGGACTTTTACTCCAATTCAGCCAGGATGGTGGGTTTAAAGCAGGATAGTCCTGGATGAATTGAGATGTGGTCAGCCTTCCTGTTTATCATTCACACCTTCTCTATATCACCATGCTTTATTATCTCCATAGCCCTTGTCGTTAGCTGATATTTTTATTTATGTCACAGGTCAAACCCCAAAATTGGGGTTCAGTCCAGAAGACCACATGGGCTCTTGGCTTCACACAGGAAGGAATTCAAGAGCCAGTAGATAGTTAAGTGAAAGCAAGTTTATTAAGAAAGTAAAGGCACAAAAGGACGGCTACTCCACAGGCAGAGCAGTGATATGGGCTGCTCAACTGAGCATACTTATGGTTATTTCTTGATTATATGCTAAACAAAGGGTGGATTATTCATGAGTTTTGTGAAAGGACTAGGGAATTCCTAGAACTGAGGGTTCCTCCCCTTTTCAGACTACTTAGGGTAACTTCTAGACATCGTCATGGCATTTGTAAGCTGTCGTAGTGCTGGTGGGAGTGTCTTTTAGCATGCTAATGCATTCTAATTCACGTATAAGCAGTGGGGACGACCAGAGGTCACTTTTGTCTCCATCTTGGATTTGGCAAGTGTTGGCTGGCTTCTTTACTGTATGCTGTTTTATCAGCAGGGTCTTTATGACCTGTATCTTGTGATACCAGTCCTGCTGACCTCCTATCTCATCCTGTGACTAAGAATGCCTAACCTCCTGGGAATGCAGCCCAGCAGGTCTCATTCTCATTTTACCTAGCCCCTATTCAAGATGGAGTCACTCTGGTTAGAGCACCTCTGAAAAAGCAGGAAATTGCTGGAATTGAGGGTTCCTCCCCCTTTCAGACCATATAGGGTAACTTCCAGATGTTGCCGGGGCATTTGAAAACTGTCATGGCGCTGGTGGGAGTTTTCTTTGGTATGCTAATGCATTTTAATTACTGTATAATGAGCAGTGAGGATGACCAGAGGTCACTTTCATCACATTTCTTTCTTTCATCACCATCTTGGTATTGGTGGGTTTTGGCCAGCTTCTGTGGTGCATCCTGTTTTATCCGCGGGGTCCTTGTGACCTGTATCTTGTGAAACCAGTCCTACTGACCTCCTGTCTCATTTACATACTTGTTATCTCTTGGCTTAATGTAAACTTTAAGAGGAGGAGGATATTGTCTCTCTGGTTCACCATTAAATCTTCATCTTCTTGAATATGTTTAGCAGGTGGTAGAGATTCTATAAGTATCTGTGGAATAAAATATGTTGAATGTCAGGTCCTTTGATTGTTGTAGGTTAGGTAGCTATGGATTAGTTTTCCTTGCTACACCTCTTTTGTCATTTTGAATGGTGACTCGTAAAGCCTGTCTTTCTGTGCTGATCAGGAATCATGTTCTTTTCCAGACCAGGAGATTCCAACCAAAGGTAGCTTGTGGAGCAAATAGGGCTTCTCTGAAGTTTCTTACTTCCCTTTAGTGGCCCCCTTGTTTGAATTAGGTTTGATAAGCACAAAGAAGGAAATAGTTCCAGGAGTAAGAGACACTTACTCAGCCTGCATAGAAGACGTCATAGTTTCCCAGCAGTCAGGGCCATAAAATAAGTGGTCTCCCTGCTTATGGACTGGAAATGCCAAAAATGCAATGTTGAAAATAATACCGCAGGATCACTGAATTAATTATTGTGGGTCCTGATTGTGTAAAATCTGATTATTGTGGAGTGGGGATTGGATTGCATGTTAATATTTAAGTCCTTTGGAAATGGCACTGAAGGAAGAACCCTCCCATACTGTTTGGTTCCTCCAGCCCATCCCCCATGAGACAGGATTTCTTGGGACCCGAACAGAAATCACCTTATCACATCAGCACAGATTGCAGGCAGGGCTTGCACTTGCACTATTTGCATTTGTATAAAGAAAGGGCCTGGTATTATGTAACTGCATGTGGGTTCTGAGGGCTTCTAATGGGCCTCCTTTTGTACAGTCTCTTAGCAACCAATTGAAGTTTGTAAGCTGAAACAAAGAGACTGGAGTCCATCACTCCTTTAGCACATTCCTCTGAGTCTGGCCTGCCTCTAAGAGAGCCAGCCTAGTGGAGGCATACCTTTTCTTCCTTGCCAAAGCTCAGCAATCCTTGTTCAATCATTGCTTCACCTTAGGAAGGAAAGGAGTTGAGAGTTGGGGAGATAGGCTAGGGACTAGTTGTGTTGTGCTTAGAACTTCAACTTAGTCAAGTAAAGTCTTTAAGGCAACTGACCTGCACTCATTCATTCTTAAAAGAGGCAATGTTACTTGACAGTTAAGAGTGTTCTTTAGGGTCAGAAGGAATCCTGGCTCTGCCACTCAACAGCTGCATGTCCTTGGACAAATTACATTATATTTCTGGGCTTCAGTTTCTTCATTTTGTTATGCACGAACAAAAAAATGTACCCTTCTCATTGGTTCACTGAAAGTATTAAGGCACGTTATTAATGTAAACAAATATTCAGGGTTGGGGTTCCCTATGTGTCCAGTACTGTCCTTGGTGCTGAAGGCACTGAAGTAAATGTAACAGGCAAAAATTCCCTGCTCATATATGCAAGGATAACACTATGGAGGGAGATAGAAAAGCTGATGGTATTAATGACAGCATCATGGAAGATCTCACTGAAAATGTGACCACTGAGCAAGACTTGAAACACAATCCCAAGTGAAGGCCTTAACATGGTGCACAAAGGTTGTAAATGCTAAGTACATGTTAGCTTTTATTTAATTTATTCACTAATTAATGTCGTTATTCATCTACTTATTTATTCATCTGGCTAATTCTGAATTACTTACTCATCCACCTGTCCATTCATCCATCCACCCATTCATTCTTTCATCTGACATTACCTGAAGGATATGAATAATATTATTTCTATATTCAACATACCAAGTGCCATAATAAAGGCAGATGTAGATGAGGTTTAGAGCAAAATTTCTTAGCTTCAGCACTACTATCATACCTGGTCATATGATTCTTTGTGTGTGTAGGAGGGGTTGTCCTGTGAATTATAGGATGTTGACAGCATCCCTAGCTTCTGTTCACTAGATTCCCATAGTACTCCCAAGCCGTGACAACCAAATATGTCTCCAAACATTGCCAAGTGTCCCATGGGTAGTGGGGTGGCGGCGGGGGAGGAATTGTCTTCAGTTGAGAATCCCACATTTAGAGGAACACCTTTCTCAGGAAGGAAAATTAATCTACTGCATTTCTCTAGAAAGGAAATGAATCTAAGACTTTAATTTCAGTAGAAATAATAGCATTTTCCAACATTTTGTTTCTTAGAGGCATATTTTCTTGTGCTGAAAAGCAGAAGGGACTTGGGGACTATTTGAAATTGAAAACAGAATCTTACCCCACAGGAACTCTTTGCATTGCCTTTGAGAATTGTGGCTCATTCAAAAAACATCTCCAAGGCTTACCGAAGAAGTGGTTACAACAGGGAAATCTTCACTAACCTGAAGGAATGCAGGCTCATGCTTGGTGCCTTTGGAATTCTTGCCTGATTTTATTGATGACTCCACAACTACAAAGCTCAGCCCAAGATTCCTCAATGGAATAACAAACAGCAAGACTTTCTCTCTAAAGAATTCTGTTGAGAGCAGCCACGTGACTTGATTCCTTGGAAAAAGAACCATGCCTTACAGGGTATCATGTCGAGGCCAGAGCAGCCATCTCTGCCTAAGGGCACCTTTCCAGGTCAATCTCTTCCAAGGACAGCTCCTGACTACTAGGAAGGTAACTTAACTTGCCCGGTTTCTCACTGCCCTGCATATATCTATTCCTGGAGACATCTATGGTGCAAGCAAGTTGTCTGGAAATCCTGCAGTGTCTTAAGCAGCTCTTGAATTTTACCATTTCCCCCCATTCCCACTGTATCTCTTCTTTCCTCCTCTCCCATCCTGGTCAATCAAGTCCCATTTGGTCAATCACGGTAGCTGAATAACTGTTCACCTCATTCCTATGGAGGGTTGCTCACTTCCACCTGTCCTCTGCACAGTAGAGTTCAGTCTTTTCACTAAACACAGACTTCAGTGCCAGCTCCGAGTCCTGGCCTGCAGGGTAATGCATGATCTGCCCTTCTCTCCAACTTCCACACCAACCGCTCTCCCTTCGTGCTCAATCTGCTTTTGTCCCCCCAGCCTCCTTAGCTCATTTACACTTTAAGACGCCAATAGGGTTATCTTATCCCCTCCCAGCACCCCCCAACACCAGTCAAATCTTTGCTGGTAGCCCATTGTTTTGTGGCTGAGAATCCTAACAAGGCTTCCAAGTCCACCACTGTCTGGTTCTTGTCTACTGTAACACCATCTTCCACTATCTCCCATCCCTGTGGTCCAGCTGCTGTGTCTCCTCTGCCCCTCATGTGCACAGGGCTCTTCCCACACTAGGGCCTTTGCTCATGTGACTATCTCCACTCTAGAAGCTCTTCCCTTCCCTGCATGCTGTTTAAGCCTTCACCATGTATCAAAGCTCAGATTCAGCCTCTATTTCTCATGAAGACTTCTCTTACCTCCCTGACAAGTTCCTGTGCCCTGATTATACATTCTTATAGCATTATATTCTCTCATTCACTGCTTCCTAGTTGCAATTTTATATTTATTTACAAGCTTATTATATTATCAGCTCTCATCTATCCAGTTTCTAAGCACCTCAAGAAATGGGACCATATTTGTTATGTTACCATTTTGAACTTAGTATAAAGTGCCTGACACATAGTAGGCACTGAGTAAATATTATATAGTTGGGAAATTGAATAAATACACCCCAGCACTCCTCAACTACGAAGACTTATGTTTGCAAAATTAGGCTAACGTGAGCTTTTCTGGAGCCATGGGGGAAGGGTTGAGGATGGAATAGACTAGAGAATTTGTAACTGGGGAGGTATGAGGGCAGGTCAGCATCAGGAAATTACATCACTTGACATTTTCTTACTCCCTTTTGTGTCTGTACCTTCATCTTATATTATCCAATATTACAAGCCCCTTGAATGTAGGCATAGAGCCTTTTATTTCTAAAACTACAGTGAGCACCTAGCCCACGACCTGGCATATAGTAGGTGCTTAACAAAGCTGCACTGAATGAATAGATGCCACGCATTCTAGATTTAATACAGACCTTACCATCTAAGCTGAGGTTCATTCAGGAGGGACTGGGAAAGGAATGTGAAGGCTCATGATTGTTATTTATTTATTTATGAGATGGAGTTTCACTCTGTTGCCCAGGCTGGAGTGCAGTGGCACGATCTTGGCTCACTGCAACCTCTGCCTCCCGAATTCAAGCAATTCTCCTGCCTCAGCCTCCGGAGTAGCTAGGATTATCGGCATGTACCACCATGCCCGGCTAATTTTTGTATTTTTAGTAGAGATGGGGTTTCACCATGTTGGCCAGGCTGGTCTCGAACTCCTGACCTCAGGTGATTAGCCTGCGTTGGCCTCCCAAAGTGCTGGGATTACAGGCGTGAGCCACTGCGGCCGATCGTTATTTATTTATTCATTTATTTGAGACAGGGTCTGGCTCTGTTGCCCAGGCTGGAGTGCAGTGGTGTGTTCATATCTCTCTGTACCTTCAAACGCCCGGTCTCAAATGATCCTCCCACCTCAGCCTCCCGAGTTGCTGGGAGTACAAGCGTGCACCACCGTGCCTGGCTAATTTTTAATTTTTTTTTTTTTTTTTTTTTGTAGAGACAGGGTCTTAGTATGTTGCCCAGGCTGGTCTCAAATTCCTGACCTGACCTCAAGTGATCCTCCTGCCTTAGCCTCCCAAAGTGTTGGGATTACAGGTGTGAGCCACCGTGCCCAGCCAAGATGGTTATTTATTAGGAAAACATGGTACATTGAAGTTTTTCACAAAACATACGACAGAAAGAGCCTGGATAGTTTTTCTTTTTAAGCTAACATTTATCAAGAACATATTTTTTTTTTTGCCAGCCCTGTGATAAACGCATTATATGCATTATCTAGTTAATTTGTAGATGCTGCTAAATTTGCAGATGAGGAAACTGGGGCTTGGAGACATTCACTTATCAGTCTAAGGCCAGAGAATAGTGGCAAAATTAGCATTCAAACTTGGGCCTGATTTTAAAATTCATGGGCTTAGCAAGTTTGCTACAAGGACTCTTGCGCTAACTCTGGGTTCATAAATGAGTCATCCAACACCTTTTGCCTTCATGCCCTCACCCATTGGATAGATGAATCCATTCCTACTCACATCTCAAGGCTAAATGAAAGAACGCGTGTTTGTGAACAGGCATCAGAATACATATAACTGGAAGGGGTGCCATAATTCATTTATTGTGTTCTGGCTCCCCACCAGCCTAACAGGGCCTGTTATTATGTGACCTCCCATTGCTTAAGCCTCTGATAAGACAGTAAGTCTGTATACAAGGTGACCATGAACTGCTACCTGCTTTCCAATTGCTGTTGGAAGAGCTCCTTATACCTTACGAGGCTAAGAAGATAGAAGAGGTATTTCGCTCTGGTTTTGAGCAATTTGTTCTACTCTGTGAACTTCTGTGTCTGCTTATCCAGTTTCATGAAAATTAGATTAACGAGTACTAATTGGTGCTGACTCCGCTAGCTTAAAATGGATGGTGTCAAATGGAAGAGGAGCCCACCAGTGTGATGTTTGGATCCCAAAGCTGCTGGGAATTAAGTTTCTGCATGGATGTCGATATCATAGGTTACTTGTGGCAGCTTGCTCCAAGCTACTTTTATGGAACACAGTGTCACCCCCACAGATCTTTGAAAGGAGGAAGGATGCTTTTTCCAAAGAGGATTTGCTTCAGATGATTTGGTCAAAATGCTCATTCATTCGAGGAATCTTTTTTGAGCACCTATTAGATGCCAGGCTCTGTTTTGGACTCAGGGGTACCAGTGGTGAATAAAACAGGCAAAGTTCCATCCACATTAAGCATACATTCTACCTAAGGTTGGTAGACAATAATGAAGTAAATATATAATGTCAAGCAGCATTTCCATCTGATACTTGTATATTGATTAAATATGAGATAAACACATATTTTAAAAATGCTTTGTTGAGATATAATTCATATACCATAGAATTCATCCATTGAAAATATACAAATCAGTGGGTTTTGGTATATTGAGTTGTGTAATTATCACCACAGTCAATTTTATAACATTTTCATCACTCCAAAAAGAAACTCAGCAATCTTTAGTTATCACCCTCCTATACCCCATACCCTACCTCCAGTCCTAGACAACCACAAATCTACTTTATATATAGATTTGTCTATTCTGGATAGAGAAAATATCATCTTTTGAGAGTGAGGAGGCATGGGAGGAGACTTTACTGTCCTCACCTCCCAGATGAGGCATTTTGGATTTAGTTTTCCTTGGAGCTCCCTCTAAGATCCAGACTTTTAATCGCTTCACAGGCTCAGTTTCTGGGGGATAGTAGGGGTGCTGGCCAGTGTCCTGATACAGATCCTCTTTTTTACCACTTTACCTTTCACCTCTAAGTCCTACTTGAGATAACAGGTGCAGAGCCAGTCAGCAACTGAGAGTAAATATGCATATATGGAAACAGAAGACACTCCAGTCAGCTGTGCAGTCACATCTCCAAGCAATAAATAAGCACATCATGTTTATAGAAGCCTCACTGTAGTCCAAATTACTGTAATCTCTTACCTGGACTGTTTTAGTAGCCTGGTCTCCGGTCTCCCCATGTTTCATCTTGCCTCTCTTTCAGCCTGTTCTTCCCAAGATACCACAATAAATGTTTCAAAGTGTGAATCTGTCCATGTCACTCTCATGCTGATGAAAATCCCACATAGTCCTCAAGGTAGTCAAGGCTTTCCTTTATAGCCCCTGAGGGCCTGCAAAACCTGATCCCTGGAAGCCTTTCCGGCATCATCTGTCACTATTCTTCCTCCAGTGTCTAAATCACTTTTAATTCCTGCGAAGTGTCACATAATCTCTAGCCGGCCTTTGCCCTCTCTGGAACATTCTTTCCTACCTGCATTGCCTGACTAGCTTCCATATGCCCTTCAGGTCCTAGATTAGAGATGACTTCCTTTAGTGGGAGGCCTTCCTTGTTTCTTCAGGATGTGGTTAGGTACCTGTATTAGCTTTCTACTGCTGCTTAACAAATCACCCCAAACTTAACACCTTAAAACAACAAACATTTCACATTTTCTGTGGGTCAGGAATTCAGGAGTGGTTTAGTTGTATGCTTCTGGATCAAGGTCTCTCATGAGTTGTAGTCATGGTGTTGGCCAGAGCTGCTGTCATCTGAAAGCTTGACTGGGGCTGGAGGGTCTGCCTTGAAGATGGTACATTCCCATGGGTGTTGGCAGAGGGCCTCAGTTCCTCATCTCGTGGGCCTCTTCATAGGACTATTTAATGCCCTTACAACCTGACAGTTGACTTCTCCCGTGATAAGGTTTGTGTGTCCCCACCCAAATCTCATCTCCAATTGTAGCTCCCATAATTGCCACATGTCATGGGAGGGACCTAGTGGGAGGTAATTGAATCATGGGGACAGTTTCCCCCATACTGTTCTTGTGGCAGTGAATAAGTCTCATGAGATCTGATTTTTTTTTTTTTTTTTTTTTCCTGAGATGAAGTCTCACTCTGTCACTCAGGCCATAGTGCGGTGGCACGATCTCAGCTCACTGCCACTTCCGCCTCCTAGGTTCAAACGATTCTCCTGACTCAGTCTCCCAAGTAGCTGGGATTACAGGTGTGTGCCACCACGCCCAGCTAATTTTTATATTTTTAGTAGAGACGGGGTTTTGCCATGTTGGCTAGGCTGGTCTCAAACTCCTGACCTCAGGTGATCAGCCCGCCTCAGCCTCCCAAAGTGCTGGGATTACACATATGAGCCACCGCGCCTCGCCAATCTGATGGTTTTATAAAGGGGAGTTCCCCTGCACAAGCTTTCTCTTGCCTGCTGCCATGTAAGGTGTCCCTTTGCTCTTCCTTTGTCTTCTGCCATGATTGTGAGGCCTCCCCAGCCGTGTGGAGCTGTGAGTCCATTAAACCCCCTTCCTTTATAAATTACCCAGTTTTGGGTATGTCTTTATTAGCAGTGTGAGAGCAGACTAATACACCCCAGAATGATCAATTCAAGAAAGAGTTGGGGGAAGCTGCAATGCCTTGTATGCCCTGGCCTCTGAAGTCACACACTTCTATCGTAATCTATTTGTTAGAAGCAATTCCAGTCAATCCATCTCACATTTAAGGGGGAAGAAAACTATGCTCTACCCATTGAAAGAAGGAGTTTCAAAGAATTGGTGAACATTAGTGACCCTTGTATCCTGTCCTTACAGTTCCTGCACTTACCCCTAAATTAGCTGTTAGCACACTGAGTTGTCATTGTCTATCTCTTTGACCATGAGTTCTTCAAGGATGAAGACTTACTTCCTTTCACAATATTTAGAATATTTCTAAATTCTGTCACAGTTCCTTAAATACTGTTTAGTAACCACTTATTTGGTGAATCAATGACCTGTTCTAGATGCCTGAAAGGTATAGATCAGTGCTTCTCAAACATTAATGGGCATCCCTGCAAATCACCCAGGTGTCTTGCTAAAATGAGGATTTTGATTCAGTAGGTCTGGGGTACAGCCCGAGACTGTTTTCCTAACAAGCTCCAAGGGGATGCTGTGCTCCATGGAGCACACTTTGAGTGGGTTAGGGTTTAGAAGATATGATCCCATTTCTAGATAAGCTTCATAACCCAACTGGGAAGACACACTTCCCCCAGTAGGGCAGCCCAAGGCTGGCCATGAAGTAGTGTCAGCCTAGTCATGGGCAAACCTGCAGTATACTGGACTCGCTTTCCCTCCAGCAGCCCTGATTGATTGAAGAGATGTCAGTGAAGGACAGTCAAGGAAGGGTCTGTGTGATATAGGAAGCCTTCCAAGTAGGCAGCATATTGTCATTTGGCTCTGGAAGGTAGAGCTGGGCGGGGGCCACTCATGTATATGCCAAGGGGTTGCATAGCGTGAGCAAGGGTGGAGGGAGGCTGAGTCAACTCCTTGGGGGGGATCTGAAAGAAAGCTGGGGTTGAGTGGTGGCAGGTGATGGAGTCCCCATCTACACCTCAGAGAACTCATGAGCCCAGACTGTCTGCTGTGGTTGAAGCACTACTTTTGCTGGAGGAAAAGGGTTAGACTATGAAACGTATTTGTACTATTCCTGCCAGTTCTTGAGATATGTGATTCTAAGGCTCATATTTTAGAGAAAATTGAGCAAATCCAGATGTTTTCTGTTCATACCCTGAATCTCACCTTCATCCTTGCTGTTCTGATTTTACCAAGGTGAGGCACGTGTGTGTGTGAGTGTGTGTGTGTGTGTGTGTGTGTGAGAGAGAGAGAGAGAGAGAGAAATCTGTCATCTCAAGTGGGGCATTGTCTTCTTATCACATGAAGGGCCAATGTAAGCGTAGGGTAATAATAATAATCCCCAATGTTTGGGGAAAGGTTTCACATCCATTTAGTCTAGTGGTGCTCAGCTGTAACTGCACATTGGAAACCCCTGTGAGCTTTAAAAATTACTGATGCCAGCAGGGCGCAGTGGCTCACGCCTGTAATCCCAGCACTTTGGGATGCCGAGGCGGGAGGATCACCTGAAAGAACAGCCTGACCAACATGGTGAAACCCTGTCTCTACAAAAATACAAAAATTAGCCGGGCATGATGGTGGGTGCCTGTAATCCCGGCTACTCAGGAGGCTGAGTGGGAAGAATCGCTCAAACCCAGGAGGCAGTGAGCTAAGATCACACCATTGAGCTCCAGCCTGGACAACAGAGGAAGACTCAGTCTCAAAACAAACAACAGAACACCTACTGATGCCTGGGTTCCACCTCCAGAGATTCTGATTTAATGGGTCTAGAGTGTAAGTTGGGCATCAGAATGTTTAAAACCTTCCCAGGTGATGCTACTGTGTGGCCATGGTTGAGAGCCACTAGTTTAATCTTAGATGAACCCTTCACTAATAAAGGTAAGGGTTCATGTAAGATTAAACTAGTGGTTCTCAACAACTAGATAAGATGACCTGTCTTTTTTTATTTTTAAAGAAATGAAAAAATTGTTTTTCAGCAAGTTGAGTGACTGCCTGAAATTCATACAACCAATAAGTAGGAAGGTCAGAACTCAAACTCAAGTTAGTTGGTTAGTGCTCGTTCAATTTGCATTACCAATGTTGCCTCCAGGTAGCTAGTATTATGCACATGACAAAGGAAGAGAACTTGAATTTAGATATCTGGTTAAAGGTCAGACTTTGAGTTAGGGTGTAGTTAGGGCTCTATATTTGTTTTTCTGTTTTTTGTTGTTGTTGTTTGTTTTTTTTACTATAAATCAGTTTATTGTGGTTCAAATAGATAAACTGACATTCAAACATCTTAAACTTTAGGAACAAAAGTTTAACATTTAAACAGAAGTACAGTTTTCAGGAAACATCCAGAAAATAATTTGTTATCTAATCCAGAGTACTGACAAAGATTTCTTCATGATAAATAAAGTGTGTTTCACCAGCAGATTTTTTTTCTTTTTTTTTTCATTCCTTCATAAAAATCACTGGCAGTTTGATTCAGACCAACTTCCTAATGACTGTGGCTCTGTACCTTAGAGGAAACTGCTAAATAAATCCCTTAGGTTAACCAATGAGATTGGCCTATAATTCAGAGGGTATAAGCAAAGCATGTAAGTGAACAAATTAAATTGTTCTTTAGAGATGATGTAAAAGCATGTCCATTACAGTAATTTTCGCCTCTGACAGATTATTCAATTTTCAGTGTTTTACTTTTTTCTGGGGGTGGGCAGGGGGTGATGTGGGAGGGAAGGGAGGGTCTTGCTCTGTTCCCAGGCTGAAGTGCAGTGACATGTTCATGGCTCACTGCAGCCTCAACCTCCTGGGTTAAATGCAATCCTCTTACCTCCGCCTCCTGAGTAGCTGGAATTACAGGCACACACTACCTTGCCCAGCTAATTTTTTAATGTTTTATAGAGGCATGGTCCCACTATGCTGCCCAGGCTGTTCTCAAACACCTGGGCTCAAGCAATCCTCCCACCTCAGCCTCCCGAAATATGTGGATTACTTGTGTAAGCCACTGTGCCCAGCCTTACCTGCTTTAAAACACAAACAAACGAGCAAAAAAAAAAACCCAAAAAAAAAAACACTTAGGTTTTCTTGGAGTCTGTGCTAGTTGCATCTTGCAAATGCAAACCATATAATGCTCTTTAATGAAAACCTTTCCATGCACACCACTGTTAGGAAGAGCATCATTAAATCACTGCCTTCTATACCCATAAAAGGATGATTTTGAGTTTCAAGTTAAATTTACTAGAGATAGCTTGTATATATCAATCATGTCACAAAAAAATATTTCCAAAGTGTTCTCTGTTCATAAATGTCACAAATGCTTCTCCTATTTGTCAGATCATTTTGCAACAGGTTAACTAATACTTATCTACATAAAAACCTGAAAATTGGCACAGGCAAGCATTTTGAATTAGTAGATTACCCCCATGGAACAGTATTCAGACTTACTTTGTCTTGTGGGCTCTGAGGCTCTGGGAGGTAGAGGTGGACCCTGACAGTCCAGGTCATCAACATCCACATTCAGTTGAAGCCTCTCCTCAGGCACAGTCCAGTACTGAATACCATTTATCATTCTGCAAAATGTTGTCTACATCTTTCAGGTGCTGGTCATTCTTAGATTAGCTTCTTAGCTGTTCTGTTGACGAACAGAAGACTTCAATTTTCAGGATGGATGTTCCAGCATCTTCCACAAGCTTTCACTTTCACATTTTTCACTAAATTATTTGTTATAAATTTGATCTCCTTCAAAAGTCCCCTGAAGTCAACTTTGGTTGTAATGTATTTGTCTCTAACGTATTCTTCAAATTCTCTTTGTTTTTTTTCCTGTCATTGGAGGAGAACTGCACCCAGAATCTTATTTTTACTACTTCCACGTGAATGTTAAGGTACACACAGAGGTTTCATCCAGAAGTCTTCCCTCTTCTTTCTGTTAAGTACTTCAATGTGCTCATTAAGCTTCTCTTTCTCTTCCCTTTCCAACAAAGATCTAGATTCCAAGTAGTGATCTTTTTGATGAGTCCTCTATCAAACTATGACACATGTGAAGAACATACCTGAACAACCCTCAGGGATAATGCAGGATTTTTTGAGAAAGTTCCAGGGTATCTCCTGGTGTCAGTGTACTTTCAGTCCTACACCTCAGAGTTTTTTCTTTTTAATAACAGCTTTATTGAGATACAATTCATACCTTACATTTAAAATGTATGATTCAGTGGATTTGAGTATATTCAGAGTTGTGCAGCCTACACCACAAGCTAACTGTAGGATATTTTCATCACCCTGAAAAGGAACCCTACACCCATTAGCAGTTACTCCATTCTACCTACAGCCAGCCTAGGCAACCACTAATCTTTCTGCTTATTCTGGACATTTCATATGAATGGAATCATCATGTGATATTTTGTGACTGGCTTTTTTCACTTAATGTTTTCAAGGTTTATCCACGTTTAGCATATATCAATCCTTTGTTTCTTTTTAGTGCCAAATAATGGCTATGGGCATGGGGTAGAATTGCTAAATCATACAGCAGCTGTTTCATCTTTCAAGGAACTGACAGTCTGTTTTCTGAAGTTGCTACACCATTTTACGTTCCCACCCGCAATTTCTGTACATCTTCACCAACAGTTACTATTATTTCTCTTTTTAACTACAGCCATTCTAATGAATGTGAATCTCAGGGTTTGTTTTGTTTTTTGTTTTTTGTTTTTGTTTTTGTTTTTTTTGAGACAGAGTCTCACTCTGTCACCCAGGCTGAAGTGCAGTGGCACGATCTCAGCTCACTGCAACCTCCACCTCCTGGGCTCAAGTGACTCTCCTGCCTCAGCCTCCCAAGTAGGCGGGACCACAGGCATGCACCACCACACCAGGCTAATTTTTGTATTTTTAGTAGAGATAAGGTTTCACCATGTTGGCCAGGCTGGTCTTGAACTCCTGACCTCAAGTGATCCACCTACCTTGGCCTCCCAAAGTACTGAGACCACAAGCGTGAGCCACTGTGCCCGGCCTCATAGTAGTTTTGATTTACACTTCCCTAATGATTGTGTCCAGCATCTACTGGCCATTTGTTAGTGGTTTTTTCTTCTTTAAAAAACTGCTGAGACATCCATAAACATTTTCAAAATGCAGGGTATGTTTTTCAGTGTTAAGGCAACTGTTTTGATGTGTTTTCCTTTGCTCTCTATCACCAAATACTGTACATACAAATAGTAAGACTGGGCTTTGTGTTGTCCACTGTCAATCCTAAATGAAACAAAATACATGGAGACTTTGAAAATCCGTCAGAATAATGCTATAGTTAAGATTTTGCTAAAGCAAGTGTTTTTTCTAACTCCTTGAGCTGCATATTGCCTTGAGTAATCATCAACCGGATTGTATCCTCTTCGGTGGCAGTTTTGTTTCTTCTGAATTCTTCCCTTGCCCAGTCCTTCAGGTATTTGCAATCAGAATCATTTGGAACTTGCCAAATTGTTTGCAAAATCCTTCTGTAGAGGAGAAGAATTTGTTGCCTTCTTATGAACGTGGGCACTGGGCAGCTGAGGCACCGGGACTCAGGGACATCAAGCGCCTGATGCATCTCATGCGACCGCACCAAAACCCAGGGCTCTATATTTCTAATGTCCCTGTTTGCTCTTCTCCTGTTTCTTTGAAGCCAAGTTTGGGCCGATACCCATATTAGATTAATAAATCCTAGGCTCCTTGATGACAAAGGTGATATTACTATCTGCTGATCCAAACCATGAATAGTCAAGGTTGAAAAATGAAATTGGCAGGAAGAAGTGTACTTTATTGGACCCAACCTTGCAATGTCAATGTTCTTAGTTCTGAGAAATTCTTGCTCCTGGAATTCATCCAGTTTCATCTTTGGATACCTGCAACCTCCCTGCTCACAACTCATTCTTGATTAAATTAGCAGATGCTGATGATAGAATGAGACTGAGGCCAGTGATGCTAAAATAATTTCTTGCTGGTGAAGGAGGCCCCAGAGGTTTTACAAAAAAATTTTTAAAAGCACCACCTAGGGAATAGAGCCAAAATGCTCAGACACTGCATGGAAGCCAGGGATTGTATTAAATCCGAGTAATTGGAGTGGAGAGGGAGAGTGTTTTGTAGTAATTGTCATCATAGCTGGCACCAGATCTCCTCTCAGGTAAGAACATAGAAGCTTGGAACTTACGAGAGAACTTAGCTTTCCAGTATTTTTTAGGTGTGGAATGTGAAGTCATGAGGGGGGCTGGTCTGCGAAGAGTCAGCAAGGTGAAAAGAGATAACAGAGTGTCTTGGGAGGTGCAGGAGAGCAGACAGAACAGGCAGGGAATAAAGAGAGGGAGATGGAAACGTGTCTGGAAGCTGGAAATTGCCCAGGCAGGTGGCCATTGAGAGATTTCTAAAACTTCTGAGAATGGGGGTATGTAATATTCTAAATCATTTGAAATCTTATGCAATCCTTTATCTGAATGCCTTGATGGAATCTGCTTTCTACATAGCTCTACAATTGTATTTTGAGGAATAAAGGGACCAGGGTACTTATTAGGGAGAGGTCATACAGTGCAGAAAGGAGAAAAAAAAAAAAGAACTTGCAGAATAAAGGGGTGATCTGTAAAATGAACCAATTCAGTGGAAATGAGACCCAGGGTTGTAGCTGAAGTTGACTCCCCAAGACCCTCCAAAGAGATTGGGGGGCAATACTGTGTCTCCCACAGTTTGGGGTGTTTTGAAAAAATCTCATTTAAATCTCTGAAGTCAAGGTGATGCCACTTTGTCGCAAATGGAGTCTTCAGGAAGATATCCAGTCTGCAATAGCAAATGTGGAGGCCAGACTAAATGGAACGCCCCTGAGGAAATTATGGATGTAGCAGCAGTCCAGTTCACACGCTCATTCATTCATTCATCAAACACTGGCACAACATCTTACATTGTCAAGGCATGTAATGTGTGCCGAGAATATAGACACTGTCCTTGCCTTCAAGGAACTTTCACCTTTGGAGTGAGAAGGCGAAAATAACTGATATTTACTGAGCTCTTTCTGTATGCAGATACTAGGCTATCTATTTCACAGGCTTTGTCTTTTTAAAATTCTCCCAGCAGCTTTATAGGTAATTATTATCCCCTATACGTGTGTGTGTGTGTATATATATATATGTGTATATATATGTGTATATATATATGTATACATATGTGTATATACATATGTGTATATATATGTGTATATACATATATGTGTGTATATATATGTATATACATATATATGTGTATATATGTATATACATATATATGTGTGTGTATATATATGTATATACATATATATGTGTGTATATATATATGTGTGTGTGTGTGTATATATATATATATATATATATATATATATATATATATATGGAATCTGAGGCCCAGAGAGATTAGGGAATTTGTCTCAAATCTGACTTAGCTAATCTATGATAAAAAAACAAATGTTTGGACACAGGATTATCTGACCCTTAAGTTGGGGGAGGGGTTCTTATTTTGGTCAGAGGCAATTGAAAATTGGCAGTAGGTGGATCAGTCTGGATGTGTAATTTGGAAAATATTCCCGGTGTTTTTCTGGAGTCTCACCTAATCTGCTCTGATGCCTAATAGCCCGTCCGTTACCAGTGCTTTCTAACACAGGGTTAGCCATTGCTATTCTCATCAGCTCTATGTTTAGAAGCTTAACGCATCGACTCAGCAAGCCACAAACACCGTATCATGGATGCGCTGGCTAGCACGAGCATTCTGTGGGCCTGCTAAGGGGACGGGGCAGTGGAGAGCGCAGTGTGGAGCCTGGAATACTGATGCTCCAGAAACGTGGAGAGAGATGCCGCTCTTCATGGCAGGTACGCAGGCCTTGCTTCCTGCAGCAAGTTAAAATCATCCACCATCATTAGCAAAGGGCTGTTACAAGGGCCTTTTTAAAGTGTCCTGTGCCCAGGCTACAAGGAGCAATCCATCATGTTCCATAAGCATAAACACTCCACAGCTAATTAAGTGAGGGTGAAATCATCTGCACCATCCATGTGATATTTATTTAAAATGATTTGCTTAAGATAGGCCCAGAGTCCTTCTCCTTAGGGAGGTATAGAGGAACTGGGAGGAGAAAATTTGGGCACTTGAGGAGCAGAAACGAATTGGACTGGCAAGCGGAGAAGCCACCTGGGCCTGCAGTTGGCTGTGGCAGTGAATGGACATCTGTTGTTTTTGTCTGTTCGACACCATCCTCTCCCGCCGGGGATCCATTTCTCTTCTACTCCTATCATGTAATGGGGATGGGGCTGCCAATCACAGTTTACCGTCCAATGCCCTGGTCGCAGGGGTCAGCATACCATCCAGGTTCAGCCAATCGTAGTGCCTTGTTTGCCTGATCTGAGTGATAGGTCCAGAGTTAGAGCCAGCCCTTTTGGCAGTGAGGACAAAGGACGTTGATATTTTTGTGTTATGGAGTTCAAAGGACAAGCAGCAAGAACTTCTGGGGCCTTCTTTATTTACCATGTGGAATTAGCTGTCTGTAGGAGATAATATCAAACAAAGGCCAGCAAAAATGGAGGAAGAGAGGGCTGTGAGTATTGGGGCTCCAGTTTCAGTTCTTGAGTCCCCTGAGTGCTGTCCTAGTTCTTGTAATTTGCGTTTTAATTGTTGTCTTCTAACGTTTCATAACTTAATACATTCCCCTTCTGATTACACGTCTGTGAATTGGGTTACTGTTACTTGAAAGTGAAAGAACCTTGACTAACATAGATGTGAACATCAACAATCACATCTTGGGAACATTTTCTTGCATGGAGCTGGCACCTTAACATGTTCTGTATTTGGTGCTGGGTGGCAATTGGACTGTACACTTACACGTCTGAACTTGAATGGACCCCAGGTATCAATAGGCCCCATTCTCCCATTTATTTGGCAGTTGAGGGGGCTGAGACTCATCATGGAAGAGAGACTCGCCATGATCACACAGCAAATCAGTGGCACAACCAAAGCTGTGAAGGGCCTGGGCCTCTTGGTTCTCAGGCCAGTACTCCCTGTCAGGGTTAGGGCTGATGATGTTTCCAGGCAGAGCAGTGGAACAAATGAACTAACTATGAATGCACAGGATCAAGAGTCTCCAAAACATGTCAGGCCAGCCATACCTCCTTTTTGCCCCAGCTCTAAGTTTCCACCCTTACAACTTGCCAACACCAGGTGGACTGAATTATTCTTGGTTTGGTCTCATGCTCAGAGACCCAGCCTAGAACTCAACTTTCAGCACCTTGGCAGCAAGGCCTCAAAGCCAACCGTACAAAAAGCCTAGATGTTTTCAACATCGGTGTGGTGTGACTTCAAAGCATGGTCATCTACGTATCCCATGGAGCCATGAAAGAGGCGGGCTGGTGGGGGTGGGTGCACTTGCTGAGACAAAGCTTTCTACTCTCACTTCACCCAGGGCACCCCTCCTAATCACCCATTTTTAAGTCTTTTTTTTTTTTTAAATATATATATATGTGGAGGTTTAAGGTACACTGCTTGAAAAAGCATTCCCCTTAAAGAAGAAAAAAAAAACTCTTAAAATCACGAATTTAATGAACTTAAACCCAGTAAATAAGCAGGAAAGAAATTCCAACTGACCCTTCAGTAGGCCCAGAAACCTCATTATTGAAGGTAAAAAATCACAGCTTACTTTACAATGACCCATATTTTGACAAATACTATCCATCAAATGATGGTTTTAAAGACAGAATCTTGGACAAATGGCCCCATGCCCATATTGTTAATTAATTAAGATATATGGTCTCATTCACTTGTCCGTTCACTGAATATTCACTGAGTGCCCATACGCTGGACTCACTGTGCTAAATACTGGAGGTACCACAGTGAATAAGATAACTGTGATCCTTACTCCTACGCAGATTTTAGAAATTTATTCTTCCCTTGCAACTGAACTCATTTTTTGAGGAATTATCTCCGGGCAGAGGAAAGGGAAGTTGGCTGTAAGATCAGGCTGGAAAGAGGTTTTGACAAATGAATCTTGGGTCCATCCATCTGTCTAAATATGGAGTCAGTCACCATCTCTCCTGAGCCAAGCTCAAGGAGGCTGAAGCTGACACAGCTCTCCATATATTTGCCCCTCTGTGTGTCTAATGGGGAGATATCTAGCCTATTTTGTTCTAGCTGCTAAAATCCTATCTGTGTCTCAGTGCCTGTCTTCCTTTAAGGATTTTGAAGGGTGAATTAGAAGCATCTTTACAACCCAGGCATCTAGGCTCCCAACCCCTGGGCATAGCCCTCAGAAACCACATATATACATAATAGTGAGCTAACCTCAGGGGTGGAGGAACTGGTCTTCCCAGTGACTTATGAAAGTCTCATTGGAAGATGGGAAACTTTGGTTCTAGACTTGACCCTGATGACCATGGGTAGCTTCAGGCAAATCCCTTCACCTGTCTGGCTCTCTACTTTACCGACTGAGTGAAGGAACCAAAATGTGGATTTTCCCAAAGAAACATTTGAATTTCCATTTCTGATTGGATTAATTAAGGTAAGGCTAGCCTGCTGTAATTGAAAGTCTCAGGGGCATAACAAAATACATATTTATTTCTTTTCATGTCATAGTCAATAGGGGTGACTCTGGTCAAGCATTCTTTTATGTGGCTATGCAGGGGCTCAGTTACCTTCCAAACTGTGGCTCTGCCTTCCTTTAAGGTAGAGGCTGTGCAAAGTTTCCAAAAAGACCACCTGAATAGGCCAAGTGGATGAATGTACAAAATCAAGGTGATTCAAAACATCTGAGCTGGCAAATAGGGAAAGATTGAGAGAGGAGAGACTCCAGTGGGAGGTTTTAGGGACCAGGGCTAGAGGTGCCATGTACCTATTCTACCTACATTCCATTGGCCTGAGTCAGTCACATGGCCATGGCTAAGAGCAAGGCAGTCTGGAAGATGCAGTCTAGCTGTTCCATTGGCCTGGTCACATGGTCACAGCTAAGAGCAAGGCAGTCTGGGAAATGTAGTCTCTGTGGTAAAGAGGAAAGGAAAACACGTTTGCCAACCAACCAACCAGTTGGGTATAGGAAACTGCAACTTTCCATGGCAGTCCCTTCTTGTTATTCTCTACTCAGTACGGGTTTAAAAATCATATACTTCTGCCTCAACCAGGAGGTACTTATAGGAGGTTGTTGCTATAATCCAGTTAGAAGATGACAGCAGTTTTTATGAGGGAAATGTGTCCACACACCCAGGTTTTCCCAGGATAGGCCATTTATGCCTGCAGTCTCAGCATCCCATCCACGTGGTGCTTCCTTTAACTCTCAAAAGTATCCCAGTTTGGATGATAAATTATATAGTCATCCTATCTTCACCATGCAGATGACAGAAGAGAATATGAGATTGTGTAAAGATGCACAATGTTGCTGAAAAGAAGCCACATATAGTCACTGTTCCATAAAGGCAGTGTTTTTTTAATTTTAAAATTCTGCATCTGAAAACACAGTATGACAGAAAGCATCTATATACACCTGCAGTGTTTTTGGTATGATACAGTATTTAATACATCCACTGTTTTCTGCAAAAAATGTTGCTTTGTCAGACAGAAACAAACTCCCCTAGACAAAAAAATACAGCTAAGGCACAATTTTGTTGTTGTTGTTGTTCTGCAAAATAAAAAGACAGAAAAGGTGCAAAAAAGGGCAGGTAATGCAGTCATTTCTGAGACTCACATTCTACCTCAAGGAAAAGCATTCAGATGATTGGAACTTTGATTACTGGTCAATTTCAGATAGTTCAATATCTCTTAAAATACTCCTTTAAATAAATAGCAAAATATCTACATATTTCAGCGTGTGCCATTTGAATTCTTTTTTTAAAACTTTATTTACAGATTTTTTTTAAAATCAACACATTACAAAATATTTCTGTACAGTTTTATGCATATTATGATCTATAACAAAATAGTTATTTTTAAAAACTATATCACCACATGTCTTTGAAAACAATGAAGGGGACGGTAATAACTTAGAGTGAGGCCTCTAAAACAAATACCCAAACAAATGCTATTGACAACATAATATTTAAAAAAAAAAAAGGCAAAAGGACTACAAAGACAATTGCGCACAATTCCAGTGAATTTCCTATGAAAACCCTGGGGTTGTCTTTGGCCTCCATCAGCACTGGAGCAATGGAAGGGTAAAGAATAGAGTCTGAAGGTAGGGAAAGGGTGATTCCTTTGAGAACACTACCCATCTGCTGGGAATATTTAGTGCTATCACTTTCCAGGCAGGAAGGACGAAGAGATAAATGGAGAACGTCTCCTGATTTACCCTTGAATGAAGTACATATAAAGTCACCCAGTCTTGGGGGCAGGGGAGGTCTGCAAAGCCTTTTCAAGCACTCTGCCGATAATTAAGCCAGCCCATTACAGCAGCAGTATGCTCTGAGAGAGTGCTTCAGGAGTTGGCTGAGCTTTAGATGAGCACCCAAGCCTTCATTTTGCCCATAGGAAAAATATAAGAACATTTTTCTTAAAGACGACATTTGTAAGCAATTCCTATAGCATCTGCCAACTACAGATTGGCAGCCCCTTCCTTAGGAGGCTGCCACAGAAGCTTCACGATGCTGTCTTCTCTGATGTTGGTGGAGATGGGAGGGAAAGGATGGATGGTCAGCTTCCCAAAAATAATGTTAAGGCCACATTTCAAAAAGGAGAAACCTAAGGCTTTTGTTTTGTTTTGTTTTGTTTTTGAAGGAGGGATGGGAGAAGCAAGTTGGAGGAACATGAGGGATGGAGTAGATGACGTTAGGGAGGGGGATGACAAGGTGCAGAACCCGCTTTCTGGTGGTATCTGTAGGCAGAGGCAGTTGGAATATTCCCAGCCAAGTGGAGAGGGAAGAGAGGTCACTTTCTCCCTGCATACGCCTGGTAAGACCAGAGCCAAAGACAACGTGAGGGGTAGACACAGGTGGCGCAAGAAAGCCCTCCTCCATCTTAAGAGGGTCCTATACAGTATCTTGTTTGCAAGGTAAACACAAAACAAAACAAAACAAAACAAAAAAACTTCTAAGAGAGCCAGAGAGGAAGAGAGAGAGGAGAGAGAGAATTTGCATAGATCATACATTCAGCTCAAGCAGATTTGGACAACTTTGTTCCCCCCTCCCAGGTAAACTTCTCAGCAGACACAATGAGGTAGCGCCTGTGGTAGACCCATGGGCAAAGTAAGGTAACTGAGGCAGAAGCAAACAGGACATCCCGTGAGCCAGCACAGCTCTATGTGGTTTCCAAAGAGGCTTCCAGGGATGGGACAAGATGGCTGTGTCAACACTTGGGATTTGGAGAGAGCCTGGCTGTTTCACACCCTACCTCCTCCTCCTCCTAGACTGTCTTTGCCATTTCGGCCTGGTTTGATGGAGTCCCACAAGCTGTAGCCCCAGGCAGATGTGGACCTCTGCATATCTAAGGGGCAGCAGTCCAGATCTCCAGATTCTATTCCTTCTTCCCTTCAGCACAATCTTGGGACCAGGAGAGCTGAATGATCCATCCCCCCTCTGTGGAATGGTCTCTTGAGGAGTGGAATGACTTAGCAAGAGGTCCCCATTCCGAGTTCAACATGGGCTGTTATTTTTGCCCTGACCTGATGCTGGCTTTTTTCCTCTTCTACCAGGGCAATGCATAATCTCACTTTAAACCACCTCTCCAGAGAGCAGAGGTTGCTGGCAGTGTACACGTGGAACAGTGGAATTTTTCTTTGCCCACTATCTGTTAAAAAAAACAAAAACAAACAAACAAACAACCCGACGTTGAAAAATCAGATTTTTTCCATTAAATCTGGATTTCCGGCTTCCCTTCCAAATTGGAAGATTCCACTACACTGTGCTTACATTTTTACAAACAATGACAGGTTGGGGCTGAGTAGCAGCTGCTCATTCTGGGTAGGTCACGTGCATGCCAGTAAGACCACAGTCCCCATCCTTGCCCCCACCATGCCCTTTTGCCTCACACCAACCATTTCACGCATCTATGCTAGTATTCTGGGCCCCATAAACATTTGTAACCCCTACCACAGTGTGTGGCTTTGATCCTGCAGGTCTAGCTTGCTGTCTTTAAAGTGGAGTGTGTTAACAGCTGTTTCTAGAATGTACACCTCTCCACCCCTAGATGTACCCCTCCACCTGAATGTACACCTCTCCACCCCTCGATACTGCTGGGAAGCTGGTGCTCCAAATCCTCAGTGAACTTGGTTGTGAAAGGACTCTTTATTCACACCCCACTGCCAGTAGCTACTGCCCTGCTCTCTGCATCTTTTTGGCAGAAAGCTTAAGGTTCTAGCCAGTGTCTTCTGTGTTATCTGCAAACTAGAGAACCAGAGGGAAACATGGTCTTCAGACACCCTACTTGTGCCCAGAGTAGAAGCAATTGCAGTGAGTGAGAGATGGGGGCAGGTCCTGTGGTTCTGCTCATCCTCTCTAAACTCCATTTGCGTTTTAGAAGTTAAACCCACAATGAGAAATGAAGCCGGAAGGACTCATGATCTCACCAGGAAAGCCTTTTTTTTCCCCTGCAAAGGGAGAAAGCAGCGCGCTTCTCACAACACGGGGACCTTGGGAATTGCTCACTGCCTCCTTGGAGACACACTGCTTTACGTGTGGACCGGGAAGTGAAGTGGGATGTGGGAAGGCTGGCTGTCTCCTGAGCTCAATTTCTGCCTGAATGTCACTCGGTGGGTGGGAAACTATAAGGAGTGCCGCAGCCTAAAGAATGCTTCCTTCTCCACAAACCAATACCCCAAGGCCCACCTGTCAGCCTTCCTGAGTTTCCAGGGACCTCGTCACTGGCTCAGCTCACAGCTGCAGGCTGTAATAGGTTTCCAGAGACCACAGCCCTATGCTTTTGAAATCTTCCACAGCCCAAGCTCCAGGCTGTCTGACCAATGGCCTCCAACAAATAAATAAATCATTCTCAGGCAGGTTAAAAAAATTATTTTCCCTGGGAAAACATCCTCTTTTCTCAAATCATGCTGGGCTTTGTTTGGGATTTTCCTTAAAAAAAAAAACAAAACACAAAAACACAACAAATGTAATATCTGCAACCTTATTCTCTGGTCTATTAATTAATAACATCAGAGAAGGGAGAGGAATACCCTGTGTGACTTCTCAGCTCCCCGAATTAGTTGTGGTGAGGAAGAAATGAAGCCATGGGAAAAAGGGAAGGGTCCCCAGAGTCAGCCAGCTCTGCCATTTCTCCACTTGTTCCAGGATAAAAACAAAAAAAGGCAGACATGTTAGTGGGTGCAGGAGGGGCCCCATCTTGAAGTCTGCAGGTTCACATTATGCACAGGGACTTGCCACTGCTGAGTCCCCAAAGCCACTGCAAATAACGCTGCGAACACAAAGCACTGGTGGCCCAGCAAGGAGGGTGAAAGGGAAGCTCCCAAAGTGGCTTCGGCAGCCCCAGGGAAACCCTGGCCAGAGGCAGAGGCCGGGGGCAGAAAGAGGATGTGGCACCCAGCGCGTGGCCACCATAGAGTCTGTAAAAGAGATCATAGGGGCTTTCTGAGAAAAGTACCCTGAGATCCCTGGAATCGCTGTTGAGAATGGCTATCTCCCGGACTCTGCTGCCTGGATCTGACGACCCTCCTCCTAAGATGGATCTCTCTCAAAGGAGCCTGTTTCCCTCTGTTAAGGTCGCATGAATGCCCATAATTAGATGGGCCATGGGAAGGCAACCACGGAGCAAGCAGGAATGGCCCAAACTCTCTGCAGCTAGCACATTCCCCACAAACTCTCTGCAGCTAGCACATTCCCCACTCACCCTCCACGTTTTCTGCCTGTCACCTCCTTGTGCCTGTGACGGGGGGTGAGTAGGGGGAGGATGGGAGGCTCAGGAATTCCAATACTCTTGGAATCCGAGGGAGAGTGAGGCTGACACTCTGCATAAGGAAAAAAACAAGGCTCCAACGGTCCCCAAGGCACCCCACTCAAAGCCAGTGGAAGATGCGGGTTGGAGCTTTCTTTGCGTGGTGTTCGATGCCCCTGCTTTACTCTGAGGATGAGGAGGATGGGGGGTAGACGCAGAGAAAGAGAAACCGAGAGAGAGAGAGACACCAGGGGGTGGGAAAAGATGGGAAAAGGGGCCTTTTGTGAATAAAGGCAGCTTCAGTTAGTAAGGTAACATAATTGACAAGCTGCAAAAACAGCACCTACTAATTAGTCATCGACTAAAACATGTAAATAATAAATATCTAAAGTGTCCCTTCTCTACGTCCTCCATTGCCAACAGGACACCCTGCCTTGCGAGGCTTGGGATGGGGCAACACATCTGGCTAGGATTAGGACAAGTCACACAAAGCGAAGGGCAGCCCCTTCAAACCCACGCTGGAGAGAAGTGTCAGGACTGGCTCTCCATGGGAAGGGCAGATGGCTACCAGGGGTGAGACCTTTTTCCAAGGGAATCCCATCATTCAGGGGAGGTGGGATTACAGGAGCAAGGGAGGCCTCCTGCGAAGAGCTCTCCTGGTGAACAGGGATGACACTCCAGGGGGCTCGTGGCAAGGAAACCTTTTGGGTTTCTGGTAACTCAACACTTAAATCATACTGTTTTTTGTTGTTTAAATAACCTTCCCATTTTTATGTTGCATGTCCCGTTGAGCCTGTGGCCGAAGGGCATGAAATTAAAAACCAAATCTGAAATGCTATTTCCTGGACGGGAAAAGTCTGGTTCATGTGGTTTGGTCACTCCCAACAGCACCGGTGTGCAATTGACGAAGGTTTTGTGTGTCTGACCTCAGAACGGAAGGGCTCTGGCAGGGGATGGGTGCTGCTGTGCTGTCTAGCTCAGGAGTTTTGCTCCAAGCATTGCTTTGTGAGTTTCATCGCGTTGCCTTGTGAGTTTCATGGTCATGGCTGTCAAAGTTCCCATTTTCAAGGATCAAAGAAGGTCATGGTCTTGAGTCTGGTGCTCACAAACATCATCCTATTTCTGCTACTTTGTGTGGCAGCCTTGAGGGAAGGAGGCCCAGACCCCTGGACAGGTGGCAGTTGCACTTGTGGCTGGACCTTGGCCATGCCACATCAAAAGGCTTTCCCACTTACCTAGTTACTAAGGAGAATAGTTCAACCCAAGGAGGGCTGCTGAGAGGCTCAGAGCTCTCCTAAGGCTGCAGCCTCCATGGGAAAGGGCCCACGACCATGACTTTCAAGGCTGGCACCAGAGTCCCCCAGCCAAGAGAAGCAGAAAAATGAACCAAAGGGCAGGGCTGGAGTTTGAACCCATGGTTGGTCTGGGCAGTGCTTGTCAAACTGGCATTTGCAGAGCCCTTGGGTTCTGAAGAGGTACCGTAGGAGATACCCTGGGCAAGGGGACCGCCCAGAGGGCTGAGCTTTGGGAGGGAACCTCGCACTTGTCAGCTTCAACCAGAGCAGCTTGGATTTCGTCAGCACCCTGAACCTCCACTTATGACTGTGCTCCGTAAACGAAGTTCTGCTGCTCGAAAGAAAAGTCTGAAAATCACACGTCTGGGGTCAGGGGTGGGTCACTGGAAGGGGAAGACAAGGAACCTGTAGGACTTGAGGATCAACCAGAAGAGGTGAGACAGTCACAGTGCAGGGACTGAGCCATCCCACCCGCAGCTTGCCAAAGGCAGGTTGTTGGCTGATCCTGCTTTGACCTGCTGACCTTCCCTTTCCATCATTCTATGGCCAGGAGAGACCCATTCACAGAGGGCCTCCCCCAGGGTGGGAGGCCGGGGTTCAGGCCCCACAACCCCTCTGGCTGCTTTCCCGTTGAGATCCTGCTGTGGCCCACTCCTCGTGCCCAGTGCTACCTGAGCCGGCCATCAGGTTTGACTGCCCCCAGCTCCGACTTGGGGTCAGGGCTGAAGGAGCTCCAGGCCGTCTGGCTGCAGGTCTGCATGACCGGGCAGGCTGTGGGGCCCGTGGCACAGATGTCCATGGCAGTCCACATCCCGCCCACCAACGAGTCCAGCCATCCCTCCAGCGCTGTGCCCGTGGAGGCTGCGTTCCTCCGTGCCTGTTCCACCTGGGCGGGGTTGATGGGCAGGCTGAGGACGGGGTTTAGGCTCTGGAAGCTCTGCTCCATGTAGGCATTGCGGAGGGGCCCATTGTGCAGCTTCAGTGCCTCCTCTGAAAGCCAAAGGGAACAATTTCAGGATCAGAAGAGCCACCAATAGGATGCCTATTCATACTTACCCTGTGCCTGGTGCTGCACTGGGTGCCATGCATCGCCTCATTTAATTCACATGACAATCTCATGAGGAAGTTCTTTTAGCAGTCCCATTTCACAGCTGAGAAAACTGAGCCCGTAAGGACAGAGCCCACTTTGTACAGGGCACGGTGCATGCCTTTATTCATTCAACACATGTTTATAGCGCATCTTTGATAGTGCAGACACTGATTCAGCCAATATATATTTTTAAGCACCTACATTGTGCCAGGCATTCAGTCAACACATATTTACTAAACACCCATGATCTGCAAGGCACTGTCTCATTTGATAAAGACATATTAAGTACCTATTAGGTACCAGGATCTATTCTAGGTGGTGGAGCAAACCAGATAGGAAGGTTAAGATCCAGTGGAGGGAGAACAACAACAAAGAAATAAGTAGATAAATAAGGTTATTTCAGGCAGTGATAAGTGTCATGAAGGCAAAAAAACAGGGTATTGAGACAAGAGGGTTGGCAAACTGCAGTCCTTGGGCCAAATGTGGCCCACCACTTGTGTTTGTAAATAAAGTTTTATTGGAACATGGCTGTGCCCATTTATTTGCATATTGTCTGTGGCTGCTTTTGTGCTACCAGAGCTGAGTATTTGAGACAGACTGTATTTTACCCAACAAGCTGAAAATATATCTAGCCCTTTACAGAAAAATTTTGCTGACTCCTGGGTTGGAGAGTGACAGTGACCTGTACCCAGGTCTGTTTGGGAAGTCCAGATCTCAGCTGCCGAGCGTCCACCTTGTACTCTGCGTAAGTTGGATTTCTGCTTCCTAGAAGCCTAAGGGTGCATGAACTGACCACAGAACAATCACTCTGAAAGCATGAAGCTTGGACCCGGGTGAGGTGGGGTGGGAGGTCAAACTAGCTCTCATAACAGTGCTGCCTTGCTGGGCCCCTCCTATGTGCCAGTCACTTTGTGAAGCACTTCATACAAGAGCCCAGGTACTGCAGTCATGCTGTCTGGTTTTGCAGCCCCACGTCCAACATACCAGGTGTGTGACTTCTGACCTCCATGCCTTGTACCTCAGTTTCTTCATCAATAAAATGGGTAAAGTACTAATGCCTTCCTTCTCACTTTGTGAGGCTTAAGTGTGCTGACTCATATAAAGTATTTACAAATGACACCTGGCATATACTAAGTGCTGGGAAAAGCTTAGCTAGTGATATGGTTTGGCCGTGTCCCCACCCAAATCTCACCTTGAATTGTAGCTCCCAGAATCCCCACGTGTTGTGGGAGGGACCTGGTGGGAAGTAATTGAATCATGATGAGTTTTTGCCATGTTGTTCTTGTGATAGTGAATAAGTAAGTCTCATGAGATCTGATGGTTTTTTAAAGGGGAGTGTCCTTGCACAGGCGCTCTGGCCTGCCACCGTGTAAGATGTGCCTTTGCTTCTCCTTTGCCTTCCATCATGATGGTGAGGCCTCCCTGACCATTGAAACTGTGAGTCCATTAAACTTCTTACTTTTATAAATTACCCAGCCTCAGGTCATTATTAGCAGCATGAGAACAGACAAATACAGCTAGGATTATTACTGTTGGTATTAGTCCATAATCCTCACACACCTAAAAAACTAGGGGGCTGGTTTTATCATTCCTACTTTACAGATGGGGAAAGAGAGGCAGCTGGAGTTAGAGACAGATCTGGGGTTAAATCCAGGACCGACTGACTCCAAAGGCAGTGCTTATCACTCACCCTGATACTCTACTGCTCAAGGCCATCACCAAGGTCTGATTTTTCACTCATGCAAAAATTCAAACAATTGGGCCAGGCACGATGGCTTACACCTGTAATCCTAGCGCTTTGTGAGGCTGAGGCAGGTGGATCACCTGAGGTCAGGAGTTCGAGACCAGCCTGGCCAACATGGTGAAACCCCGTCTCTACTAAAAATACAAAAATAAGCCGGGCGTGATGGCTGATGCCTGTAATCCCAGGTACTCGGGAGGGTGAGGCAGGAGAATCGTTTGAACCTGGGAGGCGGAGGTTTCATTGAGCCGAGATCACACCATTGCACTCCAGCCTGGTCGATAGAGTGAGACTTCATCTCAAAAAAAAATTTTAAAAATTGCAACCTCAGGCATAAATGGGTTAAACAGTAACATGTACGTAAGAGTGACTACTACTACTACCTCCCAGGGCTGCACGATGAGGAATCAGGAAGTATAGCAATTTGGGGTGAAGGAAAGAAGCTAAACACTTCTATTATTTCTAATAGATGCTATTTCTAATATTTTGAAGACGTTCACATTCATTGCTTGTTTTATTGCTCAGTAGAAGCACATATATATTTTTAAAAAGGCTGGCCAATGAGTCTGGTGAGTTGCGCTTTACCAAATCAGGCTTTGCGAGAGCTGAGATAGCTAGGATTACAAGAAACCTTCCAAGATAATGCAGTGTTCAGAAGACAGTGCTTCCTGTTTGCCTGACAGCAGCTGCCACCACCAAAGGCACCCAGGACAGCCTGGATATTAACAAGTGTCCAGAGCAGGCAAGAAGAAGGAAGAAAGACCATATGCTAACCCTTCTAAAAGCAGTGAGAATAGTAGATGAATTCAAAATTTGCCTTGACTAACACAGACAAGATCGCCACTCCTTCAATTCCCAATGCCCCAGGAAGCAAAAGGGTTGGGTTCTGTGGTTTGGATGGGCACAAGTGGGAGGAAGGAGGTGAGCAGTCATTGAGCACATACTCTGTCTCGCAAGGGGTTTAGCAAAGCTGCTTTCTCCCACGGTAGTTAGGAGCCACAGTGTTTGGAAGTCTGGTCCTAACCCATCTTTCTCTAATACAGGGTAGGGTGGGCAGCTTCAGCCCCACCTGCCAGGAGAACAGAGCCTGCTGTCTTTGGTGCGGGCCCTAATTTCTCTATCAGAGCCCCTTAGTGCCTCTATTCTGCAGAGTGAGAAAGTGGAGAATGAGGAGATACCGAAACTGACAAAAGGCAGGACATTCAAAGGGAAAAGAGCAGCTAACAAACCTGCGAACGCTGGGAGCCAAATATTGTGGTTGATGCAAAAAAACCCTTATGAGAAATGAGGTTAATGTGGGAAACGCTATTACAATATTAGCTTGCGATGCTCGTCTCTATAATTAAATTTTCCTCAATTCCACCTCATCGGATTTCTTGCGATTACCAGGGACGCATCAATAGAAAATTACTCTTGATGAATCATTTTACAAATTGCATTGCTCCCACCTTTGTGTTCACTGTCATTCATTGGAACATCGCTAACAAATACAATTACCAAGGACAGGAGGGCTGCTCTCGGTGGGGGTAAAATGACTCCTGGGTCATCCTGGGCATGTGTAGGGAGAGCCCTGCCTTCCTTAGAAACCCTAGAAGAAAACACTGGAAAAATCAGGACCCCATGAATGGCCCCCAGGCTACTCCACTGGCGTGGGGGTGTGTTCAGGAGCACTGCTTCATTCTGACCAACAGGTGTACCTGAAGCAGCGAAGACACAGCCATTTACTCCCCTCTCCTCCATGTCTGGCATTAGACATCGTTAGAGATGGTAAAGATGTGAACTAGATCAAGAAGGAACCTAAGACCTCTAAGGGGGTGGGATTGGGCCTGGTCAGCTCTGGAGGGGCTGTCTTTTGCCTGGTTCATGGGGAAGAAGGAGCAGGCTTCCAGCTCAAGAAAACATGAGGTCTCTGTCTTTCTGCTTGCTCTGCACAAAGACAGCAGAAGCTGAGCGTTTACTTCGAGACTCCTATGATAGAGGATTGATTGATTCTTTTTTTGAGACGGAGTCTCGCTCTTGTTGCCAGGCTGGAGTGCAATGGCATGATCTCAGCTCACTGCAACCTCCACCTCCTGGGTTCAAGCAATTCTCCTGCCTCAGCCTCCCGAGTAGCTGGGATCACAGGCACACGTCACCACACCCGGCTAATTTTGTATTTTTAGTAGAGACGGGGTTTCTCCACGTTGGTCAGGCTGGTCTTGAACTCCCGAGCTCAGGTGATCCGCCCACCTCAGCCTCCCAAAGTGCTGGGATTACAGGCGTGAGCCACCGTGTCTGGCCTATTTATTTATTGTTTTGGAGATGATAGAGTCTCGCTCTGTCACCCAGGCTGGAGTGCAGTGGTGTGATCTTGGCTCACTGCAACCTCCACCTCCCAGGTTCAAGCGATTCTCATGCCTCAGCCTCCTGAGTAGCTGGGATTTCAGGCACCCGTCACCATGCCTGGCTAATTTTTTGTACTTTTAGGAGAGACAGGGTTTCACCACATTGGCCAGGCTGGTCTTGAACTCCTGACCTTGAGTAATCCGTCCACCTCAGCCTCCCAAAGTGCTGGGATTTCAGGCGTGAGCCACTGCACCAGGCCATGATAGTGGTTTTTGTCCACGGTTCTTGGCTCAGAACTCCTGTAACCCTTCTTACAGTCTTTTCTTACAATGTTGGGCACTTTAGGACTCAGCAAATAGAATCTCTCTCTCGCTCTGGCCTCCTCCTGTCCCCCTTCTCCTGCCTAATGCCAGAGTCTAATCAGATTGTGGGTGATAGGACTCTCATTCCAGAGAGGGCCCTGACACACTCCCTGGAGGAAGGAATTACTGCACAGAGAGGCCAAGGAGAATCTGAACAGACAGGGCTTGCTGAGTTAGGTCAGACCCTTTTTGTCCAATCACATTTTGACACAGTTGTCATGCTTCAGTCATGGGTAACCAATGAAGTCTTCATAAAAGGCCCAAAGGACAGGGTTCAAGGAGCTTCTGGAGAGCTGAATACATGGTAGCATCTTCACAGGAAGGTGAGGAAGAACTCATCCACCTGCCGGGACGGTGGGCACCCCAATGCCATGGGGACAGACTCATCCACCTGCCAGGAGGGTGGTGCACCCCAATGCCATGGGGACAGATTCATCCACCTGCTAGGAGGGTGGGCATCCCTATGCCATGGGGACAGACTCATCCACCTGCCGGGAGGGTGGTGCACCCCAATGCCATGGGGACAGATTCATCCACCTGTTGGGAGGGTGGGCACCCCAATGCCATGGGGACAGAAGCTCCTGCACTCAGGACTCCTCTGGACCTTGCCCTCTGTATAGCTTCATTTGGCTGTTTATCTGCATCCTTTAAAATATCTTTCATAACAAACCAATAGACATAAGTGTTTCCCTGAGTTCTGTGAGCTGCTCTAGCAGAGTAATTGAGCCCAAAGAGGGGGTTGTGGGAACCCCAGTTTGAAACCATTTGGTCAGAAGTTCCAAAGGCCCAGACTTGTGATTAGCGGGCAGAAGGGGGTGGTCTTATGGCACTGAGCCCTCACTCTGTGGTGTCTGATGCTACCTCTGGGGTGGAGAGTGTTGGAACTGAATTGGGGGACACCCAGCTGGTGTCTGCTGCAGAACTGATTGCTTGCTTGCTGACGGGGAAAATTTCCCCATGTATTTTGCTGTCACAGAAATCTTCTGTGTTGATCATGGCAGTGTGAGAGCAGAGGAAAAGTGGTTTGAGAGTTTTTCCCAAACAACTCCCTTTGCTAGGACTCAAGGCACCTCCTCCCCATGCTGTGTCCCCATCCCCTTGCATCATTGGCTAAAAGGCACCCAATCCAGAACTCTTCAAAGCTAAGAGGCTGTAATGCATTTCTGGCTTTTGAGTTTGTGATCTGTTAGAGATGGACATGAATAATTCCAAATATAGAGAGACCCAGAAATCCTGTTTCTACGAGTTTGTGTTATGGATGTAACTGCATGGGAACATACAATTTTTTTTTCTTTTTTGTTTTTGTTGTTGTTTTTTGAGACAGAGTCTCGCTTTGTCACCCAGGCTGGAGTGCAGTGGCGTGATCTCAGTTCACTGCAAGCTCCGCTTCCCGGGTTCACGCCATTCTCCTGCCTCAGCCTCCCGAGTAGCTGGGACTACAGGCACCCACCACCATGCCCAGCTAATTTTTTGTATTTTTAGTAGAGACAGGGTTTCACTGTGTTAGCCAGGATGGTCTCGATCTCCTGACATCGTGATCCACCCGCCTCGGCCTCCCAGTGTGCTGGGATTACAGGTGTGACCACCGCACCCGGCTGGGCACATACAATTTTATGTTTAAGACTCTTCCTTGTTGGGGCTGGGTGTGGTGGGTGGCTCACGCCTGTAATCCCAGCTCTTTGGGTGGCCAAGGTGGGAGGGTTGGTTTAGATCCAGGAGTTTGAGACCAGCCAGGACAACACAGACCACACAACCACAAAAATAGTTAAAAAAAAAAAAAAAAAAAAAAAAAGCCGGGCATGGTGGCACACTCGTGTAGTTTCAGCTACTTAGGAGGCTGAGGTGAGAGAATTACTTGAGCCCAGGAGCTCGAGGCTGCAGTGAGCTATGATTGCATGACTGCACTCCAGCCTAGGCAAAAGAGCCTGACCTAAATTCTTTTTTTTTTTTTTGAGACAGAACCTCGCTCTGTCACCCAACTGGAGTGCAGTGGCATGATTTCGGTTCACTGCAACCTCCGCCTCACAGGTTCAAACGATTCTCGTGCCTCAGCCTCCCAAGTAGCTGGGACTATAGACGCCGGCCACCACACTCGGCTAATTTTTGTATTTTTAGTAGATGGGGTTTCACCATGTTGGCCAGGCTGGTCAGGCTGGTCTCGAACTCCTGGTGTCAAGTGATCCGCCTGCCTTGGCCTCCCAAAGTGCTGGGATTACACGTGTAAACCATGGCACCCAGCCAACCTCTGTTATATTAAAAAAAAAAAAAAAAAAAAAAAAAGACTTTTCCTTGCACTATTATCAGTAACATCATCATCATCAGCAGCAACAACAGAAACTTATGTGTCCACCAATAGGGGAACAGATAGATTGTGGTTCCTTAACCCAGTGGAATATCATGTAGCTGGTAGCTTTATATATACTGACTTAGAAAGTAAAAAAAAAAAAAAAAAAGCAATCTTACAGTACACAATGTATTATTTCATTTTTAAAAAATAGCAAAGGTTTTGTGATTTATGGTGTGTATTATGTTTATGCTTTACAAGTATGGAAAAACTTCTAAAAGGATTCACACCAGACTGTTGGCAGTGGTTTCTCTAGAGGTAGGATTTGAGCAGGGAGAAAGACTTTCCCCTTAATAAAAGGAGGTGAAAAGGGGCGGGGGAAATAGAAGTATAAAAGTAAACCCTTTCAATGGACAAAGAAAAAAGTCAGGCAGGATAGGAACTGACATCCCAGTCCCTGTTCTCCATGGGGATGGAAACCCTGACCTGAATTTCATGTTAATTTCATGTTTCATTTCCTAACAGCTGCCTTTGACATACGACTCCTGAAATAAGATATTGTTGACTTTGCCTGTTTTTGAACTTGACATAAATACATCATAATTATGATTTATCTGTGATATTTCCCCCTCAACACTATGTTTTAGGGACTCATCCAAGCCAACACATGCCCATGCTTTACTGCTATTCACGGCTGCATAGTACTCCATTGTATGAACAGCCAGCCAATTGTTTCTCCTTTCCAGTGTCAGGCAATCAGACCGTTTCTGGTTTTGTGCTATTAAGAATAATTCTCATGTGAGCATTTCTGCACATGTCTCTAGGGCCTATACCTTGGGGTCAGACGTCTGTGGTAGGGTGTGTGTATGTTCAGCTTTACTAGGAGATACTAAAACATTTTCTAAACTCGTCTTAGCACTTCACCCTCCCACTAGCACTGCATGAATGCCTATTGCTCTCAGCCTTAGTAACACAGGTTCTTATCTGTCACGCATTTCCCAATATGATGGGTGTGAAGTGGAACCTCTCTTTGCTTTCAATTTTCATTTCTCCCATTTTTAATGAGGCTGAACATGTTTTTGCGTGTGTGAGGGGCCATTCATGTTCTCTCCTCCATTTTTTTCCTCTCTTTTATAGCAGGGTTGGTGGTCTTTTTTTTTGTAAAGAGCCAGATAGTATCTTTGGCTTTGTGGGCCATGCAGTCTCTGTCACAACTATTCAGTTCTGCCACTGTAGCTCTAAAGCAGAAGCAGGCAACATGTACATGAATGAGCATGGTGACTGTGTTCCAATAAAACTTTATTTACAAAAACAGGTAGTGGGCTGGATTGGCCAACTTCTGATGAATAGCATTTCTTTATAAATTCTGAACATGAGTACTTTAAAAAAATGTAGCAAATATCTTCTACTATTATGTGGTTCATCTTTTCCACCTAGTGTATCATATTTTTGATGAACAGAATTTCCTGTTTTGATTTTTTTAAAATAGTAAACAAGATTTGCTGATCCTTAATACCTGCCTGGGTTTATTTCCCATCTTGTCTTCAATATGATCTAGGCTTTCTGGAAGTTGAATGGGGGAGCGTCTAACAAATAGCTACCTAATACCTAGACAGATGACATCATCTCCGTGTGCAGGTAGGACATTAGATGGTTTCTCTAGGGAAACACAGAGAAAAGTATTGAGAGCAAGGAGTGCTGTTCTGTGAGGCCGCTGCTTACCCTATGTCTGAGCAGTGCTGCCTACCAACACCAAAGACCCTCAAGGTCCCCAGGGAAGGAGTATTTCTCCCACATAGACACTGGGAGTACTTACCAGGTTTGATGGGCTGCCTGTTCGAGAAGGTCAGAGGCGCAACGAGGAATTTGGTCTCTGCAACTGGCACCCAGTGGTGGAGAATTTTCACTGTCCAGACCCCAGGCCTCAGGGGCAAGTTCAAAGGGGGCTTGTAGTGTGTGAATTCGGCAGTGGACTCAATGAGGATGTCGTAGGTGGCTGCGATGACATTGACGGGATCCACCCAAATGACGGTCACGGTCACATTAGGTCCCTTCCCCCACTTCTGCATACCCACCGGCTCATCCATGGGCCCCAGAAGACCCCCAAAGTTGCGGAATAGCCTCTCCTTGGCATCCCAGTCAGTGCCGACCTGAAACAGGGGAGTGAATTCTGAAGTCACTGGGCCTGAACTAGGGGGCTAGGTCTCAGAAAGGTCTAGGATCCCCTTTGTTAGCTTTCATATACCCATTTTACAGATGAAGAAACTGAGGCTCCAACTAAGTCACCTGCTCAAGGTTGCACAGCTTGTAAGCAGAAGATCTGGCATCTGGACTCAGTCTGAAGGATCAAAAGGCCTGTGGTCCTTTTATTAAACCACCGGGCCTCCTGTGCCTGGTGTATGGCATGTGCTTTGAAAAGAAAACCACACATGAGCTGAATGAGTGAATGAATGAACGAATGAATGAATGAATGAATGCATGTCTTGCTTGCAGGCCATTCCACAGAAACATACACCCTGCCACTCAACAGGTACAGCGGGTTTCCAATTCCATCCTTGGTTTTCTAAATCACACACCTCCACTTGGTGCAATGGTTCTGAACAAGAATAGAGATCATGTTTTTACAGCTGCTCTATCATAAGCTAGAGACCCTCAGCATTGCCTGTCATCTACAGGGGTTCAAATAGGTTTCCTAGGAAGAGACAGCTTTGGCTTTCCCAAGGCACCTAGATCTGGACTGTAAGCATGAGAGTCATCCTGCGATCCTTCCTTCCTGCCAGCCAGCTGGGGGTGTGTGCAGCTGTGACCCACAGCAATCCTCTCTGGTGGGCTTCCCTCCTTCCACTTGTGCCACCTGCAATTTCTTCTATATCCTGTAGTCAGAAAGGCCTTGTAAAATGTCCTCTTACTGCTGCCCCCAGGCTTCTTAGTGCACTCAGAGTCTGAGCTCACCCCATCCTCCATCTCCATGACCCCCTCCCCATCTTTCTCCAGGATGCCTTGTTTTAGCCACCTCAATCAAGGCAGGCTCATTCCCAGCTCAGCTTTCCTGCACCATCTGCCCTGTGTGGAATACTCCTTTCTTGCACAGCCAGCCCCTTATGTCTAAAGCTGCCTCACAGAGTCTTTATCTGACCACCCCCCACCCCAAATTTCAAATGGACCTTCAGTCAATCTGTGTCATTCCCTACTGCTTTATTTTCTTCCTATCAGTGGTGATAAGCACTATCTCAGAGTTGTCTGTTGATGTATTTATTCTTTATCTCCTCCAGCTGTAATATAAGCTCTGTGTGAACAGGGGTTTTACCTGGCTGGTTCCCTGCTCTTTCTTGGTGCCTACTACCATGCTTAGTACACAGCAGGTGCTCGAGTAATGTTTGTTGAATGAATGGGTGAATGGCTTGACCAAAAACTGAATGAACTAGGGAGATTCCTGACAAGGACCTTTGTTGCTATTTCAAATCAAATTAAATTAGGGGTCATCTAATTTGAAAAAAAGATCTCCCCCAGGTGGATTAACTTAGTGGTTTTGAGGACACAGCATGTGGGCATGTTGGGGCAAATAACGGGTACAGTATGAAGCTTGCACTGCCTCTGCTGTCTTCCCATAATTAGCATCTCTAATGTGTGTGTGCACGAAGGTCGGGTGTGGATACACATACCCACATTCTGAGATTTCCTATGTGCAGGGGAAATAGGAGCTGATCTAGCTTCTCATTGTTCTTGCAAGAGGTACTATGTCAGTCCATTCTTTACCCAGCTTACAGAGCTTCACTGCTAATATTTGCTGAGGGATTACAGTGTGCCAGGCAGACGTGTCCATTCAGTTGATACTCCCAAATCCATAAAGGGGAGACCCTTGTCATTATCTTTACTTTACAGATGTGGAAACTGAGTCTCAGAGAAGTGAGATAACTCGCTATGGTCAGAGGGGGCAGAGCCAGCATGGGAACCCATAAAGTCCAGCCCCAGAGGCTGCATTCTCATCCACTGTGCTACATATTGCCTTCCATTCATGAATTCATTCACTCTCTCAGTCATTCATTCACCCAACACACATAAACCAAATCCCTACTGCCTACCAGGGGTGGCTGCCATCTGTGTACACTCACTGGCATGTGTCTTGCTTTCAGTTTTCATCAGGCCAGAGACTAAAGATTAGGACTAAGAAAGCATCCTGAGAGTAACAGAGGTAGTTACTGCTCTGATGTTCCTGTGGGGGCTGCCATCCCTCCCAGACTTATGAAATCTTGGTATTTTTCTACTACCCTGTGGATCAGCAGGGACCAGCACCTTCTGGGACCCTCCAGTGCCTAGCATAGTGCCCGGAACACAGTAGGAATTAAAAGGATACTATTTATTGAAGGAATAAATGAATGATCAACAGGATTCAGTTCAAGCTTCAAGGTCTTAGAGGTTTTTCTAAAGAAACCCGATTTCTATTTTCCTGCTTACAACCCCTTTCAGCAACTCTTGGTTTCTAAGTCCAGTTGCTTTACCTGTCCTGGAGACCTTTCTGGTCTGGCTCCGGCTTCACTTCTGTCATCTCTATCCCTCTCCCTCCCTTCCACTTGCTCCTTGCTCCAGGCCACCCTGGGTTATTCCCAGCACCTCATCCGGAAGGGCTCTGTGTTTCCTCTTGATCTTCTGGCCATGATCCGCCTGTTCTCTGGACCGGTCTACCTTTCCCCGCATCCTCCAGGCCACCTCAAACTTGTAATCTAGATTTTGGCTCAGGCATCACCTCTACTCATAAGTCTTTCCTGGATAGAGGCACCACTGAGGTACATATCTAAGCATTTGATCATCATAGCTTTTCTCCTGACCCCCACAGTACTGCATCTTTTAATTTACAGGTCTCTCTCTCTCCAGATCTAGACCGTCAACTCCAAGAGGGCAGGGACTATATATGGCATGCTCACCAATATGTCTCTAGTGTCTGAAACAGTGCTGAACATAGAGTAGGTGCTCAATATATCTCTATAGAGATCTAAAAATAAAGATATATTGAGCACCTATTGTCTATTGATCGATCAATGATCTATACAGATTGATCATCTACTTATGTGTGTTTATCATCTATCTCTACCAATCTGTCACATTAATCTGTCAACTCTATTGTAACCATTAATCATCTATCCATCTGTTTGCCTATTAACGTATCCACCCATCTGTCTGTCTGTTAATCAATCTATGTATCACCTGTCTATCAATCTATCTTGAACACATATTGAATGAGTAGGGGCTGAACACATGGACTTCCCTCCATGCACTAGTTTCCAACAGATACTAACAAAACAGATGAATGGCCACAAAACTACTTTAGGGTCATATTTAAGGAGGTGATTTTTCACCAGTTAGGGGAAGATGGGAACCCTCCAGAACACTGCCCTTGGATCCTCCAAAGAAATGAGGATAAACACTTCCCTGAAATCGAGTTTTAAAACCAAGATAACCTGGGCAGGAGAGTTCTGGAGCAGCTGACAAACAACCTGGATCTTGTTTTTCAACCGAGGAGCGTGAAGGGTGAGGTGTGGGGCAGCCTGAGCTAGGGCCCTGCTGCTGTCACATCCTCCAAGACCTTCTCAAGGGGCCTCATTGTGGAAGTCCACCACCATCCACTGCAGAATGGTCAATTACCCAAATTCAAATACATATTCAAATTCAAGCTTAACATACTGCTCCCTGGCTTCCAACCAACCAATGGCTTTCCATTGCGTTTATTTATTTATTTTTTGAGTTTATAATGTGTATGTATATGTATATATTTCAATAGGTTTTTGGGGAACAGGTGGTGTTTGCTTACATGAATAAGTTCTTTAGTGGTGACTTCTGAGATTTTGGTGCACCCATCACTTGAACAGTATACACTGCACCCCATGTGTAGTCTTTTATCCCCTATATCCCCTCCCCTATATCCCCCAACCCTTGCCCATGAGTCCCCAAACTCACTGTATCATTCTTAAGCCTTGATTTCCTCATAGCTTAGCTCCCTCTTATGAGTGAGAACATACAACGTTTGCTTTTCCATTCCTGAATTACTTCATTTAGAATAATGGTCTCCAATTCCATCCAGGTTGCTGCAAATACCATTGTTTCGTTCCTTTTTATGGCTGAGTAGTATTCCATGGGGTATATATATATATATGCGCACACACACACACACACAATTTATTCACTGATTGATGGGCTGCTTCCATTTTTTTTGCAATTGTGAATTGTGCTGCTATAAACATGCGTGTGCAAGAATCTTTTTTGTATAATGACTTACTTTTCTCTGGTAGATAGCCCACAGTGGAATTGCTGGATCAAATGGTAGAACTACTTGTAGTTCTTTAAGGAATCTCCACATTGTTTTCCATAGTGGTTGTCCTAGTTTACAGTCCCACCAACAGCATAAAAGCGTTCCCTTTTCACCACATCCATGCCAACATCTGTTATTTTTTGGTTATGGCCATTCTTGCAGGAGTAAGGTGGTATTGCATTGTGGTTTTGATTTGCATTTTCCTGATCGTTAGTGATGTTGAGCATTTTTTCATATGTTCGTTGGCCATTTGTATATCTTCTTTTGAGAACGGTCTATTCATGGCCTTAGCCCACTTTTTGATGGGATTGTTTTTTCTTGCTGATTTGAGTTCCTTGTAGATTCTAGATATTAGTCCTTTGTTGGATCTACAGATTGCAAAGATTTTCTCCCACTCTCTGGGTTGTCTGTTTACTCTGCTGATTATTTCTTTTGCCTTGCAGAAACTTTTAAAATTAAGTCCTATCTACTTATCTTTGTTTTTGTTGCATTTGCTTTTGGGTTCTTGGTCATTAAGTCTTTGCCTAAGCCAGTGTCTAGAAGGGTTTTTCCAATTTTATCTTCTAGAATTTGTATGGTTTCATGTCTTAGATTTAAGTCTTTGATCCATCCTCAGTTGATTATTGTATAAGGTGAGAGATGAGGATTCGGTTCCATTCTTCTACACGTGGCTTGCCAATTATTTCTGCACCATTTGTTGAATAGGGTGTTCTTTTCCCACTTTGTTTTTGTGTGCCGTGTTGAAGATCAGTAAGTATTTGGCTTTATTTCTGGGTTCTCTATTCTGTTCCACTGTTCTATATGCCTTTTTTTATACCAGTACCATGCTGTTCTGGTGACTATGGCCTTATAGTATGCTTTAAGGTTGGGTAATGCAATGCCTCCAGATTTGTTCTTTTTGCTTAGTCTTGTTTTGGCTATGCAGGCTCTTTTTTAGTTCCATATGAATTTTAGGATTGCTTTTTCTAGTTCTGTGAAGAATGATGGTGGTATTCTGATGGGAATTGCATTGAATTTGTAGATTGCTTTTGGCAGTATGGTCATGGTCACAATATTGATTCTACCCATCCATGAGCATGACATTTGCTTGTGTCATCTATGACTTCTTGCAGCAGTGTTTTGCAGTTTTCCTTGTAGAGGTCTTTCACCTCTCCTTGGTGGGTTTGGGTTTGTTCTTGTTTCTCTAGCTCATTAAGGTGTGACCTTAGATTGTCTATTTGGGCTCTTTCAGACTTTTTGATGTGGGCATTTAATGCTATGAACTTTGCACTTAGCACTGGCTTTGCTGTATCCCAGAAGTGTTGAATTCAGGAGCAAGTTATTTAGTTTCCATGTATTTGCATGAATTTGGGGGTTCCTTTTGGAGTTAATTTCCAATTTTATTCCACTGTGGTCTGAGAGAGTATGTGCTGTAATTTTGATTTTCTTAAAATTGTTGAGACTTGTTTTGTGGCCTATCATATGGTCTATCTTGGAGAATGTTCCATGTGCTGATGAACAGCATGTATATTCTGCAGTCGTTGGGTAAAATGTTCTGTAAGTACCTGTTAAGTCCATTTGTTGTAGGGTATAGCATAAGTCCATTGTTTCTTTATTGACTTTCTGTCTTGATGAACTGTGCCAATATTACTGTGTTGCTGTCCATCTCATTTCTTAGGTCTAGTAGTATTGTTTTGGGAGCCCCAGTGTTAGTGCATGTATATTTAGATTGTGGTGTTTTCCTGTTGGACTAGTCCTTTTATCATTATATAATGTCCCTCTTTGTCTTTTTTAATTGCTGTTGCTTTAAAGTTTTGTTTTGTCTGGTAAGAATTGCTACTCCTGCTCACTTTTGGTGTCCATTTGCATGGAGTATCTTTTTTCACCTTTTTACCTTAAGTTCATGTGAGTCCTCAGGTGCCAGGCAAGTCTCTTGAAGACAGCAGACACTTGGTTGGTGAATTCTTATCCGTTCTGTATCTTTTAAGTGAAGCTTTTAGGCCATTTACATTCAACATTAGTATTGAGATGTGAGGTACTATTCTATTCATCATACTATTTGTTGCCTGAATACCTTGGTTTGTTTCATTGTGTTGTTTTGCAGGACCTGTGAGATTTATGCTTTAAAGAGATTCTATTTTGGTTTATTTTGAGGATTTGTTTCAAGATTTACAGCTCCTTTTAGCAGTTCTTGTAGTGCTGGCTTGGTAGTGGTGAATTATCTTAGCATTTTTCTGAAAAAACTGTATCTTTCATTTATGAAGCTTAGTTTCACTGGATACACGATGCGTGGCTGGTAACTGTTTTGTTTAAGGAGGCTAAAGACAGGACCCTTCTGGCTTGTAGTGTTTCTGCTGTGAGAAATCTGCTGTTAATCTGATGGGTTTTCCTTTATAGGTTACCTGATGCTTTTGCCTCTTAAGGTTATTTCCTTTGTCTTGACTTTAGATAACTTGATGACTATGTGCCTAGGCATGATCTTTTTGCAATGAATTTCCCAGGTGTTCTTTGAACTTCTTGTATTTAGATGTCTAGATCTCTAGCAAGGCTGGGGAAGTTTTCCTCAATTATTCCATTATTCAAACTTTTAGATTTCTCTTCTTCCTCAGGAACGCCAATTATTCTTAAGTTTGGTTGTTTAACATACTCCCAAACTTCGTGAAGGCTTTGTTCATTTTTTAAAAATTCTTTTTTGTGTTTGTTGGAGTGAGTTAATTTGAAAGCCTTGTCTTCAAGTTCTGAAGTTCTTTCTTTTACTCGTTTGATTCGATTGCTGAGACTTTCCAGTGCATTTTGCAATTTTGTAAGTGTGTCCTTCATTTTCAGAAGTTGTGATTGTGTTCTATTTAGGCTATATTTCACTGGAGATTTTTCCATTCGTATCCTATATCTTTTTTTTTAAGTTGGACTTCACCTTTCTCTGGTGCCTCCTTAATTGGCTTAATAGTCGAACTTCTTAATTGTTTTTCTGGTAATTCAGAGATTTCTTCTTGATTTGAATCCATTGCTGGTGAGCTAGTGTGATCTTTTGGGGATGTTAAAGCAAGCCAATTCACAATTCCTTGGCTGTCCCACAGTGCCTGCAGGGGCAATCCACCTCCTTCAAAGGCTCTATGGATTCTCTTGGCTTTCCTGGCATGTTTCTGCAGTAGTTCTTGGAGCAAAAGTTCATGATGTGGGGCTCCATACACTGCTCTGTCCATCCGAGTGGAAGCTGCAAGTTTGTCTTGCCTCCTATCCGCCATTTTCCCTCTATCTTTCCATTGCATTTAAAATGCAACCTGAACATCTTTCCCGGGCCTGCAAGACTACTCCCTGAGGCCTCTTTCCTACCAGTTTCCTTCTCACTTGCTGCACCCAGTACATTGGTCTCCCTGCAACTCGAGTACTCCTAGCTCATTCCCAGTGCCTAAGGGCCTTTGTATATGCTCTTCTCTCTGCTTGGAATGCTCCAGATCTCCCGAGGACTGGCTCTTTTACAGGCTTTAGCTTTGCAGTGATCTCCTTAGAAAAGCCTTCCTAGATGAATCAATCATTCTATTGAAGGTTGTCCCCATCAATGTCCTGAGTCCCCAGCAATCACATGAATGAAGTTTTCTCTAGAATACCTGTCATTAGCTGAGCTGTTTGTTTTTGTTTATCTATTTGCTCACTCACTGGCTGGCTGTCTCATTGGAATGCAATTCCATGACCACAGGGGCCTGGTTTGTTTGGTTCACCACAATCCCTCCTGAACCTGGCACACTGTAGGCACTTGGTGACTACCTGCAGAAAGAATGAGCATCTTTTATTTCCAAGTCAACAGCATGAGATTCCCATGTATTGGAGAAATGTATCTGAGCTGTTCAGCCACCTGCTGTGAGCCAGGCACTGTACAAGGCCCTGGGATAGTGCTAACACCAAGGAGATCCTAAATAGCCCACAGAGTGGTCCTGTAGTTCTTCCTTGCCTTTCTGTTCATTTGCTACTAAAATTAAGAGTTTAGAAAAAATTCAAAATACAAGTTAGGGCTCTCTGCATCACATGCTGTTATTTTTGCCAGTGATTTTGATGGTTCTCACTCCAAGGGTACCAGACCTGTGTAGTGAGGACCATCCCCCAAAAGCACTAGCCATGGAGCGGCCAACATCATTTGTCACTGCCAGAAGTACCCAGTCACCCAACAGCAGGCTGATAAACAGGGAGAGCCCAGACACCAGGCATTCATCTCTTTAATGGGACATTAATGTTGTCAATTGGCTGCTCAGGCCCCTAGCACAGAATCGAACTGGGGCAGTATCTAATTGCCCCCTGATGCCAGTAATTTATGGAATGGGCTCCCTTGGCTGCTCACATCCAGCAAATCCACTGGGAGTCTTAATTGAAAACAGTGGCTTAACAAGAAACTCTCACTGGTGCCTGTTTGTCATGGGGATACATACATTCGTTAGGCAGGGCCACAGAAGCTAGAGAAGGACTGTCAAGGAAAATATAAGAGGGTGGGACTCCCCCTCTCCCCAACATACTCTTAGCCCCTCAAGATGTACCATAGTCTACAATCAGACTCTTGGTCCCTAATCCAGCAGTCAGAACCATTGTGACAAATCACGTCCTTAGCACTTAGGGATGTGAGGAAGGCAGAAACCAGGTGCTGCAGTTTTGTGTGAATAACACGCACCAGGCTTGATCATGCTTCCCCTTCCTTCCTGCACCACGACCCAAGTACACTCATTCATTCATTCAAAAGTCTTACTCAGCATCTACAAAGACTACATACTGTCTGTGTGCTGGGGATACCACAGTGAAGAGGGAGACACAGTTCCAGCTCTCTTGTGAACAATCAATGAGTGACCAGATAAAGCAACAAGATAATTTTAGATAGTAAATGCTAAGAAAAAGTATTAAAATAGGGAAGGGTTGGATGGAGAATGTAGCTATTGCAGCAGCTTAAGTGGGTGCCGGGGAAGGTTTCTCTGAAGGTGTATCATTTGGATTTAGATCAGAATGATCAAAAACAAAGCTAGCTATGTGACCCATCTGTCCATCCATCCTTCCTTCAATCCATCATTCATCTACTCATCTAATCATATATTCAGTGATTGATCTGGTACTTCCCTTGAGCGAATCCAGGTGTGCTAAAAACTGTGGAGACAAAACCACAACTAAGCATAGGATTTGTGGCCAAAGAGACCTAGGTTGAATTTTGAGCTCTCCCACTTCCTAGCAATCCAGAAAATCTTTGGATCTCTATAAGCCTCAGTTCTCCATTCGGTAAAATGGGACTAATATTACTGACATTGGTTTAGGAGTCATCACTGGAAAAATTCAGAGGAGCAGAAATTCTACCCTAAAAAATACAACTGTGTTCCAGTTGGTTTGATCCTCCCCTGTTTAAGATGCTGGTGCCAGTGACTGGGGCCGGAGAACCTTCTTCGGGCACAGGGTTAGCTTATCTTTAGGGATCTCCAAGTCCTCTTCTCCTCCATCTCCAACTAGAAGTGTCAGATAGTGGAGTAGAATCTGGCCGAGGGAAATGCAAAATACAATGAAATGTGACAAGACCTGGCCTCTTACCTCGGAAAACTGAAGCCTCCCAAAGTCACTGGGTGGGCTTGCGATCTTGAAGACTTTTTTCGGCATCACCCAGGTCTCCAGAGTCTCTAGTTTGCTCACAGCCAGATTGGTAGCATGATGCTTGATCAGAAAGCCCTGGAAGCGGTCAGCAAGGAAGTAGAGGTGCACAGATGCTGGGTGGCCCATTGGGTAGTATCTGAAAACACAGGCGCTCATGCATTAGGGCCCAAGGTGTGTAGGATCACAGTGAGGCTCCCCACCCACCAAGCTAGTTTTGTTCCTAAAGCAGTCCCCATTGTGCACAATGCCTACTGTTTTCCTTGCGTCCTCTGTATCTATGATCTCAATGACTATGAATACTTTTTTCTTCTGCTGATTATGAATGAAAAACATGCTGACTGTAGGAAAGTACAACAAAGAAAGTGAAATGACTACTTTCCATGCCTCTTCCCATACATAATGTCCATTCACAGATATTGAGTCCTCTGGTGCTTGGTACCGGGCAGTGAAAATGGTGTGTGAACACTCATATTGATGGATTTCCCTTCGGCCTTATTTCCTATGCATCTATTTGCATAAATACTATTTGCATAAATACTACATAGTTGGCATCTATCTATCCTAGCTATTATTCTGTCTTCATTGTATAGTATTTCCTGAGGATTATCACATCTTTGAAAAGTCTCTGAAGACACGATTTTGTATGTGTTGATGCTCGGTGTGTTTCATCATAGTTAATACCAGATTTGATAGAGCAAGTTCTCTAGCATTGGATGATAACTCTAATTTTTTGCTTCTCTAAACAATGCTGCATTCAACATCTTTGAGCAAAACCTTTCATTCGTCTCTCTCTCTGTTTAAATGTCTGAGGCTCTTCGTGTCTGCAGCTTAACTGTTTCAGAAGTACTGATTTATTCTCTCACAGTCCTTACCACTTACACTGGTTATCATCTTTAACCATGATTGCCAATCTGAGATAAACACACATGCACATACATGCAAAAGTGGTTTGTTGTTTTAAAATGCACGTCTTTGATCCACAAAAACTTGCTGGCTGAAAAGGGCAGGGAAGTGAAGCAGAGATGTCCGGAGAAAAGGGGGAAGCAGATGGCAAAAAAGGAGTACCTCGGAGGAGACCAGTTTGGTATATTTCCTACTTGTCAGATAAATAGCTGCCGCTTCTGCAATGTGTAAATTGCACAGCTTTATAAGGCGCTTGTGGGTCCTTCATAATAGCATTTCACAAATCATTGTCCCTGCTCAGCTAAACGCAGCCTTCCCTCTGGTCCTGATCTGGAGTTTTAAGTCTTTATGTCCAATTATAACAGTTAGGGAAGCTGCCTTCCTGTGTTCACACATCTCCTGAAATCATTGCCTTGTTACTGGGATGCCTTCCAGGGAGCATAGAAAAAAAAAAAAAAAAAAAAAAAAACTTGAACAGTCTTCAGATGGTTTGTTGGGCATTCACCGTTCATGCAAACCTGTTTTAAATCTGGACTTTGGGAGTGGAAAGTCCAGCGACTGTGCTGTCATTCTACCACTGCAGCAACATCTAGGCAGGGCTATCACATAAAACCTCCTGCGATGACAGAAATATTTTATTTATTTATTTTTGAGGCAGAGTCTCACTCTGTTGCCCAGGCTGGAGTGCAGTGGCATGATCTTGGCTCACTGCAACCTCCGCCTCCTGGGTTCAAGCGATTCTCCTGACTCAGCCTCCTGAGTAGCTGGGATTACAGGCATCAGCCACCATGCCCGGCTAATTTTTGTATTTTTAGTAGAGACGGGGTTTCACCATGTTGGCCAGGCTGGTCTCAAACTCACTCCTGACCTCAAGTGATCCGCCCGCCTCGGCCTCCCAAAGTGCTGGGATTACAGGTGTCAGCCACTGCGCCAGGCCAAAAGCTTTTTATTTCCATAGGATTTTGGGGAACAGGTGGTGTTTGGTTGCATGAGTAAGTTCTTTAGTGATGATTTGTGAGACTTTGGGAAAGCTGTCTCCCAACCCACTAGCAAAGTGTGACTGTTCAGCCCTTGAAATATGGCCAATGTGACTGAGGAACTGAATTTTAAATTGTATTTAGTTTTAGTTAATTTACACTGAAGTAGCCACTTGTGGCTACCGTATTGGACAGCAAAGATAGTCATGAAAGAGCCAGTGGTCACCTGCATTAATGTCCCAAATCTCCCATCTCCTTTATCTTATGCTTTCTTCCATGTGACTTTGCAAGTTTCCTTGTACCCGGGAGGCAGAACCTATTTTTCTACCTCTGGAATCTTCTTTGGACAACAGAAAGTGGTAGAAGGGCTGTCACGTCAGTTCTGAGCCAGGGCCTCAAGATGCCTTGCACATTTCTGTTTGCTTTCTTGCTCTTTTGAGGTCACCATGAGAGCATGCCTGGGCTAGCTTGCTGGAGAAGGAGACATTTGAAACAGCAGAGCTACGCCAGTTGTCCCAGCTGAAGCCATCCTAGGCTCAGGCAACTATTCCCAGCCAAGGACCACAGAGCCACCTCCCGACTTGCAGTTGGCTGCAGATAGGGGAGCAAGGCCTGCCCATACTGGGAAAACTGTCCAGCTGATCTGCGAACTTGAGCATTACATGAATGCATATTGTTTCAAAACACTGATTTGGGAGTTGTTTGTTTCACAGTGTTATCGTGACAATAGACAAAGCACTGCCAGTGTGTGTTCTGTGAGGTGGGTAAAGCAGGAGAATTTGCTGTTACGGGAGTCAAAGGAAGAGAGTGTTTCCAGAAAGCAGCAGTCCAAAAAATTTAGAAGTCAATCTTTGATTACTTGCCTCCCTTCACCTTCTTTATATTTTTTGAGATGGAGTCTCTGTCACCCAGGCTAGAGTGCAGTGTCGTGAAACTGGCTCACTGCAACCTCTGCCTCCCGGGTTCAAGCAGTTCTCCCTGACTCAGCCTCCCGAGTAGCTGGGATTACAGGTGTCAGCCATCACACCTGGCCCCTTCCATCCTCTATTCTCCTTACACACTGCCAGAATCCCGGTCAAAGCCACCATCCTTTTATACCTGGGCCTCTGCAGGAGCTTCCTTAATTGTCACCCTCTCTTACTTTTGCCCACTATAACCTGTTCCCATAGTAGCCACGTCCATCGTCCCTCACTTAAATGCCACAAGCACTTTGCTTCATGCTTTCAGTAAAATCCAAACTCCTTACCTGGTCCACAAAGCCCTACCGCTTTCTCTAGCCCCCTTTTGTTTCCTGCTACCCTAATCCACCACTTCCTTCCTCATTGCTGCCTCTGACTTGTCACTCTCACATGACTTTATCTTCATTTTTTGCACAGCATTTACCCTTATTGATCTTATATTCTGGTTTACTTGTGCTTAGGTACTGTCTGTCTGCACACTAGAATGGGAGGGCTTTGAGTTCACAGGCCTGGTCCGCCTGGATCAAGGCTGAATTCTCCGTGCCTAACACACAGGCTGACACACGATAGCTACTCAATCAGTACTTATTGAAGGAGTGAAAATTCTAGAAGGATTTTCTCTTGAACCTCAAGTTACATCTACAGTCCCTGTAACCAAGGAGTGAGCACAAAAGCCCTCTGATGCCTCATCCTGACTGTATTTGGTATCTAAGTAATGAAAACTGTTAATGTCTCAAAACAGAAAAATAATCAAGATGCCGCACAACCAATCATCATCTACAGGAATGCAACCGAAGTATTCGTTTGGCCCAAAGCTGTTTTTCTTTCTTATTTAAATACGATGAGCACTAAAAAAAATTAGGAGATTTGGTTGGCAACTCCATCTGCATTCCCACGGAATGTACTGGGGTTCAGCTCCATGGACCTCCAGGTTCCCATGGTCAGCCCACCCTGCAGGGGGCACACTGAGTGATTCTAGTGCTTCGTGCCTGCCCCGGAGGGCATTTGGGGACCTGCAATAAAATGCTGACATCCTTATTTCTGGATGGTAGATTATATGCAAACTTTACTCTGATTCTCTCAACCTGCCATTTCAGAAACTTCTGCAATGCATATGTGTTAGTTTATAATGAGAAAAAAAAATCAATAAACATTATTTAATGAAAGGTTATATTATAGACTGGAAAGGCACAATTTGCCTAAAATACCCAGATAAAATGAGACTGTTAAAGTTTTCACTTGCTGTTTCCCCACATGCCCCGGGGCTAGGAATCCATTCTCTTCTGCCTTTTGGGATAAGGGTCTTTTGTCCTGATTTATTTTCAGGCTCCTATTCATAAATACATTGGCTTTGCCCACAGCAAGGCACCACAGTTCCATTACAATAAAAAACGAGGTGGATACCAGAGGATTCCTGGCTCGAGGCAACGTGACGGCTCACTTCATTCCAAAATGAATACTAGGGAGCAACCTTCAACAACCCTAGATAAATTGGGGGTGTCTTTTGGAATTTCCTGTAAGATCATTTACCTTATACATTCTAGGAAGCCTGCAACTGTAATTATTATGGAACGACATTTGCCTTCCAAGTGGCAGGCACTGCACTGTCTACTGGGGATACATGCAGGGATTCTGCTTCCAGACTAGCAGTGGGGGGGAGAGAGACTCCCTGGTGACCTTGAGCCAAGATACCGCACATACTGAAGGTGAAGTCCCTGAACTACTTTCAGCTTGGGAGACGGTGGGTGTGGGGTGAGCTATCTTAATAAGTGTCATAGAGGAGGTGGTCCTTGGATGGCTTTGTTGACTTGAGAAGGGGTGGCTGTGCAGTGGGAGGCAGTGAGCAAAGAAAATACAGGGAGAGAACAAGGAATTGTTACCATCACACACAGCAGGTTCACTGTTGGCTGCATCATAATGGCAACTGGCAACTAAGATACCAGCAATGACCTGAACCCTGAGCAGTTAGTACATGGCAACTGGCAACTAAGATACCAGCAATGACCTGAACCCTGAGCAGTTAGTACATAAAATGCTGTTAAAATGGGAATAACAAGGCTGGGCGCAATGGCTCATGCCTGTAATCTCAGCACTTAGGGAGGCTGAAGCGGGAGGATTGCCTGAGGTCAGGAGTTCGAGACCAGCCTGGCCAACCTGGTGAAATCCTGTCTCTACTAAAAATACAAAAATTAGCTGGGTGTGCTGGTACATGCCTATAGTCTCAGCTACTCAGGAGGCTGAGGCAGAAGAATCGCTTGAACCTGGGAGGTGGAGGTTGCAGAGATCACATCACTGCACTCCAGCTTGGGCAACAGAGTAAGACTCTGTCTCAAAAGAGCACTGTATAACTAACTCATCAGGTAGTTTTTGATGATTATCTCCTTTACACTTCACAACACCTTATGATACAAAAATGATGAGTATTACTCTTCTCATTTCACAGATGAGGAAACCGAAGCTCAGAGAGATGAATGACTTGCCCAAGGTCAATAGCTTGTAAGCAGAGTTTAAACTGCAGGTCCTGGGTTCCTAACCCACACTAGTCTCCCTTTAAACTAAATCAGAAACTTTACGGAGAGAGAAGCCGAGGGATGTGAGGAGGTGATGGGACAGTGTCACAGCCCTGCGGAAACCTTGCTGGCCAGGGATGAGACACCAGGTGGGAAACCTGCCTGTGTTTTCAGAGAGTTAGTGAACAATCTTCTTCCCCCCAGCCCCGTCAGAGACTGACGCTAAAAAAAAAAGATGCTATGTTGTTAAATGAACAAGAAAAAGAAGGAGAGTGATTAGAGGCACTTCTGGGAATCTATCCTAAGGAAATAATCAAAAGAGAGAATGGAAAAAAAGGGCTTTCTGAGAAAAGATATTCATCAGAACATTATTTACAAGGGTACATTACTGACAATGGCAACAGTGAAGGGCCAGATTAAGCAAACTCTGGAACTTCTGCTCAATGGAATACTAGAGGCATTAAAAGGAATCATTATCATTGCGGAAGCTACTGAGCAGCGTGGAGAAATGGGGGCTAATAGTATAATGCCAAGGGAAGAAAACAGGATACCCAATTCTTGTTGCAATTATGTAAATATCCAAAATGCATATTGCTTCAGAACAAAAGAAAGGGTACACAACGTGAAAGTCTTGACTGGCTTAGGGAAAGAGATGAGAGGAGAAGGGATTATGTTGAATTATTTTCCTACCTCCCCCTCATCTTCTAGAACACTCTTTCCTGAAGTGTTGGCAGTTAGTGGTAGATGAGACAATTGTAAGGGGTGGTTGAGAAGTTTCAACAATAGTTCTGCCTATTAATTTTCTTTGTGATATTTTTAGGTGTGATGACATTATGGTGAATGTTTTTAAAAGAGTTATTTTTCAGAGATACATTATTAAAATATTGATGGCTGAAATGATAGGATGTCTGGGATTGACTTCAAACTGATCCGGGAGGAGGCGGAAGGTGGGTGAAGATGAAAATGAAACAAGATCAGCCCCGAGTTGGAAACTGCCGGGGCTGGGTGACGGGAACATGGGGTTCCACTGTTCTATGTTGTACATCTTTGACATTTTCCATCAAAAAAAGTTTTGTACCTTCCACTTAAGACAAATGCTACATATGATATGGTGACAAAAAGCTTCCTTCTAAAGTATATATATGTAGCATGAAGAATGAGTAAAATCATTGGGTACATAGGATATCTGGTATCTGAGAAAGTAAAGCACAGCTTGGATTGGAAATGCCACGCACGCTAGGAGGGTGGCGTTAGATGAGTTTTGGGCAAAGGAAGAGAGAAAGCATAGGGTGGCATTGCATTGCAGATCCCTAAAGAGGAAGAAGGACCCCCACTCTGTACCCTGAGCCTCCCCTCCTGCTTCTCAGCTCTCCTCTCTGCATCCCATATAGGGCTCACCGGCAGCTGTTCTCCCCATCCGTGTGCAGGGACGTCTCGGCCCGTCGAAGACCCAGGCGGGCAAAGGAGTGGTACAAGGTGAGTGTCACGTCGCTCAGGCTGTGGATGCCGTCAGGCTCATCGTAGACATTCTCCCAGTAGGAGCGCAGGCCCGGGGTACCTGCAGGGTAGTTCCCGTACAGGTAATAGTCCAGCTGCCCAATGATTTCCTGATTCACCACGGCTTCAAACTTGCGGGCAAAGAAGGTAGGCCGGGCTGTCTGCTGTACTCATGGGATTAAAAATAGAAAAGCCACATCAGCGAGTGCTGGGGGTTGGGGGGAACCTAAGGGCATATCCTGTGGTTAGAAGCAAAGCTCTGCTGGACCCGAATTAGCTCCGATACTTTTTGCACCTCTGTGTTCTCAGTTTCAACATCTGTAAAATGGGTTATAATAAGGGTGTGAGTTAATCTGTGCAGAACATCTAAAGCAATGATAGGCACTTAGTAAGCATCATTTCTTAGTAAGCATCATTTAGATGTCTGTTAAATAAACTAAATAATTTTAGATGGTAATAGCTGGGATGGATCTCAGACATCATTTAGGTACAGGTCACAGGCTAGTAATCTAGGGCAAATAAATACAGCCTGCAGATGTATTTTAGCTAGCCATATTTAAAACATGAAAGAGTTCACGGAAATTCTTTTGGCTTCTCTTTAAACAGCAATAGATCTGGCAACCCCAGGCCCACACTCCACATGGTAACAACTGGTTAAAGCTGAAGGGTGGTGGCTGTTCCTTTAGACAGCACCTAGGTTCTTCTGCTCACTGCAGTCTCCACCATGCCCTATTGCCTCTTTGGTATTTCAGCCAACTTGCAGACTCACAAGGGATCGGAATCTCTGGGACTTTGAAAAATTCAGATTCCAGGCCAGGCACACACCTGTAGTCCCAGCTGCTCAGGAGGCTGAGACAGGAGAATCACTTGAACCTAGGAGGTGGAGGTTGCAGTGAGCCGAGACTGCCGCTGCACTCCAGCCTGGGTGACAGAACAAGACTCTGTCTCAGAGAAAAAGGACCTACTGAGTCAATAGCTCTGGAGTGTAGCTCAAAAAAAAAAAAAAAAAATTCCCAGGTGATTATGATTCAGTGTTTCAGGACCACTGATAGCAACCAAACTCTCAAGGCAACAGGCCCAGAGATGGTAAGGGACTTAGCTGAGAACACACAGCAAGTCACTATCAGAGATGGGACGAAGAGTCAGGGTCCAGGGTTAAAGAAATACTAAGCACCTGTAAGCTACCAGGTGTTATACTTTATATTCAGTAAAAGGCCAGACAGTAAATATTTAAAATAGCTTTGAAACCTTCAGCTTCGCTTTTATAGCATAAAAGCAGCCACAGACAGACAAGAGACTAAATAAATAGGTATGGCTGTGTTCCAACTAAACTTCATTTATAGAAGCAGGCAGTGGGCTGACTTTGGCCCCCAGGGCTAGAGTTTGCTGACCCCTTGTGTAGGGCTGCGGAGACAAATAAAACACAGGTCTCTCCCTTGAGGAGCTTATTATTGTCTAGTGTTATTATTGACCTAAAGTTGGGTCCAGCACTGTTTTCATGGTGGTAGATTAATAGCAGCAACAACTACTGACCACACACAATACGCAGGGCAATGGACTTATGTCATTACCTCTAATTTTCCCTGTAACTTGGCAAGGCAGGTATTATGATTCCCATTTTACAGATGAGAAAACTGAGCTCAGAGAGGCAAAGCGATATGTACAGACTCACACCATTGTAAGATTTGAAGCCCAAATGCATGACTCCAAAATCCAAGCCCTTTCTACTGTATCACTCCAGGACTGAGGCAACTGAGTAAACTGGGAAGCCCCCTGATCGTAAGTACCCTTGGTGTTATTCTAAACATCTCATTGCCAGTCTGCTTCAGGAAACCTCTCTGTGGTGGGGAGCACAGCTTAGCACTGTAGAGAGTTAGACCACCTGAATTCAAATCCTCATTTGGCTACCGTCTAGCTGTGCAGGTCAAGTTACTCAAACTCTCTGGGCCTCAGCATCCTTAAAATGGGTTACTAGCATAGTGTCTAGCACATAGTGTAGGCTGCTCTTTGATTATTATCACCAGCCCCTTGTTACCAGGAACCCATCTAGGGGCAGAACAAACTCCTTTCTCTGCCTGCGATTCCGACCATAGCTGGATCTTCTAACAAACAGGGCACGTTACCATATTATTCTTTCTCTCCAAGTTCTTCGCGCAAGAACTCTGAGTTCCTTACAGGCAGCAGTGTCTTGACTCTAGATCTTGGGGGATATTCTTAATCTCTGCTTGCTGTGAACACATGAGGCACTCCTTGTCAGAGGCTACAATGTCCCCAGGATGCCGGGCTAGGATACAAATGCTTGTGCCTGGGGGAGTGCAGGGCTCTGGGAATCAGCACGTGGAGGTTTTGTGCTCTAAGTGATGAAGATTCTCTGCGATTAGGGCAGTGAGGGACGGGTCCTCTCCAAACATGGGAATTCATTGAATAGGTCAAACAAACATTCCCCTGCAACCCTCTTTCGGCTCAGCATATCCTTTCTGCAGGGAAGATGTGAGTTTAGGCAGCCCCCTGTCTGCCAGCTTAAGGTGGCTGGAGCTGCTGTGTGGGAACCTTAAGGGGAATACGAACGACAGAAAACCTGCAGTGTACTCTGCATTCATACAGGCACAAAAACCAGGAAGGCAGCAGGGACTGCTGGAAAAAAACCCCACTTGGAACACCCCTCCATGCCTTCGTTTCCTTACCTGAACAATAAAAGTGATGTCTGCCCCAGTAAAGCCAATGCCCACACAGCCCGGCACAGAGGAGATCAAACACAAACAAACAGCATCCCGCTCCACATCAAGGGCACCTTGGCTGGGTTATGAGCCTGGCATTGTGTCCCTGCCTTCCTGTGTTAGTGGTTTGGGAAGTAGCATACCGTCTCTACACGGTGGCTCTAGTGACCTCAGAGTGATTCGCTTAACCATTCAGTGGCACTCATATTTGTGCTCTCTGCTGCTAGGTGTGGGGAGGGCTGGAGGAAGAAGCCACCATGCTGGCTTGGAGGGAGCAGAGCAGGAAGGGGTGCCCATCTTGGGGCCAAGCACTCTCAGGGCTCATGGTAAGTGGATGAGCATTCCCCACCCTCCTGCTCTGCCCTTCCCCAGAACTGTAAATTGTTAGGCTGCCCAGAGACAGCTGTAAAGGGGATAATGTTCTACCTCTTCTTACTCCTTCAAGTACACAGAACACAGTGTTTTCCCACAGAACACAGTGGTTTCCAAACCTGGCTGCTCCTCAGAAAAGTGCAATTCATTAAAAATACAAATTCGTCGATATCACTGATGAGGGTTTCTCAACCAGAGGTGCTGCTAAGCATCCTACCCATGCATGGGACAGCATGTCCCAACAGAGAATCATCCAGCCACAATGGCAAGAGTTCTGAGGTTGAAAAGCTCAGCCCTAGATATATACTTAAAAGCATATTCCTGGGTACAAATGTAACAAATATTTTGGGAGATTCTGATGAAAAGGGAATAAAGAGAAGATGATATGAGTATGGCCTTTGGAAAGTTTTTTTTAACCTTTCTGTGCCTCACAGTTTTCATATCCCTAAAATGGAATAATAATGAAAGGTCATTTGTTGTTTTTGGGTTAATGAGTCAATGTGGTTAGAACATCCCTGAAGTAAGTGCTCAATAAACACTGGCTATTGTTGATACTGTTAACTATTATTAATTATCAACAGCCAGGTTTGGGCACCATGTGATAAGATGACCTGCAGGTCTGGCCTTGGATTTCTGCAGAGGTTTGTTGGGAAGGCATCACTTAGGAGGCTGGCAGACCATGAGAAAGTCTCACCTGGAAGCGGTGGAAGTCCTGCGGCTTGAAGTCATTGGGGGAGCAGCCGCACCAGTCCACGATGTGCTTGTACTGGCACTTGCAGCCCAGCTTGCGATTCCAGTTGGTGATGCGCAGGTTGTTGTCCACCATGGTGTCGCAGTGGGGGCTGTTCTCCAGGACCGTATGGAAGAAGGACTGCAGGGGAGAGAGGGACCCAGCCTGAGACCTCTCCCAGCCTCCCACAGATGAACTGGGGTGGGAAATGGTGAACCCTTGCTCTGAGTTCATGTAAGAACTGGTTGTTTAAAAGAATGTGGCATCTCATCAGAAGCTGGGCGGCTTCCTGTACAGCTTGCAGAACTGCAAGCCAAATAAACCTCTTTTCTTTATAAATTACCAAGCCTCAGATTTTCCTTCATAGCAATGCAAAAATGTATAACACAACTACCTGACTGTCAAGGGACTCTTATGTTCTCTGCATGCATTTGAGGTCAGCTGCCCATGTGGTCCAACTCAGAGCGCAGGCGGATGCTCTGTCCAACAGACAAATCAAAGGGATTCAAGTCTGACTGACTGACTGGTGTGCTGGAATTTCACCCCTGGGGTAGGGAGACCAGATTGATGGTTGCATTAGACCCAGGGCTTCCTGCATCGCCAGACGGCAACATAGGGAAGGGAGTGGGTGGGGCTGCTTGCTGTCCATGGTACTGAACCAGGTGCCATATTTTCTCCCTAATCCCAGGATTCTTGGCCAACTGCTTTAAGGGATCTGAGAAAGAGGCCATGTTGGATCTGAAAAGAAAAACTAGAGGAGAAACAATCAATCACTGGAGTACTTGAGAGACTGCCAGAGAGTGAGAGAAAGATTTCTATAATAGACAGTCCCAGGCAAATATATTTCCTCCCTGTTCTCTCTCCCTAAGGGAAGCTGTTGGGGAATCTGTGTCTGCCCGTTACAAGTTAATGGGCACAGCCTTCTGATTTCTTCTAAACCAGTCCTCTTGAAGTGGTCTGGGAGAAGGGAGGGAAGGCAGAGATGCAGGAGGTGGGACTGAACAGAGACCCTGGAGTATATGTGCTTGTGTGTGCTGGGGCCAGGGAGGGGCAGAGAAAGCACACACACGGAGCTTTGGTCACCAGTATCGTGGTGGGCGTCTTGATTAAAAATAGCCAAACTCCCAAACAATCTCTTCTAAATGGATGGGTGGGTAAATGAGGCTCCAGCCGCCACCCCCTGCTGACCTTCCTGTGACACTAAATGACAAGCCCATGAACCTGGATTTTAAGCTTGAATTGCCTACAAGCCCAGGGAGGCATACATTCTCCAACAAGCAGTGGGAAGATGTACCCAATTACTGATTGCCCTGTGTCCTTTCATAATGATACAGAAATTCCCTGCAATATAATGGATGAGGAGGTTATCAGAATTGAGAGAAGAGGTGATTGATTTTTGCTGAAATAGGATTAAAAGCTGATTACTTAACATGTGTGCAGAATAGTAAAACCTGGCCCAGTGATGACAAGCTCATCATCCCTCTGGGTGATGGGGGCAGTCAGCCCTCCCCGGAGCTTGGCACTGCCCCAGACACAGGTGAGAGATGTGCTGGGAGTGTGGCCTGCAGAAACACACATAACCTATGTGGTCCCGGGAAGGAACAAGGGACCGTTCATGAGAAATGCCATAGACTCAATAGAAACGGAACCAGCTCTGCACTGTTCTCAAGCTGGATTGGAAATGAGGGTGCAATCAACCTGGAGGTCAGGAAGATGAATCTGGAATCCCTCAACCCAGCTCTGACCGGCAGGCAGCTAAGGGAATGTCAGTGACAATCCTTCAGAACTGGATCCCCTCCCCACTTCTAGATGGGGCTAGGACTGTTTTAGAATACTCTGGATTAATGGAGTATGACTTATGAAACCAACACCCTTTTCTTCAGGGAATAATAGAGCAATGTTCAACATGAGAAAAGGCATGCTTGGTGTAAAAAGGTGGTCATTACATGATTGGTCATTGTGAAGGATGCGTCAAAAGTTGATGTGGCGGCCGGGCATGGTGGCTCATGCCTGCAATCCCAGCACTTTGAGAGGCTGAGGCAGGAGGACCACTTGAGGCCAGGAGTTCAAGACCAGCCTGGCCAACATGGCAAAACCCCATCTCTACTAAAAATACAAAAATTAGCTGGGTGTGGTGGTGGGCGCCTATAATCCCAGCTACTCAGGAGGCTGAGGCAGCAGAATTGCTTGAACTCTGGAGGTAGAGGTTGCAGTGAGCAGAGACTGTGCCACTGCAGTCCAGCCTGGATGACAGAGGAAGACTGTCTCAAAAAAAAAAAAAAAAAAAAAAAAAAAAAAAAAGTTGATGTGGGTGTGTCCTGAAAGGGTCAGCATATACAGTTGTGCAGGTTACACACTACATACCTTTTAGGGGTGCCATCAGCATTGTGGATGTCAGAAGGGTTTTTTAAATAACAGTTTTCTGGAAAATAGCCATAAGGTTCTTGTTCTAACAAAATCTGTGTATCATGTGATTTTTATGACCAATGAAAGCCAAGTATCTTGAGGAAGAGCTGCCTTTTCTATTTTGCACAAAGACACTGTGTGGACTGCCGGTGGTAGCACCGTGTGTCTACTCCACGCAGCCTCTGTGCAGACTGGAGGGAGACCAGGCATCCTGCTAAGACAGCAAGGATGTCTGGGTGTGTAGAGGACAATGTAGGTGGACCCAGAATCTCTTTGCCAAAAATTCAGCATCTGCTTTGCCACAAAGGCTAGAACAAGCCCCTATCTTTCTTGGGAAAATTTTCCCAGATACTCACCTCAGCAGGAAGCAGGGTGTAGGAGTAGAACTGTTTCATCTTGGTCACCAGATCGTCTGTGGAGAAGGTCACATATTCTACAAACCTCCGGTTCAGCAGGAACCAGTCCGAACCGCCATCCACGGCAATGCCCTCTGGGATCCGCCGATCTCCCAGGCGCCACATGTGAGCGTCGCACTCCAGGAAGAGCCGATCCAGGCCCTGCTTCCGAATGAACCTGGGAGGGAGAAAGCTGCCCTTAGCCCAGAGGTGTCCTGAAAGACAGAACTCCAGCCAGAGTCCAAATAAAACAACACAATCATAGCGATGATGGCAATTATTGAGTGCCTGCTGTGTGCCAGGTACTGCTCCAGGGCTCTGCGTGGAGTTTATCACTTGATCCCCACAAGTGAGGCATGTCACCGTATTTACCCCTATGACGCAGGTACTATTTGACCCCCAACTTTCATATGAGGGCACTGAGGCTTAGAGAGCCCAGGGGACTTACCCAGCACAGTCAGATGACAGTGATCATCTGCTACAGCTACTCCTTCTCTAGAGAACTTTGGCAACAACCTCCTTATGCCATAGAGGTCTTGGCAGTTTAGTGAATGCAGACCATGGACCCTTGTCTCAGAATAGTACTCTTCAATGCATACAACAAAATATACAGGGTTATGAAACAGCGAAAAATAAAAATCCACCAAAGTTCTGATATAAAGTAATGCCTGTGCTTCTTGACTCACACATTATATACAGGATTACAACATTTTTAAAATTTTTATTTTTTGAGACAGGGTCGTGTTCCGTTGCCTAGGCTGGAGAGCACTAGTGTGATCCTAGCTCCCCGCAGCCTCAAACTCCTGGGCTCCTGTGACCCTCCTGCCTCCAGCTCCTGAGTAGCTAGGACTACAGGCATGCATCACCATGTTTGGCTGATTTTTAAAATTATTTTTGTAGAGATGGGATCTTACTATGTTGCCTAGACTGGTCTTGAACTTCTGGCTTCAGGCTCCCAAAGCACTGGGATTACAGGCATGCACCGCCATGTCTGGCTGCTGCTTAAATTTTTTTGTAGAGACAGGGTCTCACGATGTTGCTTAGGCTGGCGTAAAACTCCTGGCCTCAAGCAATCCTCCCACCTTGGCCTCTCAAAGTGCTGGGATTATAGGTGTGAGCTACTGCATGGGGCCTGGATTACAAAATACATTTTAAAACACTGAATGTATGGTACTACGTGTGTTTCTTTATTAATACATTAAATAACAAGATATCATGGCAGGTCTATTAAATCCTGTAATTTTTTTTTTTTTTTTTTTTGAGACAGGGTCTCACTCGGTAGCTCAGGCTGGAGTGCAGTGGCATGATCTTGGCTCACAGTAACCTCCGCTTCCTGGGTTCAAGTGATTCTCCTGCCTCAGCCTCCTGAGTAGCTGGGATTACAGGCACACACCACCTCACCCAGCTAATTTTTTTTTTTTTTGTATTTTTAGTAGAGATGGGGTTTCACCATGTTGGCCAGGCTGGCCTTGAACTCCTGACCTCAGGTGATCCACCCACCTTGGCCTCACAGAGTGCTGGGGTTATAGGTGTAAGCCATTGCGCCTGGCCTAACTCCTGAAATTTTGAAGTAGTGGTGAGCATAAATGATATTTAGAGGTATCTGCACCAACTATAATGTGACAGGAAAATAGATGATTCCTACTGGTGACCGAGTCAGTTAGTTACTGCTAATACTACTGTGATTTGTTACCTACCTTTAGCTAGATTTCAGTTAGAATTCCATTAAAAAAGATATCATTTTCTTCTCATCCAAAATCACGAACCTCCCCTGAATTTTTCCCATGAACCCTAGATTAATAACTCCTACTGTAGTAACTATATACATATAATCATCTTGTTTAGAATTTTGCAAGGCAGGCTGGGCAGAGTTGGCATTTCCTATTTTGTAGATGCAGAAACCAAAGCTGTTCAGGTCCCAGAGCTGGTGACGTGGGCATGTTGGGAGGGTGGACAGAGCTAGAACCAAGGCTTTTGGGCCAAACGCTCAGTCCATTAGCAATTAGCATTCATTGCACACATAACCATCATTGCCATTACCATCATCACCATTTTCATTATCATCACTGTCACTGCCACCATCATCATCATCTCCATCTTCATTATCAGCACCACTATCACCATTTTCACGTATTACGTGCCAGGTACTGTGCTGGCCCATGGTACAGGTCAAGGAGAAGTAAGGACGAGCTCTGCTCCTAAGGAGCTAGTTATCTAGATGGGAGCTTACAGTCTAGAGTTGAACTCAGGGACCTTTCTGCTCCTTCAGGCTGCTGGCCCTTACACACGACCAGGACTCTGGATTTTTCAAGCCCTTATGAATAACTCTATTGTATGAATGCTTCTCCACACCACCACAGTTTCCCTACACATGTGCCTTTGGTCATGGACTCCGTATGTGCTGGGAATGATTGTCTTCTTCCTCTCCCCTTCAGTGTTCCCTGAGTGAACTTCACTTCATCGATCAGATTGCAGACCAAAAGCTACTCTCTCAGTCCTTACAGTCTTACAACACTGTAATTTCTTCCACCATCATTGCCATTACCATCATCACAATTTCCATTATCACCACTGTCATCACCACCATCGTCATCATCACCATCATCATCACAATTTCCATTATCACCACTGTCATCACCACCATCGTCATCATCACCATCATCATCACAATTTCCATTATCACCACTGTCATCACCACCATCGTCATCATCACCATCATCGTCACCAATTTCAGTATCACCACCATCTTCATCCCCATTATCACTACCACCATCACCATGGCAATGAAAACATATGAGCATTATCATTACAAGGGCTTTATATGGATTATCTACTTTAATTCTCATGAAAACCCCAGAGACAGTACTTTTATTAACCCATATTTACAGGTGTATGAACTCAGCAACTTGCCATAGCACATTTCTGTGATTCTGTGATTACTGTCTACCCTTTCCAGTAGACTACAAGCTTCATGTGAGCTAGGGTTGTTCTTGTTTTTGCTCATCACTCTGTGCCTGGCACACAGTAAGTGCTTAGCGAGTATTCACAGAATGGATAGATACTGAATCCATCAATAGGCAAATACATGTCCAGCACCTACCACAACCCCAGCCTTGTGGTGGGTACAGTGAAAGACAGGAAACACTATAAACGACAGGCTTTATCTTCTAGGAACTCATAGTCTGACTGGGCAAATATGATACAGGCACATATAACCATAGGTTAAATGAGTTTCGAGGAACTTCTGGAAAAATGGGGACTAGGGCAAGGGTGAAAAGCCAGCATGCTGTGGACTTGGTTGGTGGTCAGGGATGGCGTCATGGATGAGGCAGGGCTTGAGTCAGACTAGGAGGGGTGCAGGGAGGAGAGAAAAATGGACATTCTAGACAGAAAACAGACTCATCAGAGATCTGGGGAGCAGACCAGTTTGGCTTAATTGGGAGATTGCTCTGGGCAGATGACACAGATTGAAAAGGTCATACATTTTTAATAAAGATAACATCCACACAATGTAAAATAACAAGAGACCAAGAAATGATTTTATGATGAAGGGGATCTAAGTGTCTCGAGGAAGAGCTGCCTTTTCTATTTTCCACAAAGGCGCTGTGTGGATTGCTACAGGCAGCACCGAGTGCCTACTCCATGCAGGCTCCATGCAGACTGGAGGGGGATCAGGGGCTCTGCTGTAACAGCAGTGGTTTAAAATTAAGCATTTAAGGTGTACAGTTTAGTGGAATTAGTTCATTAACAATGTTGTCCAACTGTCACCTCTGCCTGGCTTCAAAACATTTCATCAGCCCCCAAAAGAAAACCCCATACACATTACACAGCCACTCCCCATTCATGCTAGCCCCTGATAACCATCAGTCTGTCTTCTGCCTCTATGGATTTACCAATTCTAGATATTTCATATAAAGGCAGTCATACAATATATGGCCTTTTGTGTCTGCATCTTTTGCTTCGCATAATGTTTTCCAGGTTCATCCATGCTGCAGCAGGTATCGGTGCTCCATGCCTTGTTTTTGCCTGCTCAGCATCCATTTATGATTTTTCTGGGAACCACATTTTGCTTTACTTTGGACTCATCCTTAAATCTCAGTTTACTTGGGTCTGTATCCTCACCCTAGCACCAGGGGGTGGGAACATGACCCAGGATGGATCAGAGCATCCCATCTGTCTGGCCTCCATAATCAATTCAGGGATGGGCCAGCAATGCAAGCTGGGTCTGAGACTAGGTCTTGGATTGTTGCTGGAGTTAGTGAGAAGGAGGGGCTTTTCTATGAGATTTCTGGCAGGGAGGATGTCAGCCTAGGGCTGCTGGTAGCCATCTCATCACCATGAATATAGAGGTTGTCTGACAATGGAGCAAACTGGAAATAGGAGACAGAAAGACACAGTGCCAAGCGCTTGATGGGTTCACTTGAGATTCTGGATCTCACTGTGCCTGACCCTCTCCCAGACTTGTGTGTTATGTGCTTAAGGCATTTTTGAGATGAGATTCCTCACTTGCATTTGAAAAAGTCCTAATACATGCCTGAATGATTTCAACTTAATCACAACCATGATGTGTGGGGAGGTTCTTAGGCTCCAGACAGGGCAGGTAGCCAGGGCTGTGGCACAAAAATGCTTCCTCTTCCACTGAGCCAGTCTGCTCAGAGTTCTAGAGCTGTCTGCATTTCTGCAACAGACCTCGTTACTCTGTCTTCAGACTGGAGTTACCTGTCTCCTCGCAGGTAGCCTTTATTCTCACTACAACACACTTTGGCTCTGGACTTTGTGCCTCCCTTCCAGGTCCTAGGACAGTGCAGGTCAGCTGCTCAAGAAAAGTCTACTGTGATGAGGAGACTTCAGGGTTTGGAAGCTGAAGATGGTCCTGCCCTGGTAGTCACGCTGAATTCCAGAAAGAATTCCCTCTCACCGGGCTTCCCACAAATCCACTGACATTCACTCAGGGGAATTACTTGAAACCTCATTAGTAAACCTACATTCTTAGCATTTCTTTTCTGCATGAGCAGAAAACCCACCTCTAGACATTGGCTACTATGGAAGATAATGACATAGTACACCTAAGTCATCACAAAATGGATGATGGTGTAATGAAATGGCGATGACGGTAACGCTGGCAGGGAACAGACTTAATTCGGCTGAAATGTGCTTTTCATCTGTGGGGCAGTGTGGTTTTACCTGTCACCAGCTGGGTGACTTCAAAATGTTAAGGAGTCCTCTCTGAGTCTCAGTTTCTTTCTTGGTAAAATACAAAGTTGGTCTAGATATGGGTTGTAAAGTTAGATCCCTACAGGGCGGTCAGACAGATAATGGAAGCGTGTGAAGCAGCCTGAATACGAAAAAACAAGGACTGATGAAATTAGCAGAGAAGTGAAGAACACACATTCTGAAATGCACTTCCACTCCTTTAAAATAAAAAAGCATTTCTGGTTGAATAAAACATCTCTCTAGGATGAATCCAGCCCATAAGCCATCGGTCCAGTCACAATAATCCTGGGTTAGGTAATTCCCAAGGTACTCTCCAGCTTTGACATTCTATAAGTCACATTGTTATACTCAGGAAAAGGGCATGGGGCAAGCAATACATCTCATATGGATACACGGGAGCCCAGAGAAGACTGGCAACTTTTCTAAGGACACACAGAGGACTCAACACAAGGGTAGAACCAATCAAAAGACCCAGCTGTCCTATGTCACGGGTCTTGCTCTTTCTCTAACACATCTTTCCACATGCAAAATCTGAGCTCATTAGCAAAGCCATGTTCTTGCTACAGAGCAGTCCTCTCTGTGTCTCAGTTTCCCCCTTGGTAAAATACAAAATTGGGCTAGGTCTGGGTTGTGAAGTTAAATCCCTATAGGGGTCAGACAGACAATGGAAGACAGATAATCCAAGCTCATTAGCAAAGTCATGTTCTTGCTGGGAAGGAACTCAGCGAAGATTTTTTGTAATACAGTATTAACCCACTGAAATGTAACTGAGCTCTAACTGGGTCATCAAAGGAAGCCCCTGAGTTTAGGAAAATAAAACCCTGCCTTGACTCTGGCTAGTGCTAATTATACAAAAATGTCCAGTCGATGCACTTAACCATGCTTGAAACTTTCAATTTTAGATAATTTGTATTCAAACTTACATGGTTACCAGACTAACCATGAGAGACAGACAGAGAAGAAATACAGGTGAGAGGACTAGCAAAATTTTTCTTTCCAGTTTTTAATTTCATGTTCCATTATATGGGATAATAGCATCGTCTTGCAATTTTAATGTGATGTCCCGGACCATAATATTCAAATACAATATTTATGCAGTCATCTCCAAAATGAAATATTCATGGGATTGGGAGATGGGTTGCTGTATTTATCACATTCAAAAACTGATATGCTGCAAACGCATGCTTTGGTTAACTAAGAGTAAATGGAGACAACCAATTCCCTAGGTCTCAGAAAAGTTTCTGGAGTCACAGGGGTGAATGGGGACTTAAGTCTTGGACTAGGAGATGGTGGCAGAGGCCCAGCAACAGGGTATCTACCAGGGGAGAGGCATCAGCTGTTTGGGCAGGGATTTGCATTTTTTCTTCCCTTTCTTTACCATAACTTGAAAAGGTAAAATTGGAAGGCAAGGTAAGTCAGTGAACACCTGAGTGACTTTTTATAAAATATGGCTCACCAACAAGGGGCGCATGGCTCTCTCACCTGAGGCGTGAAGCACAGATCTGTAGCAATAAGCCCCATATACAAAAGGTGACCAATGATACGCTCTTCCTTTTCATTTCCCATTGAGTAGGTTACCTGGGGCAACTGGGGCAACAGGTGACACTACAGCAAACAGACATTGGGTGATCTAGGTACTAATCCTGCCTCTGCATTCACAGGCTATGAGATGTGGGGCTGGCTTAACCTCTCTGAATGCCAGTTTCCTCATCTGTAAGATAAGCCCCATGACACCTGTGTCTTGACAGCCTCCTGAATCAGCTGCAAAGTGTGATGGATGATGCTTCTCACAGGGCCTTGCAAAGTGTTTAGTAAGCGCTGTTCACCCAAGCAATGAACCGACTCAACCATCAATCCCTTCTTACCTAAGGATGACATCCCTCCCCCATGCCTGGCATCCTCAATCCTCCTTTCATGCTTTGTATTTCTCCACAGGACTTTTCACTTTCTAACACAATATACAAGATATTTATTTAGTCTGTTGTCTATTTCCACTCACTAGATGTAAGCTGCAAGATGGCAGAGATTTTTGCCTATTTTTGTTCACTGCTGTATCCCTACTGCTTACATCAGTGCCTACCATACAACTGGTGCTTAATAAATATTTACTGAAAAAATGAATAAAAAGAAGGGTAACAGCCACACCTGTTGGGCAATCAGGCAGTCACAGACTTTCGTTAACTAGGTATTGGATCCTTCTAACACACATTTAACAGAAAAGAAAATTGAAGCTCAGAAAAGTTATGTAACTTTCCCAAGGTCACACAGCCAGAAGTCTTGAATTTAAATGCAGGTCTAGCTGGATCCAATGCAAGCTCTTAACTACTCTGCCATCTTTGATGCCCTGATTCACCATAGTCCCACCAAAAAGATAGAAAGAACGGATCTGTGATCTTCTAATGCTTGAAAAAGACAATGCCCAGAAATGAGAGAGAATCAAAAGAGAAGGGCTTATTGTTGGCTTTGGAAGAATCTTTCTGCCAGACCTCTGGAAGATATCTGTCTTCTACCTGAGGTCAAATATGAAATCATTTGCATTCAGTTTTACTTCCTAGGCTATGAGGAAGGGGCAGCTCACCTTCCTGATATTTTTACCTATTAGCACACTAAGGAAAAAGTCACAGCTAAATATGATCCTATTGGGACATCCCAGGGACCAAATCTACTCAGCTGAGCATCAAAGTAAATCAGACAGAGGGTGGGAAGAAGTCCTGATTCTCCCCCATGGGAGAAGAAGTCAGTTAAAAAAACATCTGTGGCTTTTGGAAATAATGTCAGAAAGGTGGATAACAAAGAAGTTTCTCAATTCAGTTAATTCACTGGCTACAATCTTGGTATATTCATCAAGTATGGAATTATTCCAGAATTAAGCTGTCCCACTGTAAGTTTTAGAAGGAATAACTCTGCTCTTCAAGTTTACAGCATGTCTGAGCAAGAAGGAATCTTCACAAGCAGCTAATATAGCTAATGCTACAAATTAAAAAAAAAACAACCTGAGAATGAAAGTACAAATGATACATCCAAAGTCACAATGCCTAGAAAAAATAAAATCTCCCCCTTTTCTGTTTTCCTGTCTGGTAATCTGTCATTGAATCTAGATTACTCCTTCAGCATAAGTACAACCTAAGGATTTTAGTTAAAAAATAAAGTCATGGAATAAATCATATAGACCCACAATGCATGAAATCAGTCAGCTATGTGAACAGGCTCACACATCTCTTCCTAGGCTCTCAGGAAAGGGCAGTTTAGCTGCCTGAGATTTTTCTCTACTGGCACAAAGTCACAGCTAAATATTATTCTATTGGGATGCAGTGGCAAGATTTTGAGTCCTGGAATCAGATTACTTGGCCCAAGTCTTGTGTCTTCTACTAACCTTAGGCAACTTTAATCATATGGTACTTTGGTTTCTCACAGGGGAAATGGTGATCATAATAGCTAATTCACAGAGCTGGTGTGATGATTCAAATGAGATTGTATACAGGGAGGGCTTAGCACATAGTAAGGGCTCCATAATGTCCATTACGATGCTTTATGTTTTTTTCCTTTATCAGGGTGAATTTCTATCTGTCCTATTCTCTCTTCTGGGATTTGGTAGACAGGTACATAGGACACCTCCACAGCTAAGAAGAAATCCTTTAGTCTGGCAGAGCAATGATATTTCAGCACCAAGGACAGAAGTCCTTGTTTTAGTTGTGCAATAGCCATGATTGTGGCATGAAGGTGACAAGTGTCCTGGCCATCCTTCTAATTCTGTCCAAGCTCTGGATGAGCTCGCGAGGATTCAGCTCCCTGATTTTGAAGTTTGGCAGTTCCTCAGGGCCCCTGCTAGCCATTTCTCTCAGGCCCACGGTAGGCTGTGCCCCTTCTGGGCCTGAGCTGGAGTCAATTGTTATTCCTCTATCCTACAGTAGCTGGAAGATCAAGAATGCTTGAGGAATTCATTCCTTTAGCAGCACTAGAGAGCACCTTCGATATTCCAGGCTCTGCTCTATGCACTGAGAAAATGGTTTTAAATAAAATGGACATCACCCCGCCCTTCTCTCTCTTCTAGGCAAGACAAAAAGCGTAAATAATAACAGCTACCATTTATTGAGCGTATACTACATTCTAGGCTCTGTTCTATGCACTTAATATATATTCTTCTGTTTAGAATTCACTGCAACCCCATGAGGGCTCATTTTACAAATGAAGGAACAGAGACACAGAAAGGTTAAGTAAATTTCCCAAGACCCACACAGCTGGTGAGTGGCAATGAGGGGAATCAAGCCTTAGTGTCAGGCTCTGCATTCCACACTCTAGCCACAAGGTTCTAATAAGTAAGTAGACATCGAGAAATATGAAACACAAATATAAAATTACATGCTATATAGGAACAAATATGGGGGTAATGATAGAAAATAAAGAGACAGGGACTTAATTAGTGGAGATCATTGGGGAAGGCTTCACTGAGGAGCAGGTGGCATGCAAGCTCAAAGAGAAGGAATCAGTCCTCTAAGGAGTTATGGGGAAGGCCTTTATGAGTGACAGAAAATTGAAAGTGCAAGGGCCCTGTGGCTGCCAAAGGAAGCTACAGGGAAGTCCTCAGCTTCAGAACCTCACTTCATAGGGGCCGACTTGATCTGATTGGTGGAAGGGACATACCACCCACAAGTCCACGTGGCTTGGATATGGAGGGAAACTCCGCAGTCAGCACCCTTAGGGAGTCAGTGCAGCATGGTGGTTAAGCACCCTGACTTCAGGCTGGGCGTGGTGGCTCACGCCTGTAATCCCAGCACTTTGGGAGGCCGAGGCAGGCGGATCACTTGAGCTCAAGAGTTTGAGACCAGCCTGGACAACATGGCGAAACCCCATCTCTACTGAAACTACAAAAATTAGCTAGGCATGGTGGCACATGCCTGTAATCCCAGCTACCTGGGAGACTGAGACACGAGAATCGCTTGTACCTTGCAGGTGGAGGTTGGAGTGAGCTGAGATTGCACTCCAGCCTGGGTGATGGAGCGAGACTCTGTCTCAAAAAGAAAAATAAAAAGAACCCCAACTTTGGAGTCACTCTGCTTGGCTTCAAGTCTGTCTCGCCACCTATGAGCTGTGTGTTATTTAATCTTTCTAGCCTCAGTGTCCCCATCTGGAAAATGGGCACGATGATGATCGCATTTATGTCATGGGGTTGTTGTAGAAAGAGTGAATATCTGTAAGGTGCTTAGGATAATCAGTGGCACATGTACCAGTTATTATTGCTGCCCTGTGTGGAGAAAGCTGACTTAGGTTTGACATTCAAGGATGATGATTAGTTCAATGTCAGAAAAGGGGAGCTAGGGAGGCAGCTCAGATGCCATCCCGGCCTCCAATAGGAGAATGCTGCCTCTGGCAGATGGGGTTCAGGCCAGAGAAGAGAGAGAAACTTCTCTATACCACTTCTGACCTGGGGCTGGAATCTACCTGCCTGGCTTTCTTATATTTCCCAAGGAGGGCAGAAAAAGAAGCTCAAGTAGAAATGCAGAGTCAGTGGCCTGAATCCTGAGGCTGGAGTACCTGGGCTTGGTGGCTCACATTCTTCACAGGGCTCACGTCACTGAATCAGCTTGCATCGCCAAGCGTCTAAAGGTCTGTTGAGGGCTAATTGGTTTTCCACATTTCATGTATTTTTGAAAACATTGTTTACTGCCTTTTTTCTGATTATAAAAGGAATGCATAGCCTTGATAGATGGTTTGGAACATAAAAAAATGCAAAGAAGAAAATAAAAATCATACTCTACCTTTCAGAGATGACACTGGGAATGTACTTCCCCTCTAGTCTTTTGTCTAACTTCTTTGTGTATTGTTTGGAAAGAAGAAAAGTTCTAAAGATGACCTAAAAACACACGCTGAGGCCCAGGGAGGTATGTGTGTGCAGTTTTGTGTGGGTGCCTACATAATGCCAGACTTTATTTTGACGTGGCTGCTATAATTGGATTAAATAAAGTGAACATGCAAACAGTCATGAACGCATCGGTTGGGTTTAAGGAAAGCAAAAGAGAAATGCAATCTGCTTTCCCTATTGGAGATGAGATATTAATGATCTCCTTGCATCAGTCATGGAGCTACAAGTTAGCCAGAAACAGAGCTCTTCTCTCAATAAGCAAGCTGGCACCAAAGGCCTTCCCGAATGCGGATTTGCCTGGAGGAGGTTCCTGGCCAGGCTCTCGACTGATTTGCCAACTTTTGTTTAAACATTTGCTTGTTTATACATCAAAGGAGGTTTGGGTCTGATGATTAGTTCAATGTCAGAAAAGGGGAGCTAGGGAGGCAGCTCAGATGCCATCCCGGCCTCCAATAGGAGAATGCTGCCTCTGGCAGATGGGGTTCAGACCAGAGAAGAGAGAGAAACTTCTCTATACCACTTCTGACCTGGGGCTGGAATCTACCTGCCTGGCTTTCTTATATTTGAAATGATAGCTGTTTCTCTTACTATGCTTTGCCTTACTTTAAGCATAATACCCATAAATCATGGGTTGGAGTGGCTAATTTTATAAATTGTTGTCGATACATATAAGGTCAATACCTAACTTTCATCACATGCCCACTTATAAAGGGCCCAAAAGAATCTCCCATGTCCCCAGTGGACATGAGAGTTATTGAACATAAGAGTTATTGAACATTTTTGTAACATCTTAATTATGTGTATATTATCATCAAGATTCTTCTCATATCAACAACACCATCATTATCACCACTACTACCACCACCATTGTGATCATCATCAACTTAATAGGCGCAACTAACTGTCCCCAAGGGCTTTTCCATATATTAATTCTTGCAACAACTCTATGGGATTGGTATGATTATCCTCATTCCCATCTTACAGATGAGAAAACTGATACACAGGTAACTCACGTAACTTACCCAAGGTCACACACTGTGAGTGGGTATTAGAGTTGGCCCGTGAATCTTGACAGTCTGGCTCCAGAGCCTGGATTCTTAACTGCTATGCTATGTGCTTTATGTAGCATCCTATACAAGAGGCCCCTTAATATTCTGCTCTAAGCCAACTTTATTATTTTTAGAGACATGATCTCGCTTTGTCACCCAGGCTGCAATGCAGTGGTGCAAGCCTCAAACTCCTGGCCTTAAGCGATCCTCCTACATCAGCCTCCCAGGATGCTGGGATTACAGGTGTGAGCCACTGTGCCCGGCCTCTAAGCTAACTTTAAATAGCTTCAACTGTTTTCTTTCAATGTAGCCTTATTCGAAGCATAATATCCATAAGTCATGGTTGGAGCAGCTAATTTTATAAATTTGTTGATACACATAAGATCAATACCTAACTTTCATAGCATGCCCACTTATAAAGGACCCAAAAGAATCCCCCATGTCCTGGTGGCACATAAACACACTTTGCAAAATGCTGACCCTAGGAAGTAGGGGAAGGACCTACCCTCACCCATGCAAAAAGATAATTCTATTTACATTCAGCAGGATTTTCTTTCATCTGCACACCTCGAGAGCGTAAACCTGCAGGTCCTCTCAAATGCAGTCACTATGGAGTAATAAAAGAACACAGGCCTTAAAGTCAGACGGAACCAGGTTCCATCTCAGCTCTGTCGTTCACTAGCTGTAGGGCCTTGAGTAAGGTAAAGCGACTCTCAAACCTCAGCTGTATTCATTTCTGAAATGGGGTAACACCTGCTAAATGAAGGTGAAATGAGAAAATGTCCTGGAATGCGCCCAGCGTGGGGCCTTCCTGTGGCCAGTGAGGATGCTCCATCTCCCCAATACCATGATCATTATTTGAATTTTATAAAGATGGAGAAACAGAGGCATGGCCTGTCGAAGCCATTTGCTGACATCCCATGGCTGTGGTATAGAAGAGCTGGCATTTCGACCCAGGTGGCTGGACTCCAGCATCTATGCTCTGGCACTTCACACACTGTGTCCCAGGGCTAACATGGGGGCCCTGGTGACCCTGGATGAAGTGGAGAAATTAGATCAACCAGGGAAGGAAAAGTCTCAGAAAAACTCCGATTTTCACTTTCCAGCTCCCTGGAAGAGGCCTGTCCCCACACACTGAGACTTGAACAGGTTTCAGAGATTTGAAAAACTTCTCTGATGCTCCCTGAGCCAAGGCCAGGGACTTGTAGGGATGTTTCCAAATACCTGATTATTCAGGCTGAGAGTAAACATGCGGCCACCTGCTTCTGCAAGCCCTGCTGAGGCTGCCTGGGAAAATGACAATTGTGCTACCTGTCTTGCAATGTATCTAGTGACTTTACTTTTGGAGGAAAGCAAGGAGAAACAGTGAACACAACCCTCCCCTTCATTTAATAACAGAAACAATCAGGACCAATTTGGCAGCTATTAGAATACTAGTTTGCCTTTATGCCATCTCTTCACAGTGGGAGCCAGAAGTCCAAATTGGCTGCTAAAGGTTGGAGATGAAGACAGAAGGTCAACATTGCTATTAGGAGCTACGTGGAATTAAAAACCGAGGCACCCCGTGGCCTATTCTGTATTTCACTGCTTGCCTTTGTTCATCCCCATCTCTCTGTCTTTCAAGATCTCTGCCTCTGTCACCTCCTCTTTTACCAGGGCTGGTCTGGACACATGAAATACCAGAATGGGAAGGGAATTTGGAGACTTTCTCATGCAACCCCCTTGTTTTTCAAAGGGAGAAAATGAAGTCAAGAGAAGCAGAGTAGCTGCCTCAAAGTCACCAGTGCATTGGAAGAAAGCAGGCCTAGAACACAGAGAGGCTTCATCACGTGAGAATTATGAGCTTGGACTCTGTGAACACTCACTTGGGTGTGAGTCCTCCCCGCTGCCCTAGTGCTGTGAGTTTGAGCAAGTAACTTCATCTTTTTGAGTCTCAGTTCCCTTATCTATAAAAGGAGGCTAATATATTGCCAATAATCCCCACCCAGTGCCAGAAAATTAAACATACACACAGAAAAACAGAACTAATAGAGAGTCTGGGCCTGATGATATAATTTGCACAGCTTGATTTAGCCATACCTGAAGTCAGCCCTAATGTTTTAGTTACCTGATCTGGTAATGTTCTTTACCCTTAAGCTAGTTTGAGCTGGGTTTCTGTCATTTCCCACCAAAAGAGTTCTCCCTAACACATCACCAGTGAAAGAACTTGAGCAAGCCACGCCCAGCTCTGGTCACTTGGGAGGGACCATGGATGATGGGCTATAGGTAGGCTTATTCGTGCAGCAGGTGAGGCCACAGCTAACAAAGAGGGAAGTGGCCAGTGAATGGGACATTGGCTTGTTTTACTATTAAATTAATGCTGAATCACTGCCCTAACTTCCGGTAAATGAGAAAATCCCAGCTGGGGACTCACACGCAAGAGTTGGAAGTTGTGAGCTATTCTGTCAAGAGGCCTTTGGGTTTTAGGGTCTTGGAGGGAGGTGTAAGAAGCATTTCCTCAGCCTGAGACTTCTTTATGTTGTCCCAAGACATCTGGGTACCACCTGTCAATTACGGATGCACATCAATTATACAAAATGTACTCAGGCACCTAGAGGCAAAATTCAGGCCCATTCTCCATCTATTTCTTTCTCCTACCAGCAACAATTTAGTTCTATGCTTATCATAACAATGACATAATCATCACCATCACCATCATCATAAACATTTACTATGCCAAATGCTGTATATGCAGCATCTCATTTAATCTTCTCAATGAATAAATGAGTATAGGTCTATTAATATTTTCAAATATTATGAAACCAGTTCAGAGAGGTTAAGTCACTCGTCCAATGCAACACAGCTAGAACACAGTAGATCAGAATTCCAAACCAGAAGGTGTAACCTCACAGTCCCTGTTTTTAACTTGTGCTATACTCAGTTCCTAGCACAGTGCCTGACAAATAGTGCTCAGAGAATAAATCCTGACTAGGCTGAAATAGTTAATACTAGGGTGGATGTAATTCACACACAAGTTGATACATTTACAATGGGCTCCTTTCTCGAGACACAACTTTGCACAAATCACCTATTAGCTGCTACCTGGAGAAGAAGAAGGGTTTTTCCTTCTCTACCTGAGGGCGAGGAATACCAATGTCTGAGCCACTTCTGACAATTAACCACCTCCATGGAATCCTTGCCCAGCCCCACTTTGCTCCTGCAGCTATGGGGCCAGAAAAACTTGGGTTCAAATTCTAGCATTTAACCAGCTGTGTGATCTTCAGAAAAATCAGGTAAACTCCAGAAGCTTGACAAATGGGGAGAATAATTCTTACAGCTGCATTGAGTGGCTGTGAAAACAAATATGGATCCTATACAAAAAGGGCCCACTTAGTAGGAACACAATACACAGTGGCCATGATTCTTCTTACTCATCCAGCCAGGCCTCTGTACTCTTAGTGGCCTGAGCGTAGTAAACTAATCTGTGCTAATTTACAGAGCATCTTCAAGTTCGGGTGTTGCAGAAAGAGGCCTCCTTTTTAATGTAAAGAAGGTAGGCTGTGAGTAGGGGCAGGAACAATCCATAAATAGCAGAATGAAATCAAAGTTTCAATTTAGAAAAATGATACAACACAAGGATTCTAGGGTTACTTTTTTTTTTTTTTCTATTTTGAGATGGAGTCTCCCTCTGTCACCCAGGCTGGAGTGCAGTGGTACAATCTCCACTCACTGCAACCTCCGACTCCCAGGATCAAGCGATTCTCCTGCCTCAGCCTCCCAAGTAGCTGGGATTATAGGTGTGCACCACCACACCCGGCTAATTTTTGTATTTTTAGTAGAAATGGGGTTTTACCATGTTGGCCAGGCTGGCCTCGAACTCCAGACCTCAGGTGATCCGCCTGCCTCACCCTCCCAAAGTTCTGGGATTACAGGCCTTGAGTCACGGCACCTGGCCAGATTACTTCTTTAAAGCTCAGGAGACGGAGCTACCTGCTTGCTTTTGTTCCTCCCATGCTGTGGATAACTGGGTAAACTGTCACAGAGCCAGCCAAAATGACACTCCCACCAACAACAGCAGTGAAGATTTAAAGCAGAGATTACAAACAGAGATGTGGTCGGGGGCCAGGTTGGGGAACGGGGACAGGCAAGGACCGAGCGACCTAAGATCCAGGAAATAACTGCCATGAGAAAATTCAGGCACAGACTTAATGGACCTTCAGATTTTTTAAGACTGGCTAGAAATCTGGATTTTCATAGGAAATACTGCTGTTTTTAAATGGGGCTATTAATTTTCAAATGAAGCACCTGAATGAAAACAAGACAAAACAAAACACTCTGAGAGCTAAACCATGCACGTTAACAAGCTGAAATGATCCCAAGCACTGCCAGGTTCAATGCTAGAACAAGACCCCGGGATGTCAGAGCCACCCTGGACTGGTGTTTAATGGTGTTTTCTTTTTTTGTTTTCTTTTTTAGATGGAGTCTCACTCTCTTGCCCAGGGTGGAGTGCAGTGGTGCAATCTTGGTTCATTGCAACCTCCGCCTCCCAGGTTCAAGTGATTCTCCTGTCTCAGCCTCCTGAGTAGCTGGAATTACAGGCATGTGCCACCACACCTGGCTAATTTTTGTATTTTTAGTAGAGACAGGGTTTTACCATGTTGGTCAGGCTGGTCTCAAACTCCTGACCTCATGATCTGCCCGCCTCGGCCTCCCAAAGTGCTGGGATTACAGGCATGAGCCACTGCGCCTGGCCTTTAATGGTATTTTCTATTGGAATGAGGAATCCCATCACGTGATGTCACCTACAGGGGGCGCTCAATACTGTATCCCTTCCAGTTGATGGACCATCATGGAGACTTGGGCTCAGCTCAATGCTGAACTGCAGAGATGCTATTTTTTTGACATTGTTCATTTTAAGCGAGAGAGGTGTGAGGGATCTGGGTTGGGGTTCTGGGTGCCTCCCACCCCTGCTGATGTGTTGGACACCAGTGAGGGAGTGAGGAGGACATGGGGCTGGGATCAGGACCCCTGGGTTCAAGTCCATGCTGGTATGACACTCTTTTCCACTACAGGTCAATTCCCTGAGAGGAAGGACTTGGTCTTGTTTGCGGCTAGAACAGCAACTGGCACACGCCCATGCTTGTTAAGTATTTGAATGAGTGGCTGACTGAATGAACGATCTGGGGACGTTGCTTACATTATGGGCCTCAGTCTTCCCATCAATAAAATGAGAATTAACCGTGGGTGCCCTACTGAAAGGGTTGCTGCAATGAGATATTGGACTTGTGGAAGTCCTTGGGGGAAGTAATCAAAAGGGCTGTCACACCATGAGAAACATCTATGGTTATCTTGTCCTTGGCTGACAGAAGGGACTACTTCAGATCCCACGCAGACACAGCGAAGGACAGCTGGTGCCAAGCCTTTCTCCCACCCTCAACCTTTCTGTGGCTGCATGAAACCAGCCTAGAAAATTCCCCAAATGATCACTCAGATTTTCATTTCCATTTTGTACAGGGGTAGGGGTTGAGGTGCTACCTTGCATTGTCCCGGCCGTGTGACTTCAAGAAATTCATATCTCGGTATCGGGAGAGAAACGCCACCAACTGGTCATTTGTCCTGTGGAAACAAACCAAGGGGAGAGTCAGGCCAGACACCGTGGGTACTGTCTTTGTCACAGAAAGCAAGTTTCACCAATTATGTCAGTCTGCTTGAAGCACCTTCTCTGATCATTTGCACACAGGCTGATAAGGCATCCTCTTTATATCGCCATTTTTATGTCACCATCACTGACTCTATCACACTATGTTAAAATGGGCTGTTTGTGCATTTCTCTCCTCTATACTCCAATATACTGGAGACTCTGTGAGGGCAAGTGTGGTGCTCCACATGTTTGGGAATCTCCAGTGCCTGGCACTGGGCTTGGCAAACAGCAAGTCAGCCCAAAGCTAAATGCACAGCAACCTCAGGACCTTTGCATTTGCTTGCCTGGGAAATTTCTCCCAGTATTGCTGGCTTGGCTTTGTCATCAGGTGTCCTTTCAAATACCACCTCTTTAGAGAGACCTTTTCTGACCACTTAACCTAAAGTAGTACCTGCCTCCCGCTCTCTCCCCACCTTTATTACATCACTCTGTTTATAATACTTCACTCTTGTATCACCAGCTGAAAGCACTGACCTTGCTTACATTAGAATGTAAGTTCCACGAGGACAGAGCCCAGCTGGATTTGTTCAACACTGGCATACAGTAGGAGCTATATTAATATTTGTTGAATAAACAAATGAATCAAAGTGATGTGTGTTCAAACTGACTCCTTCAAATGCACTTTGAGCAATGAATGCATCAATGAATGGACGGATACCAAGTCCTCGATAACCACGGGGCTACTGATTGAGAGAGCTTTAAAAAATATGAAGTCCAATACAAACGAGTGACATCGTTGCCAGCATTGTTATCCCAAATTTATCCCCATCAATCTCAGCACTAGCAGTGTAATCACAGCTAATCCGCTTGCGCATACAGCTGTGACAGTATTTTAAAAGGCAGTCACACGGGTCTCCATCTGCCAGAAACGCAGTCGCCTCTTCTGCTGAATAAACCCAAACAGGTAAATGGTGCTGATGTGACAGCTCCTTTATCACCAGCCTTCTCTGCTTCGGAATTTTTACTTCAAAGGAAAGCGTTAACTATTGTTTCAAATGGGAGGAACAGAGAAGAGAGCAGAAAGATAAAAAAACATCTCTGGGGTTATAATAGAAGCTAGACCTTCGAGAAGCAGGACAGTGCTTTAGAAAGCAATGCTTGGGCAGAAACAGAAAGATCTGGGGACAGATCCCAGCTCCATGACTGAGTCAGCTGTGTGTCCAAGGATGTCATTTAACCTCACTGAATGGCAGCTTTCTCTGAATGCGCCTAGGTTGAAAATTAAACATGCCCAGCACCTAGTAGGCCCATCATGCATATATACTGAATGGACAACTGGGTGGATTTAAAGGGCACACAGTAGGGGCACAATCAATGCACGTCGTCCTGCTCTGCCTCCCAACTCTTTGGTCTGAGCTGCCCCTACTGCTCACCCCCTCCTTCATTTCCCTGCGCCTCTGCAGTCTCGCCACTCCAAGCCCCTGTTCTCTCATTGGATGACTCATGTTGACCAACTCATAATTCCAGCGGAGGGGGCACAAAGCAGTTAAGAGAGGCAGCAGTGAAAATGAGCGCTGCTCGTGTCCCATCCTATTACTGAAATAAACACCAATTCAAAACCAGCCATTCTAGCAGCGGCAGGCACCAGAAACACCCCGTGTGTCTGCAGGGAGTTGAATACAGCACACACACGGAAAGCTAAACCTTGCTGATGGGCACAGAGGTGAACCCAGGGGATGCTCGCAAAGGGCTAACCCCACGTGTCCCTACAATGGTGCATCTCCCGCGTGGTTAAACCCCATCGTGCATGCCAAGGTAAAGTCCACTGGTGCCTCCGACACTGTTACCTGTAGTTTGTGGGGACAGAGCCTCTTTAATAAGTCGCTGGGAGAGGTGGAAACTAAATCGGCCTATAAAAAAATTTAAGCAATGTTTCTCTCCAAACCATAAAGAGGCCCATTCCAACTGCGTTTTAACAGCTCTTATTTACCAACCCCCTCACCACTCTCCGCAACAGTTCATTATTGTTGTCCTGATGAATACGAGACAAGTTAACCTCTGAATGGGTCCCCGGCAGTTGGAATAATAAATAAGGTCTCTCAGACACCCTTAGTGGGAGGATTGAAGGGGCCGGGCCGGGGCTCCTGGGCCCCCTTCTCGTGAAGCCTCAGGTCTCCCAGGGTCAGCGGCTGCAGTTCCATTTGGCAATCCCAGAAAGCGCCTTTCAGGGCTGTGAGCTGGGGCCATTTTCACATTTACCGCTTCACCGAGTCCCCATCTGACGGGGATGAATAGGCATTTAGCGAATTTACTTAGCGATGCTTCCACATGAAATCGTCTCAAAAGATGACATCTTGGGGGAGGGAGGGTGGATGAGGAGGGGGCTGAGGTTTCCAGGCCCAGAGCTTTTGGGCAAAGCCGCCTTTCAAAGCCAAGCGCTGTGTGCTTGGCAAAGGATCCTGATGGATTGTCTGGAAGGGTGGGGCGGGGGGACCCCTGCCTACCCCCCTTGCTAGGGTCTCGGGCCCCTCGCTCTCCCTCTGTGTGAAATGCTTGCTCTGAATGCTAAAGCCCATCCCCCCAGTCCTTCTCCAAAGGGAGATGGAATTTGGCTGAGGACCAAATTCTCCTATTGTTGCTTTCAGACGCCTGTCGATAATTGCCTACATAATATTTAGTTCTCTCCAGATAATTAACAGCTTGCGATCTGGTGACATTTTACCCCGTTCCAGTTTCTCGCGCGCTCTCTCTCTCTCTCTCTCTCTTCCACTCACACACGTTTCTCACTCTCTTTTTCTGGTGAAGTCATTTGCCAAATGGTTCCCATAGTTCATCTCTTGTATCTATCTCATCATCAATTTCCTCCTACTTTTTGCTGAAATGATTAGAAATCATGTCTCTTGGTCTATGCCAGTTCCTCTGCTTCCTGAGGATAACTGGGGCCTGTTGCTACCACCATGGGAGTCACTGGGAAGTCTCTGCTGAAATAAGTAAGAAATAAATGTTAAAATAAACTTACTGGGAGCCATATGAGAATCTTTTTCGAAATGAATAAAAAAATGAGTAATACAATAATCTCCCAAGTCCCAGCCATTTACTAAATGTGCACCATGCCCTAGGCCATGGGGAAAGACTTTTGCCACATTTTATTGCATTTGATAGTCACAATGATGCTAAAAAATGTAAATTTTGGCTGGGTGTGGTAGCTCATGCCTGTAATTCCAGCACTTGGGGAGGCCGAGGCAGGTGGGTCACTTGAGGTCAGGAGTTTGAGACCAGCCCGGCCAACATGATGAAACCCTGTCTCTACTAAAAATACAAACAAATTAGCCAGGTGTGGGCATGTACACCTGTAGTCCCAGCTACTCAGGAGGCTGAGGCTGGAGAATTGCTTGAACTTGGGAAGTGGAGGTTGCAGTGAACACAGATCGCTCCACTCCACTCCAGCCTGGGTGAAAGAGTGAGACTCTGTCTCAAAAAAAAAAAAAAGGAATTTCACTTCACTCTCATTTTACGGACGGGCAACCGAGACTTAGATAAATCATCCATTTAGTAAAGTGCAGAACCAGAACTGGAACCTGGGGACAAATGTCACAGCTTGTGTTCTCTACTACGAGACTGCCTCTACAAATGATAGTGAATGAACGAGTGAATGAATGAATGAATGTATTCCATTTCAAGTGCAGAAGAAAAAAAATACAGGCGCAATAATGTCTTCCTCTTCATAGCCTGGTCTGCAGCCCACTGCTATTAGAAATGCCATACTTCAGGCCCCACCCAATACCTATTGAGCAACAGAGCTCACCCAATATCTATTGAGCAAAAATGTGTTTTCAAACAAGATTCCAGATGATGCATGTGCTCTTTAAAATTTCAGAAGCATTGCTGTAAGTCATGTATGACTATGAGTAGTTAATTCTCTGCTTTCCATCTTTATCTGCTCCTCATGGTTTCTTCTGGAGAACCCGGACTATGAATGAATTACTTTCATTTCAATAAGCCTTAGGTCTTGAGAGTATTAAATAAAAACAATGCACCTAATATCTGTGCCACAGTACTTGGCATATAGTAATCCCCTGATAAATGTCAGCTATTATATAATAGCATTATTATTACCATCTTGAACATCAGAAGCTTAAGACACCTTGAACTGTGGAAAACAGTGTAAAGACCCAACCTGATTTGAACTTGGAAGGCTTTCTGTGCATAAGACCCATGGAATGTTCTGCAGAGCATAGTTTAAGAGATGTCCAAGGCCCCTTCCTGGGGATTTGTCCAAGGTCCCTTCCCAGCTGGTGTCAGACTTAGGGACTGGCTCCCAGAGGGCCATGGCACCATTGTGTGTGTGTCTTATCTATATAACAGCTCTGGACATGAAGATATGAAGGAAGAGAGGGCAGAGTTCTCAGGTTCCCATAGCACCCAGGAGCCCAGGCTGTATGGAAAAGGTGCCCTGGGCACACAGAGGCACACAATGCCTGTTTGCTGGTGGCATGTGACAAGAGATGAAGCCTGCTCAGCTTCCACTAGGAAGGAGCCCAACACAAAGCCAACTGCACCTCTCTGGGCTCCCGGTGCCCACCTGGCACTCATGCCCCAGAACCCCTTCCCGACTGCAGGATACTGTCAAGGACCCTGCCAGAGGTGCTCACAGCCCAACGGTGAGGTGACAGGACTAAAGCCAAAGTTATACGCAGGATTTTGTGAATGTCAGGATTCAGGATTTCAAACCTCTGATGCTGCCAGGTGTGCACAGAGCCCAGGGGACACTGGAGTAAGTCCTCCTGGACTGCAATGAACGACCCATTGTGGGGCAGAAACACACATGAAAGACTATGGGGAGGCCAGGCATGCCTGTAATCCCAGCACTGTGGGAGGCCAAGGCGGGTGGATCATTTGAGGTCAGGAGTTAGAGACCAGCCTGACCAACATGGTGAAACCCCGTCTCTACTAAAAATACAAAAATTAGCCAGGTGTGGTGGCATGCGCCTGTGATCCCAGGCTGAGGCAGGAGAATCGCTTGAACCCAGGAGGTGGAGGTTGCAGTGAGGAGAGATCGCGCCACTGTACTCCCACCTGGAAAACAAGAGCGAAACTCTGTCTCAAAAAAAAAAAAAAAAAAAAAAAAAAAAAAAGAAAGACTATGCTGGTGCATGAGGGACTGTGAAGTCAGGCAAGTTGAGGAAGTTGAGGGTTGAGGTGCTTTCAACCTAAGCTGAGAATAGACTACAACAGTGTTTCCCCAACTTCTGCTTCTAGTGTACCCATAATCTTTAAGTTATTTCATATGTCTATTTAATTTAAATTCTACTTTAGCTTTATCTTATGCACCAATGTTTGTGATATTTGATGTCACAAATTTTTTTTTTTTTTTGGAGACAGAGTCTTGCCATCTTAACCATTTTTCTGAGATCAGACGAGGTTGGGTGTGTTCAGGGTGATATGTCTGTAGACCATCTTAACCATTTTTCAGTGTACAGTTCAGTGGTACTGGATGGATTCACATTGTTGTGCAACCATCACCAATATCCATCTCCAGAACTCTTTTCATCTTGCAAAACTGACACTCTCTACCTGTTAAATAATAATTCTCTATTTCTCTCTTCTATAGCCCCTGGCAACCCCCATTCTACTTCCTCTCTGCTATTTTAACTATTCTAGGTACCTGACATAAGTGGAATTGTACAGGATTTGTGTTTTGCTGGCTGACTTATTTAACTAGCACCATGTCCTCCAGGCTCATCCATATTGTATCATACCTTAGAATTTCTTTCCTTTTTAAGGCTGAATAATACTCTCTCATGTACCACCTGTATGTTATTTTTTTCCCTGTTACACATTAAAAACATTAACGACCACGTGTCTGTATACTTCTTAAATCAACTGGGCTACCAGAGGCACATATGGAAGAGGTCAACTGTCCTGGTTTGCCCAGGACTGAGGGAGTTCCCACAACACAGGACTTTTAGTTTTAAAACTGGATGGTCCTGAGCAAATGAAGATGAGCTGGTGACCCCAGGCACATGGCTCCATTGAGGGCTGTGTAACCACAGGAGAAGTGCACACTCCACAGAGGCAAAAATCTCACCCTCCTGTGATCAACCCAATGTATAGAAAACAAGATAATGGCAGGGCCTATTGTAACCTTTTCCTATGCCTTTAAAATCATTATGAAAGCTTAGATCACAGCAAGATAAAGACTGAAATACCAGCAATAGCAACATCATCATCATCTAACACTTGAATGCCTCCTATGTGGTATTTGCATCTATTAACCCACTTAATCCTCATGACAACCCTAAGAGGTAGATGCTATTATATTTATATCCATTTGTTATTATATAAACGGGAACATGTATATACATGGATTTTTGTGTAATGACCTATGCTGCTTCTCTCACTCATCAGCACGTACAGGCAGACTTCATCCTTTTAACGGTTGCACAGGATCCTATAGAATGGGCGTAGCCAGCTGGGCATGGTGGCTCATGCCTGTAATCTCAGCACTTTGGGAGGCCAAGGCAGGCGGATCATGAGGTCAAGAGATTGAGACCATCCTGGCCAACATGGTGAAACCTGGTCTCTACTAAAAATACAAAAAAAAAAAAATTAGCCAGGCATGGTAGTGGGCGCCTGTAATCCCAGCTACTCGGAGGCTGAGGCATGAGAATTGCTTGAACCTGGGAGGCGGAGGTTGAAGTGAGCCGAGACTGTGCCATTGCACTCCAGCCTGGGTGACAAGAGTGAAACTCTGCCTCAAAAAACAAACAAACAAAAAGAATGGGCATAGCCAATGCCCTAGTGATGGACACTTAGGTCATTTCCATTTTCTCCCCCTTACAACTACTGCTCCATTGAACACCCTTGAATAACTATCTTTTCACATGTGGGCATGATAGGTTTCTGTAGGATCAAATTTGCAGATATGGAATTGTTCACTCTAGGATTATTTTTCAGTCTTTAATTTCAGAAAGCAAACTACACGGAATGAGACTTCTCTAAGAATTGCCCAAGACTCACATCATTGCACAGAAACCAAGCCTGTGGCTGCCAGGAGCATGGGGAGGAAGAAGGAAATTGCAAAGGTGATGGAGTTGGGATGTCTTGCAGAGCTGGCAGGCTCTTGGCTCCTCCAGCAGGCTGGTGGGGTTAAGCAGGGGCCTTCTGGGTTCCCCAAAGGACCAACCACCAGCGGACCCTGGAAAACAAAGGAGGCTCACATGGAGATGGAAAGGACCTTCTGTCAAGCAACGGGGTCAGGGCAGAACCATCCTCTCCCATGCCTGGAGCAGCTGCTGCAGCTGGTGATCATCTGTCTGCCAACAGAACCAGCATCTGGACTATGGGGCAGCACCTCGGACAGTGCTTTTCAGGACCATGGCTGTAGTCCTGGGATGAGCAGGCATTGAGTCCAATTCCCATCTGTTCCTCCAGGACCTGACACATAGAAGGTGCTAAGTAAGTATTCACTGCTTAATGCAAGCCCAAGTAGAGGCCCGGTATGCAGGGTTCATCTCTGTGGCTTCTATGCTCAGCACAGACAGTACCTGCCCCATGGGAAGGGCTCAGTCCATCATTCACTTTTTTTTTTTTTTGAGGTAGAGTCTCGCTCTGTCACCCATGCTGGAGTGCAGTGGCACGATCTCCGCTTACAGTAACCTCCACCTCCTGGGTTCGAGAGATTCTCCTGCTTCAGCCTCTTGAGTAGCTGGAATTATAGGCGTGCACCACAATGTCCAGCTATTTTTTTTTTTTTTTGGTATTTTTAGTAGAGATGGGGTTTCGTCATGTTGGCCAGGCTGGTCCTGACCTCAGGTGATCTGCCTGCCTCAGCCTCCAAAGTGCTGGGACCACAGACATGAGGCCCTGTGCCTGGCCCATCATCCACTTCTGTATCCACATCTCTGCCCATTCCATACCCTCTGCCAGGAATGCTCCTCCCTACGTCTTTGCCCAATGAACTGGGGGGTGATTTGGGGGAAGGAATCCCAGAGTCAGGGTACTCATGAGAAAATGCTTCATAATAACAATTGCAGAAAGATTTCCCTTTGTTGCTCACCAAGTGTTAAGTGCTCGTCCTCCTTAATTTTACAATACACATCCAGGAGGTACTCATTTGCGGATGAATAAACTAGGACTGGAAGAGCCTTCACAGCTTGTGCCAGGTCTTATGAGTGGTGGAGGGGAGATGCAGACCTCAGTGCCCCAGGGCCAGAGCCTGAGCTGTTTTCAATCCCGCTTTCCCCGTGGTGAATAAGCTTCAGGAATGTGATCCATTTCTGTAGACAGAGGCAGGAAATAAACAGGAAACTGCAGCTGCCTTCTGAAGCCTACTACTTCCCTTCAAGGGGACTGTTGTTGAGTGCGAGTCGCACAACAGGAATTGATACAGGTAGAACCTCTGTTCAGGGTGTATGTCTTTTTCCTGTGCTCCTGTAAAATCTGAAGTCCAGTAAGTTTCCTCCTCCCCCTGCCTCATGAATGGATTCTAACCCATCCTTCCATCTCGTGAATGGATTCTAACCCATCCTTCCATCTCGTGAATGGGTTCTAACCCATCCTTCCATCTCGTGAATGGGTTCTAACCCATCCTTCCATCTCGTGAACGGATTCTAACCCATCCTTCCATCTCGTGAAGGGATTCTAACCCATCCTTCCATCTCGTGAACGGATTCTAACCCATCCTTCCATCTCGTGAATGGATTCTAACCCATCCTTCCATCTCGTGAATGGATTCTAACCCATCCTTCCATCTCGTGAACGGATTCTAACCCATCTTTCCATCTCGTGAATGGATTCTAACCCATCCTTCCATCTCATGCATGGATTCTAACTCATCCTTCCATCTCGTGAATGGATTCTAATTCATCCTTCCATCTCATGCATGGATTCTAACTCATCCTTCCATCTCGTGCATGGATTCTAACCCATCCTTCCATCTCGTGAATGGATTCTAAACCATCTTTCCCCACGGCTTATCTGGGGGAGGAGGAGACACTGCCAGTGCTCTCTCCTCCACACTCCAGACGGTTTATGCAAGGACCTTACTGACATCTTCTCACCCACTGGAAAAATCAGGGAAGTCCAGGGTTGCAGACCAACAGTGAATAAAGGCCAAGTTCGGGACTTGCTGAAGAAGAGACAAGAGCAAAAGAACTGGAAAAAAGGCAAATCCCTGATTCAAATGCAGTCAAAGCACATGCACTTGTATGTTCACTGAAGCACTATTAACAATAGTAAAGACATGGGATCGATATAGGTGCCCGTTAATGGTGAACTGGATAAGGAAGATGCGGTACATACACACCATGGAACACTGTGCAGCCATCAAAAGAACAAAATCATGTCCTTTGCTGCAATATGGATGCAGATGGAGGCCACTGTCCTAAGTGAATTAACAGAGGAACAGAAAGCTAAATACCACATGTTCTCACTTATAAGTGGGAGCTAAAAATTGGGTTCTCACGGACATGAAAATGGGAACAAACACTGGGGACTACTAGAGAGGGAAGAGGAGGAGGGCAAAGGCTGAAAAATAACCTAGTGGGTACAATGCTCACTTACCTAGGTAATGGGGGCCTTCATACCCAAAACCTCAGCATCACACAATATACCCCTGGAGCAAACCTGCACACGTACCCACTGAATCTAAAATAAAAGGTGACTTTTTTTTTTAAAGTTTAAAAAGTAGTCCAAATTTACAGAGACTTATTTTGCTAAGATACGGAGGAAAAGGTATGAAAAATGCTAAAGAGTATGTTTTCCTGGACTCCACAGGCATAATTCCAGCCACCATGAGCAACTGAGGAAAAGTGAACTGGATAAAATGCTGGCCCGGCCTCCAGGCTCCTCTTTACCTCGTCCTCCAGGAAGCAGCTGCAGGATCTTCCTAAAACATGAGTCTGACCATGTCACCCTTTGACTCAGTACCTTCAGCGGCTCTCCATCATCTGAAGGACAATGTCCTTACCCCTTGGCAAGGCATGCAAGGTTGTTTGTGACCCGGCACTGCCTACTCAATCTTTGGAATTACTTGAAGTTTTCTAAATGTTCTGTGTTCTTTCATAACTCTAAGACTGTGCAAGCACTGTTTGGTCTCCTGGGAAAAATATGACTTCCACTTCTTCAATAGGTCAGGCCCTGTGACAAACGCCTGGGACAGGAGTGGGTAAGATGGTTGTGGCACCTGTCCTCAAGGAACGCACAGAACACTGGGGGATGCAGACATATAGGTAGGTCCCTGTGATATGAAGTGAGACAGCAGATGAATTGAAGCACGAGCATTCAGGGGAGGCTACAAAAAGTATGCTGGGGACACCAGGGGGACAGTACCTCCTTCTACAAAGGCAGGCAGTAAACTGGAGAACTACCTGGTTGTTACAACCCAATCAGTTTTAATTGGATTTACCTTTTTGTACTGACAAAAATGATGTGGCATTAAAACACACTCATTGTATTTGAATGGACCGGCAAACCATTTCACAAAGCCTCAGTGCTTTCACAGGACATTTGTAAGAAACACATTTTTCATTTTAAACATACATATGCCTTTCTAAGAGGCAGTTTATCTGATGTTCTATCAATGAGAACTCTTAACACACCAGCCCTTCCTTCAGACGGCTGTAATGGAAAGGTAACTGACAACAATCAGCACCCAGGGGCCACGCAGGAACCCAGGACGCCACCGGAATCATGAATGAACTAAACTGACATTCTGCTTGGTGGGTTGGGGGGCGGGCGGGGAGGGTGGGGATCGTGTGTGTGCACATATGTATATGAAGTCTATTTAACTGTATTTTGATTCTCTTAAGTCTGCTTGTCCTCACATGCCATGAGGCATCTCAAATGTGCACAACATTTAGTTAACCAAATTCTGCATTCCCATACAATGATTGATTACAGCCAGTTATTTGATTTGGTCTTCAGGGAACCAGGGGAGGTCCACTTCAGAGGGCATCGAAAGATTGAATCTTAAAAGTAAATGCAATTTAAGTAGGAAAGCCAAGACACGGCTACAAGGAAAGCTGTTTTCAGAGAGGTGTTTACAGTAGTTTCTCTCTGCTCCTTGCCACTTTCTTGCCGTTTGATTTTTAGCAAGTTCCTCAGGCTCACTGAGCCTTGGTTTTCTAATCTGCCAAATGGGAGCATTTAACAATGGTCTATGAGTTACTTGTGTGTTGTGGGTATGGTACATGCAGTGCCTGGTGCATAGCAGGTGCGCAGTAACTGGAGTTCCTTGGAAAGAAGTTTCTATATTCTTCGCTAGAAATGCAGAGAGAAAGGCATGTCCACCCCTTGCTAGTTTCCTACCAAGCTGTGACATTTCAATTCTTACACACTTGTGGTTCCTAGCAAAAATTTAAGTTATGTATGTTCAAGTTGCTTGACTGTAAGCTACCTGAGGACAAGAACTTTATCTGGGTCATCTATGTTCCCCAACTGTCCAGCACAGAGGCCAGGAACATGACAGGTTCCATCAGCCTTATGCCTATTTCTCTTTGGGTCCCCAGGCCCATTTCACTGTAGCCCACGGAAACTGCTCAGCACAACTGTGTTGCAGGACAGAATGAGGGCTTTTGTCCATACCATCCCTAATGCCAGAAACATCCTTCCTACACCTTTGCCTAGAGAACTCCTGCTTGCCTTTGCAAAAGCTGGCTCAATGTCAGTTCCACTGGGAAAGGCTGGAGTATAAATAACCATTGAATGGCACTGAACTGTACTGACACGCTGACCTTTCTCTTTGTGCTTATGGCTGAGAACAGATGCCTTTTTCACCATTCATCCTGCCCTGGGTTTATTCAAATAATCACCATGACCTATAATACTAATTTGTCCATTTCCATTTCACCACATAGGTCTTCCTAACGCACCTACACTAATGTATCAGAATTTGCAGTGGTTAAAATAATGCAGATCTGACATCAGAGAAATGTAGGTTTGAGTCCTAGTTCTACTACTTATTGGCTGTGTGGCCTTGGGCAGGTCATTTTTAGCTAGTCGATGCTCAATTTTGTCATTTTTAAAATTGAGGATAATAACACTATTTACCTTATAGAGTTGAAGATGTAATGAAATAAGAGGGAATAATCTGTTGCTTGCAACTACAAAATTCTAGCTGATACAGAAACTGGTATCAGAAGTCGGGTAATGAGTGTTGAGCCAGTGAAAACAAGAGAGATCTAGTACAGCTTAGGTAACCTAGCCCACAGAATGCTAGAATGTCAGATCTTATTATTGTTATTATTTTTATTATCATGAATTCTCCAGGACTAGAGTCTGCACTGTGCCAGGAGTAGGATACAGCAAGGATCTCTAACTCCCAGAACTTTGGGACTGGGTCAGTTTGGATTTCAGCCCCAAGGTGAGATTGAGCTTGAAGGACAGTTGATAGTGTCACCAAGCATCTCATTCTCCTTGGGCAGCTTGCCACATTCACCTGCCTGTCTGTATTGGAACAAGGTCAAAATGCACTGCAACACAGGCAAGAAGTCATACACACCATGGAAAAACAAACACTGTGGTTTCTGCAACACAGAGATCGATTCTGGAGGATCAGGACATGCTGCGTCCAGTAGACTCTTTACCCACAGATTTCCAAGGTTACTTGTTTATCTCAGAGGGCTGATGAGAAATTTCAAAAGGATTTTTAAACGGATTTTTTCTTTTTAAACAGAGGACACAGGCCTTGAAGTAACTTGACAGTTCCTAGGCAAAGAAAACTTCAGAAATGATTTAAATGAGACGTTATCACATAGATCATCGGTTTTTAAGCTGCATCTGGGGGAACCCCAGGTTGGGGCTGGGCAGCTGGGGCCTCAAGACACCTCAGTAGAGGTTTCCTTACTGAGGACTCACTTCCACCCCTATATTGGGTAAAATTTCAATTGTGCAAAAATGGTTTAGTAGCCTAAAAACAAGTGTTCAAAAATCATTTAAAAAACGGCCAATTTAACTTCCAGTTCTCCTTTAGGAGAGGAAGGAGGCTGGCATCTTACTCAATAGCAGAACTGGCTGAGCTCTGCCCTCACTAACTGCCCAATCTTGGGCAGATGACAATTTTTCTGAACAGCACTGTTGCCTTTATAATAACAGGAATCGCAATATGACATGCCTTGTGGAGTTGTTTTGGGGTTAGAAGGAATGATATCAGGTTAACCTGTTAGCATGGGTACTCGGTGTACAGTAAATACTTAGTAAGTATTAACTATGTTACTCTTGCAGCTGTGAATTAAATTTCTTTTTATTCCCTCCTTCCTTCCCTCCTCTCTCCCTTTTTTTTCTCTCCCTCTTCCATTTCTCTTTCCTTTTCCTTTGTCCTTTTCTTTCCTTTCTCTTCCTGCATCCTGCCTACTCAATCTTTGGAATTACTTGAAGTTTTCTGAATGTTTTGTGCTCTTTCATAACTCTAAGATCCTGCAAGCTCTATTAGCTTTCCTGGTAAATACAATTTCCCAGTTCTTCAGCAATTCAGGCCCTGCCATAAGCATTTGCTGAGCATCTTCCTATGTGCCAAAGACTGCGTTCATTTCTTTTTTTTTTTTTTTTTTTTTTGAGACGGAGTCTCGCTCTTGTTGCCCAGGCTGGAGTGCAGTGGCGTGATCTCGGCTCACTGCAACCTCTGCTTCCCAGGTTCAAGCGATTATCCTGCCTCAGCCTCCTGAGTAGCTGGGATTACAAGCATCCACCACCACATCTGGCTAATTTTTGTACTTTTTAATAGAGATGGGGTTTTGCCATGTTGGCCAGGCTGGTCTCAAACTCCTGACCTCAGGTGATCCGCCTGCCTCAGCCTCCCAAAGTGCTGGGATAACAGGCGTGAGCCACCGCACCTGGCCGACTGTGTTCATTTCTGACTTGAGACATGAATTCTGCTTTTTCAACAGCTGGGTATCACTTTGAGTTGTATGGGCCCATTTCATTGAGGACATTTAAGCCCGGGTTTTATTTGACTCTACATGAGCTCATACCTCCTGCTTCTTGGGTAAAAGCTGTTCATTTACAGATATTTCTTTCTTTTCCCAGAGAGGTATTTACTCAGGGGCAATACCTTAGTCCTGCTCCTTCTGCGCTCCTATGGTGACTGATACAGTGCTTTACTAACAAACAAACAAACAAACAAAAAAAACCAAATTAGTAACAAATGTCATCTGGGATCTGATCACATAAACTCTGCCGGGAAGATGCTGACACAAGTTCATTGCTCGCTGATGAATTATTTTCAGTGCCAGGTCTCTGAGTATTTAAATGGCTGCATTGTAAAAACAGGATCGTATTATAAATTGTCAAACAGGACGTGTAGTAGATGAAGGCAGATTTGTGCACGCCACACTACCTCCACGTACTCATTCAGCAAACATTTATGTTACAGCTACTATGAGTCACGTGCTGTTTCAGATGCTGGAGAAACAGTGAAGATGAAGACAAAATCCCTCTGAGAATGGAGCTTTGGTGTTCCGAGGCATCCACGTACATCCTGGATTAGCTTCCCTCTATGCATTAAGAGCATACTAGTCACATACCATCCTTGCTAGAATCAAGAACACAGGCACTCTGCCCACTTCCTGTGTTTTGTGGCTCAAATGAGGAACCTCAGTTGAGCAAGGCTTGGCTAGCGCCATGTCTGGCATATTATAGTTGCTCAATGCACACAGGGACAAAGGTTGAATGCAATCTCCGAGTCTGTGCCAGGTTCCTGGAATGGAATTCACAAACTCGGACAGAATTCCTTTCATGCTAAGGCAGATACATCAGCAGGTCCAGCTGAGACGAGCCTAACTGAGTGACAGCTTGACGTGCTGCTGTTCTGCAGAATCATCATTCGGCAAAAGGTGAAATAGGTTTAAAGATCATCTCTACTCCTTAATCCTTGCGGTACCACCTTGCAGGTTTCTTTATCCTTCTGAGCCTCAATTTCCTTGTCTAAGTTGAGCAAAGATTTGATGAGATCATGGGTGTGGAAGACTCAATCCAGTGCCTGCCACATAGTAATCGCTTGATTATCTGGTAGCCCTTGTTTTTTATTTGGCTCTGAGTGAGGGAGAAGGGTGGCAGGCTTCCCCAGGCTGCAATGTGCAGTCATCAAAGGTTTTCTCAGGGAAGCTGTGGTCCTTGGGATGTTGACGAACCCAAGAGTTAGAGACCAAACCAAGACCAACCTCTCTGTGGTTGTTCCCTGGCTGGCCCTCCAGAGGGTGGCCAAAAAAATAAATAAATAAAACACAAAAGAAAGATATACATCTACAGAAGCTGAAATTCCTCTGTTTTTCTACTTTATCTTATTACTTCTTCCCTTTTTCTCTAAAGTAGCTGAACCACATATGTTAAGAGTCATTGTAATACTGAAAAGAATGGAAAACAGGTGTTCGAACAAAACTTGGCCATGCTATTCATGGCAGCACTACTCACAATAGCCCAAAGTAGTAACAGCCCAAATGTCCATCACCTGCTGAATGGATAAAGCCAAATGAGGTCTATCCAGACAATGGGATATTAGTCAGCCATAGAAAGAGATGAAGTACTGATACAAGCTACAATGCAGATGAACCTTGAAAACATAATGCTAAGTGAAAGAAGCCAGACGTGAAATACCCACATGATGTATGATTCCATTTATATGAAATATTCAGAGTTGGCAAATCCACAGAAACAGAAAGCAGACCGGGGGTTGCCAGGGGTTGGGGGTCAGAGGGGAATGAGGAGTGACTGCTTAATGGGTACAGGTTTTCCTTCTGGGGTAACTAAAATGCTTGTAACTAGATAGTGATTATGCTCATATACCATTGTGAATGTATTAAGCGCCACTAATTTCAGTTGTATATTATTTTTGGCATATTAAATATAACTTGTTTTTTGAGATGAAGCCTCACTCTGTTGCCCAGGGTAGAGTGCACTGGTGCGATCTCCGCTCACTGCAACCTCCACCTCCTGGGTTGAAGCGATTCTCTTGCCTCAGCCTCTCAAGTAGCTGGGATTACAGACATGCACCACCACATCTGGCTAATTTTTTGTATTTTTAGTAGAGACAGGCTTTCATCATGTTGGCCAGGCTGGTCTCGAATTCCTGACCTCAAGTTACCGCCCTCTTTGGCCTCCCAAATTGCTGGGATTACAGGTGTGTGCCACCACATCCAGCCAACATATTTTAATGTTATTATTTATGTTTTTATTTTTATGCCACAATAAAAATATGACAGTTGAACCCCAAAATTTCAAACTGAGAAATAAAACAACAGCTACAATAATAACCATGTTTGGTGTATCCTACCTATTTTATATACGCTATCCACCTAATCCTCACAACCCCCCTAAAATAGGCAGCAGTAGCTCCATTTTACAATGGAGCAAACTTCTCAAAACTTGGGCAACGTGTCTAATAATCATGATGATCATAACAATAATAAGTATAGAATATAAGAGTTGCTTGCTGAGGCACTTGTTACATATCGGCTCAGTTTGCCTTCCCAACATCATCATGATGTACATATTATCATTATCACCCATTTTACAGAGGAAGATGAACAGAGAGGTTAAGTGACTTGGCCTAGGTTAGACAGCCCACAGGTAACAGAAACAGGGATTTGCACCCAGGTCATTTGACCTCAGAGTCCATATGCATCACCACTGGAGCCCGCAGGCGTGGTCATGGAGCCGGGAAGGAATGTGGACACCTGCAGAACTTACCTCCCTGTCCTCTCTCATGGAAAATGGGAACAGACTAGGTATCTGCTCCATGACATCAAGTGACTTCATGGGATCCAGACCTTCCCCCAGGCTGCATGGAAGCCAGCATATAGCCAGACAGGTGTGATATGTGAATGTCCCTCTGGCCTGCCAGGCTCCCAGACACAGATCCTTGATATCTGTGCAGGCACCTCCACTTTATGTGGAGAAGCAGCTGAGCCAACCTTAGGATTCATGAGTACCTACCACAGCTCACTGTCCTTTTGAAATAAACTCTCCAGCTCTTTGGAATGTTTTCTGTTTTCATGGTGGTGAAATCTGAAAACGTCTCTAGGTGAAAAGACATTAAGTAAAGACAAAACCCCTCCACTGGTCCTCAATCTAGGAATAAGCCCAGAGATGTTTTTAATAAATGGGGAATGCAAAAAAAAAATGCGGTAAAATATCAGTGACTCTCCTGGCACTTAGAAATAAAGGACCACAGCCACTGCAGCCACAGTGGTGTTATATGGGACAAACACTGAGCACTCATTTGCTCCTTCATGCCTTACTTCAGTAAGTACTTACTGAGCTCTCACTATGTGCCAGGCACTGTACCAGGAATAAGACACAGTGGTGAGCAAAACAGATGTCATCTCTCCACTTGTGGAACTGTCACCCGGGCAGCTTGGGTCACCATCACTATCATCGTTTCTCGAGCCCTTTCTCTGGGTCAGGCAAGGTGCTACACATTTCACAGCTTCATCCTTACAGTAAAGGCTGAGGCAGGTAACTGATGGTTCCCATTTTACAGATGAGAAAACTGAGGCAGAGACAGGTTGAGCAACATGCCCAAGGGCACGTGGCCAGTAAACAGAACAGCTGGAAATTGAACTCAGGCTCTGCTGCCTCCTCAAGTGCACACTTTCAACCGCTTTGCTGCACTGGCCTGAGGGCCTGAGCCCTGGAAAATTCCTGCCGACTAGCAGAAGGAGGTTTGTAGGTCCAGTTCCAGATCCAGCTTACAGGGTCTCTCCAGGAAACCCAGGGCCACGAAGCCTAAGAATAAGGTATGCTGCAGAAAAGCTCAACACCAAGAGAAAATAATAGCAACAAAGCAACAGGAGGCATTTAGCCTGGTGGAAAGTAATTACCTGAGCTATAATGTACATATCTACTAGCAAAAAATACTAGCTATCATGTTTCCCCTCCTCCAGCAGGCTGGTACAGTCCTCTACTTTTTTTTTTTTTTTAACTTTCTTTTTCCCACTGCCAAGCAACTGATTATAAACTGAACCAATCTCATCATGGCATTTTCTAATAGAAAACTTTTCAAAGGCTTCCCATTGCTTATAGGATAAGCTTGGACTCCTTAACCTGGCTCTAAAGGTCCCACACGGTCTGGCCCCCACCTGCCTCTCTGGCCTCATTCTATTGGCTTATCCCCTTGCCACACTCTGTCCACATAAGCCTCTTTTCATTTACCACAGAAGCCATGTTTTCTCCTGCCTCAGTGCCTTTGTGCATGCAGCCCCTGCTGCTTGCAATGTTCACCGCCCCCTTTTTTTCACCCAGTTAATTCCTCCTCTTCTTTCAACTCTCAGGAAACCACTGGGCAGAGGGCACTCCAGCCTGCTGCCCATCTCCTTCTTAGTTTTACATAAAAGGAGGGGGAACTGATGGTAGGATTACTTAGTGCCAGTGAGATTGCTTGAGACGTGGTTATGGGATGGGTACTTCTCCAGGGAAGCTTTCCCTGGTCCTTTAGAAGAGAAGGGGTGATATGCATGTCTGTTTCCTGCATTATATGCATGCAAATTTCTTTCCTGACAATGTCATGAAGATGTCATTATTTGATGGCTTAATCTGTATATTCCTCAAAGGCAGCGATGTTAATGGTTCTATTGGTGTCTGTAACCCCAGGTCCTGGCAAATGTCTGGCACACAGTAGGTTTCCAACAAGCATCTGTTGACTGACTAGAATGTATGAATGAATGAACAAATTCACAGTGACGCCCTACAGCTGATAGTTCATTAAAATGTATTTTGCGGACACCACCTTGGTTAAAAATCTCTCTCTTCCTGAATTAACATTGCAACCTGAGACAGACTTCCAAGATAAATTACAGGAGGGGAGCCCAGACACATCCAGGCAGTGAGTCAGTAGAAAACCAGACACACAAGATCAACTGGATTTATAGAAAGTACTAGAGGAACACATGTCCAGTCACTCTGGGAAATCTTTGAGAATTAGCTGGCATTAAGGCATTAGTCAGCAACTTGCCTGGTCAACCAAGGAAAGATAAACGAGCTCTGTGCTTTTAGCGGGGGAGCAGAAACTTGGGGTAAGTGCTGAAATCAACGAGTCTCAGGATTCAATGACATTAACCTTTTTGATTCAGATTGAGGAAGGTGGTGCAGGGTGAATTACGGTGCTAATGAGGACCAGGTATTTATCCTGCGTTTAGGCAGAGAAGGCTGGGTGGTAAGAAAACCGGTATGCTCTGGCTGGCAGGAACTCTGCGGGGCTGGATAGCCATGGAGGACTGTCTGTGTGCAAACTGCCTGTCTCCTCTCGGCCGCCCCTGGTCAGGCAACACTGATGGGTGAGCTGTGTTTCATGTGCTCCTTACCAGCTCAAGGTCAGAAATGGCACACGAAGTAGGTTAGGGGAACATAAAATAAAGGGAGCCTGCTGTTTAATAAGGGGTTCAGCTACCCAGGACTGGGTAGAAATCCAGGTCAAGGCCTAGGGGAGGTAGAGCAGAAGGCCTTGGGGATCTCCATCACTCATTCTCTATCCAGGGTCCTGAAGTCTGAAGCACTTGAGGTGATTCAGATTCAACCCCACCTGGGTTGACAGAATCATCTAAGATAGTGAAGCAAAGGCCATGCCTAGGAAGATGGGTGAGTGGGTTGGCACTAAATTTGAAAGGGCTGAGATGTACGTGTTCTGGGCAAGGCCACGATCTGAAACATGGGAGATCTGGCAGAATGATCAAGTGCAAACTATTGCCTGCCACCTGTTTTTAGAAAGAAAATTTTACTGGAACACAGTCATACCCATTCATTTACATACTGTCTATGGCCGCCTTAGTATTACAACAGCAGAGTTTCGTCATCCTGAGAGACATATATGTACCACAAAACCTAAAATATTTACTATCTGGCCTTTTAATAAAAACTTTTGAGGCTGGGCGTGGTGGCTCATGCCTGTAATCCCAGAACTTTGTGAGCTCGAGGCAGGCAGATGGCTTGAGCCCAGGAGTTTGAGACTAGCCTGGGCAACATGGCAAAACCCTGTCTCTACAAAAATACAAAAATTATCCAAGTGTGGTGACATGAGCCTGTAATCCCAGCTACTCAGGAGGCTGAGATGGGAGGACCACTTGAGCCTGGGAGGTCAGGGCTTCAGTGAGCTGTGACTGTGCCACTGCACTCCAGCCAGGGTGACAGAATGAGACCCTGTCTCAAAAAAAAAAAAAAAGTTTGTTGAATGAACGGAGCTGGAGGCTTTTATCCTAAGTGAACTAACAAAGGAAGAGAAAACCAAATACATATTCTCGCTTGTAAGGGGGAGCTAAACATTGAGTACACACGGAAACAAAGAAGGGAAGGGTAGACACCAGGGTCTCCTTGAGGAGGCAGGGAGGGTGAGGATCGAAAAACTATCAGGTACTCCATTTATCACCTGAATGATGCAGTAATTTGTACACCAAACCCCCAGGACACACAATTTACCTATGTAACACACCTGCACATGTACCCCTGAACCTCAAATAAAAGCTAGAAAAGAAGTTTGTTGATCCCTCGCCTGATAACTCTCTTTTTTGGGTCATTCACAATCTTCCTCATAACTTTCTGGCATATCCGTCTAATCGAAGTGTCTTCCTGACCCACCCTATCCTCTTTCCATGCAATAGTTTTCCTGGTACTCATTTCTACCTGATATATGACCCGCTCACTTATCTACTGTCTCTTTCTCTAATGAGCATGGAGGATGCACAACAGTGCTTGCTTTCTTTACTGCCATATTCCCAACCCCCAGCAAAATGGCTGGAGTATACCAGGCACTCAATAAGTACTTGCCAAATGACTGAAGAGCCACTTACCCCTTGTATTGTTGCCTTGTTAATATTTTCTCATTTAAATCAACTTTCATTTTATTTATTTATTTACTTTTTATTTTTAAGGAAACTTCAGCTTCCAAAATCTGGGCTGAACATGTTCCTATTCCCTTCTATGTGTTAATATAGATAAACATGGACATTTTCAAAGACTCGCCTGCATTTCTCTTTAAATCATCTTACATACTGCAAGCGGCCCACAGGCCATACTTGGGAAGTCCTGACTCATTGTTAAGGACATGGGTGGGTTTAAGCTCCACTGAGCTCCACTTCTGGGTAGCTGAGCATCTGCTCAAGTCCCTTCTCTTGCAAATGGGGACAATGAAGGTCCCATCTCACCAGATGGCTGAGAGATTAAAGGAGAACATAGAAGAAGCACTTAGCACCTGCAGAAACTCAGTGGCAGGGAACTCTCAGGGGTGGGGCCATCTCCCGGTCGCTCAGTTCATGACAAAGCAGTGCCCCCTTGGTACTGCAGCCATCACTGTCATGAAGCCTGTCTGAGACACTGCCCCAATTCCTGAATGGTTGCACCACAACCCAGCAAAGCAATTTGGATTAATGGGACTATTTAGCTGTAGGTGTCCAGAGAATGCATTGTTTAAAGTAACTTGTTGGAAACTTCCCCAGGGTGGCAAATTTTAAACAAAGATTGACTCTGTAATCAAAAATTGCTTCTGCTTGGCCTTAAACCAGATTCCGGCATCCTGAAGAGCATGATTAGACTGAGAAAGGGTGGCAATGTTTGTGCCCCTGGCTCGGTTTGCCAAGTAATGTTGACTGATGAATACAATTAAATTGCACTGAGGAGAATCCCTCCCTGGAGGAGAAAGGACATAGGAGACGGGTGATGGCTTTTAGGGGCACAGTTTTTCATTCCTTCTCCATAAGGGAACAACCACCATTGTGGGATTCCCCTTCACCCCCTACCATGGGAAAACTGGCCAGTACTACCAAATGGCCTTCCCCTTCCCATTCTCCACTTTTGGATTAACTGGTCTTATAGGCAGTGGGCCAAGACTAGATTCCAGGTTCTAGAGACACTCCATCTGACCTTCATGGGCCTGCTTCACCTAAGCTGAGTGGGAGTGGGAGGAGGCAGCAGGGGAGTCTCATGAACCATGAAGACTTTGCTCTCTGCGTTGGCTTCTGTTCCATGATGATTTCCTAGGAAGCTGACCTGCCCAGATGTCCAAATCACTTTCTGATATTGCCTGGGGCCACCAGGGGAGGGTCAGAGGCAGGCCACTTGAGCATGGGGATGGGGTGAGGGTTGGTGAGGCTGGGAATTGGAAGGAAGTTTCCCACTTGAAATTTCAGGTAGATTGCAGTTGCATTCAAAAAGTAACTGGAGAAATGCACTTGATTTTTCAAAGTAAGTGGAGAAATGGACTTGAGAAATGGAATATGTTGTTTCACCTCATTGGGGTAGAGAAGGCCAGTAAACACTAGGGCTGTCTTCAAACAGCCTTGCAGCAGGGAGGGAATATGGGGGCCCAACTACAGGCAAAGAAGGCTCAGCTCAAGGCAACTACCTTCCTCACTCTCATCACGATCAGACTTCCTCAAAGGCAGGTGCCCCCTGCCCAATCTGCATTTCTGTATTAGTACAAGGAATAGAGACATAAAATATAAGAGGAAGAAAGAAGGAGAGAATAAGGAAAGTGACCACACAAGGCCAGACCATGTTTTTGTCCAGAATTAATAACTATACAGGATTATTAATTATCATTGTCATCACTACCATTATCATCAAAAAATTTCCTTGTTAAAAAATGCCCAATTCCGGATTAGGTCCTGTGTTCCACTATCTTTCATGTTTCTAACAATCCTATGAGGAAAGTACCCTGGGGAGGGCACTCTAGCCTGCTGCCCATAGCAGGTTCTCCTCTGCCCATCTCTCTCCTACATTTACCCAAAGGGAGGAACTGAGGGTAGGATTACTTAGTGCTGGAGAGATTGCTTGAGACATGGTTATTAGTGGGCTAGATATCTGTTCTGTGAACCCTTCCTCCTCCCAAATGAATTGCACTTCTTTTTTTTTTAATGTTTCTTGCCTCAGGCCTGGGTGGTACTTAAGCCTCTTGGGGCCACGATGAGTTACCCCAACCGCTTGATGCAACGGGGTGGGTACAGTAAGCTAAGGTCTCCCTGGTGGATTCAACCATCTCTCCTTGCTTTGTATCCATCAGTATGACCAAGCATCCTGGTCCCAATGTTTTGATGGTGAGAAGGTGGAGAGGAGGTCACATGGAGCTGCCAGACCTGAGCCACCATGCTCTGACCTAGCTGTCATCAAACAGCTTGAAATAAAGCAGTACCTGGAGTCCCACCTGGCTATTCTTCCTTTTACCGCTCCCTGATGGGTAGCATGGTCATGCCCTCTCACAGGTGAGAAAAAGGAGACTCACAAAGGTTGGATTTGTTGCTTGAGAGCATATAGCTCTCATACAGGGGATGAGGACAGGTACCTTGGTCTGTACAGGCTGCTATAACAAGACACCATAACTGGGTGGGTTAAACAATGGAGATTTATTTACTCACAGTTCTGGAGACTGGAAAGTCCAAAGTGCCTGTCAATTAGATGCTGGTGAGGCCTCTCTTCCTGGCTTGCAGAAGGCCACCTTCTTGCTCTGTCCTTACATGGCAGAGAAAGAGAGAGCGAGCTCTCTGGTGTCTCTTATAAAGAAGGACACTCCTTCTATAGGATCAGGGCTCCATGCTTATGATCTCATTTTACCTTAAGTACCTCCTTATAGGCCCTATCTCCAAGTACAAGGGTTAGAGCTTCGACATATAAATTTTAGTGGGGCACGGTTCAATCTATAGCAACAGGATTCAAATCCAGGTCAGGCTGATATTGCATGGCCTCTTCTACATCGTAGTGGAATGACTTGATGGTGTAGAATATGCCAGCATTGCTTTGAGTTTGCTTTGATTTTGCTTTGAAACAATTAGGCATATGTGGGGGGTGGGGTGGGGGGAGGGACAGAAGCCATTCCTTTCTAATTATGCTTGCATTAGGCTAATATTTAAATGAATGAGAATTCCACTGGGCACCACCAGATAGCCAGTTAGGGTAGAGATATGGAGAGTCTGAGGTCCAATGGGAACAGGATTACAAAGGAATTTGAAGGTTGGGGTTGTTCTTGCTAACGCAGGACAGATGGTTCCTAGGTCTATGCTTAGAGCACACAGTCAGTAAAGCTTGGATATTCCATTAGAGAAAGAAAGAGACCATCTGGAGATGGGTCTACACTGGCTTTTGGCTTTGGCAGCCACATCGTAGTGTTGGCATCCTTGGGTGATCGGCTTTCCCTCCCTGGGGTCAACCACTTACACAACACACTGCATAAAGCATGGTGAACTTCAGGGTCAGCTAAGCCTGCATTCAAATCCCAGCTTGGCCACGATCAAGTCATGTGACGTTGGGCAAGTCACTTGAACACTCTGAGTCCTGGTGCTGTTCTATATGTCATCTTACTGGGATGCCATGGGGACTAAAGCAGAAAGTGGGGGCAACTTGGCAGTTGGCTAAACATTAGGTCACTCTGGATCTCAGGTTCTGATGTACCCTGCTCATCTCTTGATACGTGGACAACTCTGCCTCCTGGATTCTCATCCAGATACAGAAACCAAGGATTTAGATGGGGAAGAAATGAGTGAGAGAGCTTTACCCCAGAACTATCCAGCAGGTGAAATTATGACCCGTTGGCAAAAAACTCAGGTCCTTTCCTCTCTGCCCCTACTCCCCGTGATGAAAGAAGCATGCATTTAAATCCTGGCTCCAACCCCCACCAGTTGTGAGACACTGAGAAAATCCCTTTACTTCTCACAGCCTTGGTTTCTTCATACTGCGATGCAGTAACACTATCTACCTTCTGGGATTGTTGTGAGAATTACATGAGATAATGCATGGAAATCACTTGGCCTAGAATCCTATGCACAGTAAGTAGTCAAGAAATGTCAGCAAATATGATTAGCTACTGGAGTATGGCAGGTCTTAAAAGGCTTTCCCAGGCATCTACTTTGAGTGGCTACTATTGACCATGCTGGACAATGACTCAGGGTGGGAGCAAGGGAGAGAAAATACTTGAATGATAATAAGAATAATCCACAGAGTCCGTCTGTGTGCCTAATGATCAGACCTTAACCCTGTCGCTTGGATCCTATACTCAGTCAAATCTTTGCCCTCATCAATTTTTAAAAGGGTAGAAACGCTCCTCCCTTATCCCACTTTTAATACATGCGGTTCCTCCAGATTGCCCTTGAAAAGAATCTTCACCTGCAGTTAGATGTAAGGAACAGGCAAGGGAAGAATAATAGACTCTACAATAAAGACCACCCACATTGTAGACCACCCCGGGCTCACATCCAAATTCCCAGGATGCACTTGGAGCATCCCAGCATGGATACCGTCCATACTCTTGGCCACCGGAGAAAAAGTCACATAAAAGACGGCTTTTTTTTTTTTTTTTTTTTGCCAATAAGCAAAAATGCTCAATGCACTGGGCAGGAAGATGCCAGGGTTGGAAACGTCCCATCCACAGACACATAGAGAGCCGCTGCCAAGAGGAAGGAGAATTGTGAGATCTGGAGAGGGAGGGATTCGGAAGAAAATACATTGCAAAATTCATTGTGTGGTCAAGCTGGGATCTGGTGAGAATATCAAATTGGCAGAGGACAGAGACCACATTTATTTCTGTACTATTTAGCCTGGACTCTCTTTTCTTCTGGTAACAGTAGTATAATTCTCTCTAGTGGAAGTGTTTGTACCCCATGGCATCGATGTAAGGTTCATGAGCGCACAGTTTTAATTTAACTTTAAATTAAAATCATATCAAATTGAAAATTTAGTTCCTCAGTCCCACAAGGCACGTTTCAAGCTCTCAATGGCCACCTGTGGCTAACGGCTACCATACAGGATGGTGCTTATAGAACATTTCCATCACCCCCGAAAGTTCCACTGGACAGTGCTGGTCTAGAGCATTGCCTAATATCTAGCAGAATCTCAATGAGCATCTATTTAATGAATGGATGAATGGCCAAGTGCTCTATTCTCTGCTAGCCAAAGAAGGGATACACAACTCAAGAGAGAACTATCACATTTTTCCCCAGGACTCTGAATTTTTTTTGTTTTCCGTTGTGAAAGAAAGAGAAAGCAAACAAAATAGCAAGCAAACAAACAATACAACTAAAAGTTATTTAAGCCAGATGATGGCATCCCTTGGGTGAAGCAGTCACTTCAATTCTTGTCTTCCACCACATCCTTCCCAGAAGGTCCTAAGCCCATAGACCACTCTTGGCTTTCTGCAGAACCTTGGTTTTCATGAGATCTCCGAGAACTCTAGGCTCACTCTGTTTGTCCAGCCGATGGTCTAGGTCACTTCTGGCCTTAAGAAGGCTTAAAGAGCTGACCAGCCTAAAATACAGCTCAGGAGACCCAGGACAACTGGCAAGAGGGAAGCAAACTGCATTTCTGCAAAAGCAGGAGTGTGTGCTCCATCAGCCTGAAAAATAACAGGGCTGAGGATATGTTTATTTTGTGACTAGAGGCAAACAAAACTGTTAACGGCATAATTACTGGCATGTTTTTCCAGTCTCCTTGTGAACAACAGTCCGAGCAGATACACCCTTTCAAACTCACACATTATCTGGGTGGAGGTTTTATTGGATGGTTTCGAACCCAGGAACTTTGGGGTCTCAGGAAGCAGAGTGTGTGTCTCTGAACGTCCCAAAGAACAAAAGTGGTTTGGATGCTGAGAAAGCAGAATGCAGGGGAGATGGTCACACCCAAATATCTGAGTGTTGGGCCACCAAGTATGCTTTCCCACGAAGTACTGAGGCTAACATTTTCCAACACAGCATGTAGCTTCTATTTATTTTTCTAACTATGTGAAAGATGTCTCTCTCTCTCCCTGGACCAGTGGATTTCAATTCTCACTAGTACAATCACCTGCAGGGTGCTGGACACTTTAAAAATATATAGATTCTTGGCTGGGTGCAGTGGCTCACACCTGTAATCCTAGCACTTTGGGAGGCTGAGGTGCGCAGATCACTTGAGGTCATGAGTTTGAGGTCAGCTTAGACAACAAGGTGAAACCTTGTCTCTACTAAAAATACAAAAATCAGCCAGATGTGGTGGAGAGTGCCTGTAATCCCAGGTACTTGGGAGGCTGAAGCAGGAGAATCACTTGAACTGGGAGGTGGAAGTTGTAATGAGCTGAGATTGTACCACACTCCAGCCTGGGTGACAGAGTGAAGACTCTATCTCAAATATCTCAAATATATATATACACAGAGAGAGAGAGAGAAATTGATTCTTGGCATCCACAAGGAATTTACATTCAGTTGATCTGGAACGGAACTCTAGATTTCTTTTTTATTTTTATTTTTTAAGACGGAATTTCACTCTTGCTGCCCAGGCTGGAGTGCAGTGGCGCGATCTCGGCTCACTGCAACCTCCACCTCCTGGGTTCAAGCGATTCTCCTGCCTCAGCCTCCCGAGTATCTGGGATTACAGGCATGTGCCACCATACCCAGCTAATTTTGTATTTTTAGTAAAGACGGGGTTTCACCATGTTGGTCAGGCTGGTCTCAAACTCCTCACCTCAGGTGATCTGCCTGCCTTGGCCTCCCAAAGGGCTGGGATTACAGACGTGAGCCACCATGCCCAGCCGATTTCTTTATTTTGAGCCTCCCAAGTATCTGGCGTTACAGGGGTGCACCACCACACCTGGTTAATTTTTTTTTTTTTTTTTTTAGAAATGGGGGTCTTGCTTTGTTGCCCAAGCTGGTCTTGAACTCCTGGGATCAAGTGATCCTCCCACCTCGGCCTCTCAAAGTGCTGGGATAGGCATGAGCCACTGCGCCTGCTGAACTCTGAATTTCTGAGAATCACATAGAACCTTGATTTGACCCGGCTGAGAAGCACATAGTGAGATGTCAAGCTCCTTGTGGCAGGGATGGTGTCTGTCCTGCTCCCTGCGGAACACCCATAGCCTGACGCATGACGGGTGCTCAGGAAATGGCCTTGAGAAGCAGCTCTATCCTGTTTTAAGAGTCTGGCTCAGCCTGTCTTCTCCTGGGAGACCTTGGAGTCCCCGTCAGAGCACACCTGTGCTAATATTGCAGGTGTAAGGTGAAGAGGGTCTGACCTGGGTGGGGATGAAGGGCATCACAGATGGGGATGAACACGGAGAGATGTCAGGGTTAGAACGAGAATACGCAAGGTGCAGATGGAGCAGCAAGGAAGGGGGCACACAGGCTTCCAGCTGCAGGTGCTCAGGAGGAGGGTGGTCCTATTCAGAGAAATGGGGGAACCAGAAGGGTGACTGATATAGGATAGGAAGACATTTTGGATTCTTCTAAAATGTAGAAGAATCAGTCCAGGTGTGGTGGCTCATGCCTGTAATCCCAGGACTTTGGGAGGCCGAGGTGGGCAGATCACTTGAGGCCAGGAGTTCGAGACCAGCCTGGCCAACAAGGCAAAACCCTGTCTCTACTAAAAAGACAAAAAAATTAGCCAGGCATGGTGGCACGTGCCTGTAATCCCAGCTACTCGGGAGGCTGAAGCAGGAGATTCCCTTGAACCAGGGAGGCGGAGCTTGCAATGAGCCGAGATCACGCCATTGCACTCCAGCCTGGGTGACAGAGCAAGACTCAGTTTCAAAAAAAAAAAAAAAAAAAAAAAATTAGCCAGATGTGGTGGTGCATAACTGTAATCCTAGCTACTTGGGAGGCTGAGGGATGAGAATCACTTGAACCTGGGAGGCAAAGGTTAGAGTGAGCCAAGATCGCACCACTGTACTCTAGCCTGGGTGACAGAGCCAAACGCTGTCTCAAAAAAAAAAAAAAAAAAAAAAGAAAGATTAAAAAGGTCAATTTTATTTTAAGTGTATTTTATCACTTTTCTTTTCTTTCTTCTTATTTTCTTTTTGGGATGGAGTTTTGGTCTTGTTGCCCAGGCTGGAGTACAATGGCGTGATCTCAGTCCACTGCAACCTCCGCCTCCCAGGTTCAAGCAATTCTCACTTATTTTATCATTCTCACCATATTTTATCACTTTAAAAAAAAAGAACAAAAGACAAAGAGGGGTCTCCACCATATTCTTTCTCACATTCACTCAACCCACATTCTTCCTCTAATCCTCTGGCTGCGCCCCTGTTGGCTTATGATTGGCTTTTTTCTGACCCGCTCTCCTAAGATCCTTGCATCTCACGCTTGCTTCTCTGTTCTCTGCTCCAGCTCCTGTTGAAATCCTCTGAGTCTCCTGAACGAGGCTGTTTTGCACAGGTGTGGGGTCCTGGTCCCCAAACAGAAGGTGGCTGCCTGGCTCTGAGTGACTAAAAGACTTCATGGCTGCTTGGGTTCAGGAAGCTCCTTATGGCTTCCTTCTAGGACACCTGCTTCTGCCTGGAGGTTTGGAGAATAGGGGGCTCTGTGGATGTGGCTCTGGGGTCAGTAGAAGCAACTGCTTGTGATCTGGCCTCCCCACTCCCATTTGGGCCCCACTCCCAACTATTCTCCCACGGCAGCCAGTACGATCTCTCAATGTGGCAAATATTGTCACTCTCCCCTAAAACCTCACCGCTCACAGACTGAGGCTTTAGTGACCCAACAGGACATCTCAAGTGCCCACATGGGCTTGCCTCGACCTACCTCATTTGTAAGAAGGCAAACCCTCGCCTCTTATGTTTCACCCATAGTTGCCTTCTTTCAGATCCTCAGATATGCCAGGGTCCCAAGCTACCCCCTCTTCCTGGGATGCCTGCTTGGAACCTCCTCACACTTCTCCTAAACTCCTACCCAGCATCTACATCTCAGTTCACAGGCTGCCTCCTCAGGGAAGCCATCCGGGCCCTCAGTCCATGTGAGATTCCTTTGCAAAGTGCTCATAGATCCTTCATTCCTTTTTTTCACAATGCTTGCCTGACTTTGTCATATGTGCACTCCTGTGATCTCTGTGATTAATGTCTGTCTCCTTCCTCTATTAATAACCATGGCTATCACATGGATAACCCTCACTGTGTGCTAAGCACTTCACATATATGGACTCACTTAGCCCTCAAAGCAACCCTATGGGGTGGTGCCATTATTATGCCCATTTTACAGATGAAGTAACTGAAGCACAGGGACTGCTGTGTGCAACTTCACACAGCTAGTAAATAAAGAAGCTGCGATTTGGACCCAGGTGGACTGGCTCCAGCCTGTACCCTTGACCACTACGATGAGGGCAGGGCTGGATATGTTTTTCCTCACCTTTGAGTTGCTGCTTAGCACAGTGTCCAACACATAGTAGGTGCTCAATAAATATTTTTTTGGGTGAATGGGTAAAGTCAGAAGGAGCCCTGTCTCCTGAACTCATCTGTGGGAGTAGAGAAGTATCTTCACTGGGCTGACCTAAGCACTTTCCTCCTCAAAGCACCCCAAGATTGTCATCAGAAGGGGCTTGGTGTTGAGAGAAGGAAGAAGGGAAAAAGGGAAGCTTGGACCTCACACTCTACTCCTCCACATTTCCATCTTCAACCTGAATCTTCCCCGGACAATGAGAATCACTGAAGTTTCTTTCCCGTTCAGCTGAGGTCCAGGGGCTAGCATGGGTAGAGAAGATCCGGTGTGAATGGGAAAGGCCATCAGGCCAATATGCTCAGATCTACAACCCCCCATGGCCAAACAGTCACCAGGGCTTGCTTAACAAGAGTCCTCCAGCACCACTGCTGGGCAGAGTCCCATATGATGGAGCTGCATCTTCTTAAACCAGATGAGGTCCTCAATTCAGGGCATACAGTGCAGATACAACATGGCCAGGAGACAGGGGCTTTGGGAAGCTTCAGAATGCTGAGTATATTGACTGATAATTGGATAAACAGATTGTGGTACAAGTATATCAACATGATAGAATATCAGCCATAAAAAGGAATGAAGTGCTGCCACATGCTACGATGCAGATGAACCTCAACGATATTAAGCTAAGTGAAATAAGCAGGTCACCAAATGTCATATACTATGTAACTGCATTCATATAAAATGTCCAGAATAGGCTGGGCATAGTGGCTTACACCTGTAATCTCAGCACTTTGGGAGGCTGAGGTGGGTAGATCACATGAGGTCAGGAGTTCGAGACCAGACTGACCAACATGGTGAAACCCCATCTCTACTAAAAATACAAAATTAGCCAGGTGTGGTGGTGCATGCCTGTAATTACAGCTACCTGGGAGGCAGAGCCAGGAGAATCTCTTGAACTTGGGAGGCAGAGGTTGCAGTGAGCCAAGATCGTGCCATTGCACTCCAGCCTGGGCAACAAGAGGGGAGGCTCCATCTCAAAATAAATAAATAAAAATGTCAAGAATAGGCAAATCAAGTCCATAGATACAGAAAGGAGATTAGTGGTTGCCAGAGACTGAGGAGAGGTTTCTGGGAAGTGACTGCTTAATGGGTACAGGGTTTTCTTTTGGGATGATGAAAATGTTTAGGATTAGAGAGCGTACGGTTGCCTGACACTGTGAATGTACTGAATGCCATTCAACAATTCAAAGTGGTTAATTTTATGTTATATAAATTTCACCTCAGTTTCTTTTTATTATTATACTTTAAGTTTTCAGGTACATGTGCACAACATGCAGGTTTGTTACATATGTATACATGTGCCATGTTGGTGTGCTGCATCCATTAACTTGTCAATTACATTAGGTATATCTCCTAATGCTATCCCTCCCCCCTCCCCCCACCCCACAACAGTCCCCGGTGTGTGATGTTCCCCACCCTGTGTCCAAGTGTTCTCATTGTTCAGTTCCCACCTATGAGTGAGAACATGTGGTGTTCGGTTTTTTGTCCTTGCGATAGTTTGCCAAGGATGATGGTTTCCACCTTCATCCATGTCCCTACAAAGGACATGAACTCATCCTTTTTTATGGCTGCATAGTATTCCATGGTGTATATGTGCCACATTTTCTTAATCCAGTCTATCATTGATGGACATTTGGATTGGTTCCAAGTCTTTGCTCTTGTGAACAGTGCCACAATAAATATACATGTGCATGTGTCTTTAAAGCAGCATGATTTATAATCCTTTAGGTATACACCCAGTAATGGGATGGTTAATTTTATGTTATATAAATTTCACCTCAGTTTCAAAAAAAAAGGATCATGATTCTACAGTTTACTGGCTGTAGCCTTGGGGTCAAGTTTCTTAACATCTCTGTGCCTCAGTTTATTCATCTGAAAAATGGGGATATCAAGAGTGCATACTTCAGAGTTGTTGTCAAAACGATGTAAACAAGCTTGTCCAACCCTGCCTTATTTGGTTGTTCTGTTTTGTTTTTTTGTTTTAGGCTTTTAGCAGCCTGAAGCCATGGTTTTTAGTTTCTGTCTCTAGTGATAAGCAGAAAAGAGGGATGAGGAAGGGGCTTTACTGGCCCAACCAAGAAAAGAAACTGAGGAGCCATAACTGTATTCTCTCCCTCAGACATCCCTGAATTGTAAAGCACTTAGAATAATGCTAGGAATGTACGAAGTGCTACATATACATTTGCTGTGGTTGCTGTGCGGTCTTAACTACAGGAATTCTTTGACCTATTCGGGTTCCACTTTAGCAGACTAAAGGGATGTGATCTGTACGCAGATGCAGTGACTGTACATGGATGCTTGGACTTCCATACTGCTCATCTTCATTTCAAATCCCAGAGTGACTGGGATCTGTGCTGAACATTATCAAGGGCTTGACTTCCCTGCAAAGCTTCCTCTGCTCTGTGTTAATACTAATTTCTCTAAACTTACTTACCAAGTAGCAGTTGTGTTTTGGGGGATGGGATTAAGAAGAAATATGTGGTAAAGGGCCCTGAAGAGGGCCCAGCACACAGTAGGTGTGCAGTAAGTGTCTGCTCTGTTAGTCTGGGGGTTAGTCTTGCTCAATTGGTCCCATATAAACTCTGGTCTTCGGGAGACTGTAGAGAAGCCCTGGCCACCTGTTCCTGTCTTTACCAGCTGGTGTTTCCTACTGAGGCGCCATGGAGCAGCTCTCTCATGTTCTCAGCCTGCGGCTCTGGTAGTATCTCAAGACAGACATTTGGATCTGCAGTTAATGTAACTTACATGTCCATGTGGTGGGCCCTGATAGTTTGGACTTTGTTGATGTGGATACCCAAGAGGCAGAAGTAGCAGGAAAATGTCAACATGGTTTCCCCTGCCTGGTTTCTGTATACATACACTGCCCCACATGTGCAAACGTGTGTACACACCACAGACTGAATGTGAACCCCGGGAGGGGCCAAGGACACACTCAACCCTCCTCTCTTTACATCTGATTTGCCCCAAGACACCGGACTTAGGAAAAGACACAGTGTGAGGCGTGAGGTCTCTCTCTCTCTCTTTTTTTTTTTTTTTTTTTTTTTTAGATGGAGTTTCACTCCTGCTGCCCGGGCTGGAGTGCAATGTCATGATCTCAGCTCTCTACCACCTCTGCCTCCTGGGTTCAAGTGATTCTCCTGTCTCAGCCTCCCAAGTAGCTGGGATTACAGGCGCCCGCCACCACACCCAGCTACTTTTTGTATTTTTAGTAGAGATGGGGTTTTACCATATCGGCCAGGCTGGTCTCAGACTCCTGACCTCAGGTGATCCACCCATCTTGGCCTCCCAAAGTGCTGGTGGCATTACAGGCATGAGCCACCACACCCAGCCGAGGTCTCTTACTACAAGTCCAAGCCAAGAAACAGGGCAAAGTGCTATTGGCTTCATCTCTTCCTGCAGCCAATCTAAAGTAGGCCAGGTATAATTCCTTGCCTCGGTAAATAGAACATACGAATAAAACCATCATACCTTTCGAGGATTCAAGATCTAGCAGGGCCTCAGAGTTTGAAAGTATCCATTTTCCACTTTCATCCACGTGCTGGGTACACAACCAGCTCCAGCTGGAGCCTACGTGGACCAGGATGTCATGTCAACAGCAGAGCAGGAGCACCTAGAGTCTCTAAACACTCTCAGCTTGCGTATGCCAAGTTCAGGAATATTCTTCATGTCCACAAGTGAATTGGATCTATTCTGTTTTTCTTGAAACAGTCTCACGTCTATCTTTGCTTTTCCCACCCTTTTTTTTTTTTTTTTTTTTTTTAGACAGCGTCTCAGTCTGTCACCCAGGCTGGAGCGCGGTGGTACGATCTCGGCTCATTGCAGCCTCTGCCTCCCGAGTTCAAGTGAGTCTCATGCCTCAGCCTCATGAGTAGCTGGGGTTACAGGTATGCACAACCATGCCTGGCTAATTTTTGTATTTTTAGTTGAGTCGGGGTTTCATCATGTTGGCCAGGCTGGTCTCGAACCCCTAACCTCAAGTGATCCACCTGCCTTGGCCTCCCAAAGTCCTGGGATTACAGTTGTGTGCCACCGTGCTTGGCCCACTTTTCCCTCTTTTGACAGAGATGTGAGTTCAAGAAATACTTTGCTACTCTTTTAACTCTATCAAAGAGAAAAGGGAAAGTAACTCAAGTCCCACAGTTACTTATAGCCATGGAGTAATTTGGGCATTTATCAACCACTTTCTGTCATTAGACGCTGTGGTAGGTCCTTATCATGCAAGATTTCATTGAAACTTCCTAAGAACCCTCCGAAATAGGCACTAATATTGTGTTTATTTTAAGGTAGAGAATTTGAGATGCAGAAAGTTGAAGCAACTTGCCCAGTTGGTGGTGGGGCAGAATCTGAAACCAGGATGTCTGCGTCCAGGGCCTAAACAAGGCTAGTGACCAGTAAACACCAGTGCATCTTTAATATCTAAGAGAGGAAGAATCTGCCCACACCCCCCCACCCCCCACAGTGAGGGTTGTGCAGGGGACACAGGGAGGTGACGTCAAATCACAGAGCAGCTCACAGTGGCTACGTCGGGCTGGCTGGACCCTTAAGTATCCCCCAAGTTTTCAGTGCCTCTTAGAAGTGCCTGACTTGGGCACTACCGCCCCTTTGAGAAGACTCCTAAGTTTGCTCATTCTTTCTGGGATGGGAGAAGTAGTGGTTTTGGAAGCTACAGATGGGGCGGCAGATGGAAACTGAAAACCTATCAGCATTGCCCAGGATGAAACCATTCATCTGCAAAATTCATATGTTTTTGTGTAGGGCAACTTCATGAAAACAACAGCAAGAGGAACCAGCAGTGCTTGATGCATAAAGTGCCTCTGGCTATGAGGCTGGCAAAGAAGAGTGGGCAAAGGAATTCGTGGGAGGCACCATGGAAATGAGATCAGTGAAGTAGAGGAAGATGATGAGAAAGGCCAAGAGACACAGAGTGACCTGGGGCACTAAAGCAAAAAAGCCACAAATAAGACAACTCTCTTTTCTGAACCCCAAAATAGGTTGCACGCATGGCCTGAGAAAGGATTTCTGGGCCTCTCAGAGATACAAGATGAGACCTTGGATGTACCTTACGTATAAATGGCTGACATTCATGGAGCACCTTCCAAGTGTCCGGCAGGCTGCTAGGTTCTATTATTGTATCCTGATTTCACAGAAATTGGATTTACTTGCCCGCGGTCACGCTGCTAGCTAAGTGGCAGAACTCAGATTCGAGCCGTAAGCAGTTTGACGAGAGTGCAGGCACTCACCCTCCCGGGTGCTGAGCCGAGCTGGACTCTTTAGGGGAGGTGGCCACGCAAAGCAAGCCAACAATGGCCTCTAGGGGGCAGCAATGCGCATGCCTACCTGGCCTCAAGTGGTCTTGGGCTTAATGCGGGCCCCCAACCTAGGCTGGCATGACCTCTGAGGCCTCCACTGGGAATCCAGAGAAGGAAGAATGTGGGAACTTTGAGCACAGCCCCTAAGACTGAGGAACAGACAATGGGGGTCCTCCCAGGACCATCCTGGACATCCCTGCTGCAGGCAGTCCAGCCACTACTCCACCCCGCCACAAGCTCATGGGGTGGGACTGTTTCCTTCTGTGCTTTCAAGGTGGCCTGGGGCCATCCTGCCAGTCCAGTTCTGCTGATTTCCCTAAGAGGCCGACTAAAAGCCAGAAGGAATACCAACTTTGCAACCAGACGAAACTGGTTCTAATCCCCACTCTGCCATGCATTCATCACATGACATTGGGCCTCAGTTTGCCCCTCTGTAAAACAGGTTTGTTGTAAGGGTTGAAACAAGTGTCTGCCACACTAGCTGCTATGCTCAGCATTTTGGGACATTTCCAAACTCGGTCCCTTCATGGAAGATGGAGAGGGAATGTTCTAACCCCTCCTTGCCATGTACTTGTCTAAACTCACTTCTCCTCATTCTTTTATTATACTCTATCCATTGTTTAAATTTCTCAAACGCAACAAGTTTGTTTCTGTGCTACATTGTGCCCAGGCTGTTCCCTCTATAAGAAACGGTGATTCTCAAGTGGAGACAATTTTAGCTCCCAGAGGTCACGAGTCAATGTCTGGAGACATCTGTGGTTGGCAAAAGTGGGCAGGGTGTGTTCCTGGCATCTAGTGGGTAGAGGCCAGAGATGATGCTACGCATCCTGCAATGCACAGGATGGCACCCACAGTAAAGAATTATCCATCCCCAAACATCAGCAGTGCCACTGCTAGGAATCCCAGTATAGAAGGATCTCTTTCTTATTTCCCTCCCAATGGATCCCTTCTTGTCTTCTAGGTCTCGGTTCAAAGCTGAATATTCAGAGGCCTTTCTGACCTCCTGCTTATGGCCCTCGAGTTTTTCTCCACACCCACATCTTCCTTTTTTTTTGTTGTTTTTTGTTTGTTTGTTTGTTTTTTTGAGATAGAGTCTTGCTGTGTCGCCAGGCTGGAGTACAGTGGCGCGATATCGGCTCACTACAACCTCCACCTCCTGGGTTCAAGCGATTCTCCTGCCTCAGCCTCCCAAGTAGGGGGGATTACAGGCACGCACCACCATGCCCGGCTCATTTTTGTATTTTTAGTAGAGATGGGGTTTCACCATCTTGGCCAGGCTGGTCTTGAACTCCTGACCTTGTGATCCACCTGCCTTGGCCTCTCAAAGTGCTGGGATTACAGGTGTGAGCCACTGCACCCGGCCCACATCTTCCTTGCTTTATGGCTTGTTCACACCTTGCATGATGTATCTTTGGCATGATCATCTAACTCCATCTTCTCAGCTAGGATACACATTCCATGAGCAGAGGAGAAGTACAGGAAGCTGCATCACTTTTGTTCACAAAATGCACTACTTCGAATGTAGCACGGTAGTTGCTCAGTAAATGTTTGTTGAACAAATGAACAAAATTGTGGTAAGTAAAATTCTACCAGCAATGTTCTATAACCATTCCCGTTTATCCCTCTGTCTTATGGACAAAAGAAAACAGTTGTCTTTCTAGTGCCTGTCATTTTTCTCAGGTTCAAGGATGTCAGGTGTACCCCATTCAAACTGACCAGAGATTGTGCCTCCCCAGTACCTTCTGCAGTCTAGGGTCTCCCAGCAGATGGTGGGATGCCCCCAAGCCTAGGAATGAAGAAGACCCCCAGTGACCAAGCTGTGAAGAAGAAAGCAGCCACTTCTAGCTTTAAAGAGAGGTAGGTCTTCCTTCCATGCTTGTACCTTGTTTGGGTTCTGATTCAAAACTCAAACTCTTGGGAATATGTGACCTAGATATTTGATGCCATTAAAACATGCCTGCTAATATTTTAGGTATAAGCATCATTGTGATGCTGTCTTAAAAAAGAGATCTTATCTTTTCTAGATATATACTGAAATATTTATAGATACAATTCTGTGATATCTTATATTTCTTTCAAAATAACCCACTGTTGGGGGAAGAGGATGAAAGTCCAGATACAAGAACAATGGCCATGAATTAACCTGGGTGACATCCACGTGGGAGTTCATTACACTATTCTCTTGGTACTCTTGTGCATGTTTGAAAGTTGCCTTAATAAAAGTTTTATTTTTTTAGGACCCCTTCATCTAGGTCTCCTGGGAATGCTGAACCCTATGGCCTCATGCCATCAGAGGGAGGAAGATCCCCCTCTTCACCCCCATCCACTTTCCTTTTCACCCTTGTCAGCAAATCCAGATGGAAAACACAGTCAAAGGAAAAAGCTGCCCTCTCAAGAGAAAATAACAGCCTGGCACGATGGCTCACACCTATAATCCCAGCACTTTGGGAGGCCAAGGCAGGCGGATCACCTGGGGCCAGGAGTTTGAGACCAACATGGTGAAACACCATCTCTATGCTACTTCAGAGGTTGAGGTAGGAGAATCACTTGAACCTGGTGGGTGGAGGCTGCAGCGAGCTAAGATCACACCACTGCACTCCAGCCTGGGTGACAGAGCGAGACTCTGTCTCCAAAATATATATATATATATAGATATATATACCGTTCAGAATATCATTCAAAGTATCATGCCAGTGGCTTCCCTCTTGCTTGGACTAACAGCCAAATTCTAGGATCACCACGATCTGGCCTCAAATTACTCTCTGACTTTATCTCTCTTGTTATGCTACCCCTCACTTACTCTGTTACAGCTCCACTGAACCCTGCTGTTCCTCGCACAGGCCAGGCATGGACCCACCTCTGGGCTCAGCCCCTGCCTTTGCCCCTGCCTGGACCACTTTCTCTGTAGGCGTGACTCTCTTTTTCATCTTCTTCTGTTCTTATCCGTGAAAACCTTCCAGGCCACCGTTGGTAAAATTACAACTGTCCCCTACTTTTGCCCCTTACTTTATTTTTCTAAGATATCATTTAACTTATTTTGTTGTTTGTCTCCCTACTTGAATGGAAGCTTGTGATGGTTACTATTGAGTGTCAACTTGATTGGACTGAAGGATGCAAAGTACTGTTTCTGGCCATGTCTGTGAGGGTGTTGCCAAAGGAGATTAACATTTGAGTCAGTGGACTGGGAAAGGCAGACCCACTCTCAGTCTGGGTGGGCATAATCTAATCAGCTGCCAGCGTGGCCAGAATAAAAGCAGGCAGAACGTGGAAGGAATAAGCTGGCTGAGTCTCCCATGCTGGATGCTTCCTGCCTTTGAACATCAGACTCCAAGTTCTTCAGCTTTGGGATCTTTGGGCCTTCGACCACAGACTGAAGACTGCACTGTGGGCTTCCCTACTTTTGAGGTTTTGAGAATCAGACTGGCTTCCTTGCTCCTCAGCTTGCAGACGGCCTATCGTGAGACCTCGCCTTGTGATTGTGTGAGTCAATACTCCTTAATAAACTCCTCTTTATATATACACCTATCCTGTTAGTTCTGTCCCTCTAGAGAACCCTAATATAAAGCTCCACGCGGGTTGGAGTTTCCGTCTGTTTAGTGCACTGGCATATCAGCTAATAGAGCTGGGAAAACCACGTGCTCAGTCTCTATCTGTTGAATGCATGAATGAATGAGTGAATGAATCAATGATTCTCAGGTCCAATCAGAATCCTATCCTGAGCGATCCTGTGGAGACTATGCATCAGTCTCCTTCTGCCTCGTGAGTTCCCAGCCATGACCAGCCAGAGCAGGACGTCAGACAAGACTGGCTTGGGGCCCTTGGCTGCCTTACCTGATGGGGTAGTCGGCCGCACTCAGGTTGATGAAGAAGTCCCAGGGCCAGTCGGTCATCTCCAGGAGGTCCCGCATGCTCTGCAGGTAGGTGGACAGGAGGCTGGCTCCTCCCCAGATGGTGGCCATTCTCCAGGGGGTGACGCGGACATTGCTGTACTGCCTGGAGACCTGGAGCACTTGCCGATGCAGGTAATTAGAGCGCTTTTCCCAGGAGAGAAAGGGTGATGACAGTCAGTGGCCTAGAAAATACCCAGGCATGCCCCTCACCCCTGTCCCCTCTCTGTGTCTTCCCTCCTGGTTGGGCACTTCTGAGCACAGTGGCCTTTGCCAAGTAAATGATCCTGGACTGGAGTGTCTTTCTGTACTGCAATTCAAACTTGGATTATTTTTTACATTTCAAATTAGCTATTTGAAATGCAGATTCACTGGCCGCACTTCTGAGCTAATGGTTCACTAGGCTTGGGCTGGTGGTGCCTGGGACTTCACATTTTTAAAATTTTATCTTATTTTATTTTATTTTGAGATGGAGTCTTGCTTTATTTATTTACTTAGACAGAGTCTCGCTCCGTCACCCGGGCTGGAACAAAGTGGTGCCATCTCAGCTCACTGCAACCTCCACCACCCAAGTTCAAGCAATTCTCCTGCCTCAGCTTCCCAAGTAGCTGGGATTACAAGTATGCGCCACCACGCCCAGCTAAGTCTTGTATTTTAGTAGAGATGGGGCTTCACCATGTTGGACAGGCTGGTCTGGAACTCCTGACCTCAGGTGATCCGCCCACCTTGGTCTCCCAAAGTGCTGGGATTACAGGCATGAGCCACTGCACCTGGCCAACTTTGCATTCATATACATGACAGCTGCATGGGGTCTGAGGAAGACAAGCTGGGAAATATGGCTCCATCTAAACCCATGTATATTTCGGAGGCAGAATTTTTGTTTTCTGTCCCCACTCCTACTGATTGCTCCTCCATTATCCTCTCACAGGTCTGCTAGAAGCCGACCTTTTGGACAAGACTTCCCCCTTTGCCTTCTTGACTAAAGGCATAATTGTTTCACCAATAGAAACCTCAGGGACAAGGTAGCTCGGGAGTCAGCAGGGCTGATGCAGGTTTTTGTTAATAAAGTTTTATTGGTACACAGCCATGCTCATTTGTTGACATGTTCTCCTTGGCTGCTTTAGCACAAGGGCAGTGCTGAGTAGCTGTGACAGAGACTATGTGCCCTGCAACACCTAAAATATGTACTATCTTGCCTTCCATAGAAAAAGTGTACGCACTCCTGGGATAGTGATATGGTTTGGTTGTGTCCCCACCCAAATCTAATCTTGAATTGTAGCTCCCATAATTCCCACGTGTTATGGGAGGGATCCAGTGGGAGATAACTGAATCACAGGGGTGGTTTCTCCCATACTGTTCTCGTGGTAGTGAATAAGTCTCATGAGATCTGATGGTTTTACACCGGGAAACTTCTTTTGCTTGGCTCTCATTTTTCTCTCTTGCTGCCGCCATGTAAGACTTGCTTTTTGCCTTCCACCAGGATTGTGAGGCTTCCCCAGCTGCTTAGAACTGTGAGTCCATTAAACATCTTTCTTTATAAATTACTCAGTCTCAGGTATGTCTTTATTAGCAGCATGAAAATGGACTAATAAAGGTAAGCTATTCCCACAAAGTATGTGAGAGGCAGGCAGAGGGCATTGGGTAGAGGGGAGAGGTAAGAAACAGCATTTAGGGGCCGGGCACGGTGGCTCACACCTGTAATCCCAGCACTTTGGGAGGCTGAGGCGGGCAGATCACGAGGTCAAGAGATCGAGACCATCCTGGCCAACATGGTGAAACCTTGTCTCTACTAAAAATACAAAAATTAGCCGGGTGTGGTGGCATGCACCTGTAGTCCCAGCTACTTGGGAGGCTGAGGCAGGAAAATTGCTTGAACCCAGGAGGCAGAGGTTGCAGTGAGCGGAGATCATGCCACGGCACTCCAGCCTGGTGACTGAGCGACATTCCATCAAAAAAAAAAGAAAAAAAACCCCCCAAAAACAGCATTTATCATTTATGGACAAAATTGTAAGTCGCAGCTGGAAACTTTGAAACCAACACACACATAGAGACAGCACTCTAGGGCCACACGCTCTGTGGAGAGGCAGCTGGTCAGCTTCCAAGCCTTTTCTGAAAGCAGGCAGTCTGGACTAGCAATGCAGAAGGAGGGTATCAGGGAGGGACGGACAGACCCCGAAGAAAGCCCAGCAAGGGGTGATCACAGAGGCCTCTCACCTTGTCCACGTGGATGTAGTAGAAGTGGTCTTTGTGGTAGATGGCCTTGAACATGCGCTGCAACTGCCGAGAGGCACGGCCGTGGACCACCAGGACAAAGGCGATTCTGACCGGGTTGGCTGGCATGTACTCCACGGAGTCCTCGTCCCACTGCACGTTCTTGTTGGCTTTACCTGGGGAAAATCCAAGAGAACAGAGAGGAGAAAGTGAGGCTCTGCCATCCTTTGCAGGGGTGGGAAGTTTCTCTGGTGCTTCTTTTGGGGACTATTTTAGGGGCACAGTCATCAAATTGGGCCTTAAAACATAATTCAATGCCACAAAGCACATCTTAGATTCTCACACTGTCAGGCACAAAAGGGGTTAGGGGACCCTGGGGTTGTTACGACATAGTTTCCATTCTGAGGAGCTTAAAAATGCTGGAAGAGACACATGGACACATATTAAGCTACTGAACAAGGCAGGAGGAGGTGAGAGCTATAAGAGATGTATCTCTGAATGACAGAGGAAGAAGCAGTTAATTTCGAGTTAGTGAACGTAAGATACATGTGTTGTTTTTGCCTGTCCAGAATTCATTCTCCCTTCTTCTAATAGCATCCAATATATTGTTTGTTTTAACGGTGGTAAGAACAGATAGCATGAAATCTCCCCTCTTAATAAATGTTTAAGTGTACACTACAGTACTGCTGCCTATTAATACAATGTTGTACAGCAGGATCTTTAAATTTACTTGTCCTGCATGACTGAAACTTCATCATCCAATACCTTTTGTGGCATCATCCTCCTCTCCTCTATTCTTAGTCCATATGGGTGGGGAAGACCTAACTTCATCATCAATTTCAGGGGTGGACCTACAGCTTAGGCCTGGCCAATGGGAATGCTGATTCTCCATAGCCACAGTATTGTTTAGAGATGAACATATGACTCAACCAAGTTAATTAACCAATAAGACAGAATGCTAGACTTTTGTTAGAACTACTACATAAGAGAGGTTATCTTTTTTTTTTTTTTTTTGAGACGGAGTCTTACTCTGTTGCCCAGGCTGCAGTGCAGTGGTGCGATCTTGGCTCATTGCAACCTCCACCTCTCAGGTTCAAGTGATTTTCCTGCCTGAGCCTCCTGAGTAGCTGAGATTACAGGCACGCAACACCATGCCTAGCTAATTTTTGTGTTTTTAGTAGAGATGGGGTTTCATCATGTTGGCCAGGCTGGTCTCGGAACTCCTGACCTCAGGTGATCTGCCTACCTTGGCCTCCCAAAGTGCTGGGATTACAGACGTGAGCCACTGTGCCCGGTGAGAGGTTCTTTTTCTGTTACACAGGAGACTAGAAGATTCTATGAGCCTTTCTGTTCCCACACGGAGAGAGGTTGCCTGAGAAGAAAACTAATGTGGAGTACATTGCCAAGGGGGGATGAGGGTCCAGGTGCTTGTGGCCTGCCTTGAGCTCCTGCATCAGTAAGGCTACAGATCACCCACTGTCATCTATCATGTTCTTTTAAATCCAAATCCTATACCACATCCACTTGGATAAATAGTCCCAGACATATTTTATTCCGAAAATCAGCCTCAAAGACTCCTCTCTTTCTTTCTCTTGCTTCAGATAAAAACACAGCTTCCTAGTTTAGTTTATTACAATCCCAACTAGAAATCTCCTAGCTTTCCTCAGCCTGATTTCACTTGGGTCCAACCCAATTTCTTAAGAGTTCTGGGTTTATGGGACCCAGGACATTGTCAGGGTAGTAGCTGCAAGTGTCCCAGCATCTAAACCGGGAGAACTGAGATGGAGACTGTGGGGCTGGGGGATTAGGACATCGGGAGTCTAAGCTGTCATCAGAAGGCTGAATGGTTGCTGAATGAACGAGGCTCTTTCTACGTAGTTCCAGGAGACAAGACAAGATTGACGTAGATAATATCCAAATCACACTACACAGCCTCTATGGCTGGTGTGATCTAACTACTCAGATCTCTCTGCCCTCGATTGGTGGGTCTCACATTCCATCTTGTCCTCTGGCCTTCTTTCTCTTCCTCAAACAAGCTCATTTCTGCCTTAGGACCTTCTCCCTGGCTTCTTGTGATCTGGAACGCCCTCTCCCCAGATCTCTGCGTGGCTGCATCTTCTTGTCATTAGTTCACAGTCCAAAAAGGGGACTCACCACCACCTCTTTTACTCTCTTTCACCTCACCCGCACCTCTTTTACTCTCTTTCACCTCACCGGATTTCAACTTTCTTCATAGCATGTAACACTGTCTGCAATTGTTTATCTGTTTACTTGCTTATTATCTGAACACACCACTAGAACATTAGCTCCAAGAGATGAGGGGCTATTTTGGCCTTGTTTACCACAGAATCTGCAACACTTGAACAGTATCTGACACACATCTGGTTCTCGGTGAAACAAAAGTTACAGGAAGGCACATTTGGGATCAGTAAAATAACAATACCTTTTATTGAGCATTGACCAGCCCTTGACGTTCATTAGATAATTTAATCCTCGTAATGATCCTACAAAGTAATGCTATTATCCCCGCTTTCCAAATGAGGAAACCACAGCTTAGAAGAGGCCAAGGGATTGGCTCAAGGTCACACTGCTTTAATTAGTTAAGCTGAGATTCAAACACAGGTCTGATTCCAAAGATCATGCCCTGAACCACTAATACACACCATATGATCATACCTAGAGTTTGGAAGGAAAAGTTTATAACAATTGCTTTTAGTTGCTTGTTGCTAACCAAATACTTTGTAAGTTAGTTATTGCAGGCAGGTAGGCATGCATTTAAGGACTAACATAGGTATTCCAGTATTTCTGTATTAGATGAGATGCTGATTCTAGGTGATTAATAAGGCTGTATCTTTTCATCCATCCATCTATTCCTCCACCCATCCACCCATTAATTTATTCATCGATCGAAATCCAACCACTCATCCATTCATCCATCCACCATTCCACCCATTTATCCATTTATTTGTCCATCCAAATCCAACCACTAATCTGTCCATCCATCTACCCACCCATTCATCCATCCCTCCACCCATCCACCCATTCATCCATTTATTCATCCATCTAAATCCAACCACTTATCTGTCCATCCATCCACCCACTCATCCATCCCTCCACCCATCCACCCATTCGTTCATGCATTTATTCATCCATCCAAGTCCAACCATTCATCCATTGCTCCACCCATTCATCCATACATCCATTTATTCATCCATCCAAATCTAACTACTCATCTGTCCACTCATCCATATCTAACCATTCATCCATCCAAGCATACAGCAAACCCTCCAACTATGCATCCAGCAAAGCCTCCAAGAGCTTATCATCCCAAACACCATCCATCCACTTAAGGTGTATGGGGCCTTTGAGATTAACCCTTGCTTTTCCCTGTAGCCATGAACATCTTTTGCCATAGTTTTTGAATGAGCAAATTAATGAATGTGTTCTGAAGAAGAGTGGCTGCTCTGATCCAGAGGAGCTGGTGTTTCTTAAGTGCCTCCTATGCATCCATTGTTATTTGACCCTGGGAAGAATGCGTTATCATCCTCTGAGGCTCAGAGAGGTCAGCACATTTCCCAGGTCACACAGTGAGTGAGGACAGAGGTGGGAGGGGAAGCTGAGTGTTGCCGAGTCCAAAGCCAGCCCTGATATTTCCACTTGCTCTCTGCAGAAGTGGAGATTTGCGATATAGAGGATAGGTGTAAGGACTCTATGCTGGTCTTTAAAAAGGGCTTGGATGTTGATGCTGAGGTCTTTTACAACTTCTCTTTAGAGTTTTAAAAGGCAGAACAGATTTACAGACAGACACAGACATGGATGCTTTTCTTTTGGAGAAAGGGCAGAGTCCTGTGAAATCAAAGACAAATCACTCCAGCAAGAGAGCTCCCTTGGCTTAAATATAAAGTCATCTTTGGGTCAGACAGTTAGTCTGGGGAGCTGCAAAGAGAATGGGGAACAAAAAACCCAGAGCTCTTCTGAGTACAGCTATTCTGGGGAAGGGGTGGGTGGGAAGGAACAAAAATATCTAAAGAAAGGAGACATGCAGAGAAGGAGAAATAGAGATGCGGATGGGGATGGGGGGCAGAGGGGGAAGACAGCGAGTCAGGAGAAAGATCAACCATTTACTGAGTGCCTACTATGTGTTAAGCAATTTCTGTGCATGATTTTATTCATTTCTATCAAAACTGCTATGAAAACAGAGCTATTATCTTTCTATTGTAGGCACAAGGAAGCTGAGGCTTGGAGAGGTCCCAGTTATAAAGTAGCTGAGCTGAGAATGGAGTGAGTCTGTGATCCCAGAGCCCTGTCATGGTCACCATGCTCAATCAAACTGTCCTCATTTCAAAAAGAGGAAAATCCGTCCCTAGAGGAAATGTGTCAGCTTTCAGCTGCAGGACAGATATAACAATGACATGTGGTCAGAGCTATGTGGGTCTTTATGAACACGGAACTCTTTGAAAGACCAAAACCCAAACAGTGCCCAGCTCCAAAAAAAAAAAAAAAAAAAAAAAAGAATTTAACAATGTAATCAGATTCCCATGGCACAAAACAGAAAATAAGTGGAAAAATCAGAGTGATTAGAGGCAGCAGGAGAAGCTGACTTCAGATGAATGTTAACAAGCCAGGTTTATCGAGAGAGAATATCAAGTATATTTTTGCAGTGCAGGTGTGAAGGCTGAGGATGATGGGGGGTCCCGGAGAGCTCCCCCAGTAGATAGCTGTGCTGTGTTAGTTCTGTTACTCAAATTCCCTATTTCTTAGCAGCATTGTGGGTCAAACGAGGACTATGTAATCCTTGGGCTCCAAAGACATAGCAGAGATGAAGGTGCTTTGCAAGGGTCAACATGCTGTTCCACTGTTGTGGTGCTGGCAAAGATCATGTTAGCAGTGTCCTGCAATAATGATTTGGGAGGAGAAAGCAAGGTGCAGGGGTTTAGAACATGACCTGTGGTCAGGCAGATGTGAATGACCTTGGACCTTTTATGCAATCTCTCCAAGCCTTAGTATTCTGATCTGTAAAATGGGTATGTATAATCACAGAATCCACCCCACATGGACATTCACATCCAGAAGAGAGAGCACAGTGCCTGGCATCTAGCAAATCCTCAATAAATTATACTGTCATAGCCATCATTTCTATGTGGCTGCTCATCCACGATGATCAGGATTTAACCAACAGGCCCAGCTCCAGAGTTCTACCTCAAAGCTGCACTGACTCCCAGGGCTGTGTGTACTCTAGAGCCTGCTGCTTGTAAATAAACATCTACAACCGGAATTTCCCTCTGCAGCGTATGCCCAGACCACAATTAATAACAAATGTGAAGGAGCTGCTTGACTGGAATAGTTACTCTACCAACAAAGCCCTCGATTCTATTTATACTCTGAAAGGGCTGCTTCCGGCTGCTGCAAGGGGCACTTTCTGACTTACTTCCAACTAAGAGGGTTAGTTGGGTCTTGGGAACACAGAGACATGGAAACAAGGTTGTATGCAAATGAGGCTTGGGTTAGGAAGCTCCCAGCTGGAGCCCAGCTTCTATGCTGCCTGGGAAGGTGTGACTGGGATTCAGAGCTGGGGTGTAGAATGCAACCTTGCACTGTGTGGATTTAGGAAAGACACCGCCCCTCTCTGATTGTCAGTTCTTCATTTACAAAGTGGGAAGAGAGGTCCATCTCTGACCCCGCTGGGTTCCAGGGTGATTCATGATCACAGATGAGGAAAAGTTTCACAGCGGCAGCAGGCGCGTTGCAGAGGAGCGGGATTCGTCTTACTGGGGGAGAAAACCTGCACGCTCAAGGTTCTTTGTTAGATCTGGGTGGGAGATGCCTTTATCCTAGTGGGAAATTTTAAAAGAGGTTTTCTGGTGATTAAACTTGGGAGCTGTCTGGTGCCCAGAAAGAATCCCCTGCTCTCGATGGGTTTAGAAAAGGCGGTGCTGTGTGGCGACAAGCATACTGGATAAAGAGCAACGAGGTGGATTCAAATTCCTGCTTCTGCTGTGAACCAGCCACGGGGGCCTGGGCAAGTCAATTTCTTTCCTTGGTCCTGTAGAATCTCAAAGACTAGTAACGCTATCAGATGCATGTCAAATACTTATCATGCTTGCGTCAAATACTTCTCATGGTGGCTTGCGTCTGTAATTCCAGCTACCCTGGAGGCTGAGGCAGAAGGACTGCTTGAGTCCAGGAGTTCGAGGCTGCAGTGAGCTACGATGGTGTCACTGCACTCTGGCCTGGGTGACAGAGTGAGACCCTGTCTCTAAAAATAAATAAATCAGAAATAAACAAACACTCATTATGGCCTAAGCACCAGTCAAATGTGATCTCATTATTTAATTGTCCCAAGGTCTCAGGAGGCAGGTGCCATGTTAGCAGTTGGTGCGAGAATGGAAACCACCACTTGGGTGTGCCAGACTCCAAAACCCCTATTTTGGAAAAACCCAAATGAGGGAGATGAAATTTCTGGATATTTCTGGAAATTTCTGAATCATCTGGAATTCTAACCCGATCCAGGAGTTAGCATTGCCACATAGAGAACTGTACTCCCTTGAGAGTCAGGTTGGTTTTCTTTTCTTTCTTTTTTTTTTTTTTTTTTTTTTGAGACAGAGTTTCACTCTTGTCACCTAGGCTGGAGTGCAATGGTGCAATCTTGGCTCACTGCAACATCTGCCTCCCAGGTTCAAGCAATTCTTCTGCCTCAGCCTCCTGAGTAGCTGGGATTATAGGCACCTGCCACCACGCCTGGCTAAATTTTTTGTATTTTTGATAGAGACAGGGTTTCACCGTGTTGGCTGGGTTGGTCTCGAACTCCTGACCTTAGGTGATCTAACTGTCTCAGCCTCCCATAGTGCTGGGATTACAGGCGTGAGCCACAGCGCCTAGCCCAGGTTGGTTCTCTTGATACCTGTCAGTTCGTTCCCTATGAGCCAAGGTCATGCTCTTATCTCTTGTAGGATGCCAGCCTTGCCCCTGGACCTGGTACAGAGCTAAGTTTGGGGGAGAGGCCTCAATGAATGATTTCTGACTGACAGATTTAGCCAGACAGCTTCATCCACATACAGGGTCCCGGTGGTGGGGATGAGGGGGCAAAGTTGAAGACTCAGGCCTGAGAGGTTGCCCATGGCTGTCTCCTCTCATCCAGCAAACTGGATGGAGGCTAGGCACCCCCACTTTTCCTTGAGGCTTTTGGGTGGTCTGTGGACCCTTGCTCAGCAGCACCAAGCCCTGCTGGGAGGAATCAGTCAACGGCCCAGACTGCTCTGCACCGCAGCTGCTGCTCATGCGGGGCCACCAGGTCCCCTCCCACCCAGCTTAATGAGAAGAGAGGGGTGGAGGGGATGTGAACTGGGGGTCATGGGGTCCACAGAGGGGAGCTGAAAGAACATAGGTCCAAGGATGAAGGTGGCCAAGCCAGCACCTGTCAGGTCTCAGGAGAAATGACCCTTCCTTGGGAAGCCCTCCCTGACTCTCTTCCCCATCCCTTCATTTAAAAAATATTTTTAATGACTTTTTTTTCTTTTTCTTTTTCAGAGATTGAGTCTTGCTTTGTAACCCAGGCTGGAGTGCAGTGGCATGATCATAGGTCACTGCCACCTCAAATTTCTGGGCTCAAGGGATCCTCACACCTCAGCCTCCCAAGTAGCTGGGACTATAGGTGACCACCACCATGTGGGCTAATTTTGAAATGTTTGGTAGAGACAGTGCCTTGCTATGCTGTCCAGGCTGGTCTCAAACTCCTGGGCTCAAGCAATCCTCCCTTAGCCTCCCAAAGTGCTGGTGTTATAGGTGTGAGCTACTGTGCCTGGCCCCCATCCCTTCTTTGAGTTCCCTGTCACAGCCCCTCTGAACATCCTGCACTTCTCTTTAAAAAAAAAAAAAAGTTGTAGTCCAAGATAATACATGCTGAGTATCCCTTATGTGAAATGCCTGGAACCAGAAGTGTTTCCAATTTTGAATTTTTTCAGATTTTGAAGTATCTGTGTATATGTAATGAGATATTTTGGGGAAGGGACCCAAGCCTAAACACAAAATCCATTTCTGTTTCATATACACTTTATACACATAGCCTGAAAGTAATTTTATACAATATTTTAAATAATTGTGTGCATTAATCAAAGTTGCATTAAGCATTTATGTATAGAATTTTCCGCTTGTAGCATTATGTGCCCAAAATGTTCTGGATTTCGGAGTACTTCAGATTTTGGATTTTTGAATTAAGGATGCTCTACATGGATAACATATAATTTACTATTTTAGCCTTTTTTGGTTCGAGATGGAATCTCACTGTCACCCAGGCTGGAGTGCTGTGGCACAATCTCGGCTCACTGCAACCTCCACCTCCCGGGTTCAAGCGATTCTCCTGCCTCAGCCTCCTGAGGAGCTGAGACTACAGGTGCCCACCACCACGCCCGGCTAATTTTTTTGTATTTTTAGTAGAGATGGGGTTTTGCCATGTCGGCCAGGCTGGTCTCAAACTCTTGACTGCAGGTGATCAGCCCACCTTGGCCTCCCAAAGTGCTGGGATTACAGGCATGAGACACATCTGGCCTATTTTAAGCATTTTTAAGTTTACAGTTTAGTATAATAAATATACTTACACTGTTGTGCAACTATTATCACCATCCATCTCCAGAACTCTTTTCATCTTGCAAAACTGAAACTTTCTATCCATTGAACAATAACTTCCCACTCTCCCCTCCTTCAGCTCCTGGAAAGCTTCATTCTACTTTCTGCCTCTATGAATTTGATAAGGAACCTCATGTAAGTGACATCAGACATTATTCTTCCTTTTGTGTCTGGATCCTTTCACTTGGCGCAGTGCCCTCCTGGTTTGTCCACGTCGTAGCCTATGTCAGAATTTCATTCCTTTTTCAGGGCAAGTAATACTCCACTGTATGCATATAGCACAATTGATCCACTCATCTGTCAATGGACCCTTGAATGGCTTTCACCTTTTGGCTGTTATGAATAATGTTGCTCTGAACATGGGTGTACAAGTACCTGTTTGAGTCACTGTTTCAATTCTTTGGAGTATATTCCCAGAAATGGAATTGGTGGATCATAAAGTCACTATTTGTAATGTTTTATTTTTAGGAGCCCATCCTGCACTTCCTAACTCAGCTATTCCACAGAAGGGGTTAGCCTGGGTCTGCATCCCAGCCCTACCATTTATTAGGAGGTCACTTTGCCTCTCATGCCTCAGTTTCCTCATCTGTCAAAGAGAACTCACCTCTAAGTGATGCTGTAAGCACAGCTATAAATGAGGCAAAATAAAGCCATACAGCCTGATTGTGGAGGAGTTCATGTGGTGTGACTCCGCGGACCTCGCCCATCACACTTGAACTTGTAACTAATCACATGGCTGGAGAGTGTTTAACAGGGACCTGATCCTGAGGACTATAGCGATTGTGGTTTTGTTTTTGTCTTTTTTAAATTCGTAAGACGGGATCTCGCTCTGTTGCCCAGGCTGGAGTGCAGTGGTGTGATCATGGCTCACTGCAGTCTCAAACTCCAGGCTCAAGAGATCCTCCTACCTTAGCCTGCTGAGTAGCTGGGACTAGAGGCATGAACACCACACCTGGCTAATTAAATATATATTTGTAGAGACCAGGTCTCCCTATGCTGCTCAGGCTGGTCTCAAACTCATGAGCTCAAATGATCCTCCCTCTTCAGCCTCCAGAGTAGCTGGGACCAGAGGCATGCATCCCATGTCCATCTAATTTTTTTAGAAAAATTATCTGTAGGCTGGCTGTGGTGGCTCACGCCTGTAATCCCAGCACTTTGGGAGGCTGAGGTGGGTGGATCACAAGGTCAAGAGTTTGAGACCAGCCTGACCAACATGGTGAAACCCCGTTTCTACTAAAAATGCAAAAGCAGGTGGATAACAAGGTCAAGAGTTTGAGACCAGCCTGACCAATATGGTGAAACCCTGTCTCTACTAAAAATGCAAAAATGAGCTGGGCATGGTGGTGCACGCCTATAATCCCAGCTACTCAGGAGGCTGAGGCAGGAGAATTGCTTGAACCCAGGAGGCGGAGGTTGCAGTGAGCCAAGATCACACCATTGCACTCCAGCCTGGGTGACAAAATGAGACTCCATCTTAAAAAAAAAATTATTTGTAGAGATAAGGTCTCCCTATGTTGCCCAGGTTGGTCTTGAACTCCTGGGCTCAAGTGATCTTCCCCCTTCAGCCTCCCAGTGCTGGGATTACAGGTGTGAGCCACCTTGCCCAGTGTGTTCTTAAATGCGATGTCAGAGTTACCCAAGAGAGGATTCACATGCTGCTCACATCGAATGGCATTGAGTCAGGGGGGACTGTGAATCTTTTTTCAATTCTTACCCACCTCTCCTGAATACCCTACCAGCAAACTCTCAGGTCAATGCAAACAAATCTTCAGCAGCACTCCCCTACTGAACTTCCTTTTCCAAAAAGCAGAATCCTGCCCCCAGAACTGGCATCTCCAGCAGGTAACAGGAGTGCCCGGCTAGCACTGAATGCCATTGTTTTTGTTTCACTGATTTCTTCGCATTGTTGCTGTCTCCTCATGGCAAGTGACAGCAAGATTTCCACTTATGGCCATGATGCAAAATTACTTTTAAAATAAAATGTGCTTACATAAAAATAAAGGCGAGTCTATTGCAGTAAAAATACTACAAGAATAATATGGCAGGTGGAATGTGGATATGGCAGAATTGTGAAGGCTGGAGGGATGCGAAGGAAGCTTGGGGAATGTTAATTAGGCTCCATGAGCTTTGCTTCCAAACTAGGATGTGCTGAGTTTGTTAAACAAATGAGAGGAGGTAAAGGCAAAGGGCAGGGGGATACTCAAGCAGCCCCATCCATCCTGCAAGGACCCAAAGGTCCAGACAATGTTTTGATCTTTCTGGATGAGGGCTCCCACTTGCTTTAGGGGCCCAGGAGGGTTTGTCAGGAGTCTCCTGGGGTGGGCTTTTGGGACAGCACCTCCCTGCTAGAGAGACAGAAGTCTGTGGAGAAACACTGTCCTTTTGATTCTTACTCTAATTTGTTGAGTACTTAACATTCATGTGGTTCTTTCACTCATGAGGCTTTTACCTCTTGTAACAATGCTGCAAATGAAAATTATCCCCATTTATAGATAATCATCCCAGGCTCAGAGAGGGTGAGGAACTTGCCCAAGGTCACAGAGCCAAGAGGTGGAGAAGAAATTAGGATACGCACTGTTCTGACGTCAAATACCATGCTCTATGACCAGGCTTTGGCTAGCAAGAATCTGGCATCCTCATCTTCACTCAGGCTCCCATGCTAAGCTTGATGGGAACCAAAGCCTCATGTTCTCAGAATGGCTTCAAAACTATCGTCTCCCCTAGAGCAAGATTTCTCAACCTTGGCACTATTGATATTTGAGGCCAGATAATTCCTTGTTGTGGAGGGGACTGTCCTGCGCACTGTAGGATGTTTAGCAGCATCGCTGGATCTACCCACTAGGTGCCAGTAGCACTCACCTAGTTGTGACAAAACCTAAAATGTCTCCATTCATTGATGTGTGTCCCCCTGGTGGGGGATAGGGCGTGGAGAGGCAAAATTTGCTCCCAGTTGAGAACCACTGTTCTAGGACAAGCTCTCTAGATGTGGTCTCTGATGAGCAGCATCAGCAACACCTGGGAATTTGTTAGCAATGTAAGTTTCAGCCCCAACCCCAAACCTTCTGAATCAGAAACTCTGGGTGTGGGAGACAAGGACTCTGTGTTGTAAGAAGCTCTCCAGGTGATTGTGATACAGGCTCATGTTTGCCTAGGCCAGTGGTTCTTAACCCTGGCTGCACATTTAAAATCATCTGAACATCTTTTTTTTAGAAAAACATCTTCATGCCTCGGCCCCACCCCAATAAATTCTAACTTAATTAGTTTGGTGGGCGCAAGTATTGGGACTCTTTTGAAACTCCCCCTGTGATTCTGACATGCAGTCAGGGTTGAGAACCACATTTTGGACACCTTTTCTTTTCTTTTCAACCATCTTTTAAAAAACGCATCTCTCGAGGTGGAAAGAATTTTACCCAAACATATCTTTGGCTGTTGCCTCAAATGCTCATGGCCACTCACTCCACCAGAGACTGAAGGCTACCTCATTCATTATTTTTCTCCCACTCTGAGAAAATGTCTCCCTCCACCCCCGACCAAGCACTCAGGACATTTTCCTGCTCACTGACTTCCCCCGACCCCATTCAAGTCTGGAGTTATTAAAGAACAGCCCATGACTGAACCGTCTTATTGATTTTATTGTTCAGAGCCCTGGGATATTCTAATGATATACTGCTCAATAAATGGAAACTGGTGGGATAGATATTGACGGTGTATGGTACATTTCACTGCAATTCACTGGGTCCCAGTCACTTGGCCTGTAACATATCATCTGTGAAAACGCTGCGCTGTGGCCTGCAAGCTCTTATCCATCCTGCTGATGTTACCTTTTCTGTGCATCAAGGATGAAAGAGCTATTATGATAATAGCAATGTGGCCACTGTGTGCCAGGTCCTGGGCTGAGCATTTTCTAACAGACTTGATATGGTTTGGATCTGTGTCCCCAACCAAATCTCATGTTGAATGGTAACCCACAGTGTTGGAGGTGGGACCTGGTGGGAGGTGACTGGATCATGGGGGTGGATCCTTCATGAATGGTTTAGCACCATTCCTTTGATGCTGTTCTCTAGAGATCTGCGTGTTTAAAAGTGTGTGGCACCTCCCCTGTCTTGCTCTTGTTCCGGCCCTGTAAGACATACCTACATCCCCCTTTACCTTCCACCACAATTGTAAGTTTCCTGGGGCCTCCTCAGAAGCAGAAGCCTTGATGTTTCCTGTACAGCTCACAGAACTGAGAGCCAATTAAAACTCCTTTCTTTATAAATTATCCACTCAGGTATTTCTTTATAGCAATGGGAGAATGAACCAATACAAGACCTTACCTCATTTACTCCTCACAGCAGACCTTTGAGGGAGGCATTCTGACTATTCCCATTTTACAGATAAGGAAATAAAGACTCTGAGTAGTTACCTGACCTGGTCAGCTAATATGCTGCAGAACTGGGATTCAACCCTCCATCTGTCAGACACTAAAATGGGGACTTTTAACCCCTGAGCTTCTATTGTATTGGAACAACCTTTCTTTTCTTTTCTTTTTTTTTTGAGACTGAGTCTCGCACTGTCGCCCAGGCTGGAGTGCAGTAGTGAGGTCTCTGCTCACTGCAACCTCCGCCTCCTGGGTTCAAGCGATTCTCCTGTCTCAGCCTCCCGAGTACCTGGGATTACAGGTGCCCACCCCCATGCCCGGCTAATTTTTTGTATTTTTAGTAGAGACAGTTTTCACTATGTTGGCCAGGCTGGTCTTGAACCCCTGACCTTGTGATTCGCCCGCCTCAGCCTCCCAAAGTGCTGGGATTACAGGCATGATCTGCCGCACCTAGCCATTTGAGCAACCTTTCAGAGGGTTTCAGCACAGATCAATATTTCACAGATCCTCCTCCCTTCTCAAGCAGTATTTCTCAACAGGGACTACTGTCACTTGGGAAGAGACAATTCTTTGAGTGGTATTATCCCATGATTACAGGGCATTTGAAATCCCTAGTCCCCATAACAGCCTCTCCTCACTTGCATTTCCCAGTGCCCCCTAGGGGACCAGCATGGTTTGAGAACCACTCATCTCCCTGGGAGGCAGAAGGCTTCCTGCCAAGATGGCCTCCCACTTTTTGGCAAACACAGGTAGCCACTCTGGAAAGGCTACATAGCAGAGTGGAAAGAAGTTTCGTTTTGAAATCGGACAGATCTGCATTCAAACCATGGCTCTTCCCCCATTAACTCTGGGAGGTCGGGCAAGCTATATAACCTCTCAAAGATTCTAGCTCATCATCAGTAAAATAGGGATACATATTGACCCTCCTTCATAGGGAGGAACTGATGGATGGAATTATGCTCAGAGAAGTGCCTAGTACAGAGCAGTAGCTCTGAACCTGGGGCATTATGTCTTTCCCCTGTCTCCTATGTGCTCTTTCCAAACTCCTGATCCATAGAATCCAAGAGCATAACAAGTGATGGTGTTTTACGCCACTAAGTTTGGGGGGGTTTGCTACCCAGCAGAAGTAACTGGAACGAATGTCTATGATATGCCAGGCAGGCACCATTCTGGGAGTGAAAAATAGACTCATGCACACGCCACAAGAGCTTTTGCTTATGAGAAGCAGCCTCTCCTGAGAAAGAAGACAGATAATAAACACATAAATATCTCCAGGACCAGTATGTGGTATGCAGAAAATGAAATGGTGGCCATCATTATTGTTGCCTTAAATAATGATTTGCAAATGACTACATTTTCTCTTCTCCTCTTTCCAACCTCATTTCCCTCTATGCTCCTCCAATCACCCTTTCTGTGAAGCCAAAATGTTGTTTAATCTCACGAAACCTCTGCTTCTGTTTCTCGATGCTGAGGTATCCTTTCCTTTTCCAAAGACAGGATTTGCTAGGACTGAATCGTGTCCCCCGAAAATTAATATGTTGAAGGCCTAGCCTCTCCTGTGACCGTATTGGAGATGTGGCCTTTAAGGAGGTGATTAAAGTTAAATGAAGTTGGGCCGAGTGTGGCGGCTCATGCCTGTAATCCCAGCACTTTGGGAGGCCGAAGTGGGTGGGTCACTTGAAGTCAGGAGTTGAAGACCAGCCTGGCCAATATGGTAAAAACTTGTCTCTATTAAAAATACAAAAATTAGCCAGGCATGGTGGTAGGCACCTGTAATCCCAGCTACTCAGGAGGCTGAGGCAGGAGAATCACTTGAACCCAGGAGGCAGACGTTGCACCACTGCACTCCAGCACGGGTGGCAAAACAAGACTGCCTCTGAAATAAACAAACAAACAAAAAGGTTAAATGAAGTCCTAAGGGTGGAGCCTTGAATTTAGGGGATTTTTGCTCTTAGAAGAGACACTGGAGAGCTTGCTATTTCTCTGCCACATGAGGTCACAGTGAGAAGTCGGCCATCTGCAAGCCAGGAAGAGGGCCCTCACTAGAACCCAACCATGCTGGCACCCTGATCTCAGATTCATAGCTTCCAAAATGGAGACAAATATTTGTTTTTTAAGCCACCTGGTCTATGGTAATTTTTTTTAAATGATAGCCCAGGCAGACTAATATACAACTCAAGGAGGCCAGGGATGTGCCCCTTAGACTACAATTGACAGGTTGAGTGAGGAGTTAACTAGGTAAGAGAAGAGGGAAAAGTGTCCCTAAGTGGAGGGAACAGCATATGCAAAGGGCCTGTCACGAATGATAGTATGGTAAGGAGAAGACATACAGGAAGGCCAGTGTGGCTGGAACTGAGGCCAAGAGGAAGTGCAGAAGATGAGGATGGGCCGACAGCAGAGGCATCACACAGGGTCTTGGGTACCACCTTAAGGACTGCAATTGAAGAGAGTAACAAGCCCTTTCATCAGGCTTGTTATCCATGGTTGAGGAGTGGGTGGCAGGCAGGACACATTTTGAAATTCCCAGATGGGGTGGTGTGGGATGCCTTGCTTCATGGGGTGGAAAGACAGGCAGGGGCCCCCATATCCTGCACTCTGTGCTTCGTGTGTCCAGAAAGCCTGCTCTATCTGTACTCCCTGCCCTCTTGACCCAGAGGCTGCTGTGTGCAAGTTCTCCTACGAGCCTTCCTGTCGCTTGACATTTTCATCTCTGCCCTCGTTTCTCCTCTCTTGAAGGGACTCGCAGGCTCAATAAATACTGCCATGGAAAAACGCAGCGACTCATCTATTTTTATTACAAATGGAGCCTCTCGAGGAGGGAACAACTCTTATTTACTTCTCAGAGGGAGGGTTTTGACAACAGGTTTATTTTCTCCAACTCTCCAAGGATTAAGTGAGTAACACTCTAAAGTTAACAGTACATTAATTAATGCCAAATTGGTTGGAATTTTCCTAATAAAAATCCTCATAGTAATCACATTATGGGCCATTAACGCTGCCTCCTGATCATAAACCATAAATATGTTCTGCAGGTGCCTTCTTTTAAAAAAGGGACATTTCTCCAAATCGTTTCCCATTTGTCACATTAATGCTGTCACGTCACATAATGCAGACAGGAATAATTATAAAAGCTCATGTGGGTAGGATTTACTTTGCGCTGGTCACTCGGCCAAGCCCTGTACACATATCATCTCATTGAGTTCTTGCAGCAAACCTATGAGGTCCTGCTATCATTCTCATTTTACACATGGGGAAACTGAGGCAGACAGAAAGAGTGTAATCTGCCCATGATCAAATGCTAGCAAGTAATGGAGCTAGGATGTGAGTCCAAGCAAACTGATTCCAGGATACTCTGTCATCCTGCCTCTTGAAATATAAGGACTACATCTCTAAGCACAGTGGTCCTCTTCGTCAAGCCTACTGCTAATGAAATCTCCGGTTGATCACAACAGCAACGAGCAGCAATAGTCAACACAACATTTGGTTTTGCTCCTAGAGGGCAGGGATGGTGTTTCATTTACTTGGCCTAGGAGAGTGTCTGGTGACAATGCCAGGAGCACTTGGAACATACAGTAAATTCCTGTTGAATAAATGGACATAGAAACACACATGCAACAGGGTTCACAACAGTGGGTAACAACGAGCACCTCAAATGCACTGGGATCTCAATAGATCCCTCTCCCTGCAATGATGTGAGCTGGGCTCAGCCTCAGGCCGGGGCTCTGATACACAGACAAGGAGACCACACCACTTGGGGAGCTGCAGTTCCTGGGAGAAAACCAAGGAGGACCTCGTTTCGAACTCTGTTCTAGCTTCACTTCTTAGGTGCTTCTGATTGTTTCTTGGATTTCTCTGTCTACAAAGATAATACTTACTGTAGAAAATTCAAGCATACAGAACAATATGAAGTAAAAAAAAACCCAGATATTAGTGCCAAAATATCACCATTGTTAACAAACGTTCAGTGAACATTTTGCAAATAGTTTTATGCACTCACGTTATATATAATCATGTATGTTCTGCTTTGTCATATGCATTCTGTTTTCAGTAATGTACTCCTGACATCTTTTCACTGTCAGTGAATACAGGCATTCTCTCTTTCCTTCCTCCCACCCTCCTCCTTCCCTTCTCAAATGTTCACAGAGCAGCTACGCTGCCAGGCACTGAGAATGCCCAAATGAACAAAACCAGTGTTGAATCTGTATTCAAGGAGCTGACAGTCCAGTGGATGTTGGATGGAGAAAACAGATCAACGTATTTTACAAAAGGTGTTGGATGCAATGAATGAAAAGTACGGGCGGCCAGGGGAGGAGAGAGATGGGGCCAGGTGATCTGATGCAAACCAGGTCTATAGACCTTTCCAAAGAAGCCACGGTGAAGCTGAGCTGTGAAACATAAAGAGTGAGCCAGGTGAAAGGATGTCACTTTGGAAGGAAGGAAGACCATGTGTCAAGGTCTCAAGGCAGGGAGGGTCTTATTTTGAATAATAATAATAATAAAAAAAAAAAAAGACAAAAAACGTTGGGGGTCCAGGCGCAGCGGTTCACGCCTGTAATCCCAGCACTTTGAGAGGTGGATCACAAGGTCAGGTGTTCGAGACCAGCCTGGCCAACATGGTGAAACCTCATCTCTACTAAAAATACAAAAATTAGCCAGGCATGGTGGTGCGCGCCTGTAGTTTCAGCTACTCGGGAGGCTGAGGCAGGAGAACTGCTTGAACCCAGGGGGTGGAGGTTGCAGTGAGCCAAAATCACACCACTGCGCTCCAGCCTAGTGACAGAGTGAGGCTTCCTCTCAAGAAAAGGCAAAACACCAAAAAAACAAACAACAACAACAAGAACAACAAAACAAAGCGAAAAAGCAAACTCAGGGGTGGGGAGAGGGGAGTAGTGCGGACTTTTGTTTTTTTTTTTACTTTCCTTTGGTGCTTTTCTGTATTTTTAAGACTTCTGTAGGGTAATGACAAGAACTTACTGAGTAAGTAATTCAGGGCCACTGGGTATTTTTTCTTAGATGCCTCCAAAGATGGAAGGCTCAGTGCCTTACATAGCAGGGCTTGTGCTCAGCAGTGATTGTGAGCTATCGCTTCCAAAATGTGCCTGCTCGAAGCTTTCATCCATAGGTCCTAATTTGGTCTTCAAAGATAGTGCTGCTGCTTCTCTGGCAAACCAACCTCTCAAATATGTGGAAATTGTTATTTTGCTATTACTCCGGCCCCCATCTCCCTCCAAATCTAAGCCACCTGCATATTCCAAGCTCATTCAATTTCTCTCCTACAACATGTAAGGTCTCTTTGTCATGTTTCTTCCTGGGAGTGACTAGAAGATCCTCCACGGGCACAGCCTGAGATCACTGTAAAAACTTTGAAATACCTCCCAAGCATGTGCCAGCACAAAGTCATTTGTTCATTTGATGAATAATTATAAATGCCTGTGAGTGTGCTATACCCTGGGGCAGTGGCAGGGGGCAGGGTGTGAGGTGGAGGGGGAAGACAGCAGTGGACAGGATGGACTTATCACTTATTTGAGAAATAATTATCGGCAGGGCATGGTGGCTCATGCCTGTAATCCCAGCACTTTTGGAGGCCAAGGTGGGTGGATCACCTGAGGTCAAGAGTTCAAGACCATCCTGGCCAACATGGTAAAACCCTGTATCTACTAAAAATACAAAAATTAGCTGGGCGTGGTGGCACATGCCTATAATCCCAGCTACTGAGGAGGCTGAGGCACAAGAATTGCTTGAACCAGGAGGTGGAGGCTGCAGTGTGCTGAGGTCGTGCCACTGTGCTCCAGCCTGGGCGACTAAGCAAGACTTTGTCTCAAAAAAAAAAAAAAAAAAAAAGAAAAAGAAAAAAAAAGAGAAATAATTATCAAATGCCTGCTACTGGGTGACACACTGCAGGGCTGCACACTGGACCAGATGGACATGATAGGCGAATCTCTAAATAAATGTGAAATGAATGAACGCTACATCTTGTCTTTTACCATTACAGCATCATTGAGGGGATAACCATTATGCTGTCTTGGTGCTTGTATTAATCGAGTCAAGTTCCCTAACATTGGTTTGAGAGCTCCAGGCAGGTCACTCTTCGACCTACCTGGAAGACCAGAGAGACCCTGATTTCTCAACGATGGCTTGGAAACTTCATTTAAGCCAGGGGGCTCCTGAGAATACTTTTCTTTTCTTTCTTTCTCTTTTTGAGATGGAGTCTCACTCTGTCACCCAGGCTGGAGTGCAGTGGTGCGATCTTGGCTCACTGCAACCTCTGCCTCTGGGTTCAAGTGATTCTCCTGTGCAGTGGCTCACGCCTGTAATTCCAGCATTTTGGGAGGCCGAGGCGGGTGGATCATTTGAGGTCAGGAGTTCGAGACCAGCCTGATCAACATGGTGAAACTCCGTCTCTACTAGAAATACAAAAAAATTAGCAGGGCGTGGTGGTGCATGCCTGTAGTCCCAGCTACTTGGGAGGCTGAGGCAGGAGAATAAACTTTTCTAAATAAGAACCTCTCTGAATGAACTGACAGAGGAAGCTCATTTTAAACATGAGCTGGCCCCTAGACCAGAGAACTGCAGGGGAAAGTGGGTGGGTCCTAGGATTTTTTGACAGGATGCAGTTAAGATAAGCCTTTAAGGAGACAGAACGTGTGCTACCACAGCTTGGGAAGGCCACTGACAGTGAAAACAATTTAAATTAAATTAAATTTAGTCAGCTCCAAAAGGAAACACATGTAATGTTAATTTCATGGGTGTACCAATGTGTAAACCTAACAGATGATACTTAAATGAGAAAGGCAGAGAAATGACATTTGGTTAAACAATGCATCAGTGGGTAGGATTTGTTGAAACTGCCATTTAAAAAAAAAATATGAGCACAATTGAAATCTGAGCAAGCTGTCACCCAGGCCAGGCCACCTAGGCGTTCTCATATAACACACTTGAGAGAAGCAGTGGGTAGCCGGGATTGGAGGCAGTCTGGATAAATTTGGGGAACTCAGGTCAATGTCTGTGTTAACTTTTTGTTTTTGTTTTTGAGACGTAGTCCCACTCTGTCCCCCAGGCTGGAGTGCAATGCCGCAATCTCGGCTCACTGCAACCCCTGCCTCCTGGGTTCAAGCGATTCTCCTGCCTCAGCCTCCCGAGTAGCTGGGATTACAGGTGTGTGCCACCACACTCGGCTACTTTTTATATCTTTAGTAGAGATGGGATTTCACCATGTTGGCCAGGCTGGTCTCAAACTCCTGATCTCAGGTGAGTCACCCGCCTCGGCCTCTCAAAGTGTTGGGATAACAGGTGTGAGCCACCACGTTCGGCCTGTGTTAACTTCTGATGCTCTTCCTGGGCTTGTTTGCCTGGGCAGATAAAATCATTTGCTTGTCTCTCCAACTATGACTGAGATCTCACCCTGGGCAGAAAGTGCGCCTTTGCTTGTTTATGTCCTTTTCTTAAAAGCAACAGATTGTGTAGTATTGGAGGTACATGAAAATGTGGAAAGATTGGCTTTCTGTTTTATCTCTGTCCCTTGGCACAAAATAGGCACTAGGGCAATAAATGCAGAATGAGTGAGTGATCCAGACACTCCTTGGCCATGTTTTCCACCCTTACGGCTTCATGGTGGCAACAACATTTCCTTGCCTCTTGTTAATAATCATCACCTCCTAACATATTGTTTGGGGTCCTCGTCCCTCTCCGGCAGCCATCACTCCTTTTCAATATTCACAGAACCATGTCCTATAGTCAATAAAGCTACGGGAAGCTGACTGATTGGCAAAAAACAGGTCTCTACTAAAAATGCTAACCCCAGAAACAATGCATACACACTGACCCTGCCAGAAATATATTGACAAAAGCCAGCATTTTTTTAAGCACTTACTATATGCCGGGCATGGTATCAAGAGTGTTTTCGGTTGGTTGGTTGGTTGGTGGCAATTTTTCCAGTTCATCGTCTCAAAACACTGAGACAGATGCCATCATTATCCCACTTTTGCCAAGGAAGAACAGGTTGAGACTCAAGAGGTTATATAGCATAACCAAGATCACACAGCTAGTGGCCAAGCTGGGATCTGAACCCAGACTAACCTGCTTCCAAAGCCATTACTCCAACCTGCCTTAAATGTATTAAGAATATGTTTTAAGCAGAGTGTGGTGGGGTGCACCTGTAGTCCCAGCTCTTCGGGAGGCTGAGGCAGGAGGATCGCTTGAGCCTGGGAGGTTAAGGCTGCAGTGAGCTATGATCACGCCACTGTACTCTAACCTGGGCAACAGAGTGAGACCTTGTCTCCAAGAAAAAATAAAAAGAACAGGTTTCAGATGACTTATAAGAGAGGAAGTTGACAGTTCCTTTGTGCTTTACATAGAGCACTAAAATCCAGTATGAGCCAGGGCAATGCTGGGCTCAACACATGGATCCCAAAATCGCAGTGGCTTGAACCCAACAAAGGCTTATTTCCTGCTCCTATGCAGCTTGAGCAGCTCTCCTACAGGGCCGTCCTCCAAGAGGTGACTTGAGGATCCAAATTGCTTCAACTACACAATCCCACTCCTTAGCACCCTTCTCTTGCAGTGCACAGAGAGGACAGCGATTGGCATGACAAATTCACAGCCCGTCAACTGGCTTGGCCAAGAAGTAACCATCATTTCCACTCACGTTCCTCTGAGGGAGACTGAATCCTAGGACCCGACCCAGATACCTGGGAGTTAGTAATGGAGAGAAGAACATGGGTCCTAGAGGAACATTTATATTTTATGTCACAGAAACATACTAAGTTATGCCCTAAGCCAGCACTTCTTGACCAGGGACAATTTTGTCTCCCTGAGGACATCTAGCAATGTCTGGAGACATTTTTATTTGTCACAACTGGAAGAAAGAATGCTACTGGCACCTAGGAGGTAGAAGCCAGGGATACCGCTAAACGTCCCACCATGTACGGGACGGCCCCCACAGAAGGGATTATCTGGTTCAAAATGTCAAATGCCAAGGTTGAGAAACTGCTTGAAACCCGTGATCCTGAAAAAGATTGTCTGAGGAGCTTATTAAAATGCAGAATCTAGACCGGGCGCAGTGGCTTACGCCTGTAATCCCAGCACTTTGGGAGGTGGAGGCGGGTGGATCACTTGACGTCACGAGTTCAAGATCAGCCTGGCCAAAATGACGAAACCCCATCTCTACTAAAAATATAAAAATTAGATGGGCACAGTGGTGTACACCCATAATCCCAGCTACTTGGGAGGCTGAGGCATGAGAATCAATTGAACCCGGGAGGCAGAGATTGCAGCGAGCCGGGATCGTGCCACAGCACTCCAGCCTGGGTGACAGAGCAAAACTCTGTCTCAAAAAAAAAAAAAAAAAAAAAAGAATCCTGCATTCCTCCCTCCAGATCACCACCCTGGCAGTATTTCAGTATTTTCAGGGGCCCTCTGGCAACTGTGACGGCCGCTCTTCGTGAACCACACTCAGGGAAACCTCACAGGAAAGAGGAATCAAGAACACCAAGCGGGGGCTGGGACTAGGCGCTGATGAACTCACACAGAGACACCCCTCAAATGCTTCAGGGTCAGTGTGAGGCAACTGCGCCAGGAAAAAAAAAAAAAAAAGAAAGGCTGACATTTGTTAAGTGCCTCTCTCTGTCTCTTTCGTGCAAGCCTTGAATTGCAGGGAACATATTCTAAGACTAACCTGTCAGCCAGTAACAACTAAATTACTAACCTTGCCTCCCGCTGTGCCCCGTATCCCTGTCAGATGCACAGTCGCACTCACAGAGGAATGCTTCCTGGAGATGTGTTCCCAGCATTGGGGAAGCTGACCCTTTTGCAGGAACAGAGCCACGTGGTCACATGTATTTCACAGGGGCCAGGGGGCTGGAAATAACCCAAAGGAAAGGGAAGCAACTCTGGGCAGAGCAGTAGGGCAATCAGAGTGGTTGAGGCTCTTGGTCAAAACCACGTCTGCTTTATTCATGGCACTCACTACAACCTACTTCACATCGTTTGCAGTCAGGTCTTGCCAAGAGGCTGTGCTTTAGCCAATAAAATAGAAATGTGATGCACACAACTTCTAGGCTTACCCATGGACACCTGTGCATGCTTCTCTGTGCTATTTCCCTCTTCACTGTCTGGGTGCAGAAGAGCACGGTGACCTTGGATGCTGTGTGTTGAAGATAGTGGAGATAGTGGAGTCAGATGGAAAGGGCCTGGATCCCTGAATTACAACATGGAGGGGAGTCAATCAGGAACATCTATTTTGGATGGCAGAGGATGAAGACATCAACCATCTTCATGTTAGAGACATTATACACTGGTGGCTGTGTTCCAATAAAATTTGACTTACAAAACAGGTGGTGGGCTGGATTCAGCCCACTGGCTACAGTTTACCCATCTCTGGTTGAAGAGAAGCTCTATCTACCAAATAAAGTACTAGTCTTCCAGAAAGAGTTATCTGATTAGACAGTTTGCCCTGTGTGACCTCAACGCAAACAAACATTGCTACGTTTGATTGTTATAGCAGCTGATGTTCCCTAACTAATATAGTGATTCTATACCTGGTTACTGAAGGCAGAAAGGCTTGGGTTCAAATTCTAGGACCAGACCTCGCTAGCTCTGTTATCTAGAGAAGCTACCAGAACCTTTGAGCTTCAATTTCCCAAAGTGGAAAATGGAAAGGAAATACTGAAGAAGGTAACCTGACATATTTTAATTGAAGGCTGTGGTATATTGGTCATCTAGGAGCTGTTGTACAGATGTTCTGATTGTTGACCACATTCTATCAGCGACAAGACGGACAGGAGGAAAAGCAAGGCATTGAGATGGGTGAAGGTGAACCATTTACAAAGCCTAAACTTTCCATACATTTCTTACATGAACAAATGAATGACCCAACGAACACTTTTAGCAGCATCTGCCTTCTATGAAGACCAGGCACGTGCATGCCTAATCACCCTTTGGGGGCAAGAGCCATCTGTGATTTGGCTTGTTTTCTTTCACAGTCTTATTTCGCAGTCTTATCAGTGTATCTGTGCAAAAGATTACTCAGTGTACGTGCACTTGTTAGCAGATGCAGGGAAGCTATCACAATTTAGAAAGCACGTGCTTTATACTTTCAAGTCAGGCTTCCCTCTGCGTCCTGGCTCTGTCACTTATTTGATCTGTGGTCTTGGGCAAATGGCTTCATGAACTCTTGAAGCCTCCTCAGCTTCCAAATCTGCAAAAGGGGTATGCCAGAGACAGCTAACCATCCATCAACATCCATTTTCCCCTCTGTTATACACAATTACAAATGAGAATGTGACACTTATCAACATTTCTTCAACACTTCTCAGCCTCTCTTGTAGCGAGGTGCATGAGGCTCTCCCTAGATTTTAAGACAGGAATCTTAAATATTTTATTTTCTATAAGAGGACAGACAGTAAACACTTTGGGCTTTGTGGGCCATATGGTTCTCTGTTGCAACTTCTCAACTCTGCCACTGTAGAGAGAAGGCAGCCACAGACAAGACCAAAACAAATGAGTGTGGCTGTGTTCCAATAAAACTTAACTTACGCAACAGGTGGTGGGCCGGATTTGGCTTGTGGGCTATCATTTGCCAGTCCCTGGTTTAACAGATGCTCAGCCTACCAAATATAGTATTAGTCTTCCAGGAAGAGTCATCTGATTAGACATTTTGTCCTGTGTGACCTCGTAAGCCACCAATTCTTATTTTACACACACACACACACACACACACACTCTCTCTCTCTCTATTTATAATTGGTCTGTGTCTCTGAAATTCTCATCATGTTCTGAAACGTCAACTGTTTCCTGATCTTTAATCCCAGTCTCCATGGGCCATGTCCCTCTCCCTTTCCTCCTCCTTTTTAGGACCAACTCCATAATTTGCAGGGCTCACTACAGATGAAAATGCAAGGCCCCTTGTTCAAAAAATATTAAGAGTGTCAAGACGGTGAAAGCAAAGCATAAAATCTAACATGGGGCTTTCTGAGCATGAGCTCAGGTTACAAAGTCCACCAAGCAGACCCTGCTGGTCTGGCTTGTATTACCATCAGCAAACCCAGAAAGTTTTCTGCCTAATTTCTTGACAAGTCCAGAAACTTGCCACCTGCGAGCTGCTTGAAGCGTTTCAGGAATGGTTTTGCACATCACAAGAAGAAGGAGGAAAAAAAAAAAACCCAATTTTCTTTTAGTATATTACTTGTTAGACAGCGAAATGGAATATAATTATGGTGTGACATTTCCAACAGCAAATATGTTCCAGTGTAAGCAATTAACACCGGTTCTTTTGGCAGGCTTAAAAAGATTACTCAGAGACTGTGGTAAGTTACAATGCCCCATGAATCATAAATAATGTAGAATCGCAGCTAAGTTGCATTCTACGACCAAAGTTCAAATTTCTTGATGAAAATAAATTGGGTGCTTTTAACCCTCTGTTGACTTCATGTGGCTTAAGCAGATTCGGATCATAAGTTCTTTGGATTTTTGTAAATTACATATTTACCTTACCCCTAAGAACATCTGCAAAAAATTATAAAAAAAAATCTGCATGTATTCATTTCAGCTGCTGGAAATTTGCATGAGGTAGTGGGTTTGAAGGGGACCCCTCCAGGATGGACAGAATGGGGGAGACGGCTTACACTGAGAACTATTATCCTTGGAGGCTGTTATGGTTAAATGATGAAGTCCCAAGATTTAGTAGAAGGCATATCTGGACCTATGTCCCTATTCTCTCTGCCATTCTTGACACAACCAAAGGGAAGGCAGCACCTTCTGAATGTATTTGTGCAGCTTGTGACTCTGAGCAACTGAAACCAATGAAACACCAGCAGCAGTTACAGAGCCACATACCGTAGGGACATTCAAGGCCACCGTTACATTCAAAGCCTCAGGGCCGTAGTACCCTTGTACTATAGCACTACTAGCACTATGGGCTGGATAACTCTCTATTGGAGGTGACAGCAAGCTGTCCTGTGCATTGTGCAGTGCCCAGGAGCATCTCTGGACTCGATCCACTAAATGCCAGGAGCATCCTTTCTTTAGTTGTGACCATTAAAAATGTTTCCAGCAGGCACAGTGGCTCACACCTGTAATCCCAGCACTTTGGGAGGCTGAGGCGGGCAGATCACCTGAGGTCAGGTGTTTGAGACAAGCCTGGCCAACGTGGCGAAACCCTGTCTCTACTAAAATACAAAAATTAGCCAGGTGTGGTGGTGGTGGTAGTGCCAGCTACTCAGGAGGCTGAGGTGGGAGGATGGCTTGAGCCCAGGAGGCAGAGATTGCAGTGAGCCGAGATCACACCACTGTACTCCAGCCTGGATGACAGAGTGAAACCCTGTCTCAAAAAATAAAAACGAAGTTTCCAGATATTGCCAAATGTCCCTGGAAAAAAAAATACTACTTTAGATAGACCTGGGTCCATCACTGTGTGGCCTTGAGCAAATGACTTCATTGCTTTGAGCCTCAGTTTCCACATGTGCAAAAAAACTCCCATGCCTACCTTACAGAGAGATTGTGAGGCTGGGATACAATGATGCAGATAGAGCGCTTAGCCTGGTGTCTGGCATAAAGCAAGCATTCAGTAAGACAGATGCTATTTATTCCATCACCCATTTGATTGTTTACAAACAGCTCCTGAGCACAGTGGAGCCATGGCAGGTACCAGGGGTGTGAAGACGCATAAGCCTTATCTCTGTCTCAGACATGCTAACCAACAACGTCAGTGCAAGGGGGTGCTCCCTAAAATGAACACCTGGTCATGGGGCAATGGGGGCTTGGAGAAAAATACCTAAATCTCGAGACTTCATGGACAGGATGGCACCTGAGTAAAGTAAAAGTTTTCCAGGCAGACACACTTGGGGAAGGGCATTCCACACAGAGGCAACTGCATGTGCAAAGGTATGGTGGTATGAGTCACTCAGAACTCCCCTGAGCTCAGGACGGCTGGGAGGTGAATTCTACAATGCAGGTAAGGGAGGAGGAGCAGCAGGAACAAGGCTGGCAGGCAGAGGGCAGATGAGGAAGGATCCTGAGATGTCAAATAGTTCTCATCTCTCTTGTCAACCCAATGAACTCATAGCAAAGCTGAGTCCAAATCCTGCCTTGCAGGACGCAATGCAGTGATTGATTAGCAATGTCTGCTTTGGCCCAGGAAGGTAGAAGAGGCTCAAGCTGCAATGTATTTCCTTGTTTGATGAGGGTTTTCATCAGGGGAGTGATGTGAGGAGAAGCACATTTTTTAAAGCTCACTCTGGAAGCCATGTTTTTTTGTTTTTGTTTTTGAAGAGAAGACAGAGGCAGAAATGGAGCAGGAGAAAGAGTTGGGAAGTGACTGTAATACTACCAGACAGAGACAATACATGCCTAAAGGGCAGAGCAGGAGGCTGGGGAGGAGGAGACAGATACAAGGTATTTAGGACCTAGAAATGATAGCGACTTTGTGGATTTAAGGGAGTAGAAATAACAGAGACTCTTGGATTTTTGGTTTGGGCAACTTGGGGAATAACAGGGTTATTCACCTAGGAAAAAAGTTCAGGAGATTTTGGAGGCAGAAGGATGGTAGGTTATTTTTCAGACCCTTAGCTCGTGGAACCCCAAGGTAGAAATGTCCATTGACTGTTGTAGGTTTGGATCAGGAACCCAGACCAGTGATGAGGAATAGAGTCATTGCTTAGATATGGCGGCTGTCTTCACTGGCCAATAAGTGAGCTACAGTGACCCTGCTTCTCCAGCCCCTGGGGAAGCCCAACTGTAAATGAGAAAGACAGCTCCTTCCAGTGGGATTCTTTCCTAATCTAAAGGCATTCCCGATTGACAGGATTAGTGAAGGACGACAGAAGAAAGTCATTACTGAATAATCCCCTGCACATTTCATAGTCAACACAGCATTCATATGATCCTTGTAATCCAATTAGGTGATGCAGGAAGCTATATCTTAATTCCTGACTTCATTGTGACTTGCCTGGTCACAGGCAAACCTTGTTTAATAAGGTGTCACCTAAACACTGAGTGGTGCATACAAAATGGGCACAGAACGGTGATGGGGTTGGGGGCTGAGGGGAGGAGGTGACTGCTGTTGAGAATATGTCCTGTCTCAAGCAGCCAATAGGGGACTTAGAAGCTCCATGTCCTCATCAGCGAGGCTTGTGATTGGAGGAGGCTTGTGATTGGAGGAGGCTTCTGATCGGTGGAGGCTTGTGATTGGAGAAGGCTTCTGATTGGAGGCAGCTTCATCTCCCCTTCTCTCCATCCATTTTGCTCCTCCGGACCTGTGTGTGACAACTGTCTGTCTGGTGGCTGGAACTCATCTGACAATAGGAACAACAATCATTTTTACATGATTGCTACTTACTGAGGGCCCACTTCATACCTGGCATTTTACACACCTGGCCCAAAACACCCTTGGGCAGAGTAGATTGTATCCTCATTCTAAGGATGAGAAAACTGTGACTCAGAGAGATTAAGGCATTTGTCTCAGGCCACACAGCTAGAGTTACAGCTGGGATTCAAATCCAGATCTGTTTGATTTCCTTTTATTTTTATTTTTTGAGACACAGTCTCACTCTTTTGCCCAGGCTGGAGTGCAGTGGCACAATCTCGGCTCACTGCAGCCTCCACCTCCCAGGCTCAAGCAATTCTCCTGCCTCAGCCTCCCAAGTAGCTGGGATTACCAATGAGTGCCACCAAGCCCGGCTAATTTTTGTATTTTTTGTACAGATCTGTTTGGTTTCTCAAGTTAGTGTCATTCGCCTCTGGCACCATGCCCTTCTGAGGTGAGATTCCAGAACTGACGTGCAAAAAATGTGCAAAAGGCCTCCTGAACTGTAGCCCGGGCCAGTCCTGGCCCGCATGTCCATGTGAGGGCTGGTTTGCCTCCATCCTCCTTGTGCATGTGACCCCAGCTGTGGGCTTATGTGGACCGGATGAATGTGACTGTAGTTACACCTAGATCACAAACAACATCTGAGAGGAGGTGATGCCTCTGATCTCTATCAGACCACGAGGAAACTAGAGAGTATGGAGTCTACTCCAAGTGCTGGGCTAGGCCCCAGCCTTATGGCTTATGCTGGGATCTCAAATTCCAGGCCACACTGGGCTACCCATGTAAGGTCAATGAGAGAAGTAGGCCAGGTGGGGGCAGAGGCAAATTAGAACAAGCCCATTCACCCTAACAGAGGTGATCCATTCTCAGCGCCAATCATTTTACCATGGGGAATGCATTCCAAGTTGCTCAGTCTTCTGGTTTTCCAGAAGACTCCAGAAATACTTATTCTTATGGGCATTATCCCAATTTTAAAATGGTTACAAATTCACATTTGTAAAAAAATAAGCTGTATGTGAGTGTACTGGGTTAAACGGCATCCCTCCAAAATCATGTCCACTCAGAATCTCAGAATGTGATCTTATTTAGAAATACAGTCTCTGCAGATATAATTAGTTAAATTAAGATGAGTTCATACTGGGTTAGAATGGGCTAGAAATCCAATGACTCATCTTCTCCTAAGGCCATGTGAAGACATGCAGGAAGGTCACGTGCTGATAGAGGCAGGGACTGCACTGGTGCATCTACAAGCCAAGAAACACCAAGGAACGCCAGCAGCAACTGGAACCTAGGAGAGAGCCATGGATGCTTCTCCAGATCCTCTAGAACCAACCAACCCTGCTCATGCCTTGAGTGTGGACTTCTGACCTCCAGAACTCTCATTCTCCAGGACGAGAGAATAAATTCATGTTGTTTTAAGCCACGCTGGTTGAAGCGATTTGTTATGGTGGCCGTAGGGAACTAAAACAAAGAGCCAAACCCACCAGGGCTGCGAGAGGAATGTGCCCAACTGTCCTTCCCATGATCACAGGATCATGCTCTTGATCCTGTCCCTGTCCACCTCCTCGTCTGAAGCTTGACTGATTCACTTTCTCCCTTGCATTGCTGCCTGTCCACTATGCTGGCCTCCATCCTTCCTGGGCTAGTTCCGATGTCCCCATTTTAACAGCATTTCCTGATATTGGCCACTCTAAGCCTTCCGTGAGCAGTAGATGGTCCTGCTCTGCACCCTGAAATCTGCCTGCTGTCTGTCAGTCAACTGGAGTTGTTTTCCAAAGGAAGCTGATGAGAAAATCCAAAGGCTTGTCTTCATCCATTCTCCGTTTTTCTTCCAGAGCTTCCAACAGCTGGAGGCCGCCTCCTCTTTTTGGAATACCCTGCTCTTTTGGCAGCCCTGGTCCTGCCCTTCCAAGGTCATCTGAGCACCTTTCATCACTTCCCTTGGCTCCGTGATAGCCTTTTCTTTCATCCTCCGGTCCCTTCAATGTAGGCATTTCAGGCCTATTCTCTTCTCTATGCTTTAAATAAGCTAACTCAGTGGCCCTCAACTGGAAGTGATATAGCCCCCTAGATACATCTATCAATATCTGGAGACATTTTTCATTGCCACAACTGGGTGACCCTGTACTACCGGCACCTAGTAAGTCGAGGCCAAAGGCATCCAAGGGGCACAGGATAGCACCTGACAATAAAGAATGATCCAGCCCAAAGTGTCAACAGGACCACAGTTGAAAAACCCTGAGCTAACAGAATCCCACTTTGATGCTCTTGATCATTTATCTCATGACTTGTGCCTCTCAAGGAACTCTAGTCTTGAATGTGTTCAGAAGGAAACAGTTCACGCATTGCTTCTTGGAGATTTCCAATGTGCATTTGCCCTTGAAAGGCTCTGACAAGGTCTGCAGCCAAATAAAAACTTGCTTTGCATTTGTTTAATCCACCATTTCCTAATGTATTTGAATACAGAAATCCTTTGTTTAGGCAATAATCACTATCATTCTTCTGAAGTAAGCTGCAGTATCTAACAATTTATTGAGCATTTACCATGTTCTAGAGTGTCCTAAGCACTTCACACATCCTACAGGGCCTTTCTCCCCACAGGCAGTGGGGGGCAGTGGGGTGCAGTGGATAACAGTGTTGGCTCTGGAGTCAGGTAGCTGGCTTGGAATTTGCAGCCACATCAGTTGAGCTGTGTGACCTTCATAAATGCCTTCATTTCTCTAAGCCTCAATTTCCTTACCTTTAAGTGAGGGTACAGCCATGCATCACAACGATGGGATACATTCCGAGGAGTGGATTGTTATGAGATTTTGTTGCTGTGAGACTATCACAGAGCGCAGTTACACAAACCTACATGGGGTGGCTTAGCACATACCTAGGTTATATGCTCCTAGGCTACAAACCTGGACAGCATCATACTGTACTCAATACTGTAGGCAACTTTAACACAATTTTAAGTATTTGTGCATCTAAGCATATCTAAACATAGAAAAGGTACAGTAACAATATGGTATAAAAGATAAAAATGGTACACCTATATAAGATACTTATCATGAATGGAGCTTGCAGAACTGGTAGTTGCTCTGGGTGAGTCAGTAAGTCGTGGGTGAATATGAAGGTGTAGGACATTACTGTACATTACTGTAGACTTTATAAACACTGTACACTTAGGCCACACTCAATTTATAAAAAAATAAACTATGATGTTATGACTACAATGTAACTAGTCCATAGGAATTTTTCAGCCCCTATAATAGGGCTGAATAGTCAACGATGGACTGCACATACAATGGTGGTCCCGTAAGATATTATAATCTTATTATAATAATCTATTATTATATATAATCGATAATTATATATATTATAATATATAATAGATAATAGATTATAATCGATTATATATAATATATTATACAATATATACTATATATAAAATATATAATATATATTATATATACACCTTCATATTTGATTATATGTAATATATTATATATAATTATTATTATAATCTATTATAATAAGATTATAATATCTATATCTATAATAGATATTATACTCTTATGGGACCACCATTGTATATGCAGTCCACCGTTGACTGAAACACTGAAACATACAGTGCATGACTGTGTCTGTGTGTCTGTGTCTGTGTGTGTGTGTGTGTGTGTGTGTATATATATATATATATATACATATATATATATATATTGCCCATGTCAAAAAGTTCTGAATCTCAAATTAGATAAAACTTGCAAAGGGCTTTATGGTATGTTCTCAGTAATGTTGATTATTGATTGATTGATGATGATGAAGATGGCGGTGGTGTTGGCAGTGATGGTGGTGGAGGTGATGGTGATAGCTGTGATGACTGTGAAGGCGATGACAGTGGTGGTGATGGGGATAACAGGATGGTGGTGAAAGAGATAATAAGGTGGTGGTGATGG